>NC_000016.10:83255682-83880682 GCF_000001405.40 Homo sapiens
CTAGGGTGACTTTTATTATGCTCTTTTCAATATTGGTAATAAAGTGGCACTATGCTGTGGATAGGACTGGGTTCACATCCCAACTCTGCCTTTTCCTGATTGAGCTGCTGAGTAACTCTTCTGCCTCCTGATTTGCAAAATAAGGATACTGGCTTTTAATTCCTAAGGTGGTTCTGAAGATGACATGAGACAATGTCAGTAAAATACCTAGCACTAAGCTTGGCACATAGTTGGCATAGAAAAGGAGGAGTTGGCAGCTTGATTATGGTCAAATCTAAGAAGATTTGATGCAGACCCAACTTCCTAGGGCCACTGAGGATTAAATAGGTATATATAAATTAGCTCAATAAAAGTGATTATTTTTTTCTTGAGACAGGGTCTCATTTTGTCACCCAGGCTGAAGTACAGTGGCACCATCTTTGCTCACTGCAGCCTTGACTTCCTGAGCTGAAGTGAGCCTCCCACATTAGCCTTCCAAGTAGTTGGGACTACAGGCGTGTGCCACCATGACCAGCTACTGTTGTACTTTTTGTAGAGATGGGATTTTGCCATGTTGCCCAGGCTGGTCTGAAGCTCTTGAGCTCAAGTGATCTGCCCACCTCAGCCTCCCAAAGTGCTGGGATTACGAGCATGTACCACTACACTTGGCCCATAAGTGATTTTTTAAAAATAAGTAAATATTTACAAGAAATTAATTCCCTGAGATCGTCAGGACCCAACCTTGTCTTCATTTTAAGTATTGTCAGCTCAGAGTTCTAATGAGGCTACAAGAGCATTAGAGATAGACTTTCAAAATATTAAAAGAAAAAATTTCCTAGGCACCTCCAATGAAAAGGATATGTTCCCTGACCTCAAGAAGTTTCCAGTGGCCAGGCACGGTGGCTCACGCCTGTAATCCCAGCACTTTGGGAGGCTGAGGCGGGCGAATCACGAGGTCAGGAGATGGAGGCCATCCTGGCTAACACGGTGAAACCCCGTCTCTACTAAAATACAAAAAAAAAAAAAAAAAAAAATTAGCCGGGCATGGTGGCGGCTGCCTGTAGTCCCAGCTACTTGGGAGGCTGAGGCAGGAGAATGGCATGAACCCAGGAGGCGGAGCTTGCAGTGAGCCGAGATCGCGCCACTGCACTCCAGCCTGGGCGACGGAGCGAGACTCCATCTCAAAAAAAAAAAAAAAAAAAAAAAATAGTTCCCAGGCCCCTGTTAGACTTCATGCTCCCTGGCTTTCCCTCTCTCCTACAAATATTAGAATTTGTTGCTCGCCTGCTATATGTTGGGGCCTGCATGCTGTGTGTTGTGAGGAGGGCAGGCAAAGCTCATTGCCCTTGGGATTTGTTACCTGGCAAGAAAGCAAACACTGAACCAGTAATGATAAGTAATGACTGATTTTGAAGGAACCATACAGGCACCTAGGAATACAGAAAGGGATTTCCTTCCTGAGTTGGGGGATGGAGGAAGGTTTCTTTGAAGAAGTAGCATTTGAGCCTGCTTCCTCGAGGGTGAGTAGGAGAAAAGACAGTAGGGCTTCATGGACAAAGAGACAGAATATACACAGGCGAAGAGGAGAGAAAGCGACGGTGAGCTTGAAAGGTTCAAAGAAGCCGAGACAGCTGCAACTCAAGTAGAATTCATCGTATTTTTTTTCTTTTACTAAAAATAGAATGACAGAATAAGAAATTTATATAAGGAGTATTCAAGCAGACCCCAAAGGCCAAAGTTCATGGATGAGGTTTCCTCTTTCCTCTCCGCTCAGCTTTTAGGTTTCTTTCTTTGTCCCACCCATCTTCGTTCCCTGATGGTAGGTCCATGATGTAGAAAGTTTACAAAAGAAAATGTCTCAGGGAAAGGTTCCTCCATGAATCTGTTAGGAAGAAAAACTCCAGTGAGGCTGCACACCAGCAGCACTAATCATTTTATTTTATTTGTGGCTGTGTAGTAGTATTGTGTGGCGTATATGTACCACCTTTTCTTTATCGTGTCTACCATTGATGGGCATTTAAGTTGAATCCATGTCTTTGCTATTGTGAATAGTGCTGCAATGAACATACATGTGCATGTGTCTTTATAATAGAATGATTTATATTCCTTTGTGTATATACCCAGTGATGGGATTGCTGGGTTGAACGCTATTTGTATTTTTAGGTCTTTGAGGAATCGCCATACTATCTTCCACAATGGTTAAACTCATTTACACTTCCACCAACAATGTATAAGCAGTCCTTTTTCTCTAATACCTCACCAGCATCTGTTATTTTTTGACTTTTTAATATTAGTCATTCTAACTGGTGTGAGATGGTATCTCAATGTGGTATTGGTTTGCATTTCTCTAATGACACTGATCATTTTGAAGAATTTATTCTTGCATACTCTTGGTTAAATGCATAAAGTGATAAATTAAACTGAGTCTTTATAAGCAAGTATAAATTAGTGGTTATTTGGGGGCTATTTCTGATTTACACAATAACGTATACTAATCACATTCATTAAGATGAGTGAAGAAATTGATTTAGCTGGAAAGCATAGCTCTACAGAGGCATAGCCAAAGTCTGGCTATATAAAAACATTTTTACCACCAATATTTTCAGGCAAATGTGCCAATAAAAGGTATATTCTATGTGAAATTGCAGCACCCTATTGGAAATGGCCTGCTTTAACAGTCCTGGTTCCTGCTTATTAAGATGCACCTTCTTAATGTATGCAATAAAAATTAGACTCAAAGATATCTAGTGATGTTTAGCCAGCTTCAGTGACTGGTCTAGAAATAAAAAGATATGCCAGTAAAACCCGAGTGTTGCAAATACTGTTACTGATGATGATCAAGAAGAGAGGAAGGCACTCTGTGAAAGATTGGGTACACAGTGTTCTGTCTGATATGTGGCTTTTTTGGCATCAAATGTGCACTGCGGACCATTGGCACTTTTCAGAGGTGGCCAACACATAGGTGCCAGGGACAATTAACAGAGACGTGGTGGCAAACTCATTAACGCAAGAAGAGAATCTGCCATTCAGAGACATTAATTTAACATGACACCAACAGGGGTGTTTGTATGTGCGCGTTGTGGTGTCAGACATTCTGCTCTAATTGAGTTAATTAAAAGTTAATGGCACAGAGCACATCGTGACGCTATAAATAACAGGCACGTGACCAGTCCTTATACTCTCATTTGAATAAACCTTTAGCTCACCATCACATTCCACTTCTGAAGGATTCATTCCACATCACTGCCTCTCCTTCCACCTTTGAAGAGGGTGAGTGCTATTCCATTTGATACATAAACAAAAGGAATTGGAAAAGATAAAAGGAGGCTTGTGTGCTATGTCATAAATATCACCCATCATTGCCAGCCTTGTACTTAAACTTCTTGCTGGGAAGGGGGAAAATGTGTCCTCCTAGCCAGGGCTGTGGTAGGATGTGGGGAGAGCAGGGAACCTCCTGCTGCTCATGGTGGATGGGAGGCCGGCTGAGGGGGACAGTCACTAAGAAGATGAGTTGGAAGTAAGATTGATATAAACCTTATGGATGGGAAAGCTGTTTTCCTCTCTGAGCTTCAGTTTCTCATCTGTGAAGTGGAGCTAATGAGAATCTGGTATCCACGTCATTGAATGCTTCTCAGCATGAAATGGGAGAAATCTCTAAAACACTTGACACAATGTTGGGCACACAGCGAGTCTTCCATAAAGGTTAGATGGTGCTGCTTGGAAAGTCTGTCTCCTGAGCGTGGGGAGAACAGCCCCTCAGGTATGGCTGTACCCACCTCCCTTTCTCAGCATCCTTGTTTGGGTGGCCAGTGGAGTTCTCGACGTTCGTTTTTAAGTGTTGGTTTGGTTGATTACATTATGTTACAAATGCATCCAAAAAAGGAAATGTGCGACATAGTACTTACATAGATTACAGGCAGAGAAACACTTGAAAATCATTCACTTAAGACAAAGTCAATAGAAGACTTCTCAGTCTCAAATTTTTTTTTATTTTATTATTATACAGTAAGTTTTAGAGTACATGTGCACAATGTGCAGGTTAGTTACATAGGTATACGTGATTTTGACTGAGGAAACTCGCTTCAGTTTGCTTAAAACTGAATGCTGAGCCTTCTAGCCCTGAGGCAAAGAGGTATCCATGGCAGCTTACCTACCTTTCATGTTTCCAGCACCATGAACCACAGCACCCCTTCAAGTGAAAGAAGCAAACTTCTTTGGGGGCCTAAAATCATGGGAGAAATTCAGATTGCTCATCGTGCAACCAAATGAACATCATTCTTGAGTGATTCTAACAATTGAAAGAGGACAAAAATGCTTCTTACGTGGCTCTCTCGGAAGAATTTCTGGTAATAGTCAAAGATGAGGACTTTCAAACTTTTTGGCAGGTTCTCACAGTATATAATAGTTTTTTTTTTTTGTAACCATGTACCCCCAATACACACACACACACACACACACACACACACACACACACACACACACGCTCTCTCAAAACAAAGTTTACAAATAATACTTAGTCTATGTGGTGCTTTGTAGTTTCTCTTCTACTGTCGCTTGTTACTTAAAATACTGGTCATGACCTATAAATTGATTTTATGATCTAAAAATGAATTGTGAAACCTGGTTTAAAAAATGCTGATGCAAGATGTTAGGTAAGAACATATTTCTGCAAAAATACTTAAGTGGAGGGACAGGAATGAGTGGGGCTAGGTGTCCAGTGTTCTGGAAAGAATTAAATTTTTTATTAGTATCTATTTCTCATATTTCTCCCCAGCACAGTCAGTTCTGCGTGGCGCAGCCATCCTACCAAGGGGAGTCTGTGGGAACCAGGACACTTGATTGCTTTTTAGCTCAGTCTTCGAGGGAGTGCTGGAGCAACTCTGTGCATCGGAATCACCCGGGATCCCAGCAGGTCTGGGAGGGACTGAGATTCTGCTCCCAGGTGATGCTGATACTGCTGCTCCCCAAAGTGCGTTAGGCCATACACTGAACAGCAAAGGAAGAGAAAAATGCAAAGTTGGAACCTTGTGTTTCCTGGCCTCCACCGACAGCCCCATCCAGTAATGCCTCCTTTCTCCTTCAAGGGCATCTTATTGTCTCATTACTCACATTTAGAGACTGATTATGTCATTTAGTAAGCCTTCGATTGAATATTTAAAAGCCACTTGGATGAAGTTAAAAGTCAGCAAAGAATGTATTTGAAAAGCATGCATAGCTCATAGCTCCTAGAACTGACAGTGAAATGGATGCACCAGGTCTTGGGGGGCGGCCATGTATCGGGGGAGCTCTGGGCTTTGGTAGCAGGAACTGGTGGAGATCTTTTTATGTGAGGCCATTGGACTGAAGCAGCATCCCATGTCCTTTGGCCCTTGCAGTAGACCCTCACATTTCAGGGAAAGGATTTAAGAGGCCCCTTGGCTCACAGGTCCACTCCTCAGCCAAGGAGAACAGGGCATCTTGACTGACCCACCAAGACTTTGTTATGACATAGTGACCACGGTTCAGTTTCCATGCAAGGGGGCGTGCATGCGGAGTGGGCAGATACAGCCACAGCACATGGGTTGCTGAAAACTAAGTGGCTTTGAGAGGAAGGTAAGTGCTTTTGCTAAACACCAACTCTGTGGAAAGCTCATTACCGATACGTTAACTTCATCCCCTCGATAAGCCAGCTGTTCTCAATTGGGGATGACTTTACCCTTCAGGGGAGAACTGGCAGTGTCTGGATGAATTTTTGGTTGTCACAGCTGGGTTGGGGGGTTGGGGGTGCTCCTGGCATCTGGTAGGTAAGAACATATTTCTGCAAAAATACTGAAGTGGAGGGACAGGAATGAGTGGGGCTAGGTGTCCAGTGTTCTGGAAAGTATCTATTAGTATCTATTTCTCATATTTCTCCCCAGCACAGTCAGGGATGTGGCTCAACATCCTGCAATGCCCAGGACAGCCCCCATGACAAAGAAATTATCCAGTACAAATGTCACTAGTGCCAAAGCTGAGAAGCCCTGCAAAAAACTTGCATGATAGTGACGGTTTTCTTTATTTTCCTCTTTTTTTTTTTTTTGATGACAGAAAGTTAGATAACAGTCACAAGATCAGAAAGCGAATAAGTGGCAGAGCTTGAACCCAGATCTGTGGGGTACCAGGACACCCTGCCTTCTTGCTGTACCTCTCAATACTGGTCTCTTGTGCCTGCCTGCCAAGGAACAGAGGCAGTGGGAGGAGTCACTCAAAGAGTCTTATGAGCCTGATAACAAATGTGTGAGTTCCCTCCCTTTGCTGATCAGATTTGTTCTGTTCCATTCCGGAGTCACTGCAAACTACCAGGTTTTAATTCAACCGTAACCTGTGGGAAGGCTTCACGTCTGAGGTTACCTGGTGCAGCTGTCTTCACGCTGGCACACTGAGAAGTTACCAAATGATTAATAGCCGTGGAGTTTCCCAAAACATCCAGGTGGAAGACACACAACTGGCTTATTGTCTTTTAATATTCAGTCATATAAATTGAATATAAGAGGGTAACAGCAGGCACCCCTGGAGACCTGGGCATGAGGTTTAGCTTCATGCAATCCCCTGTAAGTATAATTTCCCCAGACCACATGGGGTAATGGGCCTCCATGTCTCTGATTTGCCCATGGGGGGAGGACATTAAGTCTGCACAGCTGTGGTGTAATCAGATGTGTAGGGAGACTCTGAGAGCCAGAGGAATCTCTTTTCCATGCTGTCTCACCTGAAATGCTTGTCAATTAATGTAGACTTGTGGTAGACATTTTGTTTGAAAAGAAGAAATTTCATTTTCTTTCAAATATTATATGGTGCAGGTGAAGCACCTGGGGTTTTTCTAATTATACCGTGAGCCATTGGGAAGTATGAACATATTTTACACATTAAAAGACCTGGATTTTGCTGGAGACCCTAGAGAATGTTCTCATTGGAGTCCCCCTCATTTACCTTGGAAAGGACTGTCTGAATTTGAAAAGAAATCTGAAGCAGGAAAAACATATAAAGAAATATGAAAAAATGGTATAACTTTCAAGGGAAAGGGTTTCCTTAAAAATTCATGAGATGGGTTATAATAAATGCACTAGAATAACTTGTAACAAAAATACCAACAGTGTTTCTTTGGCAGATGTTTCTCAAATATTTGGGGTGGTTTCAATGGTTTTAAAAGCTTTCTCCCAACGCTTTTATGTTGCCTATTTGGACCACCAATTGAGTAAGAATTTGGCTAATTAGTGTAAATTCATTAGGCTTTAGCATAATTATATTTCAAACCAACCAGCTAAATTGATATGATGTTGTTTGTCCTGAGAATGACTAAATGACTGATAGGAAATGGGATATATTCTTTGAAACTCGATATTCTTAGAGCTTGGCAAACCGTCTGGTGTTCAAATACATTTTGTTATTTGAATGAATACATATTAGCTATGGATATAAACAAGGAGGGAGAGATGGATGGGCTGAGTGTGATTATGCCAGAAAAACAGGAGTCGAGCTCATCGCAAGACCTAGCAGTAATTTTTAGGAATCAAGTGATACAGGTGTTTTCATAAGTTCTCAGATGGGAAACAATTAGTGAAAGCAACAATTCCACCTTTTTGTACAAAACATCCTTTTGCTTAGTTGGTTGTCTGCTTGCTCCTCAAACATTCGGAACATTTCCAGGATCAGTGAATATATAACAGCGATGTTTTGTTTTCAGAAAATCAGGCTGATAGTGTTGTACTGAACTCAAATCTGCCTTTTAGGAAATATCCATTTCCTCCTGGTTCTTCCTCTTGAGATATGCAGAGATCTACCAACCACATCACAGAATGGAACTCAGATCATTAAAGGACAGATTCCTTGACTTGGTTCATAGGAATGGTCTTGACTCCTCCCTAGCCACCGCCCACTGAATGGTTTGATATAAAAAAAACAAAACAAAACAAAACTTAAAATATGATCTTCGTGATGTGGTTTGGCCAATGTAGAGGATTAAAACCATTACCACTGCTTCTTCTGCTTATGAGGCTTTTGACTGGCTTCCTCTTTTCTGTCATCCAGGTTCTCAAACCCCATGATGAACGGTGCAGGCAGGGAGAGTGGCAGAGACAGCAGGCTGCTGCCATGGCCTCAATCCCAGCCACTTAAGTTGGCTTCACCATTTTCCTGCCCATGTGTACTACAGGTTGACGGCTAGAGACACTGTGAACATCCCACTACTTGCCACTGAGGCTGAATTTTTTAAAAAAAATAATGATAGCAGAAACACCTCAGACAGTCTTTCATGCAGAGACTCAATTTAACACTTCAGAAAATTTTTGTTCTTATGTCAAGATCCTAAAGTTCCTAGATAGATTCCAAGATAGAAGTACCCAACCTATTGTGGCTCTACATCCAATTTCCATTTTTTATTAGCATGTGATTTTCTTAACATACTGCCATTATCATAAGTTGGACACCCCATTTTCAAGGCAACTGAAGTGAATCAGAGTTATAGATAGCAGACATAGGGTATAAATTGCTGCTGCCCAACCCTGAATACATTTTTTTTCATCCAGTATGATGCTCTCCTGATAAATACCACCTGTTCAATGGGAATTTAAGACAGGTTGTCATTTTAGCAGTCAAACTTTCTGTTGGATCACACTGAGTTTATGGTCAGCTTGAACTCTCAAATCTTTGTTTATGAATTTTTATCAATCTCTGACTTTTCCAACTTGGTTTGGCCAATCGCTTTTTGAAATAGAACTTTATATTTAACTTCATCAATAACATATGTAGAAATATATATACTTATATGTGGATATATACATCGTATATATGTATATATAGTATTTGTGTGTGTACATATTATACACATGTATGTGTGTGTATATGTATATATGTATATGTGTGTGTATATATATGTATGTGTGTGTGTGTGTATACATATGTGTATATATATATATGCCCTTTAAGACTAATGCAATAACTTTTAAGGTTCTTTTTGATTGAAGAAATATATGTAATTAATATCAAATCATATCTATGGCTTGCAGCTTACCCCTCTGCCTACCCCTAATTTCTAATTCCTAGAGACAACACCCCTCTAAACTCCTTTGGCTGGTTTTTTTTTTCTGGCATTTGTGTATGCATTTCTCAATACATAATTATACTATCATCATACTATTATAATTTTCACTTATAAACATTTATTTCTCCTATTAAAACTAAAGATATGGCTGTCAAACTATGCACACATTTATTATCCCTTTATATTCTAGGTTTATGTTATTGTGGCTATAAGAATCTGCTGTAAATAATTATATGAAATACGACTCTGATAGAATTTTCTTTGTCACCTATCATTTTGTTTTTCCAGGTGTTAATAATTATTTCTTCATTTGTTTAGTGTTCTATGTATTTTTTATTAAATCCTATGCCAAACATTCCAACAGAGCTGTGAGATACTTGTCAATGTCTTTAAATGTCTCAAGTCGTCTGTTTGTTTGTTCTTATTTTCTTGGAATTTGTTTTTCTTGGAATTCTCTGTATTTCTGCTCTAGTTTCTTCCTCTAAGCCTGCTTCTCAGCCATCACCCTGACTGGCCATCAAACTGGGAACTCTGTTTGCCTTTGTCCTGTACTGAGTCTCCTCTTTCCCAAATCCTTTCTCTTTTTCCTTCCTGGTTAACCTCTGGATTATGTGTGTATTTCGCATGCCTGAAAATCCTTTTTCTACTTTTAGACTTGCAAATTTGGCTGGATATAGAACTCTAAGTTGAATATATTTTTCAATAGATGATGAACTTGGAAGATTCATTATCTAATTTTCTTTCAGCTCCCTTTTACATAACTGTCTTCTCTTAAAAATACTTCGTACATTTCTTCAACTTTATCTTATGACCACTCTGTTGTTGTATTATTGTTTAATCTTTGCCATCATAATTTCAATTTTAATGGTTTTTTTTGTTCTCTCAATGTTCATTTTTATAGTAATCTTTGTTTTGTGAATACAGTATCCCCTCTTAGCTCTTCAAGAATATCATTTACAGGTGTTTGGGTTTTAAAGATTCACCTGTTTTCTGTTGCTTCTAAATTTCTGCTTTTTTTTTTTTTTTTTTTTTTTTTTGGTCTGTGTCATGTTAGAAGGGTTGTTCACATTCTTTGTGAATCTTTGCTGCCGTTGTCCTCTGAGTGAAGCACTAAAGGCTCTTTAGGAGTTTTGCATGGACGTGCATGAAAACTGATGAGCCTCAAAATGGGTGATGGGGTTGGGACTCCACCATCAGTATCTGTAGTTATTTTCGGTTTTTTGTTTATTTCTGTTTTTTAGATGGATTCTCGCTCTGTCGCCCAGGCTAGAGTGCAGTGGTGCAATCTTGGCTCACTGCACCCTCTGCCTCCCAGCTTCAAGCGATTCTCCTGCCTCAGCATCCCTAGTACCTGAGATTACAGGCGCCTGCCACCACGTCCGGCTAATTTTTGTGTTTTTAGTAGAGACGGGGTTTTTACCACATTGGCCAGGCTGGTCTCAAACTCCTGACCTCAAGTGATCAACCCACCTCAGCCTCCCAAAGTTCTGGGATTACATACAGAAGTCACTCTCACACACATACTCATATTTGCCTTACCATTTGTGCAGGAAATCAATACCATTACTACCCAAGACCAAAGGTTTCACTGGATTTAAGCACTGACATGAGGCCAAGACCATAGCTCCTTCCATGGATATATGGTCCACTTTAATTTTTATGAATTCTACCCTAAGAAGGGGGAAATGTTAATTGAAATTGTAGCCATTGTTAACATTGAATTTATCACTTAATGGCAGTTACTTATTTTAATTATAACATCTGTGTCCAAGTCAGTGTGTTCATTGTTGTATTCCTCAGAAAGTCTTATCAGGAACCCACTCCCACTGTAACTAACACAGATAAAGTCTTCTGCTGGCATCATCTCCCCTCTTCACACTCCAGGGAATACCTAAAAAATGGAAAAGGTAGACTGTGCCCTTTACTAACTCTTAAGGCAAAGAAGTTTAAGTAAGGACAAACATTAAGCCAATATTTCCGATATGGATGTTAAGGTTCACAGCACAACAAACATCACAACCTGTGGCTGTCTTTTACCTCATTCATGGAGGCTTATGAAGTACACTTTTCTTCTGGAATCCTCTCTTTTCCCCACCTCTCAGGGCTTCTTGGTGAGGTCCACACTCTTCACTCACCATTCCTGGTCTCAAGTCGGGATGTCTTGTCCTAACTATCAATGACCCACAGTTACCTCTACCTCTCAGCTGAGCCCTCAGCCTATTTTCTTTTTTTCTACTCATGTTCTGATTGCAAATGACAGGAGTTATGACTGTTGTTGCCCCAGATCTCATCATCTACTTAAACATCGTCATCTGCCAGTATTCTCAGCCTTGCTTTTTTTTCTCAGTGTTAAGAATTTGTTAGGGAGGAGCTGGTGAAATCCTGAAGTGCAGCAGAGACATGCATGCCTCATTCTTTGCTAAAACAGAATGCCTTCAGAAGCAAGTACCAGAAAACCCCAACCCAACTGTTGTAAACAAAGAGGAAAATTTATCATTTCACAAAACACAAAGGCTGAAGGTGCAGGGAAGCTCCAGGGATGGTTAATTCCCCACCTCCGCAGCATCAGGGATTGGGTTCTCTCCCTCTTCCTGCTTTATCATTCAGAGCCCGGCTGGATTATCCTCAGGCTAATTCACTCCATGTATGCAGAATAGCTGTACAGCTACCAGTGTCAGAGGCAGGCACATCGGCTTATAGGAGAAAGAGAGAGCAGCTCTCCCTTTCTGTGTGTGCGATGATTTAAATGCCCTCTCCAAAACTCACGTTGAAATTTAATTGCCACTGTGATGATATTAAGAGGTAAGACCTCTAAAAGGTGATTAGGTCATGGGGGCTCCACCCTCATGAATAGATGAATGCTGTTATCTCAGGAGAGTGTTTGTTACCGCGGGAGTGGGCTCCCGGTAAAAGGATGAGTTCGGCCCCCTTCCCCTTGCAAGCTCACTCATCATATGATGCCTTTCACAACATTACGATGGAGCAAGGAGGCCTCGCCTGTTGTGGCCCCTCAATCTTGGACTTCCCACCCTCCAGGACCATGAGCCAAATAATTTTTTTTCATTAGAAATGACCCAGTCATTTTATTTAACAAGATATTATGTTGTCATAGCATAAAATGGACTAAGACATCTTTTATCACCACTTTCCCAGAAGTTCCCATGCCCCACACATGTGCTCTCATACCTCATTGGCCAGACCAAGTGAAGTGTCTCTCAGTCACAGGTGAGGGAAATGAGATGACCATGAATGGCAAATTAATCAAGCTTTACTCATTTAGAGAAGTTTAGAGGAGGATACCTTCTTTGGCCACATGACTGTATGGGAAATGGTGGACACTGACACACACAGGTGTATATAGATACACCTGCCCCTATGTGCACCACTGACACATGGATATTAACTCAGTGGTAGGACCAGAGTAAACCCCTGATCATAGTAATTGACATAATTATAAGTGCAGACATTAACTGTACTGCAGTTTGTCTTTAGAACAGTGGTGTATATATACCTATACTCATGTTGTATACAACCTTCACAATATGTAGGAGAGGAACTTCCATGGAAGTATGAACAGAAGATCAACTGGACAGTTACGCTGCTGGTGAGCTGTGTGTAGCCTGAGGGATCTGGCACATCCTTAGTTCTTTTCGCACAAATGCTGCTGCCAGTTGGCTCAAGCATTTCAGGGCAGTTGCCACAGTTGTTACTACAGTTACCACATTTTTTCCAAACCAGCAGTCAGCATACACAATTGGATAGGTACTTCTTTCCAATCTGTGAATTATTTGATGTCATATGAGTTACAGAAGTTCATCCCGGGTCATGTTTAAGGATATATAAATTACATGTTGTAGACAAAGTCTACGTTTCTACGTTTTTTTGACAGCACAAGTGACATGAAGTGAAATGCACATTTCAATGGGTGTCGCATCCTGGTCTCAATAGTTTTAGTGCAGACATTCTTCCTACACAAAAATGTTGTGAAAATTTGAATTGATCATAATGTGATTGATGTTGAGAAATAGGATTTATATAGTCCATGAACTACTATTGGGTATAACCACTTGAAGCTGGGCACAGGTTCCTAAGGAGTGAGTGTCTGAGGACACCACAGAGAGGCCAGAGCTGCTCTGCTCACCTACCCAGTTCTTAGGTTCTACCTGGCATTCTTTAGCTCTCTGTTGTTAAAGGTAAACTCTGCCACAAGCCAAAGACCAGAGCAGAGAGATGGGAGGCTTGTCAAAGAAGCATGAAGGTGCTTTTATTTCCTTCTGACCAGACAACTTGCTCAGCCTTAGCTTCAGCAATCAACTACATCTGTAAAGACGCTTTTACTGTTGGTGTTTTAAACAGAAAAACAATGACTTCATAATCTAGAACTCTCTAGAACCTCCTTTTCTATTACAAAAGCAGCTGCTTTTCTCTCCTAGTTTTTGGAAATGTGAGGCTTCTTAGAAATTCAAATGTTGTGTCATAACCTAACATAGTTTGCATAATTGCAGAGAACTCACCAGATGACTGTTGTATCTTATGAGGCCCCTCCCCAGAACTCCTGGAGAGACCTAAAGTGGGGGGCAGATCCTATCACCACAGCTTTGTATTACAAAACTTCATTAAATATATTATGCAATGCATTACTGCTGTATGCATCATAAATAGACACACCATCCTTCATGTCTCAAATATTGATTATCTAAACTATCCCACATCATCTATTTGGACCTAGGGATATGAAGATACAAAGATGCAGTCTGTTGGCAGAATAAAATTCTTAAACAGATCTTAGAATAGTGTGAGTTGTTCCTGGAAGGTACAGAGTGCCATGGGAACTCAGAGAACAGATTCCCACCCCAGTAAGAATTCTGGGATCACTCCACCCCAAAAGAATGAGGGTTATGTTGTCCTTAGTGGGAGGTGGTAGTTGTGGATTAGGTCCTATCATTTCACACACTGACCATCTCTGCCCAGTACCCTGAATGAGTGCTCCATGACATCATCCTCTTTGACCTCTGGCCACCTTCCCTTCTCCTAGCCTTGCTCCTCACCAGGTAATCCTAGACATATGGACAGCTCACTATCAAGAGGAGGATTGGTCCACTGGAGAACCGTTAATCCCTTCTGCACTTTGGGGATGATCTCATCTGATTTGTCTGTCCTGCTTCCTCAAAGCCCCTAAAATGCATTTCTATGCTAAGTTAAACAGAATTGATTGCGGCTAGATTTACTGAGTCTTTTGAAATGGTTCTATTATTTTGAATGTAAGAAAATAATGTACTACACCTCCTGAGAAATAGATCTTCTGCAACATTTTCATTAATCTCTTTATTAAATGTAACTGGTTTCTCTTTGGAAATTAATTACTGAAGTAGTATTGAGAATTTTAATTTCCACAATATACCAGCAAGAGATACTGCTGTTTCTTTATACACTGTTACACAGCAGGGCAATAATCTATTGAAATAAGCCCAAAAAGGGGGCAGCTTGTAATTAAAACAGTATAACACGAGTGTTTGATGACTCTCTTAGTGCTAAAATGGCCCTGTCATGCTGTGTTTGGGTGGAATAAAATGTATATTTAGGAAACAGCTCTATATGGAGAAGTCGACAGACTCAGGTTTTACAGTCTGGGATGTGGCTGTGTTTCACTGCAATAATATGCCCACGAGGAAATACGGTTTGTTTTTGGCATCTGAGAATTACAACCATTGCTGCACAATAGGAAGCTTCTTCCCTTAGTAAGCCACCCCCATTGTGAAATTTAAAATATTTAAATGATGAAGCAGAGAGCATCAATTATCAATGTCGGTATCCATGGAAAAGACATGAGTATGCAAACACCTGAGTGCACGCACAGCTCACGTGTAGGTGCAAGTCCACGAATGGATGCGGATCCTGTATGTGTGCATGAAGGCCCTCATTGACACAGATTCAGCACTCAATAACTCTCCCTCACGCTTAGAGGAGGCTTCATATTTTTCAAGACACGTTCCTATCTGTCATCTTCTATCCTCCCAGACGTGTTTTCTCATGATAAGAATTATTTACACATCATTTACATTTACAGATTTGCTTTTTTTGTTGTTAGTGTCAAAGACATTTTTGCAGATGCTGTGTTGCTCTTCTCTTTTCTCCTTCCTCACTCTCTTCTTTCCTGCCTTCCCTCCCTCCCTCCCTTCCTCCCTCCTTTCCTTCCTCCCTCACTCCTTTCCTTTCTCTTTCCCTTCCTCCCTCCCTCCTTTCTTCCTCCCTCTCTCCTTCCCTTCTTTTCTCCCTCTCTCATTCCCTTCCTCCCCCTCACTCTAAGTGCTAAGTATACAGCCATGAACACCACCAGCTCCCTGCTTTTAGGGAGCCCAAAGTCCTGCCCACTCAGCATATAAAATCCTATAATTGCCTCTTCTTGGAAAGCAGTTTATTGGTTTTGACCACTGATACATGTACCTTTGAGGTCTATGCCCTATCCCCAGAAGCTCCTCAAAGAAAACAGTACAACTGAATCACATATTGTATCCTTTCTGGATGAAGTCTGTTAACTAAAACTTGCTCATCTTCTTGTATTTCCAGTAATGTGGGTGAGTCTTACGGATAAGTGATCAGGGCAGATCCCAGGCTGGACTTCTCCTTATCCTGGCTTAAGGCCACCAGCAACATTCTTGTGTTGGATCTAGACACCAGCTCTACCGCACATTGAGGCAGAGTTCATAAAAAAAAAAAAAAAAAAAAAAAAAAAAAATTCATGGTTGCTGTTAGAGCCCCAATCCTGCATAATGGGCTTTTATTTAAAAAAAAACAAAACAAAACAACAACAACAAAAAAAAACGCTGTACCTAGAAGTAACTGTCCAGAAAAGAATAATATAATGCATACCCAAGATCATAAATACTGGAAATCATACAACCGCTGGTTTCTCAATTACAGTAAGAAAATAATTCACAATACTCAAGGGGAAGGTAGCACTTGTGAGCCAGCATTATTTATAGAAACCTTTCTTTTATCTTTCTTTGCAAAGTCTTTTACTAGAATTATTTATTTAGGATAATTAGAGAAAAATTCTGTAATTTCAAGTAAATATTAACTACAAATCAATTCCAGTAAAAATGCTGCTGTCCAATCATCTGTGTCACTGCACTTGGGAGAAAACAATTTATGTTCAAGCCTCTTTAGCTGGATTAATCTCTTCAAACCTAAGTGATCCATATGAAGATCTTGTCACCGGAAATTACTTTTGATCCAATACATCTCACATATCATAATGGTAATAAACATTTGTCTTGTGCCTTACAGCTTAAAAAGTGTTTTTCATCCATTATCTCTCTTAATTTTCATATTGATTTTTAGAAAATTAATTTGTTCAACCAGTGTTTGGGTGCTTCTTGTTTGTTTATTCCACAAAAATTTATGGAGTACCTCTCTCAGTCCTCACCACTGGGGATGCAATGGCAAATAAGATGAAGTCTCCAGCCATAAAGAAACTATATTCTAGTGAGGGAGATGGATGATAAAATTAAAAATTGTGCAAGTGCATGATCCAGTGTCAGGGAATGATAAGACCTGTGTAGAATTAAGAGGCCAGGGGTTAGATCTGGACAAGAAATGCTTGTTCTTGCTACATAAAGAGTTAAAGGCTGAGCATCCCTGAGTAATGTGAGACTGTGAACCAGGAGGACAGCGTTCCAGGCAGAGTGAATATTTGGATCATGCCTCACATATCGTACTGCAGTTAGCACTTACTACTTAATACCACACGGGTATTTTCCCATGTTGTTCAAACTTGAATTTTTAAAGTCTGAAAAATATTCCATTTATGGATGTCCTTATAGATTTATAGATATCCAGCGTTGCAGTCCGGGGCTCATCAAATTTTTTCCACTCCTTACTGAGCTTCAGACCCACCAGGCTGCAGAGAGACATCTCTAGCAAATCATAATCATTTGCGTTAATAGGTCTGTGTGGCCCCTGAAGATTTCATAAGGTGGAAAAACTACTCCCAATTCATGGGGATTGGGCTGGACACACTTCAGTAGCTTTCCTTGAAAACTGGAGGAAAGGCAGAGCTGTGGCAGAGTCAACGTGGGAAATGTGGTCTGTTGAGTGGTCCTAGGAGTTTCAAGAACAACTATTCTGTGCAGATCAGTCAGCCCTGTGGGGATTTTAGACGTGGATTGTACTCTGAGAGCTAATGATGAGTTTGCTGGAAATAATTTTTCCATTTCCATTTCTAATTGTTAATATAGTACAGTGAGCTCGGTAAGCACAATCTGCTCAGATAACCCAATCTGCAGTGTGACTGGTGCCTGTGGCTGGTGCCTACACAACAGGCTTTTGTTTCGTAACTTCAGCACTTGTTGTGGGGGGAAGCACCACAAAGCTGCTATCCATTGAGCAGTCTTTCACCCTAGTTTTGGTGCATATCACTTCTTTAATCAAGCAAAATGGCTCTAAAATAATATCAATTTTTTTTTCTTTTTTAAACTTTTAGGTGCAGGGGATACATGTGCAGGTTTGTTACGTGTATAAATTGCATGTCACAGAGGTTTGGTGTACAGACGATTTTGTCATCCACGTACTAAGCATAATACCCAATAGGTAGTTTTTTTCAATCCTCTCCCACCCCCAACCCTTCACCCTCAAGTAGGCCCTGGGGTCTTTTGTTCCCGTCTTAGTGTCTATGAGTGAGTACTCATAGACATAGTAGTGTCTATTAGCTCCCACTTATAAGTGAGAACAAGGGCATTTGCTTTTTTCTTCCTGCAAGTTCCCATAGGTGGCAGCTGGATAAAGAAAATGTGGTACATACACACCATGGAATACTATGAAGCCACAAAAAAGAACGAGATCATGTCCTTCATGGCAACATGGATGGAGCTGTGGACCATTATCCTAAACAATATGAATTCTTAAGAAGCCAACAGGGAGGCCCATTTAAAAGCAGCCACAAAGGGGTACATAAAAGTGAAGACAGGTTTTAATGACATAGGTTTCAAGTTAACTACTGTTTGTTGATCTCTTGTGGTTTCCGTGGGAGGGGCATTTCAATACTACATAGGTATCGTGTTTTTATTTTCGTAACTACGCAGCGAGGTAAGTTTAGTTATCTCCACAAGCAACATGTAAGAAAATTGAGGCTCAGAGGGGTGAAAAGGCCACCCTTGATCAAACAGTTGGTACTGAACCTGGTTTCTAGCCTCACATGCAGGACCTCAGAGCTCTTAATGATTCACCCATACTAGTCTATCATAGGCGGCAGTGCAGGTTTTGCCTCTGACCACATTGCTTACACTTTCCATCTTCCTCTCCACCACTTACCTGGGGTTAAGCTCTCTTCCAGCCTGCACTATGACAACAGCCTCTTCAAGCCAATCTTACACCCTCTCGCCTTCCCCCAGGCCAGGCCGTCTCCTCCATCCCAACACCAAGGTCCCTCAAAGGAAAGACCAGTGAAGTCTCAACCCTGCTTAAAAGCCTCAGTGACAACCATTCTGCTGGGTGGGATTGCTGGCAGGAAGGTGGCCTTAGGGAAAGGCTGGTTTCAGCCAAGGCTGGAGGTGGAGAGAATGTTCTAGAAAGCACTGGTTGCTGGAAGGGTTTGTGGATCAGAGACCTCTCAGTTAGCTCAGGCCCTTGGTACATGCTCTTCTCTCTGTTTATAATGTTCTTCCTGCCACTCATTATTTGGCTCCTACCCTGAGTGATCCCTTGCCTCCCTCACCTGCTAGAGACCCTCTGCCACAGGCTTCAGTTAGTTATTCCAGCCTCCTGAAAGCACTTACCACAGTTTGAACTTACCTTTGTGAGGTTATCTGATTAGTGTCTTTAGAGCTCTCTAAGTAATGTATTCCTTCAAGAAAGGGATTCTGTCTTTCCCCCCAGAGAAACCCCCACATGCAGCACAGAGCCTGATGTGTGAAACTTGCTGAATGAGTTGAAAATAATAAGCTAATGATTTTATAAATTCATTTAAAGGATCCTCAGCTTCTACTGCAATGGTTCTCAAACACCTGGTGGCAGGGGGGGTGTTTATTAAATATGCACATTCTTGGGCCCCACGCCAGATCTACTACTAAGAACCTCCATGGGTGTGAACTATAATTTGTAAGCAAAATGTATAAGCAAGCTCCCAGGATGAATTTTGATTTGGATAAGAGTTTGGGGACTTCCTTCTTAGCACACAAAATCCAGTCTTTATTCCATTTAGGTGTGTTCAAATGGTGTCATCTCAGTGAGCCCTCCTCTGCCCCTCTTATTTAAAATTCCATACTTCCAGCCCTGTCTGACCCGGCACTCCCTATAGACACATGCTTTATTTTTATCCAGAGAACTTGTCTGTCACTTCCCACTATTATACATGAGGGCAGGGATCGTTGGTCACTCCTACTATATTCCCATTTCCTAGAACAGTGCCTGGTACACATTAGACATCCAATACATGTTTGAATTAATGCCAAGTTTGCCCCATAGAGCATTTATGATGTTCAAGGCCTTAAGCAGCTGGGAAAGGAGAGATGCTGGGCCACATAACTTGAGATAATATTGACATTCTTTTTTGCTATTTTTCTTTTTTCCTTTTGATTAGATGACACTTGAGAAATTAGGTCAGCCATCATACTTTCTGTCCAAATGGCTGTTGGGTCATGTCCACCTAATAGAAAGGCAATTTTGGCTGCTAATTTCCTGTCTGATCAGATTAATTGAATTCAGACAGTGAGCACAGAGCCCCCTTTCAGAGTAAAGAAGACAGCACTGACATTAGTGCTCATGCAGGCTTCTTAGTTTTTCTCTGATGAGGAGCTGTGTTTTATTTCCTTGATCTTGGAATTACTGAGAGAGATGGAGAAGATGCAGGGGAGCTCAGAAAGCGTGTATAGGAGGGGCTTAAGGAGGGGGCACCATTTTCCTCCTGGCATTAGTAAAACCTCAGGAGTGAGCCTTATGACTCTGGCTTGGAAGATAAGGGGGGGCCTGCTTTGTCACTTGTGACTACAGGATTAATGACTTGGTTATACGTCATTTCTGAACCCATAGTGTCTGTCGCCCACTTTATGGGAATTAAACCTTCCATTCAGAGCAAATAAGTTCCCCGGATGCCGGGCACAGTGGGTAGCGGTGCAGGGAAGGAAAGAGGGGTGAGGGAAGGGTCACAAATGAGCCATGAAAACTGCCCTGAAGAGCTTACAAACTAATGAAGCACTTTCGTTTTTATGCTTTATGTTCTATAATAGAAAAAATCGAGGTGGCTTATAATGAAGACTACAGATTAATGATGGTCATTTAAACAATTATAACAGAAGGAAAAAATGTACAAGGAAAGGAGTTAATTAGAACCTGAACACCTAGGCCAAGACTGATTTACAGGATCATAGCACATCAGGATTGAACAGGCTTATGAGGAGCACTCAGTTCAAACTCGCCCCACACTCTCAGGCTGTTGTCCGAATCCTTTCAAGGGACAGCCCAATCCATCCCAATCACTCCAACTCTGAGAACTTCTGCTTGATATATTTCATTTATCAAGCTGATATCTGTTTTTCCCTTTGGTCCTAGCCCTATCCATTAGGAGCCCCCCAAGAGCAGCCCTATCATTCTACAAGATGGCCCCTCATTGAATAAGTTGAGGGTTTCCTCTTGTTCTCTGTCTTCTCTTCACCTGTGTCTTTGGTGTTTCCCATATGACTTGCAAGCACCTTGAGCCAGTGATTGCCTCTCAAACACCTTTGAGTTGCAGAATGTATGAGTTCATTTTCACCCTGCTAATTAAAATATACCCAGGACTGGGCAATTTACAAAAGAAAGAGGTTTAATAGTCTTACAGTTTCCCATGGCTGGGGAGGCCTCACAGTCATGGCAGAAGACAAGAGCATGTCACATCTTGGGCCAGGCGTGGTGGCTCGCGCCTGTAATCCCAGCACTTTGGGAGGCCAAGTCGGGAGGATCACGAGTTCGGGAGATCGAGACCATCCTGGCTAACACGGTGAAACCCTGTCTCTACTAAAAATACAAAAAAATTACCTTGGCATGGTGACAGGCACCTGTAGCCACAGCTACTCGGGAGGCTGAGGCAGAAGAATGGCATGAACATGGGAGGTGGAGCCTACAGGAGCCAAGATCAGGCCACTGCACTCCAGCCTGGGTGACAGAGTGAGACTCCATCTCAAAAAACAACAAACAAAAGCATGTCACATCTTACGTAGATGTTGGCAGGCAGAGAGAGTATGTGCAGGGGAACTCCCCCTTATAAAACCATTAGATCTCATGAGACTTACAATCATGAGAACAACATGGGAAAGACCTGCCCCCATAATACAATTACCCCCCACCAGGTCTCTCCAACAACATGTGGGAGTTCAAGATGAAATTTGGGTGGCAACACAGCCAAATCATATCACAGAACTACCACAATACCTGTTACAAAATGGGCACTCAATAAATACTGGATAGGTGGATTCATTGGTACCTGTCTTCTTAAAAGAAGAAAGGCAGGATAATCAATGAGAGGTTTTCTCACTCATGGTTATGACCTTGCATTTGGATGGAAAGTCATCTACAAATATGTTTTCACCTTCTCAGGGCAGGCTGAACAAAGCCTGTCTGAAGGTTGTCAGATAACTATGTTCTCCAAAGTATGGGGAGTTTATTAAAAACTCAGATGCCTAAACCATACTCCGAACCTACTGAATAAGGATCTCTTTCTGTGGGGCCCAGGGAATCTGCATTTTAACAG
The DNA here is from genome assembly GCF_000001405.40 of Homo sapiens. Taxonomy (NCBI): domain Eukaryota; kingdom Metazoa; phylum Chordata; class Mammalia; order Primates; family Hominidae; genus Homo; species Homo sapiens. Next base: position 83,277,438 of record NC_000016.10, read on the forward strand.
ATTCCTAGGTACAATTCAGTTTGGGAATCCTACAAAGGCTTTAAAAGGGCAAAGATTTCTTAAAGTGTGATCAGTGAGAATCCCTGAGACTTTTTCAGGGGCTTCATGAGGTCAAGACTATTTTCATAAAAATACTGAGGTGTTTTGTGCGTTCATCCCTCTCATATCTCATGTATATATCATGGAGCTTCCAGAGGCTTCCTGGTGTACATCATTGAACCAGACTCAAAGTAGCAGATAAGAGAATCCAGCGGATTCCCTTAAGTCAAACGTGAAAGCCCTGCAATAGCCACTCTTTCTACTATATTTTCTTTTGTTTAGGAAAATACAGTTTTTAATTTAAAAATATTTTTATGTTAAAAAGCTATGAGTTTATTTTTTTAGTAATTTGGTAATCTTTTTAGGTTTTGTAGAAATATAAAGGATCCTGAAACCAAAAAATTTGAGAAGTTTGTTTGCTATTGGGCAACAAACTAAATAAATGTATTTAAAAAGTAGATTTCCTATCTTTATTCAGTGAAATGCTATATCAAGTAGTTGATCCCATGTCAACTTAATTTGTTAAAATTATGATTTCTATTGATAAAAGGTCTCATAGTTCCTATTCTCCAAGAAGGCCAAGGTGTTTTTGCAGTATTGCAGCATGAGCAGGAATCAGGCGCTAAGTATTGCTTTCCTTTAAAAAAAAATGCATTATATTTCCCAGATTTCTGGCAAATTTGCAGTTATTCAATTTTAAGTAGCGGGAACCAAATCCATCTGGATTTTTAAAAAGTACAACCCCAGGAATTTTGTGATCATAGATATGACTCCTTTATCTCTCATTCCCAAAGCTTAAACCAGATCCAGCTTAAAGTCATCTGATTTTCTTTTAGCTCTTCCCCATTCACCATGGGCTCCTTAAACCAAAGATACCTTCTAAGCAAAAGGCACCTTCTAAGCTCCAAGACAACCCTCTGAAATGGGGAAAGGTAGCAGTATTGTGGTAAAGGTTTAATGAATGGCTTGGAGGACGTGCAAAGCCAAGCCCTGACTTGCCAGTTTCCATGGTGTGAAGAATCCCGTTATAGTTGGTTTTGAGTTGAAGCTATCAACCCGGCATCACTAAACACGGTAATGGGAAGGGAAACATACAACAGGCTCTGGAGGAGACAGCAAGAAAAACTGTCTAAATCCGTTCTCTCTTTCAACCATCCAGAGTTTACTCTGGATCCTGGCAATGCCGGTTGAGGTGGCATTATTCCAGGGTAGTCTTTCATATGTCAGCAGAGAAGAGAAGGATACAAGTGTGGCCAAATATGTTAGAGGCTGGAGCAAACTCCTTGAGAGCATCTGATTCGCATTCTGTGAAGAACCTGTATTCATAGCAAGAAATGAGGCTGAAAAGAGAAGCAGTGAATTTAGAACATGACTACCTTGCCTGGAGAGGGGAAAGGGCAGGATGTTGAACCTTAGTCTCATAATCAGTCTTATCAGAATAACAATAGCCAGCATGCTAAGCCTGGATAGAAATACAGAAAGCACACAGCACTCTGCCTGCCTTATACTGTAGTAGTGACATCTTTCCTTTTTATTTATTTATTTTTTATTGTAATGGGTGCTCTTTTGGGAAGAATGAATCAACTACTTTTGTGCAGGTTCGTCTCATTTTAACTTTTTTTTTTTTCATTTTGTGAATTTGAATTGAATATTTAGTCACAGGAAATAGTTTTAAGTTCTCTGGGAGGCCAAAGGTAAGAATTCCATGTCATAGATACAAACGAGTCTAATATCAGGGCTAGATTTATTCTGATTAAATCATTGTAAGTCAGCTGTTTTTATAGATCTGAAGTAGAAGAGAAAGTAAATATTTCATCCCCGAGGATTTGTTAGTAGAGATTTACATGCCTCCATTCCACTCTTGAGTTTGAATTTAAAATAGTCACAATGCCGAGGGGCTCCTGGATGCACGCACAAAGTAATTGTTTTACAATTCTGTTAGACAAAACCCATAGCACAATAGCTGCAATGCAAGTGTCAGAGGTTAGGGGGAACATTAAAATCATTCAAACGCTGCACATATCTGCCGCATTCTGGAAACCGCTGCTAAAAATGGGTATTAAATCTCACCTTAAAGGTCAGGGGCAATTTACCCATCTTTATTAATGAGTCGAAATTATCCTGGAAGGAACCGGCTATTAAATATGTGGAGTTGAGACAATCGGCTATACATCTGGGAAAAACATCATTAGCTTCCTCTCTCACAACATGTAGTGACACACATTTCTAGATGGATATGAGATCTAAAAGTGAGAAGCAAACCATAAAACATACCTAAAGATAATATAGGCGTAGCTCAGAGATATCAAAGGTTGATTTCAGACCACCACAATCAAAGGAATATCACAATGAAGTGAGTCACATGATTTTTTTTTTTGCTTTTCCAGTACATATAGAAGCTCCATTTATACTATACTGCAATGTAGTAAGTATGCAATAGTTTCATGTCTGAAAAATGTACATACCTTAATTAAAAATACGTTATAACTAAGAAAGTGCTAACAAACATCTGAATCTTTTTGCTGGTAAAGAGTCTTGCCGCAATGTTGATGGCTGCAGATTGATCAGGGTGGTGGTTGCTGAAGGATAGTATGCAGGGTACTGCAGCAGTTTTTTAAAATAAGACAACAATGAAGTTTGTAACATCAAACAAGGATTTCTTTTCCAAAATCTTTCTCTGTAGCATGTGATGCTATTTGATAGCATTTTACCTACTGCAGAACTTGTTCCAAAATTGGAGTCAGTCTTCTCAAACCCTGCTGCTGCTTTGTCGACTAAATTTCTGTAATATTCTAAACTCTTTTTTGTCATTTCAACTATGTTCATAGTAGCTTTACCAGGAGTAGGTTCCATCTTGAGAAATGTCTTTCTTTGCTTATCCATAAGAGCAATTCTTCATCCATTCATGTTTTATGATGAGATGGCAGGAATTCATTCACATCTTCAAGCCACACTTCTAATTCTAGCTCTCGTACTGTTTCCATCACATCTGCAGTTCCTTCTTCCACTGAAGTCTTGAGCCCCTCAAAGTCATCCATGAGGGTTGGAATCAACTTCTTCCAAACCCCTGTTAATGTTGATATTTTGGCCTCTTATCATGAACCAAGAATGTTCTTAATGGCATCTAGAACAGTAAATTCTTTCCCGAAGGTTTTCAGTTTACTTTGCCCAGATCCATCAAAGAAATCATATGCCAGCTATGGCCTACAAAATGTATTTCGTATCTCATAAGCTATAGTTTTACAAAATGTCTTTTGAAAGTCAAAATTACTCCTTGATCCATGAGTTGAAAAATAGATGTTGTGTTACCATACACAAAAACATTACTCTTGGACATTTCCGTCAGAGCTCTTGGGTCACTAGGTATATTGTCAATGAGCAGTAACATTTTGAAATGAACCTTTTTTTCCTGAGCAGTAAGTCTGAGCAGTGGGCTCAAAATATTCAGTAAACTATGGTGTTAACAGATGTGCTGTCATCCAGATTTTGTTATTCCATTTATAGAGCAAGATTAAATTTCAGAATGGCCAATAAGCATTTGCTTCAATTTTACCCCCTAACCAGAGAGTCTGCCTATTCTTTGAAGTTTTGAAGCCAGGCATTGACTTAATCTCTAGCTATGAAAGTCCTACACGGCATCTTCTTTCAATTGAAGGCTGTCTCATCTACACTGAAAATGTATTGTTTAGTGTAGCCACTTTCATCAACGATCTTAGCTGGATCTTCTGGATATCTTGCTGCAGCTTCTATATCAGCACTCGCTGCTTCGCCTAGCACTATGTTATAGGGATGGCTTCTTTCCTTAAACCTCATGAACCAACCTCCGTTAGGTTCAGACTTTTCTTCTGCAGATTATTCACCTCTCTCAGCCTTTATAGCACTGAAGAGAGAGCACTTTGGTCTGGATTAGGCTTTACCTTAAGTGAATGTTGTGAGTAGTTTGATCTTTTATCCAGACCACTCAAACTTTCTCCACATCAGCAATAAGGCAGTTTCACTTCCTTGCCATTCATGTGTTTACTGGGGTAGCAAGTTTTGTTTCCTTCAAGAACTTTTCCTTTGCATTCATAATTCAGCTGTTTGGTACAAGAGGTCTGGCTTTCAGCTATCTCAGCTTTCAACATGTCTTCGTCATTAAGCTTAATCAGTCTAGGCTGAGTGGTGGCTGACACCTGTAATCCCCGCATTTTGGTAGGCTGAGGTGTGCAGATCACTTGAGGTCAGGAGTTCGAGACCAGCCTGGCCAACATAGTAAAACCTCATCTGTGCTTAAAAAAAAAAAAAAACGTAGCCAAGCGTGGTGGCGCGCACCTGTAATCCCAGCTACTCGGGAGGCTGAGGCAGGAGAATTGCTTGAACCCAAGAAGCAAAGGTTGCAGTGAGCCGAGATTGCACCACTGCATTCTAACCTCGGCAACAGAGCGGGACTCCGTTTCTAAATAAATAAATAAATAAAATTTTAGGGAAAGCTTAATCAGTGTAGCTTTTGATTTAAAGTGAGGGCCATGTGTCTCTTCTTTTCACTTGAACACTTAGAGACCATTGTAGTGGTATTCATTGGCTTAATTTAAATATTGTGATATCTCAGGGAATAGGGAGTCCCAAGGAGAGGGAGAGAGATGGGGGAATGGCTGCTCATTGCAGCAGTCAGAGCATACACCACATTTATCAATTACATTTGCCATCTTTTGTCTTCTGCGGACATGGCTCATGGTACCCCAAAACAGATACAATAGTAACATCAAAGATCACTGATCTCAGATCATCATAAGAGACATAATAATAATGAAAAATGTTAAAATATTGCCAGAATTACCAAAATATGATACCAAAACACAAAGTGAGAATATGTTGATAGACATGCTCAACGCAGGGTTGCCACAAACATTCGATTTGTAAAAAACACAATAGCTGAAAAGTAGAATAAAAGCAAAGCACAATAAAATGACAATGACTTATCTGTGAATAGGAGAAGCTAAAAATGTAACGTTGGACCAGAGAGGGCTAGTAAGCAAGGCTCCAACCCAAAAAATAGTAAATAAAAATATAAGTCACTAAAACCCCTGTCTATTTGGGAGATCATAAGGTTATAAAACAAGTGACAACAGGACAGAAAAATTTTGCAACATACATGCCAGACAGTTACTGTCCTTAGTGTAAAAAGAGCTCCTGTAAATCAACAAGAAAGAGACAAATAGGAAATGGAAGAAAGTTGGCAAAGAAATAAGTTCTTCCAGTGCCTTGAGAGAATAAGTTTTCCTTTCCAGCAAACCTGGACACCTTAGGGGCTTCTGAACACATTGCATTGCTTCCTCATTCAGGGCTGCTGATGGGTGGATTTTCATCAAAGCATATTTTCATCCTGTTATTCTATTGAGCAATTGACCTCTGTGGGTCTCCATGGTTGATAGGCTAACATGTAACCTCATCATGGTATTTGATATTTAATTAAATGAGATAATTTGTATAATGCTCTAGTACAGTTTTAGGCCATGGTAAACTCCGAATTAATTCTGTTCTTCACTCCTTATTTATAGCATTGCTGAGAAAATTAGGTGAGATTCTGTATTTAGAAGAAGAAAAGTTCCCACTTAATGATGGGGCTGCTCAATAAATGTTGGTCCTCTTCTCTAGAAACCCTGACTCATTCAGCACAATCCCTTAGATCTTCACAGATTTTTAAATCTTTAATTAGGGCTCCTCCATCCTGGCTGAATGTTTGAATTACCTGTGGAGTTACTGGATGATACCAATGGCCAGGCCCTACCCCAGACAAGTTGAATATGAACTCCGAGTGTGGGACCCAATGTATTTTAAAAAGTTCCACAGAATGGCTGGGTACGGTGGCTTACTCCTGTAATCCTAGCAATTTGGGTGGCCGAGGAGGGTGGATTGCTTGAGGCTGGGAATTCAAGACCAGCCTGGCCAACATGGTGAAACCCTGTCTCTACTAAAATTACAAAAATTAGCTGGGCGTGGTGGTGCACACCTGTAATCCCAACTACTTGGGAGGCTGAGACATGAGAATCACTTGAACCCAGGAGGTGGAGTTTGCAGTGAGCCAAGATTGCGCTACTGCACTCCAGCCTGGGCAACAGGGCTAGACTCCATCTCAGAAACAAAAATTTCCACAGGAGATTGTAATGTGCAGCCAGGGGCAATATCTACCTGAAATGTCCTTTAGTGTTCTTACAGTGGTGCCTTTATCCCTGAGGTGCCTTTTCCCTTCCACCTTGCCATCATCGGCCTCTCTGTGTATTAAGGTCTTAGTTTGAGCTGGAAATAACCTTCTTTTTGGAACCCCTGCAGCATTTACATCCTTTGGTCTTAGAATAGCCTTTTTTGGTAATAATATCTACTTGTAATAATATCTTTATATCCAGAGTTGTAAGCTCCTGGAGGCTGGGGATATAATTTTATTAATCATTACATTTTTGTAATGTGTGTTTCAGCATTTGACACATAGCAAGTTCTCAAAAACTGTTGAATAAATAAATGAATGTAAGTGAATGAGGATAGACATGTATCTTTACACAAGCCTAGAGCCAAACCATTCTCTGTGAGATCTGAAACCAAGCCCCTGTAGTCTGTGTGTTATCAAACACAGTAGTTAGCTTCACAGACAGCCTTATTAACTAACTCATCCCGCAGTTTTCAAAGAGCATGTATTTCTTGTCATTCATGAAGTTGTTAGTTCTGGGGAAGTGTTGGACTTTGGTAAACACCCTCTCTTTCGGCTTCTCACTTGGATTTTCAATCCTGAGCAAAGAGACCACTCAGGAGAAGAATCTGAGTAGTCAAAGCAGAGAGTTGGTACTAGATGGCGCTGGACTTACTAGCTGTTTGACTTTGAGCAAATTGCCTGTTAGACCATAAAATCCTTATCTGAAAAATGAGATACGATACTACCACCTGTTTCACAGGTAAAAGTAAAATGAGACCACTCATTAAAATATATTTACTCTAGTGCCAGCTACTTAGTGAACTCTCAAAAAATGATGGACTCCAGGAAATAAAAATTAGATTAAGATTAAAGAGTACAGGCTACTGTGAAAAGAATTGAGCATTTTTTAGTGGAAGGAGGGAGGAAACTAACATTTCCTAACTACCAGCCGTGTCTGAGGCTGAGAACTTCTCTGGTCAACTCAGTGCAGAAAAAAATGGCAAAGTGTTTAAATATATTACATAACATAACATAGCGTAATATAATAATATAGTAAATATAAGTATAGTGAATATAATTACTTTGATTACATAAGTATGATTAGTAATAAATGATAGATATAAAATAGTGTTAATATAATACAAAATACTATAGTATAATACAATATAATGTGTATGTTTCTTTTTAAAACCTTTTCAGTATACGTTGAAGGAAACAAAGACCCAAGTTTAATAGGGAAATGATTTTTGTAATAAAGTGAACAAACTGGATAGGTTCTCTTGAGCTGGTTACAGCTGTTTTCTGACTGAATTTTAATTATAAAAGATCTAGCCAGCTTCTATACACACTCTCCCTGCACAAATGTTAACTCTGGTTCAGACACCTTTTCTGCACCCAGTTATTCTCACTCATAATTTCTTTCTCCTTGGGTTTTTGTTTTATTTTGGAACGGCTTTTTAACCTTCAGAAGTACATTTTGTCTGGAGGACCAGAGTATCGATGTGATCCTACCTGTAGATTCTTGGCAAGAGAGAAAATGTTCTTATTAATGCAGAAAGTCCTACCCAGAAGGAAGAAAACGTCTCACCTAGAAAAAAGTCATTATGTAGTTTTTTCTGGGCTCATGGTTTCCTGAAGAGACCTGGTCCTAGTCAATTTCTCCTTGGTATTTTATTATTTTTGTCCATTTGAGGTGAAATCCGGAGGAAGTAATTATGAGGTTGTTTTAGGGGCACAGGTGGCATTTTCATGGATTGGCTGAGCTGACTGCCTGCAGTTGATTTGGGGATGGGGTCTACTTTAGGGTTTCACTGAGTACAGGTGGTCACAGATATCCACAGGTTCCAACCAGTGATGGAAAATATTCAGGGAAAAAAAAACAGTAAAAATAACACCATAACCATAAAAAAAGCAATGTAATAACTATTTACATAGCATTTACATTGTATTAGCTATCATATATAAGTAATCTAGAGATGATTTCAAGTATACAGTGGATGTTGGAAGGGTGTTCATAGGTTGCATGCCGATACTTTGCCGCTTTATATAAGAGACTTGAGCATTCCAGGATTTTGGTGTTTGTGGGGGAGGGATGTTGAAACCAATATCTGCGGGTACCAAGGGACAATTGTAACTGGATTCTAGAGCACATTCTGAGTTTGTTGGCAGTTTTATTAATCATATTTGTATTAAAATGCATAACGAATTATAGAGGAAAAAAAATAAACTCTACTCATTGTGGCCAGGCATCACAGAGAAGTGGGACAAGGGTGTGGACCAAAGAAACAGACCAAGGAGCGTGGGCGAACTGGAGGGTTCCTGCCCATGTCCTGCCCACTTTCTGTTCCAGGTTTCAGAGGAGCAAAGAGCCGTTGCCCAAGAAATAATGGCTCAGCCATCTTTACCCTGTCTCAAATGCAAGTCTCTAAATTTGTTCCTCCTCCTTGTCTGGCAAGTCTGAGCAACGTTCCTGCTTCAGCTCTCTCCCCAGTGTTTGAGGCATGAACTGGATTCCAGGTGATGACTTACCCAAACACCTCAAGGAGTTTCGCCTCTAGGACCTGGGTGGACCTTCACTCTTCCCACATCAGCCCCAGGCAGACCTCTCTGCACGATGCCAGTTGCATCCATATTACAGCTGACATTTGCAGTTGACTTTACTTTGACAAATATTTTTCCATTTTTATGGTGAACCCAAAGAGTTCTATCCTCAGGGCATCTGCTAGCCCCTGTGGTATGTTTGTGTAGAATTTAAAAGGCATGCTCCCTCTGGTCAGAGGCAGCTTTACAGATGTACAAATTTGGGTGATAGAAGTTTCCGTTGTCAAATTTAAAAATATATCCTATTCTTCACACCTGTAATCCCAGCACTTTGGGAGGCCAAGGCAGACGGATTGCCTGAGCTCAGGAGTTCAAGACCAGCCTTGGCAACACAGTGAAACCCTGTCTCTACTAAAATATAAAAAATTAGCCAGGCATGGCAGCATGCGCTGGTAGTCCCAGCTACTTGGGGGGCTGAGGCAGGAGAATTACCTGAACCTGGGAGGTGGAGGTTGCAGTGAACCAAGATGGTACTACTGTATTCCAGCCTGGGCAACAAAGTGCGACTCTGTCTCAAAAAAAAAAAAATGTATATATATATATTTATATATATATACACACACACATATAAATATATTTACATCTATCTATCTATCTATCTAGATATATACCTCATATTCTTGTGAGTGGACTGAGGCTCATGCCATGTGGAAAGTGAAGCAAGGGCTGGATATTTGATTCCTACTTGTCCCCCTGCCATGCCCGTGCTCCTATGTGTATTATAACCTGTACCCCATAGATGGTTCTTGAGATTACTCCTCCTTTCATCTGGAAGATAATGTTCATCTTTTTTAGGGCCACCTTCATGAGCGCATGCTGAAGGTACCCATGTAAAAAGGCCATAAATGTTTGAAAAGCCTTCAGGTACTTTATAGGCCATGTTCATTCTGCAAATGTCAGTGGAATGTTCAGGAAGTCCAACGTAGAGAAAGGCCCAGGATGGCTAGAATGAAATCAGAGATATCCAGTAGGACCTGATCACTGGCAGAACCCAGACTGGGGCCAGCTGATGAAGCCAGAGAGGCATTCGCTTCAGGGACCAAAACTTTCATTCAGTAAGAGCGGGGGTCCTCAACCACGGGCCACAGGCCAGTACTAGCCTATGACCTGTTAGGAACCTGGCTGCCCAGCAGGAGGTAAGTAGCAGGCAAGCAAGCAAGCCAAGCTTCATCTGTATTTACAGCCACTCCCCATCGCTTGCACTACTGCCTGAGCTCCACCTCCTGTCAGATCAGGGGCAGCATTAGATTCTCATACGAGCATGAACCTTATTGCAAACTGTGTGTGCAAGGGATCTAGGTTGCATGCTCCTTATGAGAATCTAATGCCTGATGGTCTGTCACTGTCTCCCATCACCCCCGGATGGGTCCCTCTAGTTGCAGGAAACCAAGCTCAGGGCTCTCACTGATTCTACATTATGATGACTTATATAATTATTTCATGATGTATTATAATGTAATAATAATAGAAATAAAGTGCACCATAAATTTAATGTGCTTGAATCATCCCCAAGTCATCCCCTCACCTCCTCCTGGTCCATGAAAAAATTGTCTTCCATGGAACCAGTCCCTGGCACCAAATAGGTTTGGGACCTCTGATCAAGAGTGATAGCATTGTAATGTAACATTTTTGAAACTCAAAATTAATGCATAGAAGTCCATGAGAAGTAAAATGTTAAAGACAGGATCAAAATCAATGCAGAAAATCCATAATGAGCAAAATATGAACATGTTTTAAAAAGAGGGCATCAGTATTACTGATTTCTTTCGTTTGACTCAGGCTCCAGTACAGCTTATGTTGGCACTGTGATGTATCCTGTCTGTATTTAAAATTTTTAGGTAGTGTCCATCATGACCTTTTTGCAGTAATTGCGATTTTTAAAAATATTGCGTTAAAATAGTACATATCTTGATTACTGAGTTTTTTGGTGCCTCCTTTGAGATGGTGCAGAAAGCAAGCTCCTCACTCATCTCCTCTAGCCCAGCCCCAATAGCTAACTCACTCTTAGCGCCTGTCCTTGAGTGCTGTGTGAGCCATTGTGTTGCACCAGCTTGTTTTAAGTCCCAACAATCTTGTTCCATGGTGTCTTTTAATAATGGAAGAGCAAAGAGGTTAAATGACTAGCCCAAGGTCTACATGAGGTGGAGGAGGAGGGAATCAAATTAGGCATAAAGCCTATTGCTTGGATCATGTTTAGTAACAAGGAGACGGAAGGTGGAGGATATGAGAGGCTGATCAAGGTCGCAGGAGCAAGTGCAGGGCAGAGACAGGGTGGCAGCTCCCTGTGCCTTCTGGAAGCCATCCCCCAAGCTGAAGGAGCCACACAGAGCCAGCTGTCCAGGCAGGACCTCTCTGCGGTGACATTCACATGGCAGAGTTACCAAGAAGAAAGCTTGTGTCCCCAAGACTTGTATTTGAAAGTTAATTGCTTAACCTTTTCCCAAAGAATCGTCAGCAAATATTGCACACACCCACAAAAATTATTTTGCCTTTCATAAAGCACAAGTGGACATGTCTTTATTTCTCTGCAAAACGAGCCGCTGCAGTGCAATCACTTGAAATGTAGGGTCTGAATGAAAATTAATGCTGTTGATGAAACCAGCAGTCTAAAACATTACAGGATATTAGACTGAAAAGACAGTGGTATTTGCATCCTTTTGAACATTCGCCTGGATTTGCATAATGGAGATGTCACTTATATTGCAGGAGAAAAATCAAGTTACCTGGGCTCCCATTAACTGCCTGCTCGCTACAGTTCCCGTAAGGGGTTGGAACACCACCTTTTTGAAATAGAAAATGTGAAACTCCTACATTCACCAAGTGAGTCTTTAGTGAAACAGGAGTGAAAAGAATCATGGGCTATTGCTTGCTCCTGGCCTACAAGAACCAAAAAAGACACATTTCTGCTGGAGGCGAAGACCAGGAAGAATTCACTGTCTGCATATGAATGTGCGTGAACTTGGTTGTCAGGAAATGAACAGTACATAACCCAACCTGGGACCCTTTTGGCCTCTACAGCTTGAAATTGTAACACCAGCTTCACTACCCGGTTATATTAATCTCATGTATTTTTGGTATCTGGTGACAGCTTCTTTCTGAAAGGCTTCTGTTTAGGGCGGTGTGTGGTAACTGTGGGTGTACATCACAATCATCTTGGATGCTTTATAAAAATGCAGATGCCCAGGCTCCACTTTAGTGTGGAACCCAGATATTGATATTTTTTCAGCACTCTTAAGGTGATTCTAATGTGCAGCCTGCGTTGAGAAGCACTGCTCTAAAAGATCTCTGCTGCATTTTATCCTTCTCTTATTTGAGGCTGTTTTAATGGAGTAAACATACAGGATTCAGCATAATATAAATTTAATATTAATAATGCCAGGGACATCTAAGGGCACATTCACCCCAACAGTAGAAACTCAGAATGGGGACAGTCTAGCTGGACCATTTATCAGCTGCTTGGGCTTGGGTACGTGGTTTAGCTTCTTGGTGTCTCAGTTTTCTCACTTTGAAATGGGGATAATAATTTCCTTTCTGATCATATGTAAGGATTTATGACAATGTCTATCATACAGTTAGCCTGTAAATGATACGTTCTATTTTATGTAACCATTAAAACAATTTCTTTGTGGGCTGTACTTTCATCCAGCTGGATGGATTTTAACCAAGTGATCCCACCTCTATAGCCAGCACCCAGATTAAGAAGCAGAACAAGACTCTTCCTCTTATAGCCCCTTCTAATCACCAGCTTCTCCCCAGAGGGAACCACTCTTCTGACACTTAACTGTACAGATTAGATTGGCCTGTTTGGGGACTTTCTACTGATGGACCCATGCTGTGTATACTCTTTTCTGTCACCTTCTTTCAGTCATCATGGTTAGTCAGATGCATGTTGTTGTTGCATATCGTTTGTTCATTCTCCTCCTTGCTGCTGTGCAATATACCATTACGGGAACTAACCACATTCAATTCTATTTTAATTGTTAGTATTTACAATGGCTCCCTAACTGGGATCTCTTTTCAAACAATTCACTCTTCAGTCCCTGATATGATTTGGTGCTGTATCCCCACCCACATCTCACCTTGAATTGTAATAATCCCCTCGTGTCATGGGAGGCATCCAGTGGGAGGTAATTGAATCACGGGGGGCAGGTTTTTCCCATGCTGTTCTCATGGTAGTGAAGAAGTCTCACGAGATCTGATGGTTTTATAAGGGGAGTTCTTCTGCACACGCCTTCCTGCCTGTGACCATGTAAGACGTGCCTTTGCCCCTCCTTTGCCTTCCACGGTGATTGTGAGGCCTCCCCACTCATGTGGGACTATGAGTTCATTAAACTCCTTTTTCTTTATAAATTATGCAGTCTCAGGTATGTCTTTATTAGCAGTGTGAGAACAGAGTAATATATTCCCTCTTATCGAATGACTTCTACACAGTGTGAATGAGATCAGATTCCTCTTCAGTGCGGAAGAAAACTAGACCTCTTGGTCCTGTGTTCAGGGCCTTTCTCGGGCTCCAAGGCCCTCGTTGTGACTGTCCACTGTCCATGCACGTGCACTTTTTTTCTTTCTGACCATGCATCTTCACTCAGGGCCGCCTTTCACCTTGCTTTTCCTGACTGTTCTCTCTGCCTACTGCCTAGAATGTTTTTTTCCCATCTCTACGCAGGGAACATCTATACATTTCTCAAGATCTGGAGTTCAGTTTGTCACCCGTGAGGAGCCTCCTTCCACTTCGCCTTTGCTAATCCATCCTGTCTTTTGTGCACTCATGCAGCATGTCACGCAGACCTTTGTTAAAGGTCTTATCAAATGGTATTTGACAGTACAGGTCTATTTCTCTATGAGACTACCCGTTGTTCAAAGCGGCAAGCTACCAACCTGATCTCATTCATCTTTGCATCCTTCATGCTGATTATAGTGATCGGCTGTTCTCAATTAATGAATGGAAGAATTAATGGATAAGTGGATAAATCACTTAATAAATCAGAAATCTTTTAGACTTTGCTGCTCTTCCTCGAAGCATAATTCTGGTTAGAGGTCACGTAGTAAATATATTCAGGGGGTTCTACTTCTTCATCTTCCAGGGAGAATTGTCGCTTTTCTCATTCAACTTTTCAGCTTATTGTACCCCCGCTTTGTACCCCACCTCACTCCCAGCTTCTAGATACCTGAGGTTTGGCGACCCAGCTACGAGACTGTCCCTTCCTTCCACCACCTGATAGTGCAAAATTGGGACAAAGTCATCATTAGGCAGCGTAGTTAGTAGCAAGATATTAGAAGTCCTCAGAATAGCATTTGCGTTTTCATATACTACTTTGTTAACCCTATGCAAAAATAATCCAAGATAGAATTTTAGTAGATTTATTTCCACAGAGACCAAGATAGTTTTCTTGGTGGCCGTCATAACTGTTTGATGTAACTAAAAATAAAACTAGCCCTGACTGCTAATAACTCAAAACCGGTGGAGATTAGAGCAAGGGAAATGTGGTTAATTCAACTCCAGCTTGCTTTGACCTGAATTTATGCCAACTGGGACTTTTGCCTGAATTATTCGGGAAAATGCCCTGAGCTGCCCCTTAATTCATCTTGTACGTTTGGTCTCTTACATATTGAAAAAGTGTGTTCTATGATTCTTTTCCATATAGCTAATGTCATCTTGACCAGGTCAGAGTTCCTCCAAGTTGTTTTTAACATACAAATTTATCACATCACGTTTCATCATGCCTGCTCCCAATGGTCATGAGTTATTGAATTTGTATAGGAGAGTTAATTTGTAATGTCCTTGAGGTATCATTTTTCACTATTGGCCTATGTTGGCCACCTTTGTTTACATTTAGTTCAGAAAGCACTAATTTAAGAAGTGTCAGGTTGTAACAAAACATAAGATCAATGCAGTTAGTTTCTGTTCAGACTTTAACAACTTGGTATCTGTCAACTGAAGCATGAACATAGATATGGGCAAAACCCAATTAATACACAGTTGTAATCACAGTGGGACTTAGTGGTACTTTCTCCTTTGCACAGTGGGACTCTTAGAAGTGGCTTCATTAATGTTGCATTTGTAGTTTGAGTTCTGCTCTTCTTCTCATATTGCCTAGTTCTGGGCCTCCCTGTCCTCTGTCCTGTGGCCACTTTTCCATGTGGGGACTTTTGGGGCCTGATGGCTTTTTGGTACCTCTGCTGTCCTGCTAGCTGCCAAGAACTCTCCATTACTCCCCCTTTGATTGCTTGGGACACATTTTTAAATAAAGCAGCTTTGGGCCACAGCGACAAAAAGTGTAGAGCCATCTTTTTGTTTTGCAGCCTCTATTTCTGTTTTGAACAGGTCTTTTCAAATCAAGCGGTAGGAGCTATACCTCTCCCAGATGAGGCCCATCACACACTCTCACTAAGTAGGCAATTTCTTTGGGGTGATAAAAATGATTACAAATATTTGAATTGGAATCGTTGGGAATCTCATTAAAAACAACAACCATGATCAGGTGACATTGTATTTGTGAATATCCTCAGGGTATGTTCAGAAAATCAGTGTTATAAGAGCTTGAACGATTATATTAGTTTAGCTTGATAGTGCTCTGTTTCTTTTCTCTTTACACTTGCATGGCATAATATATTAATAAAAATTAAGAAATTTTTAGTGAAACCAATGAATTTGCTTTCAGAAAACAGCATTTTACAATATCTATTGGGTAATTATATCAAATACTCGATTCCATGGTTTCTGGTATTGGATAAATGACTAAATTTGTAATTAAACACATCTTTTGGACTAAAGTTACTAAACAGATAGTTGAGTCAATTACATAACAGCAATGGGCATTACATTAGATTTTATCACAACAGTAATTACTGTGTGATGTTAGATTCTATTTTGAATTGCTCTTTCTAAAGATGGGTTATCAGCAACAGAATATGCATTGGGCTTTTATGAGCGGTCTTTGCACTACTCATATCTGATAAGGGCCAAATCCTATGATAAGAGGTCAGAGACTGGTCTGGCAGTAAAGAGCCTTCATTAAATTATTTTTAATAGTAAGCATTTATTGAAGCTTATTACGTTAGAACCTGAAGAGTCACAGACATGTAACCTTCCCCATGCCTTCTGGGGTCCTTGCTCTAATTTGGGAGATACAACACATAGAGAAAAAGGTACATGAGGCAGCCTTGCCACCGGAAGAAAATGGCACTCAAATTCCCAGCTGTCATCTGGGAAAGGTCAATTGTTTTCTTTACAAAGCCACCTTCATAGCAAGACTTTATCCATGTCAGCAGTCTAGAATGTCGTCATCTTTATAGACTCAGAAGCTTGATTTGGTGTCTATATTCAGAGGTTATTTCTATCTCAGGGATAGTATTTTACTAATCAAATACATAACAGATATATACATAAACCAGAATGAAAACATATTATAGTGAGAAATGTAATTATTGATTGAACTGGATATTTGTCTTTTCATGTCAACTTATTCATTCAGAGCAGGTGTGGGAAAACAAATTTTAGTCATGAACCGGGTTGGAAAGTATTAAAAACGAGGATTTGGTCATCTTAACAAAGTGTTTCTCAGCTACAGTTTCTTCCCAACAGAGTGGGAGCTAACAATAGGAATAACAATCAGAGCCATAATCTCTAAGGGCTTCACTGTTTACCAGGAATTATACTATGCCCTTAGCATGTATTATCTCATTTAACTCCCATGATAACTTTTCATACAGGTATTATTGTTGCCCCTGTGAGCAGGAGGAGAAGATTGAAAAAAATCAATAACTACCCCAAGTTGTGTAGCTAGGACATAGCATCAAGGATTCCAAGCCAAGGATTATCTGACTTCTGTTTATAAACTATTTTTCTTTTAGAATTTTTTCCTTTCTTTTCTAAAATTGACATAAAATTGTAGTTTTTACTGTGTACGACATGATATTTTAAAGTATCTATACATTGTGGAATGATTAAATCTAGCTAATGAACATATGCATTATGTCACAGTTACTATTTTTGTGTTAAGAATATTTTACATTCACTCTTTTAGCATTTTTAGGAATACAATATATTGTTATTCATTGTAGTTGCCATATTGGACAATAGTTCTCTTGAGCTTATTTTTCCTATCCAATTGAAATGTTCTATCTTTTGGCCAACATCTCCCTAACAACTCCCAATTCCCTGCAACCACCCCAGCCCCTGGCAACCACCATTCTACTCACTACTTCTGTGAGCTCAACATTTTAGCATTCACATGGGAATGAGACTATGTGGTATTTGCCTTGCTGTGCTTGAGTTACTTAACATAATGTCCTCCAGGTTCATCCATGTTGTCACTAATGATAAGATTTCCTGTCTCATATAATATATACATATATATGTGTATGTGTGTGTGTGTGTGTATATATATATGTGATATTCATGTATTGATGGACATTTAGGAACAAATTGAACAAGGGAAGTGAATGATCTTTACACTGAAAACTATAAAACACTGATAAAAGAAATTGAAGAAAACAAAAATAAATGGAAAGACATCCCATGTTCGTGGATTGCCGGAATAATATTGTTAAAATGCCCGTACTACCCAAAATGATCCACAGATTCAACATAATCTATATTAAAATATCAATGACATTATTCACAGAACTAGGAAAAATCATCCTAAAAATCATATGAAACCACAAAAGACCATGGATAGCCAAAGTAATCTTGAGCAAAGAGAACAAAGCTGTAGGTATCACACTACCTGACTTCAAAGTATACTACAAAGCTGTAACAACCAAAACAGCATGGTACTGTTATAACAACAGACACATAGACCAATTGAACAGAATAGAAAACCCAGAAATAAACTCATGCATCTATGGCCAACTAATTTCCAGCATAGTTATCAAGAACACACAATGGGGGAAAAAAACTCTTCAATAAATGGCATTTGGGAAACCGCATATCCATATGCAGAAGAATGAAATTGGACTCCTATCTGACACCATATATAAAAATCAACTCAAAATGAAATAAAGATTTAAATGTAAGACTTGAAACTATGAAACAACTGGAAGAAAACATAGGGAAAAGTTCCATGACATTGGTCTAGGCAAGGATTTTTTGGACATAACCTCAAAAGCACAGGCAACAAAAGCAAAAATAAAATGATTATATCAACTAAAAAACTTCTGCACAGCAAATGAAACAACAGGGTAAAAAGACAACCTATGGAATTAAAAGAAAATATTTGCAAACTGTACATCTGATAAAATAGAAAAAACAATGAATAATTGAAAAATGGGAAAAGGAACTGAATAGACAGTTTTCTAAAGAAGACATAAAAATGGCCAGCAGGCATATTTTTAAAATGCTCAACATCACTAATAATAGAAATGCAAATTAAAACCACAATGAGATATCACCTCATACCTGTTAATATGGCTGTTATCAAAAAGATAAAATATAAATGTTGGCAAGGATGTGGAGAAATGAGGAACCCTTGCCCACTGTTGATGGGAATGTAAGTACAGCTATAATGGAAAATAGTATAGAGATTCCTCAAAAATTTAAAAGTAGAACTATCATATGATTCAACAATCTCACTAGGGTTATATATCCAAAGAAAATAACATCAATATGTCAAAGAGACGTCTGCACTTCTGTATGTATTGCAGCAGTGTTCACAATAGCCAAGATATGGAATCAACCTAAAAATTCATCAGTGGATCAATGGATCAATGGATAAACTATTTTTAATTGAAAGAATTAAAATTGTATCTTTATGAGCCTATTGATGTTTCAGAGAAATAAACTCTGGTCATTGAATGAAATCTCTGTGTTGCAGAAACCTCTATAAGCTCCTATGTACAGATAATCTCACAGGGTAAATTTCTCTGACTAGCTTTCCACATTCTTAGCATTCTTTTCTCAGAGAACATGTGTATAGTCCTTGTATAGGGCCATAATTTTCAGATACACTTTTCCCACTCTTCTTTGTGCTTCTCTGTCCTTAGTTGCTTTTCTCATTTAATCTTTATAATTTCCCTGTGATTTAAATTATACTTTCATTTTACAGATGAGAAAATTGAGACACTTATATTCACATATCCCACTCTAGGTCAGTCAGTAGCAGAGTCGGATGATGCATTCTGTTGTTAGTGCCTGGACAATTAAGTACCAAGAAATGCTATTGATTATAGGAGTTCATGGTAGGGAAGAATAAGGCTGATAAGTAATGAGT
The DNA here is from genome assembly GCF_000001405.40 of Homo sapiens. Taxonomy (NCBI): domain Eukaryota; kingdom Metazoa; phylum Chordata; class Mammalia; order Primates; family Hominidae; genus Homo; species Homo sapiens. Next base: position 83,296,449 of record NC_000016.10, read on the forward strand.
ATAGTTTAAGGGCAGACGTATTTGGAAAGGGGAGAGGCATAAGACAGGAGACTAGGAAATGGTAGACCTCTGTAGTTTATTAGTAATGTCTGCCTCGGAGTGACTTGGAGGATGTGGTAATAAAAGCATCTGCATGTACCCTTGTGGCTATAAGTTTCAGTTAATTAGTACAACACAAGTACACACACACACACATAAGTGGATCTCAGCCATCTAGATGGGACACAGAGTTTTTATGACAGGCAGGGTTAATGATTTCATAATGGTGAACTTTTGCCAATCTCACTACTATTTGAATATTTCACAACTTGTTCAAATTGTTAAGTACAACAGCAGATTGCATGTACACCCAATAACACGGGTTTATGTAATGTACATGGGTAAATGTACATCTTCCAAGGGAGAAAGGGTGCTCTGTGTTTCCAGCATGATGGAACCCAGTTTCATGATGGATTGGCATATTCCATAGATGAAGAATAATTACTGGAAAGAATGCAGAGCCATTGGGGACTTTCTAAATAGAGGAATGATGAGATAAGATATTTGTTTGGGAAATCGCTCTGAAGAAGATGGAATGAAGGAGAGAGGGACTTCTGGAAGGCTGTGGATCTATTTTCATTTTAATAAGCATGGGGGGAGAAGGGTAGGAGAGAGGATGGTCAACAGGTACAAAGCTACAGTCACATAGGAGGAATAAGCTCTGGTGTTCTATTGCATAATAGGGTGACTATAGTTTTCATTATTATATTGTGTATCTGAAAATAGCTAGAAGGGAGGATTTTGAATGCTCTCAACACAAAGAAATGGCAAGTGTTTGAGATGATGGATATGCTAATTACCTGGATTTGATCATTATACAATGTATACATGTACCAAAAGCTCACATTGTACCACATAAATTATTAATACAATAATTGTACGTCAATTATTATGTGTCAATTAAAAAAACAAAACTTAAAAAATAGTACTAATGGGAGGTGAAGAAGGTGTGAATAAGGGCAGAAAGACTGAGTGGGACGCAAGTGAATGTAACAAATGCTGTTCTCAAATAGCTCTAACTTATCTCTCATGCACCAGAGCACTCTTGTTTCTCACTGAACACTTTTTGAATGCCTCTTTCATGTTGGGCTTGGGCACTGTTCTCAGTGGTCTTTGTAGTTAGATGTTTTTGCCAAAATGTTGGAAAGAGTCCTTGATATATGGAAACTGACAAAGACATAACTTCAACCAGTCAAGGAGATTTCAGTGTCAGATAAGGCTTTGATGTGAACATGCCTGGCACATAGATGGTTAATATATATCCTATGGATGAAGAAACATACAAATGACCAAAGGAATGGAATAGGTAGACTAATCGAAGGACATTCAAGATAGACTTCTAAATGCCCGAAACTTTTCAAAGTGAGATCCAGACCTTTCTTGAGGAATGATGTTTCTCTACTCTGATCTGTACAGTTGGTGAAAATAAGAAAGAAGATGGAACCCAGCACGGCAGCTCACACTTGTAATCACAGCACTTTAGGAGGCCGAGGCAGGAGGATTGCTTGAGCCCAGGAGTTCTAGACCAGCCTAGGTAACATGGCAAAACCTTGTTTCTACAAAAAAAAAAAAAAAAGAAAAAGAAAAAGAAAAAAAGAAAAAAAAATTAGCCAGGTGCAGGGGTACGTGCCTGTGGTTCCAGCTACTCAGGAGGCTGAGGCGGGAGGAAAGCTTGAGCCCAAGAGGTCGAGGCTGTAGCGAGCAATGATCGCCCCACTGCACTCCAGGCTGGGTGAGAGAGCAAGGCCGTGTCAACACAAGACGAGACAAAATGAGATGAGACGAGATGAGAAAAGAAAAAGAAAAGGGAAGAAGTGAGGGAGGGAACATCAGTGCAGGTAAAATATTATTTTTCTTAGAATGAAACCAAGCCAGCAAGAATAATAACTTTTGAAAGCAGTATTTCTCCCTGTGTAGCCCTTAGACAATAGGCATCAAAATTTCTTGAGTGTATGTGACGGATTCCTAGGCCCTACCTCAAGCCTGCAAAAATAATCTCTCACAGAGAGAAAGGGAACTTTAAGCAAGCTCCTCATTTCCTTTTGCTGCAGTAAAAATTTCTAAGAATCAGTGGGTTAGAGCTTCCTAAGCACTTAAAAACTCCAAGAAGTAAGGACCTGTTATTAGAGGTAACAAGTATAGGCTAATTTGATTTCCTTAGAAAACCTTCAAAACAGCAGTGTCACAGAATCACTCTTGATTAACCACTGGACTTGGAAAGGCCTAAGGTTGAGAGGCTCAGATGGCCCCAGAGTAAAAGCCCTCAGTATGCCTGCTTCACTGAGCATTACATGAGACTGTTCCAGCTCTGTGATGATCAAATAAGAAAAGCTTGTGAGGATTTTCACTCTTCACAATGTGATGTCTTTTCCAATAACAGCATTAATAGAGAAGTGTTATCTTTAGGGCATCTTCCTTGCTTTATGTATTTTGCAATAAATTTATATAATTTTTACTGTTTCTGAGTGTAAAAGTAATGCATGCTTGTTTTAAAAATTATAAAATACTATAAAGCATGAGTAAAAATAACCAATATTCCTACCACCAAAAGATAAGCAATGTCAGTATATCTCCTTTCAGACATTTTTAGTATGTACATATGCATATAATTTTACCAAAATAGAATCATACCATATACACTGTTTTGCAACCTGTTTTATCTAATCTGAATGGAGATAATATCTTTCTGAATCATGTATATTTTCATTTTTTAATGGCTGGAGAAGATACCACAGTGTGGATGTTTCTCTTTGTTTTATTATTCCCTTATTTTGGATGCTTGCTTGGATTGTTTATCAGGCCATGAAAAAAAAAAAAAAAGATGAATTCCCCAGAACATTATAAGGAAATCTAGGGAAAGACAGCACTACCTTACCTTAAACTTTCTGGCTCATGTCACAAATCAGTAGGTTTGGACTCCTCATGCTTGCAGCACATACACTCTTGCTATCCTCATTCTCTCTAGGAACCACCATTCTTCCCCCAAGTCTCCATCACTCATCTGCTTTTCCGTGGCATGTCATTCATCCTCACTAGAGATCATCTTACTTCCCTCGATTATTCTTTGTTCATTCCACATAAGTGTATTGAGTACCTCCTCTGTGTAGGAATTTTAAAAGACCCTAGCTTTATTTAGTGTTTGTTAAAGCATCTCTTAACCTCCTCTCATTAAGGATACAGATTCATGATAAAAACCAAACACCTTGACCAAAAGGCTAACTTGGAAAATGCCAGTTGTTATTACTGCAATCTCAAGTAATGAAAATTCATGGAGTTTATATAAGTTATTGCAGCATAACACTTTATCCCAACACTTAGTGGCTGAAAACAGTACATAATGATGAGCTCACAGCTTAGTGAGATCAGGCGTCTCCTCATGGCTTAGCTCTGCTGGAGGCCTCAGGCTGTAATCACGATGCTGACCAGGGCTACAATCATCCCAAATTCAGATGAGGGCAAGGTCTACCTGCAAGCTCACTTGATTGTTAACAGAATTGAGTTCCTCATAAGTTGTCAAATGAGAGCCTCAGTTTCGTCACAGGAGTAATATCCCATCACTTTTGCCATATTCTGTTCATTAGATGCAAGTCACTAGTTTTAGCCCATACTCAAAGGGAAGAGATTACCCAAGAGGGTGAGTACCAGGAAGCTGGGATCATTAAAGACCATCTTTGAAGTCAAGGATATGCTCATAGAGCTGATAGACAGTGATAAAACCTCAGCAACTGACCAGAAAAGGTCAACTTAGAAAATGAGATTTTGTAGTTTAAACTCCTGGAAATTCATAGATCATAACATTTCAACTTACTTTTAAGTTGAGTGACATGAAGAGATAGGTCAAAATATTTACATTTGCTAAATGTGTACTTACTGTTCTTTATATAGAGCTTTGCAGCTTACAACATACAGTTCTGTGTCAATATTTTCATTTGATTTTCTCAAACCTGGAAGGGAGGAATGGAAGATGTTATCTCAAATTTAAAGACAAATGAACTGAGACCTGACAAGTTACCAGCTGAGTAGGTTACATCTTTCTGCCAGTTCATGTGTTGGTTCAACAAACGTATACAAACAAATCTTATGTGCTTGGCACCATGCCAGGCAGGGTCTGGGGACGCAGTGTTGGACAACATGAATGTAGTTCTGCCCTCCCAGAACCTAGTATCTTGTCAAGATGAGACGTTAATCCAATTAAATCTTACATAAAATAAGACTGCAAACTTTAATATTTTCTAATGGTTGAAAAGGTTATAGATCATGATTTATGCAGTTTATATATGCAGGTTTACATATTTTAAAATTATCCAGCTGCATTCTTAAGATTTGTACATTTTACTGTGTATGTGATGTTTTTAGAACATCCTGGGAAGGAAAGCTACATAGCGCTAAGGTAGTTCGTTAAAGAAGACGTGGCTGAGAGCCAGGAAACAGGGATTTAGATTTCCTCTTCACCAAGTGGCACATGTGTCCTGAAAATGTTAAACTGTGGGCATTTTTAATATTGCACATGTTGAACTGATACATATAACTTTCTGGGGTTTTTTTTTTTTTTTTTTTTTTTTGAGACAGAGCCTCACTCTGTGGTCCAGACTGGAGTGCAGTGGCACGATCTCAGCTCACTGCAACCTCTGCCTCCGGGGTTCGAGCCATTCTCCTGCCTCAGCCTCCCAAGTAGCTGGGACTACAGGCGCCCACCACCACGCCCGGCTAATTTTTTGTATTTTTAGTAGAGATGGGGTTTCACTGTGTTAGCCAAGATGGTCTCGATCTCCTGACCTCATGATCCGCCCGCCTCAGCCTCCCAAAGTGCAGGGATTACAGGCGTGAGCCACCGCACCTGGTCAGGGTTTTATTTCAGAACCGTTTATTTCCCCAGTACATTTATCCACTCTACCTCCCTCTCTGTGATTTTCCATTTTCAGGCTGTGCCGTGCTGGTTTTACCCAGTACCTTGTTTAATGATGGAGCTCATCATTTCGGAGTTTTTCTCTCCGTGATGCTGCCACATGTGTCAGGGCTGTGTGGCTGTTACAGAGGAAGGGTCTCGTGGGGAGGGAGCAGTGAAACTGGTGGAGCAAGCAAGGTCGGACCGACAGACTATCTTCTCGGATGTAAGAGAGGTTGTTCTAGGGAAGCCGTGTTCCTGGCGCTGGGAGGCTTTACGAAGAGTTTTTGAAATCTCCAGCTTGAACGTTAGTGTACCTTATTATGGCTATACTTGGTCTCAGGATGCCTTCTGCCCTCTTATTTTTTCCTTCTTTGATGTTCAAAAATTTACATCATTTCCTGTAATTTTTTTTTCTGTAAAGTTTTGGCAGACACAGAGTCACCACTATTCATTTTACAAAAATACATTTATGCTTAATTTAAAGAAATAGGCAGGGAGAGGGGTGCTCTGGTTCTTGTTTTCTGGCAGATACTTAAGAAAATTGGAAGAAATCACTTTGAAAGATCAATGAGACTTCAATAAAGTAAATTTAAGAAAAAAAAAAAAGAGTTAAGGAATGAAGTAAAACTTGCTAGGGTTAAAATCCCAGCTAGTCCATTCCTTACCTTTCTTACCTGAAAAATGAAAGTGGGGATCGTCCTTACCTCATGTTGTTGTGAGTACTACGTGATGTAACACACAGAGAATGCTTAACAGAGTTCTCAGTGTAGAGTAAGCTAACAAAGTTGACAGCTGTTGGCCTCATGACATCATAGAAAATGTGCCTAACCTAAAGTCAGAATCCCTAATTTTAAGCCCCGCTTTTACTTCCCGGATATTCATCCTTTATTGGTTACTTTTAACCTCCTGTTGCTTCAGTTTTCTAAATCTGTAAAAGGGAATGTAATACTGACATTATAGATAATTCCATGGCAATCAAATCATGGAAAATATGTAGAAGTTCTTGGCACAGAATAGCAGCTCTGTAAATATTAGTCGAATCTGACTTGTAACATTACCAGGACCCAACATTTATGTCAAGAAGGCATTTTTCACACTGCACAAATGGGGCTCCTTATATTCTAGAAAATAAATATCATGAAAGTCACAACATAAATGTCCTCTCACTTCTTATCCCTTAATTCAGAGCTATTCAACAAAGTCAATTTTGGGAAAATGTTGCAAACATCTGATATTTACCAGGAATTAGGGGAGAAACAGTGGATACTACCATGGTTCCTGCTTTTAAGGAGCTCATAGTCTAAGAGTGGAGTCAGATAAGTCAACAAGATTACAAAATAAATGCCAGAAGAGGAAAAAGTGGGAGACGCCAAGGAGGCAAGGAGGGACACCAAGCCCAGCCACAATAAGAGTGGGAATGTCAGAGCAGGTGACACAGTGAGGTTGCTTTAGCTTCATGTGACAGATATCTCTAACTCAGACTGATCTAAACTTCAGTGAGAAAATAAATTTCATCAAACTGGGAGGTCAGAGGAAGGGCAGACTTCCAGGTGCAGTCACTACAGTTGCTCAAAAATCTCATCAAGGTATTCGGTTCTTTTCATGTCTCTGATCTATCATGGCTGCTGTCATTTCCAGTCCAACAGTAGCTCTGTTTCAGTATCATGATGGCTCCAGCAATTGCCCACATGATGGCATCAGAGAGACAAGGGGCATCTCTTTTATCTGTCATCTTTGGGAGGAGAAGGAAGGAAAAGAGAATTTCCTATGTTCTTTTCAGCATGGGCCAGTGTTGGGGCCAAGGGAAAGCTTCCCCTTCACCTTCCGAAGGTTCACCTTCTGCCCTCTGAAAAAGAACTAATGTTAGGAAGATGAATAGGAGAAAAGGCACACAAATTTATTTAATGTGTATTAGCCTAGAAAATCAAAGGAGGATGATCACGCAATAACCCAGTAGGTCCAGATGCTTATACAACTTTCTTCATTGGGGAATGAGAGATTGAGTCAATGTGTCTGTCAATTTGAAGGGGAGTAAATAACTTTTAGGGGGAATGAATAAGCCCAGTGCTGAGACAATGGTTAGTAAATAATGTTCTCTTTGGGAATTGAACAGGATTGGAGACAAAGTTTGTCTGGGCTGTAGGTGTGATGTTTAATTTCCAGGCTCTTTGTCATAATAGGAGTTTTAATCTTCTGGTTAATGAAGTTACAGGGAGGGGGTTGAAGGCCATTTGTTCCTTTTGCTGGGTATGGTTTGTAGGTAGATAAGGAAACTTCAACGAACAGCCTTATCCTGTGCTTTGGGAGTGAAAGGTGATTGAAAGATGAAGGAATAGGGGGAAGGTCAGAGAAACCTTGAGGCTACTGCTTCAGTTTAGCATATCTCAAAGAGCCATATTTTGGAGTGTTGTGTTCTGATCCCCAATACCAGAATTAAATCATCTACCCACCCTTAAACTACACCTTGGCAAGGGCACAGGATTCTCATGACAGGCTTAGTGGGGCATCTTGGGTGACAGGTGCATTGAGGGGTTGACCTCCACAATGACCAGGGAAGGTTTTCCCAGGGGATCTCAGACTTTGCCTATCTGATAGGATGAATTGGGCTTTTTCTAGTCTCTATGTGTTAGAGGTAGACAGAGAAACATCCCAGGGTGTGCAATGGTATTGAGCATAAAATATTTTAATTATTCATGGAATTCCAAGTACTTTTATTTGACTAGACTATGGGGGTAGCGCAGAGTCCAAACTAGTAATAGGAGATAAGGCTGGAGAGGTAGGTGAGGGCTGGATTATGAAGACTCTTACCAGCCATAAGAAATGTGGGTTTTATCCCACAGAAACTGGGAACACGCTGAAATATTTGAAGCTGAGAAGTACATGAAATTGGATGTGTCAGTTCCATCTTGAACCATCCACTAAATGGAAAGGGGAGTGAGGCAAGATTGGAATCTTGGGAAAAAAGACTGTGTTGGTAATTTTAGAAGGAGTCTGAATGGGACCATATAGCTGGTTAAGTGGGTGGGTTGGGGAATGAGAAGGAGCTCAAGGTGATTATTCTGTTTTTTTTTCTGGGATTTTCAAGCTTCCCTAGAAGTCTACATAAAAATAGATATGGGAAAATCAGAATCTAAGAGCTGGCTACTCAGATTTGATGTAGTTAATACAGAATGACTATCAAATAATAGATATTTGTCCTCGATACATATGGGATCTTGGCCAGCTGGATAAATAAATGAGTATTGTTTTAATAAATGCCCATTGGAACAGGTTCTTTACTGAAAGGAGGAATAATGATAATATTGTGTTGTACGAGAGAGTGTGGATGAGATATTTATAAGCAAGGCATTCAGCAGGTGTCCTGTGGGTTAATAGTCTGGGAGTAAATTCATGTTCATGTCATGTAATAACCTTGGTGAAGCTGCTAGTAAGAGTGAATTAGGCTTCAGTAGCAAACTCTCTCCCTCTCTCCCCCACCTTTCCTCTCTCTGTCTCTCTCCCGTATGTGTGTGTGTAGTGTGTAGTTTATTAAGTCTTTAAGTATTTTATTCATAGCAGAACTTTCCCACTTTTCATATTTTACAAAGGAGCATTTTATTTAAGCTCCAAGTATGTGTAATTGCAATGAGCCATATACGCATTCCCCACAGACCGGGAAGCTTTGCCACCTAAAACAGAATGCTCTCAATGTAAGCCCAGGTGAGAGTTCTAAGGGGCTGTCCTGGGGGGACTCTCCTGCTCTGAAGGGGGCCATCCTGGTCTAGGGGAGCTGTCCTGGTTTGGGAGTTGGTGGGGCTCTCCTTGTCTGAGAGCTGACTCATTTGTAGGCATCCTCATTTCAGTGTCAGAAGGACTGTCCTGCTGTTGATGACTTCACTTTACTTAAGCATGGTTCAATCAGAAGCAGGGGAGTGAGGAAATTCCTTAACATATTTATCAACATCTGTTTCTAGGCATCCAGCTATGTACAGGAAGGAACTGTTGACCACAGAAAGCATCCTGCTTGGGCATTTCTGTGCAATGTCTCTTTGCTGGAAGGACCATTTTTAATCTACCCGTGTAGCCAGTATGTCCTGAGGTTTCCATTCTAATCCCAAAATATGTATATGTCATGGCACTTTTGGAGGGTTTTGTCTTTCTTTGTACAGCGTTGCGGTATTATCATAAGAAAAGTCTAGAAGTTGCAATTATATCTTCCAAGTTGGCATCCCAGTTCTTCCACGTAGCAGCTATAACCTTGATGCAGTGGAATACAGGCGACATGGCATGTGACTTGGAGCCAGATGGGAGTTTGTATCTTAGTGCTGCCAATTAATAGCCATGTGATCCCGGGGGCAAATGATGTTCCATTTTCTTTCATCTGTACAATGGGATTAATACTACTTACCTTAGGATGTTGGTGAACAGATATTATACTGTAAAGCTACCTAGTAGGAGGCCAAACGCATAATAGATACTCAATAAATTGTAGCTGTCGCAATTATTGACCTCCTGGACTCTGTGTCCTAATCTACAACATAGGAATAATGACAGTGCCTAACTTGCAGGTTTGGTGTGAACAATACAGTGATCATTCTAATCTAGAACAGGGTTTCTCAATCTCATTCTTGGCACTATTTTCATTTGAGGCTGCCCTGTGCACTACAGAATATTCAGCAGCATCCCTTTACTGCACCCCCTAGATGGGTGTAGATACCTGTAGCATTCTGCAGCCCAGGTTGTAATAACCAAAAATGTCTCCCGACATTGCCAAATATTCCCTGGCTGGGGAAGGTGGGGAGCTAACGTTGTCACTGGTTGAGAACTACTGTTCCAACATATAGAAGAAAGTATTCTATAAACAAGGGTAGGTACCGTATCTGTGCTATGGTTTGGAGGTGGTTTGTTCTGGTTCCCACCAAGGCTTATGTAGAAATTGGATCCCCAGTGTGGGGGTGTCGGGAGCGGGGAGGCTAGCAGGAGGTGTTTGGCTTATAGGGGCAGATGTCTCACAAATGCTGTTCTGGAGTTTGAGTGAGTTCTTGCTTTTGAGAGCCCAGATTCATTCTTGTGGGGATGGATTAACTCCCCTGAAAGGAGGCTGTTATAAAGCAGGATGCCCCTTGGGTTTCATTCCCTTGGCATGTGCCCACTTCCCCTTTGACTTTCTCTACCTTGTTGTGACAGCTCAAAAGTCCTCCCTAGAAGTCAGCGCCGAATCCTTGAACTTCTCAGCCTGCAAACCTGAGCTAAATTATAATAATTCTGTAATTATTCATGGAATTCCAAGTACTTTTATTTGACTAGACTATAGGGGTAGCACAGAGTCCAAACTAGTGATAGGAGATTAGGCTGGAGGGGTAGGTGAGGGCTGGATTATGAGGACTCTTGCAAGCCATGATAAGAAATGTGGGTTGTATCCCACAGAAACTGGGAACCCACCAAAATATTTGAAGCTGGGAAGCACATGAAATTGGAAATTAGACTCTTCTTTGGAAATTACCCAGTCTCAGGTATACTTATAGCAACACGAAATGGGCTAAGACAATCAGACCTATCCGTAAAGTTGTGGAAAGAAATGCAGACAGGAAAAAGAAAATCATGTTTGTTTCCTGAGCCTCTAGATAGTAATGCATACATGAGAATAGTGGAACAAATTAAACCTCTTTCGGCATGAATAAGCTCTTCAAAGTTCAGCTCCACATATAAGCTACAGTTGGGTGGGGCTGTCAATTTTCAGGAAAAACTTGTGGTAACAACACAGGGTTTGCAGTCACTTCTGCTATAAGCCATGGTGTCCTGGGAATGTAAGTGGTAACGCCTGTTCCCTACCCCCGTGGCTGAGGAACACCAGCCCTGCCCTATTCCTCTGTGGGTGATTGTGGCGATAATTCTAGTTCCCTGGAAAGCACACATCTGAGATTCAGCATGATGTATCTTATCCCCAGCACGATTATTTTCCCCCTCATTTTTTCTTAAGCCCTTCTCCTGGGAAGATAAAGGTCAACTTAAACCTGAGCTCCAGGCAGTGCTACCTCACTTCCTCTTCACTGATCAAATCTTAAAGCAACAGGAATGTTCCAGAATTCCTCTAAGTGAATTGCACTTGTCTGTAGTTGTGTGGGCAGTTCTGAAGTAGCTCTCACCTCACATTTTAAGGCAATTTTACTAATAGGAGCACCAAATCCTTCAGGGCCAGGAAAGCTCTATTTAACCATGAATTTCCTCCCTTGGGGTTTCGTTATGTTTGGTTACAAAGTAAAATAAACCCACACTGCTTCAGAGTCTGGAGAGGCACAGGGGCATGATTTAGCTATGTTAATAATAGAAATTGAAAAGTATTTTAAAAGATAACACACCACCTGTGCCTTCTTTTGATTGTGAGACTAAATGAAGAAGAAATTTTTTCCCCGGAAATGTTACTGCTCTGAACAGCATTTTAGCACTATTATCCCATGATAACATCAGAGCGGGGGAGTAATTATTTGCCGGTAATATGCGTGCTGCCGTTAGCTGAATATGGCAGCACTTCCATGCTGAGATCTATGAAGTATAGATTATACATTTCCATGCTCATTCAAAATATGTATTTTTTATGATTGATGAGGACATTGCAGCATGCCACCTTCATAATTTGCATTTTTAAATGGTTCTGTGTGTAAATCATTGGCGTGTATTACCTCAATCAGAAGCCAAATAACTAATTGTAAAAGCTCTAAAATATGCTTTTCTTAAATATGTTGTGCGGGAATCAGAGATAAATATACCTTAACACATTTTTATATTTCATTACTATTCAATATATTTTTTTTGTTGTTCTAACAAAGAAAACCTCCAGCTTTTATAATACCATTACCGTCAAATTAAAGACTAGCCTTCATCTTTCCAAACATATATTTTGTGCTTTGCTCAAAGCCAGGAATGACCTGGCTCATGAAGGGGTTCATTAGCAAGATGCTTGAAGGAAAGGAAAAATTTGCTAGTTGATCGAGAAAATATAAATGATGAGGCTAAACTCATATTTGAGATGTTCTAGATTTTCCTGGTGAGATTTCAAGGTCCAACACAGGATTCTAATATTCTCAGAAGATCTCCTACATGAATTCCTTCAAACTTGAGAATTACATTTACTCTCCACACAAAGGGAGTAGGAATTTTTCAGTATAAGGCAAATGGCAACAAAAACACACTAGAGATTACAAAGCCAACGTCACTATTATTTTTAAAAGGCTTTATGAAAACATTAGTGCTGAGCCTGGGTGATTTATGGCACAGATCCATGGAAAGAACCTTTCCTAAGCCCACATTTCAGCTAGGGCTTTGCCTGGGAGAAAAAAGGAAGCCCTTGCTTCTGGAAGGCTCCCCTCACCGCCGTCTCCATATGTGGGAAGTTCAGAGCTGAGGTAAAATGAGGAAGGAGAATCAAGACCCTGGAAACATATGCCCAAGAGGGAGCCTGAGAATCTTTGCAGAAGTTGAAGTTGAAACAGAAGTTTACTAAGATGCTGAAACTTAAAGAATGAAAACCATCAACTAGAAGAGAGTAGGGGATTCGGGAAGCCTCCAAAGAATTCACAAGAACATTCAGATGAAGGGAAAGAGGGCACCAGGTCACACTGGGTTGGTTGCCGAGGGAAATCCCTCCCCTTGTGTCCTAAATCATTCCCTTGTCACCTTGTTATGCCTCAGTCCTCAGAACCACTCCTTACTGTGGCTTGGTGCTTGTCCCTCCATATCGTAACTCTGTTTTATATTCTTTTGACTTTCCTGTTTCTTCTGCATGTACATGAGCCTCATTAGCATTGAGCTTGTGTCTGTTTTGTTTGCAGCGTTATACCGAGTGCTTGCCTACCAGTGGGCTCCAAAGGGATTTTTGCAATGACTAAGGTGGAAATTGAATTTGGGAGTACTGGGATCTTTGGGAAAAGATCTATATCGAAGTCAGATTTATATGGTGAGAGCACTGTCTTCAGCAGATGTCCTTTGAGGGTCCAGGTCAGTCTCTGGAGGCACTCCCCTCTCTCCCTTCTTTTTTTTTTGAGACAGAATCTTACTCTGTCACCCAGGCTGGAGTGCAGTGGCATGATCTCGGCTCACTGCAACCTTCTGCCTCCCAGCTTCCAGCAATTCTCCTGCCTCAGCCTCCTGAGGAGGTGGGATTACAGGCGAGTGCCGCCACGCCCAGCTCATTTTTGTATTTTTAGTGAAGATGGGGTTTCACCATGTTGGTCAGGCTGATCTCGAACTCCTGACCTCGTGATCCACCCACCTTGGCCTCCCCAAGTGCTGGGATTACAGGCGTGAGCCGCCACGCCCAGCCCCCTCCTTCTGAAACTTGGAATGTCCTGTTGCAATCCTTAGAGCACCTGTACTCAGGGTATGGAAGCACTCATGAGGACATGAGCCTCAGCCTTCTGGAAAAGAGGACTTTTCGCTTGCTATAACTCCCATGGGATTTTTTTTTTTTTTAACTTTGTCTTTGTGGACTTCAGAAGTCCTTCCAGACAAATGGCTGCTTTATTTGTGAGGTAGTGATTTATATCCCTGGCAGAATAATCCTGGGTGAAAGTGGCTCTCCCTCAGCATAAAGGAATAGCAAAACATTTATGAAAGGGAGACAGAGCTTCAGATGAGTGGGTACAAAAGTTCCGCACAATATCAATGGTTGAAAGAATATGCATATATTAATTAATAATTCCGACATACTTCTTTTATAAGGTCCCTTATGAAAGATAGACTATTTTCCACATTTACTGTGCATTGGAAGTGACAGATGAAATTAATATGCTTCATAAATTGCCATCACAGAGGGTCAATTAACAAGTGAACTAACCTTGTGAAAGTCATTTTGAAAGACTAGTTATGTCTGTAATATTCCCTGTCAAATTAGGTAAAAGTGGGAAAATTAGATGCCTGTCAAATAAATAGCAGTCTAAGATACGGAGTAATTGCATTTTTGATAAGGTAAATTAGTTTCTGTGATTGTTGCTTGAGAACAGAAAATGAGTAGTGGAAATAGTAAAGATCTGAAAATTCTGTGTGTGGGTACATGTGTGCACATACATACAAATATATGTAACAGATGCATATTTGTGTGGATGTACACACATACGTACAGAGAGGCAGAGAGGAGAACACTGAAGATTCAAATTGGAAGTAAGACAGGTCCACACTCCTTAGCTAAACCATCACCTCCTCTTCCACCAAGGCTATTGCCTTTTAGGTCCTTCACACGTACCTGGCCAGCTCCCACCTTTCTGCCTTTGCTCACTTGGCTTCCTTTTTAGTTATGTCTGCCTCTACTTCATTCCATCAAAATGAACCCTGGTGCTTGTACAATGGGTTGGACAGTGTTTGGGCCATGCATGGACCAGCACAATAGTGTCTGCTGCCCTAGAGCTAAAATTCCCTCCAGGAGAGAACAATAACCTAGGACCCTGAAGCTGAGATTCTTGCAGGTGACTTGCTTCTGCCTGCAAAAGGACTAGAGAAAGGAACCCTCCTAACAAACCCAACTGAGCCAGTTTGGAGGCTGAAGGAATTAATGTAGCAGTCAGATCACATGGCTGTTTTCACCCAATCCACCTGACAGGAAGTTCCAGAAAGACCACACAACACACACAAAGTACTCCCACATAAAGGTTATCCTCTTCCAGGACAGATGTGGTGGGAGCCTCCCCACTTCCTTCCTGATGTAAAAGTTCCATATGGAGTTTTACTGCTCTCCTGCTCCTCTGACGTCTCGGTTCTGTTCTTCAAAACTCTGCCATGTCTGTGATGAAATTAAATCCCTGACTGGGTCTCAAGTTCCTACTTGTCATATGAATCAGTAGAGCTTAAAATTCATCTGAAGTCTTGGTTGTCTGTCCCCATTCCTCCATGACCTCCTTTGGGGCTTGGAGCAAGTCAACTTCTTATCAGGATGTGTGTCCCGGTGTGTGAAAGGAGGCTGCTTTGCAGCAAGGAGATTGTTAAAAAAAAAAAATTAAAAAGTAAAAGTCGTTATATTTTTGTGTATACCAGAGCCCAGCTACACATATGTAATGTAGAGAAAATACTTTCTCTCCAATCCTTTTTCTTCCTCTGAGTTTTCTCCTTATACCTTTTAATTGTCAGCGAATTCCCAAAGGCATATGTACTGAATCTGCATGTGGATTTTGTATATACATATATATTCACAAATGCATATGCTATGATTTGTGATTCCCATTTTACAGAGTTTAAAACTGAGTCTCAGTGAGGGGAAGTAAACTGCATGCAGTTCATGCAGTTACTAACAACGTGCCTTGTTGTTCTGTACATAGCATAGGAGGTTGAACCCAATTAGTCTGACTCAAGGCTTGTACTCTCTATGATATCCAGAACGCTCTTTTCTTCAAAGCCAATTTTATTCCAGCTTGGACAAATTCTACGCATCTTCCTAATAAAAGAAGAACCTTGCCAGGTGCAGTGGCTCACGCCTGTAATCCCAGCACTTTGGGAGGCCAAGGCGGGTGGATCACCTGAGGTTAGGATTTCGAGACCAACCTGACCAAAATGGAGAAACCCCGTCTCTACTGAAAATACAAAATTAGCCAGGCGTGGTGGTGCATGCCTGTAATCCCAGCTCTCGGGAGGCTGCGGCAGGAGAATCACTTGAACCCGGGAGGCGGAAGTTGCAGTGAGCTGAGATTGTGCATTGCACTCCAGCCTGGGCAATAAAACTCCATCTCAAAAAAAAAAAAAAAAAAAAGAATCTTGGGAGACAGTGTGCCTCCACTTTTTTGTCTATTGGTTGTATTACAAGTTCTTTTTCATTTTCTGCCCTTGATTGCACAATCTCCTTCTCTCCCTGGTCTGCCCAGTGCAGACAGATACAGATGAGCCGGCTCAGTCTGTGTCCATACAGATGCGGACCAGCTCACAGTACTGCTCTTATGTGAGCTGCTCAGAGTTCTGTGATTGAAGGACAGGGAAAAACTGCCAACTAAAGCAATAGAATCATTGGATGGACACTGGCCATATTTTGCAAATCTAAAAGCTGACAGCTGGGTCTCAGAAAGGACAGGAGCAAGTTCAGTTCTGGGGATCCCAGCGAGCATACTGTCTCTTAGGCAGAACCAATGGAATAAGTCCTCTCCAACCACCTTCAATTCATGTGCCCTTTGTTTCTTGGTTCCTGTTGCCAGGAGAGAGCTTCTGATTGGCTTAGGTTGTATCATAAGGCCACCCTTCTTGGGCAGGTTTGGAGGAAACAACACTGTGACTGACACCCCTGCCAGGTCTACAGGGAAACACAGAGAGGTAATGGCCAAAGATAAGCAGAATGCTGCTGATGTTAGAAGAGGGACAGGAAAGCTAGCAAGTCACAATCTATAGGCATCTCCCACACCATGTAATTACATAAAATAAAACCACAAAAGCTCAATCACTTGTCTCTTGCCTCCAAACCTAAATTGCAAATCTCCATGCAAAAGTCAGCAAAAATAAAGGCAGCAGCTTGTGAGTGTGGGGAAGGCCAGGAGAATTTGACCTCAGAAAATCTGCACTTAAATCCCAGTCCTGGCACCATAGCTGTGTTGCCTTGGTATTAGATACACCATTCCAAAGCCCGCTGTAAAGCATAAGTTTTCCCAGTGCTTGCAGGGAGTCACTAGAAGGATCACATGAGATGCAGCTTCTACAAGTGCATGGGGAATCAGCACCCACTCAGCTGAATCTGCTGTAGAAAGGATTGGCATCAGGGTTGCAGATAGCAAGTGAAGCTCATGCACATGCTCATGAGTTTGCAAACTGTTTTAAACACTTGTAAAAATCTCTCCTGAGCCATTTATTTAAGTAGAGCTGGGAACATTGAATAAATGACAGCCCTTTCTTAAGGGGGAGTCTTTGAATTCTGAGTGACTGGCAGATTTCACAGCCATTGATATTTTGAAAGGTGCATTGGTGACTTGAAATCCTTGAGAGCAGTTATCTTTGAAATTGTGGATTCTGCAAATGTAGATATTGATATCCAACTCAATATATGCAGCTTTCTCTATATACCATTCAGCATATGTTAGCCATCTGTCATAAGCATCATGCCCCTAAACTTTCAGCTATCCAGAAATCTAACAACTGCCTTTTCAGTAAGGTTACTCTGTGCTAATAATTGAATAAAGCAATATAAGATTCAGCCAAATAGAGTGTGTCTGCCATTTTTAGAGGTTCTCAACCCAAAGTTGAAGGGCCCCAGGCCATGGTAGATTTTTAAAAGAAATTTTGACATGGGCAGTGCCAATAAATGACTCTCAAGAACCCTTACCATTGTAAAAAAAAAAAAAAAAAAAAAAAGGGAGGTCCTTGGTATTACCAATTTAAAATGTGAGCATTCTAGAGGGACAAAACCTATAATGAATTACAATTGCCTTTTTTCCCATTATTTTAGTTAATGTTGTTAAACAATAGTGTCTGGAATTGGCTAAGGAAGAACAGTTACTTGAAATATGTGCTGTTTTGAATAAACTGATCCTGTCTTAATGAGCTTTTATAGGGTTTTATGCATGACTTACTACCCATATTACATTGCTAAGGTAACCTACTTAAAACTGTGGTGCAATATGATGTTTTTCAGTTCATTTGTCTGTTTCATTAATGATGGAATGTATTTTCCAGCACACAAATCCTATTTATGATCAAGACATTGTTGTTCTGTATATCAACTTAAACTCTTACACTGTGTAATTTACCTGCTGTCAAATCTCATTTGAAGAGCTGTTGTCTAGCATTGCTCTAATCAAAAATATGCCCCACTGTAATGAGCTATGCATGTTGTGTCTAGTATTATTTATTTTTAATAAACTTTATTCACTCCCAACACACTTTGGGAAACGGACAATCTATAATATCTTCTCTCTTCTTCTTCTTTTTTAACCAACTATCTTTCCAGCTAGGGTGATGATTCACAAAAATGTGATTTTTTTTTCTTTCAAATGTGTCTTAATGGGTAACAGCTGATTAGATAAATGTACAGGAGAAATATAAAAATAATTTGGTATTTAAAACAAGACTAATCATTAATAAGACAAGCAGTTTTCTAAACTAAAATGGCTAGAATAATATGTGAAATTAGACTTCCAGGACAGAGCACCCTCTGTGATTTGAGGAGCCCAGCTCATTCATTAAATATGATCAATATGCCTCATCATGGAAAGACTATTCCCTGAGATGGCATGTCAGTGTGTTAAAAAAAAATACGGTATTTTTTTCATCTACACTCTGTAAAGACAAGCCCACAACTTCATATGGGGCTCAGCTGAAGGTCAGCCATCTCTTCCAACACAAGAAAAGAAAATGGCGGTGTTGGACTTAATGAGACATGATTCTGTACTATACTTAATAGGCGATTTTACTGATTTCATGGGTACATCATGCTGTAGTTTTCTCTTTACATGTTGACTTTACATTCCAAATTCCACATTAGGTGCAACTTCATTCTAAGAGCTTTGGGATGCTTGTATGTGAAACAGGTTTTATGCACAGCTCTTTTCCAACCTATTCTTCTTTAGTCAGTGGTTCCTGTGGGTTCTTGGGCCTTTGCCTTCCTGTCTTCAGCCTCTTCTCTGAGCAGTGTGATATAGCCTTGAAAAGACTTGGGAGGTGGGCAGAACGGAGTTTGAATCCTGGCTCCACCCTGTGTGACTTTGGACAAGGCACTTATATTCAACTACAAAAGGGTCACCCATGCTGACGTTACAAAGTGATAGTGAGGAATAACAGAGTTACAGAATGCAGAAGAACAACCAGCACAATAGTAGCCTGTCTGTGTATGATGCTTATAATTGTGATCATCATTTATCCTAAGCTCATATGTGGAAGCCCACATAAGTATGGCGTCTTACCAGTAAACTCCGCTGAATCCGAGGAAGGGCCTTAGGCCTTCTGGCAAGGTAACATTCAGAGTGCTGAGAATGCTGCTGCAAGTGGAATTTACTTATCAGAAGGTCAGTTAATTCCACTAAACTCTGATGTCATATCTAGCTTGTACAGGAGGCAAACAAACAAATGCTAAACAGTAGTGCAGAACCTTGGAGTTAACTGTGTGCACATTTAAACCTCACCTCCAACCCCACTGTGTGTACAGTAATTATTTCCAGTGAAATCACTGCTTTCTTTCCGTGAATGACTAACTGGTGATGATATTGTCTGGTATGATAGTAACTGCATAAGACCTATAGGCACATAGTTCATCACCAATTTGTGCTTTGTGCAATATTTGCTTCGGGGGAAAAATAAAAGAATCACCAAATATGTTACAAACTCTGGATTTAAAAAAAAAAAACAGCTCTAAGAAAATTTTTAATTTTTTTAGTGTGTTCTCGCTATCTTGGAGTTATTTCTAGTCATCGGGATCTTGCATGATTTAAACAAGGCCCTTAGGTGACCATCAATTTATATCTAAATTATTAGTGTGCTTGTTATAGTGGGTGAATGTTCTTTCAGTTCATTTGCTCATTCACCACCAGGATTCTACACCAGGAACTATGCTAGGTTCTAGTGTTATAGGGAGGTTAATATATGGGAGTATATATTGAAACACATTGTATTAGTTGATTTTCACACTGCTCTGAGAAATATCCAAATAACCCAAATTACTGGGTAATTTATAAAGGAAAGAGGTTTAATTGACTCACAGTTCTGCAGGGCTTAGGAGGCCTCAGGAAGCTTACAATCATGGTGGAAGGGGAAGGAAACACGTCCTTCACATGGTGGCAGGAGAGAGAAGTGCAGAGAGAAAAGGGGAAGAGCCCCTGATAAAGCCATCAGATCTCATGAGAACTCACTGACTATCACAAGAAGAGCATGGGGGAACCACCCCCATGATCTGATCACCTCCCACGAGGTCCCTCCCCAAACACGTGGGGATTACAATTCGGATTTCAATTCAAGGTGAGATTTAGGTGTGTGACACAGAGGCAGACCATATCACACATACACACACATACTGAATAATTGCTACCGTAATTGATACACTGGCCTAGTGGAGGGGGAATCTAGTTTGAACTATTTCATATGTGTCACGAGCCTGGATTTCCAGCATCATAAACTGGGAGAAACGGGGAGCGATGCAAAAGACAGTCAGTGCTACCGCTAGAGCTGGAGATCAGCATGGTGGGGGATGCTGGCTCCTAAAGCAGAAGTGGGGCAAATGTAGGGTAGTTGGATGCAGTCACAGATGTGCTAGGGAATGTGGTCTAGGGAGCACAGTAGTGAGTGCTGCTGAGGGTGGTAAGGGGTTAATGCTGCAGGAGAGAGGTGAGATGCGTCACAGGCAGCTCATTATCTGATGCAGTCTATGCAGAGTTTAATGTTAGAAATACCAGCTGCGAGTGCCCACACTCTGCATGGCATTCTGTAATGCATTTGATTTTACTCCTCACAGCTAAGGTATTAGTTGGGTTACTTTTGCTGTAAAACAAACAACTTCAAAATCACACTGGCCTAAAACAACAGATATTTATGCTTGTCTTCCACATGTATGTTGATCAGCTGAGCTTCATCTGGGCTGGGCTGGGCTGGGCTGGGCTCCAGGCTGATCTGGGTTCTGGTGGATTCCACGGCTTCGCCTTTCTTCTTGAACAAGCGGCTACCCATCTATGAGAACATAGCAGAGGGGTTCCTAACCTGGGCTTTGATGGCCCCCTGGGATTATTTGGCAATGTCTGCAGACATTTCTGGTTATCACAACTCAAGGGAAGATGTTGCTATTGGTATCCCATGGATGAAAATCAGGGTTGCTGTGAAACATCCTACAATGCCCAGAAAAGTCACCCACCATTAATTATCTGGTCCCAAATGTCAGCAGTGCTAAGACTGAGAAACCCAAAAGCCCAAGGCAAACTTCTATAAACTTATCACTCATCCTGAACTCGAGTCTGGAAGCCCACATAAGGTAGGCATGGCATCTTACCAGCAAGTTCTGTTGAAAGCCTTTGCTGGTGTCACATCTGCTTGAATGTGATACAAGCAAAGACTTTGAATGTGGAACTTACCAGCAAGCTCCAAGGTCAAAGCCTATGCTTGTGTTACATCTGCTTGAATTTCATCAACCAAAGCAAATCATAGGGCCACATCTAAAGTCTTTCTGGTTGGGCTTTCCATCCTGGAATCCACGTTTGCTGGGGGCACTTCAAGCTACATGGCAGTGAGCGCCAGTCAAGTGCTGCAAGTAAGAATCCAGTACTTTGGGAGGCCAAGGCAGGTGGATCACCTGAGGTCAGGAGTTTGAGACCAGCCTGACCAACATGGTGAAACCCCATCTCTGCTAAAAATACAAAATTAGCCAAGCATGGTGGCATGCACCTGTAATCCCAGATACTTGGGAGGCTGAGGCAGGAGAATCGCTTGAACCCGGGAGGCGGAGGTTGCAGTGAGCCAAGACTGCACCATTGCACTCCAGCCTCAGTGACAAAGCGAGACTCTGTCTCAAGAAAAAAAAAAAAAGGAATCCAGTCTGCCACATCAATGCTCCCCACTCCCAAGTGGGGAAACTGAGGATCACAAATACGAAGTAATCTGCTGAAAGTCACCCAGCTTTTAAGCAACAGGGCGGGGACTAGCACCCAAGTTTTACTTCACATCCTTCTCAGGTGGACTGCACTGCTTCTGCTTAGATTTGGCTTGTAGAGTTTAGCCAAAGGAAAAACCACTGGAGGAAGCTGTAGTCAGCCTCAGTTTTCCCTCTGTGAAGTAGGGGTAATAATGATACCTATCCCATAGAGTAACTAGAAAGATTGAAAAGATCCAGTATTTGTAACACAGTGTCTAAAACATACTGAGCATTTAATAAGCTTAAGCTGCTGCTGCTTTTGCCATTGAGAAAAGACAAGATTATGTAGGGCTCATTTCCAGTAAGGAAGGTCTTACTGTGTTTTCCTGAGTGTGGGTTGTCTAGGGAAATTGGGCCCCTTTCTCTTTTCTTTAAACTTTTAAATCTAATCACTCCATTTTCTTGTGTCTTTTTGGTGAACTCTAGTATTTGGAGGCTTTCTGGCCTTCAGCTATTAATTAAAGTCATTTCTACTGTTAAAACTGAATTATCTGTTTTTCTTCTTCTAAAAGCAATGAACCAGGGATTCACACAGACTTTAGGCAATCATAATCTTCTAAGGTTTGATTTGAATGAAAGATCCCACATGAAACCTGATTCTGTCTGCTACACGTAAGCTGTTGCTTTCATTCTGTTACTCAAAATTGGCCTAGGACATCTAGAAAGGAATCTCTGTGGCACGTTGATGCCTACTTAGTGGCAGTTCGTGGCTTTAATGAGTCTGTTACACAGTGCACCTTCCTCCTGTGGCCTACGGAAATCGAAGGAGGGATTTGCTTGGTGGGTTCCAGTATGTATTTCTGAGTCTCAGAAGGTCTGCCAGGAACAAATGGCGAGGCACTGGTATTCGGATAAAAGCAGTTTTCTCTCTTAGTGACCAGACAATGGTGCTGTCTTTCTTTTGAAGTCACTGCTGGGATTTTATGGGCATAGTTGATCGAATCCTGTGCTAGATGCTAGAAAATCAGAGATAGGGAAGACCTTGTCCCTACCTCTGGAGAGCTCACAGGAGTAAAAAACAAAAAAAGCAAAAATATAATAATAATAATTCAATCATTATTCATTAAGAAATCTATGAAAATATATATTATACAAAATATATATATAACATATATATACATAGACACGCAGTAAAATAGATGCACCTGCAAGTGAAGCTTAGGCATGGGTTGAAGGATGAGTAAAAGTTCTTTGGGCAAACATCTTACAAAGTAATATTCTTTTCTTGCTGCTTGTTGTCTCTTATAGAACTATAATTTAGAAAGATATTTTGTATTGTGATGCTCATGTTTACCTACTAATGTAATAATTTCTGTTGTCTTTTAAAAATATTGGCATGTTTGGATATCAAATATTTGACCTCTAGGATTCTCTTTGGCATTCCTTCCGAAGGCGTTTATTCCTCGGTGTTTCTCTGCCAGCAAAGGTAGCATTCCGGTTTTCCTGTTTGAGATGCAGACACCTAGATGTCATCAAAGCCAGAGACGGAAAGCAGCTGCAGCTATATCCAGTGAGCTGGTTTCTTTTTTGCCAACCTAAGAAGGCTTTGTTGTTGTTGTTTCTAGGCATGTGAAAAACAGGCCGAATTGAATATCGGAGAACAGTAAATCACGACTTTACGATTTACTTCTTGGAGAGAAAAATATGAAATATTGAAATCCTCAATATTTTTCATTTAGAACAAGGAGAATAAGTTTTAAATTACTAAACAAAACTAGTGATAAAGGAGTGTAGCGAGTTTCATAAAACATCATGTCATCTATGCAAAGTTGTGACAGGAACGGAGAAGGAAAAAAATATGCTGGGTGAGGAAGACAGGTGACAAGAAAGGAGTTGTGAATGGCATGAAGAATGAGAACACAGGGAAAGCTTGAATGGGCTCTAAGTGAATAATCAGGTCATAGCTAAATTTCAGGGGATAAGTGAACAGCTCACTGTTTCAGTTCTTCACCTGCTCGTTCAAAATTTTCAAAAGCCCAACGTAAATGAAATGATTAATACAGCCCACAGACAGTAGACGTTAGGCATCATGGAAAAACGAGGTTCTAAGTAATTCTAGGATTATTCTGCAGCACGTGACACAGGTGGTCACACCTCAGTTAGACTTGGACTGTCTTGGACTGCCCGTTTGTTTATGAGACAGGGTCTCATTCTGTCACTCAGGCTGGAGTGCAGTGTCATGATCATGGCTCACTGCAGCCTCGACCTCTCAGGCTCAAGTGATCCTTGCATCTCAACCTCACGAGTAGCTACGACTACAGGTATGCCCCACTATGCCTGGATAATTGTTCCTTTTTTTTTTTTGGTAGAAACAGGGTCTCATTCTGTTGCCCAGGCTAGTCTCAAACTGCTGGACTCAAGTGATCCTTCCAACTCGGCCTCCCAAAGTGCTGGGATTACAGATGTGAGTCACAATGCCCAGCATGGATTGTCCTTTTCAGACCCAGACCAAAGAACAGGACTTATTGTCCCAAGACCAATCTAGGAAAAGTATAAGCTGTGTTGTCACCCAGGCATTGCTAGAAAGTGGTAGGCTGGACACAGGATGAAACAGTTGCCTGATTTTAAAGTAAGAGAAATAGATCAAAACAAATGACAGAAATCAGATAATCGTCTAAAAATGTTTATTACCTATGAGAGTGTTTTCTTGCTCACCTCAATTAGAGCAAACAACCACTATTTCTACAAGAACAGATTTTTCCCCCATTAAAATATTCTGAAGATAATTTTGTTCAGATCATCAGTGCTGCAAGTCAAAAAAGGAGGAAATCGGGCTGCTTGTGAAATTCTCTTGTCATTAGTTCCGGTTGCTTATTAGAGTGTGTAGACCAAGCGCAAGGAATGAGAAAAAGCACACATCACCGTCAGCCAACAATCAGCCACAAAGTGGAGCCCATTAGATCTCTGGCTTAGGCTACGAGAGTTGGAAGTTACCGAACAGATTTTAGGGATGGAAGAATTTAGGAACTGCTGTGGAATAAACCTGAGAAGAAGAAAAGAATCCCAAGACCAAAATCTTAGTCTGAATGTGAAGTCTTTGGAAAATGCTAAGTAATGACAAATATCTAAAGGAAACTGAGACCATGTGATGCTACCAGGTGATAGTTTAATGAGAACTGAAGGTTAATGAAACATTTCATAGAGTTCATTGATGAAGTATGGAATACAAATAGAAGGAGATTGAAATTAAGGGGGCCTTCCTGATGTCTCACTATTTTGAAAACTAGTTTGTGCTAAGACTGAGCTGGCAGACACAGACATCAATCTCTTGTGAAACAATTGTCTATTATTAACGTGCTAATTCAGGTCAGATGGCCTGGAATTAGTGTCTCAAGTTGATTTCCTTTTACACCACTTCCTTTGCAGAGCTGGACAGAAAGCTCGTGGCAATGTGTACTTTAATGGAATTAATTAGTATCACAGCAAGTTGATCAACTTGGAGGCACGTCACTCACCCTTCATTGGCATCGGAATTATTTAAGTTGGCGCGGCCTCTATGTTAACTACACAGTTATTTTTCATGCAAAATGCTATGGCATTAAAGACAACGACTAGGCTGTCATACCTCCTCATTTTTTTTTCTGGAAAATATGGAAATCTGGAATTTTTTTTTTTTTTTTTTTTTGAGACGGAGTCTCACTCTGTCGCCTAGGCTGGAGTGCAGTGGCGCAATCTTGGCTCACTGCCAGCTCCACATCCTGGGTTCACAACATTCTCCTGCCTCAGCCTCCTGAGTAGCTGGGACTACAGGCGCCTGCCACCATGCCCAGCTAATTTTTTGTATTTTTAGTAGAGACAGGGTTTCATCGTGTTAGCCAGGATGGTCTCGATCTCCTGACCTCGTAATCTGCCTGCCTCAGCCTCCCAAAGTGCTGGGATTACAGGCGTGAGCTCTGCGCCGGGCCAGAAATCTGGAATTTTGTTAAACACTTCTGTCTTAAGGTGTCAGCAGACAAGTTTTTAAACATGTGAGGACAAATTCTGTGTGACTATCTTGGGGCCAGATTCAGTCCATGGAGCACTGGTAGGTGGGAGCCTGGTTCAGAGCCAGAGTGAGATGGTGAGAAGGAGCCACAGAGGTAGCTGTGCAAGGCCACTGGAGACAGCAGGGACTTCAGCAGGGCTGGCTGCAGACTGGAAGTCACTTAATAAAAATAACTAGCTTAAGGAAAACAAGGGGCTGTTACTAGGAAGCCCAGAGCCCTGGGATCGTTGAGGGGGGTCAGGAGCACAAAGAGGAGGGAAACTGAGGCCTCCAGCTACAGACACATTATGTCGATGAGATTAGAGCCTTTGGTGTTGCCGGCTGGTGTCTCTCTGGAGCAGCACTTGCTACCCTCCAAGGAAGTGGAAATGATTTGCGAGGCAGAGCGTGTGCACCCTGCAGTGAGACCATTGCTTCAGTGGTTATGGAGCAGCCAGAGAACATAAATGAACTGCTAGCTTTAGGGGATATTACTGTGGTCTTATTTCTCCAAAACTAAAACGAAAAGTTCTAGTGCACTCACTCGGTGATGATTCATTTGTTCATTGATTCATTTCTTTCATTTGTCATTCAACCAACAAATTAATGAGCACCTCATATACACTAGACACTGGGGAGACAGAGACAAAGCCATTTTTACACCCAAATAATTGAGGTTCTTATGGGGGGGTGCAGCAGTATATACCTGCACACAGTGTCCCACGGGCCATCATAGAGGTCTCTGCAGTGAGCAGGGGGTGCCCAGATGAAGGATGAACTCTGGGACTGTCAAGAAACCTGGCAGAAAAGGCAACATCTAGACGTTCTTTTACTAATGTATTCAGGTTTAAAGATTCATCCGGTCTATGACTCTACAGTCATTATAATGTCAGGACCATCTCCTACTTTCTCAGTACCTACAGGTTATAATTAATCATTGGTGTTCACAACAATGATTCCAAGGCCGTCAGGAACTAGAACCACCTTCTGATTTTTTAGAGAAGGATGACACTTTGTTATTTAATTGATACTGAGTGTTTATCGTTGACTTTTAATTCTGAGAAACCTGGCATCCCCATGGAACATACTACTCTGAAAAGTACTTTCATACCCATTTGTTTGATTGGCCCCCTACCCTGTAGGGGGCCACAGGTTACTCTTGCTATCGTGCAAATGAGCGAATGGAGGTGGTGGTTAGCCCACGGTCCCAGAATCAATCAGCTACACCTGTGGCAGATTTAGGATTAGAATGAAGACCTCCCTACTTCTTTCTTTCTTTCTCTTTCTTTTTTCTTTCTTTCTTTCTTTCTTTCTTTCTTTCTTTCTTTCTTTCTTTCTTTCTTTCTTTCTTTCTTTCCTTCCTTCCTTCTTTCCATCTTTCTTGTTTTCTTTTTTTCTTTTTTTTTTAAGAGGGAGTTTCGCTTTTTTTGCCCATGCTGGAGTATAGTGGCACGATCTTAGTTCACTGCAAGCTCTGACCCGCCTCCTGGGTTCAAGTGATTCTCATGCCTCAGCCTCCTGATTAGCTGGGATTACAGGTGCCTGCCACCACATCCGGCTAATTTTTGTATTTTTAGTATAAATACGGTTTCACCATGTTTGCCAGGCTGCTCTCAAACGCCTGACTTCAGGCGATCCACCTGCCTCAGCCTCCCAAAGTGCTGGGATTACAGGCATGAGCTACCGCGCCTGGCCAAAGACCTCTCTACCTTAAACCTCTGGAAAAAAACAAAAACAAAAATAAACAAAAAATAAAGCAAAACAAACAACAAACTAGAACATTTTATTTTCTACCTGTCTGAATAAGCAGTTTTCTTCACCACTATTCCATACAAAAAGTGACCACCATAGTACAGGCCATCACACTCTCCCTGCACCCCTCTAGTAGATTCTTCACTAGCCCATACAGTTTCCTCTTGTTCCTCTTTAGTACATTCTTTCTACATGTTTCAGAAGGATCTTCGAAAATTCAAATCTGAGATAGTTATTTCCTCACCATCCTCCCTTACCTCTTGACCCCTTAGAGGTTTTAAACAGCCTTATTAAGATATAATTCACACACCACACAATTCACCCATTGAAAGTGTACAATTCATTGGTTTTTAGTATATTCCCAGTCATGCAACCATCATCACAGGTTTATTTCTTCTTCTTCTTTTTTTTTTTTTTTGAGGTGGAGTCTCACTCTGTTACCCAAGCCGGAGTGCAATGGCACAATCTTGGGTCACTGCAACCTCCACCTCCCAGGTTCAAGTAGTTCCTTGCCTCAGCCTCCTGAGTATCTGCGATGACAGGCACCTGCCACCATGCCCAACTAATTTTTGTGTTTTCAATAGAGACAGGGTTTCACCATCATGGTCAGGCTGGTCTTGAACTCCTGACCTCGTGATGCACCCGCCTCGGCCTTGCAAAGTGCTGGGATTACAGGCATGAGCCACTGCTCCCGGCCTCTGCAGTCAGTTTTAGAACATTGTCTTCACCTCAAAAGAAACCCCATCACTCTTGGAAGTAGCATCCAACACCCCCTCTTTCCTATCTCTAAACAACCACCAGTCTACTTCTTGTCTCTGTAGATGTGTCTGTTCTAAACTTTTTTAATGAAAGGAATCATGCAACACTTGCCCTTCCATGAGTAGCTTCGTTCACTTAGCAAGATGTTTTCCAGGTTCCCCCATGTTGTAGTTGATGTCAGAGCTTCATCCCATTTTATAGCTGAGTAATATTCCACTGCGTGAATATATCACGTTTTGTTCATTCATTCACTGATGGACAGTTGGGTTGTTTCTACCTTTTGACTATTATGAATAATACTACTTTAAAATGCGTAAGTGTTTTGTGTGTGGGGACACATGTTTTTATTTCTCTTGGCTATTTGTCTAGGAGTGGAACTGCTGCATCATATCATATGCTCACTCTAGGCTGAACTATTTGAGGAACTGCCAGACTATTTTCCAGTTTTAATGCTGTTACGTTGCCCTTAGGAAAGAGATCAAAATGCTTAACATTGTTTACAGGGACCCATCTGATTTGGCCCCACTCACCTCTTCAGGCCCAGCCCATGTCACCTTTCCCACTTCTGTCACTCTACTTGGTCCCCCTGGATTTTGTGCAGTTTTTCAAAGGTATGGGCATTTGCTAAGGCTGTCTCCCTCCTCTTCCCCATGAACTTCCATCAGACAGACCTTCTCTGAACAGCCTTCATCCGCAATCTAAATGGGATCTCGTTATTATATTCTTCCATGTTTCATAAGTTCTTAAGTGATTCTTCTTTAATCCCACTAAATCATGACTCCAGATGAGTTTAAGAAATCTTAAGACTATTTTTTAATTATTACAAACCAAAAGTCTCACACTGAACTTGAGCTACAATAGGGGCACCTTATCTATCTGTTGAATGAATAAATAACAATGAGAGAGGGGGAGGGAGGAAGAGAAATTAGTTTAAGAGGCCTCAGGTTGCCACGTTGGGTTTGAAATCTAGATGAAGATTGACATTTCACCCCAAATCTTTAACTACTTCTTCCTTTTTCACTGAGTAATATAGCATATGGGTTGGAAAACGTTTTCTGTAAAAGGCCAGATAACAGGTACTTTAGGCCTTGCGAGTCATGCAGACCCTTTCTGCTGTTACTCAGTTCTGCTTTTCTAGCACGAGAGAAGCCGTAGACAGTAGATACATGAATGAGCATAGCTTTATTTTAATACTTTATTCACAAAATCAAGCAGCAGCCTCGATGTGGCCTGTTAACCATAACTCGACGACCTCTATTCTAGAGTATTTTGATACTTGATACCTTCACGCTCTCTGTTTTCTCTCCCCAGAATCCCATATTTCCTTCCACCTTTGTTCTCCTAGAAGATTCTTCTCAGGGAACAAATACCTTATTTAGAAAATTTTCCTTGACCTGCAAAACAGAATTAAACACACTCTATCTCATCACTGAATGAGGCATATTCTTATGTTGCTGCATGCCTTCGGCTGTGTTAAATTAATTGAATATGGACTCACTTACAGAACGAAGTCCACAATGTCCCTTCTTCTCATCCAGCATCAAATATGTGATATGCTCAGTAAATGCTAAACTGAAAGAGAAAAAAGGTGACATGAACCAAATGGATTATCTATACAAAGTACGCAGGCAAGCAGATGATAGAATCAAGACTTTAAAATAGAGGGAAGGAGAAATAAGTCATCTGAATTGATAGCAATACCAGAACACAGTATTGGGGATAAGCCCAGTGTCAGTGTGCAGGGTCTAGGTCTTTTATTCATCTTTCCAGAACATGAGATTTTTTTCCTCTTTTTAACCAGAATTTTTCGCCGGACAACAACAACAAATTACTTTATTCTTCCTGGAAATTTCTTGGTAGCAATGCCTCTGCCAACATGTACCATACCCATACTTCTTCTATCCCATCACTATCTTCTCTCTTACCTGGGGCATATTCTTTAAGGGGTAGCATAAATCATTAGTATCTCAAGGATTGGAGAAACATCATTGTCCTAATGATTCACTACCATGGACACCACACTTGGTGCTTTTTTTTTTTTTTTTTAACTTTTGAATGAGAATATTCCTCTGAACTCTATGGGAGTACAATATTTGTTTATGTGTGACCTACAAGAATGGCAGGACTATATAGTTCAACCGAACAAAATTCAGAAGAGAAGGGAGATGACTCATAAATTATCAGTGGGACTTACACTTTGCCTGGTAGTGGCATGCTTGCTGTGCCCTTTGCTGCACAATCTAGGTGGTGGGTAGGACTATATTTACACTTTGTCTCTGCATGGCCCGCAAACATGCAGAAGGGATGTTATGAGCAAAGGAACAAGTCACTAAGACACTTTAATTCTGGGCTGGCCAGGACACTTAAGAAAGTTGGATGACACTGTGCCAGGAGAGTCTAGAGGTCCTATAACAAAGCCAAATGCTGGCTGGTTGTCATGTGCCCTGTCTGTACTCCTAAGCCCAGAACCTATGCATCAGTCTGCAGTGGGGGTATCTGGCCAAAGGAGAGAAAATGGTGCAATATGTGTTAAGTCCAGAAGAAACTAACAGAATGCATCTCATCCGGCCACAGTCATGTCTGGCTGCTGAAGACCTCTTTTGTGCACAAGTGAAAGAAAAGATGTTGAGCTAGGGTTGTAAGAATGGCAGAGGGATTTATGTAAGAAATATGAGTCTATTTCCATGACTTGTGTCATTTATAAAGGCAGGGACAGATGGAATCACTTCAGTGAGCTAGAATTTGTATTAAGTTCTACTTGCTTTATTTTCCTTCATTTACATATGCTTATTAGTAATACACGTGTGAGAACAAAATCATATACTATCAGTCACTGCCACACAATGAATAATCCCATGTAAAATATTTTTGCACACTTTTGAGAGTGACAATAACTTCACTGAGCTTGGTTTCTTCCTTTGAAACAGGCAGACAGGCTTTTGCTGAATCTTTAATGCATTGTCTTTTGGCTGGGTTCATTCACCTTCAGGGAATTCTCAAAAGACAAGCGTCATTTCTTTTTGTCTATTGATCTGTCCTCCAGAAAAAAGGGACTTCTTTATAAACTCAAAGCCCTTAGCTAATTCATTGTTCATTTGTTACATTTATTGAAAATCTACTGTTTGAAAGGCACTTGTTCTATTGTGCTATGGAAACAAGACAGACAAATTCCTAGTCGTTGAGAGCTTACCTTCTAGTAGGCATTACAGACCAGAAAAATGGCTGTTCAGTAGGCCTGTAGCAATAAGAGCCGTGAAAACAAGGTTGGGATTAAGGATGAGTAATGAGAAGGAGTTACTCTTTTTGATCAAGAAGTCAAGGAAGGTTTCTGTTTTGAGGACAGACGTGAATGAAATGAGGGAGCAAGTCATGAAAACTCTTTGGAAAAGAAAAAAGTCTTATAGGTGAGGAACCAGCAAATGCAAAGACCCCAAAATAAAAATTAACACCTGGTGGCTGGGCGCAGTGGCTTACGCCTGTAATCCCAGCACTTTGGGAGTCCGAAGCGGGTGGATCACGAAGT
Organism: Homo sapiens; assembly: GCF_000001405.40. Classification (NCBI taxonomy): domain Eukaryota; kingdom Metazoa; phylum Chordata; class Mammalia; order Primates; family Hominidae; genus Homo; species Homo sapiens. The sequence goes on from NC_000016.10 coordinate 83,327,920, forward strand.
CAGGAGATCGAGACCATCCTGGCTAATACAGTGAAACCCCGTCTCTACTGAAAATATGAAAAAATTAGCAGGGTGTGGTGGTGGGTGCCTGTAGTCCCAGCTACTCAGGAGGCTGGGGCAGGAGAATGGCGTGGACCCAGGAGGCGGAGCTTGCAGTGAGCCGAGATGGCACCACTGCACTCCAGCCCAGGAGACAGTATTGTCAAAAAAAAAAAAAAAGAAAAAGAAAAAAAATTGAGACCTCTTTTGTGCACAAGTGAAAGAAAAGATGTTGAGCTAGGGTTGTAAGAATGGCAGAGGGATTTATATAAGAAACAGAAGTCCATGCTTGGAATCTCAGCTGTTTTCTAGTTCTCAGAATTTATGAGTGAGATTAAAAGAGAAGCTTCAGAGTGAAATAAAAATTAGCTTAGCTATCTTGAAGAACACCAAGAAGGAATATGTGGCTGAACTAGAATGATTTTGGGGAGAGTGAAATGATCAAAGTTACATCCAAGGTTCACATCAGGACCTTGCAGGCCACAGTGAGAACTTAGAAGACAATTGACATAGGATGATTGGAAAGCAGAATACTGAAAGGCCAATTTACGTATTCAAAGATCGTGTGGAAACCTGTGTGGTGAATAGAGTGGGAGGACAAGAGCAGAAAGAGCAACTCAGAAACAATTTACTAAGCTGGGTAAGAGATGGTGGCTTGGCTGAGAAGGTAACCAGCAGATGATGAGAGATGGTCAGGTTCAGGTTGTAGTTTGAAGATATAGCTGATGGAAGCAGCTGATGGAGTGGATGTGTATAAGGAGCATTGGGCACCCTGTTAGCAGGCTTTAGGCTTCTTTGACTCAGGCATTGTACCAACATTCACCTAGTAGCTGATGTTGATTCCTCTCTCACAAAGACAGTATCTTAGTTTGAAATGCTTAAGAAAAAAAAATGTACCTGATCCAAGGGGAAAATGGAGCTCCACACTAGCAGGGATAAAAGGAAGGTGGTTCTGATTATTTGTGCTGCTCATTTCCATGAAGGTCTTGTTCACAGTAAGCAAGTTTGTCAAACCTATGCCTAGGTAGTCAAATTTCCCTAACCAGGGATAGTCTCTACTGGGCCTTAGCACCTTCCATTCAGTAATAAAATGAGGCATCTTGAGCTTCCCCGAAGCACAAATCTCTGGGCCACTGTATCAGAATTATGTGGGATGAGTTAACTCACAGATTCCGGAGAACCTACTAAATGCTTGTGGTTGAATTTCAGAAATCTGCATTCTTGCAGTTTTCAGATGAATCCCATGCAAATTAAAGGGTTTCTTGTTTTGTTTTGTTTTGTTTTTGAGACAGAGTCCGGCTCTGTTGCCCAGGCTGGAGTGCAGTGGCACAGTCTCAGCTCACTGCAACCTCTGCTTGCTAGGTTCAAGTGATTCTCCCACCTCAGCCTCCTGAGTAGCTGTGACTGTAGGCACGTGCCACCACACATGGCTAATTTTTGTATTTTTTTTTTTTTTTTAGTAGAGATGGGGTTTCGCCATGTTGGCGAGGCTGGTCTCGAACTCCTGACCTCAGGTGATGTGGCCACCTCGATCTCCCAAAGTGCCGGGATTACAGGCGTCAAATTAAAGGTTTTTGATTGTGATGAAAAACACACATAAAATCGATCAGCTTCATCATTTTAAGTGTATATTTCAGTAGTGTTAAATTTTTTCATGCTATTGTGAAACACATCTCCGGAACCTTTTCATCTTACTCATCTGAAACTCTATAGCTACCCTTTGCCCCCTTTCTGTGTCCTTGAGAGTCACCATTCTACTTTCTATTTCTGGAAATTTGATTACTTTAGAGAGCTCATATAAGTGGAATCACACAGTATTTGTCTTTTTGTGATTGGCTTTATTTCAGTTAATATAATGTCTTCAAGGTTCACTTATATTGTAGCATGTATCCAAATTTCCTCTGTTTTAAAAACTGAATAGTGTTTGTATTGAATGAATATACCACATTTTGATTATCCATTCATCTGCTAATGGACATTTGGGTTGTTTCTATTTTTTAACCATTGTGAATAGTGCTGCTATGGACATGAGTACGCAAATATATCTTTTAAGACCCTGCTTTCAAATCTTTTGGATGTATATCCAGAAATGGGATGCAAATTAAAGATTTAAAAGCATTGCCTTCAAATAGAAGAGATTCTTGTAGAAAATGAATTATTATGTATCTGGACTGTGGTGGTGGATACAAGAACCTGCACATGTAATAAAATTATGTATAACTAAATAGACACACACATACACATGTAAACACACACACACATGCACACACACAGGTGCAAGTAAAACTAAGGAAATCTGGATACCAGAATTGTATAAATGCCAATATCCTGCTTGTGATACTGTCCTATAGTTTTGTAAGATGTTTCCACTGGGGAAACTAGAAAAATAGCACATAGTTTCTCTCTGTATTATTTCTTACAACTGCACGTGAATAAAAAATGATCTCAAAACAGAAAGGTTGCCCTTGAGGTTAGAGTGTGCCACTGCAAGAGGAGACCCATCTAGAAGGGCAAAGAATTCTTGGCATTGTTCCGAAGGAGAAAGTGGAACAGGGATAGAGGCCAACCCAAAGTGCTAAGTTAACTCTGGGTCCCAAGGGACATGGCATCCCCAACCCCAGACAGTAGGACCAATGTAGCACAGATAGGGAAATGGCAGGGAATGAGAGCCAGAAAAACAGAGGCCAACTCAGTACTGAATCCCCAGAGTGTGGGCCTGGAGCTGGTACTGACCACCTTCCTCAGATTGCACTGGTCCTGGGAATGGGGTGGCGTGGGGTCCATGACCTCAGCCCAAATCACTCCTCATACGAAGGTTGGAACAGGGGACTTGGTCACATGAGCCCTATGCTTCCTCTTAATTCTGAATGAGTTTCAGATTCCTGCAGGCAGCATCAGCAACATGCAAAAGACGCTTCTTAGATGCTTGAGACTGTAAACCCTTATCAGGAACATAATGCGATGGGATGTTTCTCTCTCTTTAGGCAAAATTTAAGGATACTGGTGGATAATATTTACTTAATGATTGCTATGTGGCAAGTGTTTTGCTAAATGCTTTACAAATATTTATTTTCTGTGAGATGGTTCCTGTTCTTCCATCTCAAAGATGAGGAAATTGAGATTCTGAGAAGGTGACTGAGTACCTTAAACAATCACACAGCTGATAAGGGACGGACTTGGGCCTTAAAGTACAGTCTCCCTGAATCTAAAACCCACCTTTGGAATCTCAGCTGTTTTCTAGTTCTCAGAATTTATGTGTGAGATTAAAAGTGAAGCTTCAGAGAAGAAGCAGAGAGTGATAACAGCGATGGCTCCAAAAATAAAGCTGAGGAGACCAAGTTCTGTCAGGTGCATTGAGACTCTTTTTATAATCCCAAAACTGTAGAACTGTAAAGACTAGAAAAGCCAGCCACACTCTGTATGGTACTATAATACTGATGATGTCCTATGTACTTAATGTGTGTTTCTTTCTCATTAATCATCAATGCTGAGGGATGTTGCATGTCTTAGAGTTTAACAGCCACCCATAGCTCCCCATTTGTAATAAACTCTAGTCAGTGTGTAGTCACTGCCTGAACAAGTTACAATCTTAAAATAAAAACCTTATTGATTTCTTTTTTAACTTTGAAATTAACACATGCCTAGAAAAATCTAGAAAGTATAGCAAAGCAAAGAAAAATCACTCAATAAAACCACTGTTAATATTTTAGCATAATCTTGATAGTGGAATGCCTTTATTTTTTAAAAATTGCATTATGTATACACTAGTTTTAGTCAGAATTTGTACTTCTTAACATGCATACTATACCATTAGTATATTTTTACATTCTCTAAAGTGTGTCTGCAATGCAGTGTTGTACTTTCTGCAGATACCATAGTTTCTTTCATCAATCTTTTATAACATTGTGTTGATTGTAGTTTTTTCTATCTTTAAGCAATATTGTAATGAGTATACATGTTGCTACACACATACACACACAACCACACACGCACATATCAGGCTAAATTTCTACAAGTGAAATTTTCAAAGCTTGTGATGGGTGTTAACAAATTGCATTTCGGAAAGATTTTTTCATGTAATTGATAATATATGAGAGTTTATTTCCTCATAAGTCTGTCAAACACTATGAACTTTTTCTAATTATTGTAACAATTTTATAAATTGTTACAATATATAACATGCTATAAATATATGTGATGCAAATTTTTTTACAGTTTTCTGTTTATTTTCATATAATATTTTAGTTGTTGTAAAACCTGCATTTCAGTAGTTTAATCTGTCAGTAATTCACGCAATAAATTAGAGCTCTAATGGTGGCTTAGAAGGGCCTTCTCCCCTGTATTACTTAAATATTCAATGACTTTATTCCTCCTAATACTTAAATCCATCTGGAATTCATTAGACTATACTTTAAATTTGTATGTATCAACCCTAATTTTTTTAAGAACATCATGTTTGATAAAACACATTTTAACACTTACTTAACAAAATGACTTTAAAACTGTAAACTTAAAAAAAAGGTATTGCATTTATTTCTATTCCTCTGAATTTCACATTAGGAAAGGAAAAAGGGCACGTAAAAATACAATCCCCAGTAATTTCTCTCTGCTGGCTTTGTTTTCTAAAGTATTATATTTCCCATCTTTGCACAAAAATCCCCTTAACCCTTGTACATATCCTTAATAGATCTGGCATAATTCCATCATCCAAGAGTTATATAAGTTCTACTTGAACCAATTAAAATTTTTAGCCTGTGTCACCTCTTGAGGCAGAGGATATTCACTAGGACTTTACTCAAGCTGCTTACATAAAATTATTTTGAATATCTGCATAGATTTCTTCCACATAATTAAAGTTACTTCAAAAGTTAAATGTTTAAGAATGCCCTGAAAGTCTAGTGTGATTGTGAGCGTGCATACACATAAGAAAAAATGTTTTCATTATGTTTGATGAAACAAAAATTTTAAAGTAAAATTTCAAATTCATAAAGGAAATACTGTACCTCTAAGCAGAGCAGGATTTTCAAAGAACATTTGATAATAGTATCAAGATCTTTAATTAATAACCTAACAAGTAGGAAACTTTTATCGCCCCTTTGATCGTTTTTATAAGGAGATATAAACACCACATCCAGTCTGTCAAGCGGGGGATAAATGAAGGTGGAGGAATGTTACAAAGGGCTTAAAATGTCTTTTCCCTGGGAACTCTCTAGGAGTTGGTCCGTAATGACATTTAACTTGAATAAGTGAAATAAAACTAAGAAAAATAGCTTGAAATGCAAGTTGTTGGCGTCAGAGAGAAACCTGGATTACGGTAATAGAAAAGCAATTTCAAAGGAATAATGGCTGACAAATAGGAATTGAATCTAGTATACTGCATCCACATTTGCAGGTTTCTACATAAAGATCTACTGGGAATGACTGATTTCCTTACGGAGCGGGGGTGGTCCTATGGGGATGATTGGCACCTCTCTCAGATTGCCCAGCCTCCCCCTGCTCTTCTGGGAGACTGTCAGGGTGCTGCTCTTTGGACTACCTTTGAAATCTTGACCTGTGACGAGGCTGTGGCTGGTAGTGATGTTGCCAGGAAGATGGCATTCCAAGGTCACCATACTCCCGCTAAGGTCTAACAAAGCTTTGTTTAGTATTTCTACTTGCTGGGAATTTCTGTGTACACATGCTCATTTATCTTTTTATTTATTTAACAATAAAACCGAGAGTGGTATTCTAAACACCATATGTTGCTATGGTGGAAACTAAAACCTGGAAAGCTGAAGTTTCTTAGTAAGAGAGCATGATCACATGACCCATTTTGCCCAGGACAGCTTTGGTTTGCACCTGTTGTTTCGGCTTCATTGTTAATGGTACCTACTTTTATTCTAAGAAGATTCTGGTTTGGACAATAAATTATGTGGCCACTGTATTAATGTCCTATGGCTGCTGTAGTAAATTACCACACAGTGACTCAAAACAACACAAATCTTATCTTGCAGTTCTGTAAGCTGAGAATCCAACATGTGTCAGGGTAAAATCAAGGTGTCCGCAGGGCTACCTTCACTCCTGGAAGCTCTTGGGGAAAAACCCATTTCCTTGCCTTTTCTAGCTTCTAAAGGCCACGCACATTCCTGGCCTCATGGTACCTTTCTCCATCCTCAAAGCCAGCAACAGCTGTTCATGTCCTTCACATATCCCATCACTCTGACCTTCGCTTCTTCCTCCCTCTTAACGACTCATGATTATATTGGGCCTAGCCAGATGCCATATAATTCATGCTAGTCTTTCTGTCTGTCTGTCTCTCTCTCTGTTTCTCTCTTTCTTCCTCCTTTCTCTCTCTCTCCCTCTCTCTCCCCCCTCTCTCCCTATCTCCCTCTCTCCCTTTCTCCCTCTCTCTCTCTCTCTCTCTCACACACACACACACACACACACACACACACACAGAATCTCCCTCTGTCACCTAGGCTAGAGTGCAGTTGCACAATCACAGCTCCCTGCAGCTTCAACCTTCCGGGCTCAAGTGATCCTCCTACCTCACCCTCCTGAGTAGCTGGGAGTACAGGCATGCACCGCCACTCCTGGCTAGTTTAAAAAAAAAAAAATACAGAGATGGCAGTCTCTCTACATTGCTCAGGCTGGTCTCAAACTCCTGGGTTCAATCATTCCTCCCGCCTTAGCCCTCCAAAGTGCTGAGATTACAGGCATGAGCCACCATACCTGGCCCAATCTCTGTTTTAAAGCCAGCTGATCAGCAACCTTAATTCCATTGGCAACCTTAATTTGGGAGGTGGAGAGAGTATGAGAATTGTAGACCGAAACTTCATGAAAAGATTTATCAGTATGTCTTTGTTTAAGGCACTAAATTTTAGAAAGGATATGTAGATAGAGTACTCTTACCCACACATCGTGATGATCTAATTGGACCATGAGTATATTTTCATCTAAATCTGCCTACCAAGCCTGTACATATATTGATAATATATTCATATGTAAGGACTCAGGTGTAAAAAGTAAGGGCAATGTAAGTGTCACATTAATAAACTGGGTTAGGATTAATGTTATCATTTCCTGTCTTATCACAACAAACATTGTATCCATGGTGGAAAATATCACTTAAAAAATCTTCCAATCACACTCTACCTTGCAAGATTATCTGTTATAAATAAACAATATAGTATACTGACACAAAAATCTTTGTGGGCTTATTTCCATGGAATCTCTGCAGAATTTTGTTTTAAGCTTTGAACATCTCTGTGGTTCTTGAGACATACTTTCAGACTGCCTTCCAGGAAGATTGTATCAAGTTGAGATTCCACTACGGTGATCCTTGTGTTTGTGTCACTGTACCCTTAACAATTACCGGCTCTTAACTTTTCTTTATCTGGGGGCAAATGCTGGCATGTTATTTTTCATGTGCATTTCAAGGTTTTGTGTGAGTCAAACACACACACACACAGTTCCTTTGTCTGAACTTACAGTCATGTTTAGCTGGAGAGATGGCAGTGTTAAGACTTGTACATCCCTGCTTACATGTAGTGAGCTTCTGATGATCATTTTATGTTTCTTGCCCTAAGGGAGGAGACCATCCCTCATATTGTCTTATGCCCAATTTCTGCCTCCAAAGAAGGAAAAAGTAAAAACTAAAAGGCAGAAATGAAATCCGCAAGCAGACGGCCCAGCGCCACACCCTGGGCCTTGTAGTTAAAGATTGACCCCTGACCTAATCCGTTATGTTATCTATAGGTTACAGAAATTGTATAGAAAAGCACTGTGAAAATCCCTATCCTGTTTTGTTCCGATCTAATTACCGGTGCATGCAGACCCCAGTCACGTACCCCCTGCTTGCTCAATCGATCACGACCCTCTCACGTGCACCCCCTTAGAGTTGTGAGCCCTTAAAAGGGACAGGAATTGCTCACTTGGGGGGCTTGGCTCTTGAGACAGGAATCTTGCCGATGCCCCCGGCTGAATAAACCCCTTCCTTCTTTAACTCGGTGTCTGAGGACTTTTGTCTGCGGCTTGTCCTGTTACAGCCCTACAGCTATATTCTATTACTAGATATTTGGGGCCAGGCATGGTAGCTCACACCTGTAATCTCAGCACTTTGGGTGCCTGAGGTGGGTGGATCACCTGAGGTCAGGAGTTCGAGACCCGCCTGACCAATATGGTGAAACCCCGTCTCTGCTAAAAATACAAAAATTTGCCAGGGGTAGTGGTACATATCTGTAATCGCAGCTACTCAGGAGGCTGAGACAGGAGAATCGCTTGAACCTGGGAGGCAGAGATTGCAGTGAACCAAGATCACGCCACTGTACTCCAGCATGGGTGACAGAGCAAGACTCCATCTCAAAAAAAAAAAAAAAAAAGAAATTTGGAATGAAAGCAATGAGATTCCTTCTTGTTTGTGACTTATAGACGGGTTCCAATAGAAGTTTCTGAAGAGGTATTCCAGAGATAACGGCAGTGGCAGCATCTACGCTAAAAAACATTTTAGTGCCCCAGAGAGGTAATTCGGAGGGAAAATACTTATTCAGGTGAGAGATATCTTATCTGTCTGCAAAATAGAAACGGAGTCACATTGTGTTAGAGATGTAACTACTGTGTGCTTTGATTCTGTGTGATTTGAAAACTTACATCTGAAAATCCTGTGCACACACAATCCATTGATCGAATGTTGAACTATATCATCTCAAAAAAGCTCTGTGTGTGTCTGTGTTTTGCTTTATTTGCATATTTTGCCCAAAGAAGAATCATCAGAGTTAAAGAGGTCATCAAACTGTTTTCTAAATCATTTCTCTTCGGAATGACTCACAAGTCCATGGACTGTGTGTCATGCTTTGTTTCTGATTCTGTTGATCTAGATTTTGCATGTGTTGCTTGGGTCATCTCATATTACAAAAAATATTGGCTTTTAAGAGCCAGCTTCTGCATTTTGGCCTTCACCCAAGAAACCTTGTAACACATTTTGTTTTTCATCAGTACATCCCTTTGGGTAAGATCTCAGTGTCAAATTTTGTCGGACTAAATTGTGTCTTTCATGGCTGAAGATGAGAGGATGACTCAAATGAAGGGCAAGCTGTTAATAGTTCGCCATGAAGCTGAAGGCCACGCAGGCTTTGTAATTTGGTTCATTATGTTCTTGCATTTTTAAGGGATTCTTTTCAAAGCATTTTACGTACAGCCAATTCCTATTAGTGTGGTGAATTAATTGGCTTGAAGAATCATTGTTTTGCGTACTGTGACTTGATGGTTCACATTTCTACTGGATACCTGCTCACCCAACCCCCCACAGTATGGAAAGAGAGTAGAGGAACCCAGGTGCTGGGATGCCAGGAAGGGTGGACAACAGGGCCCTAAACTCAAGGCTGAAACTGCTCTCCAACTTAGCTTCCCTTCTGGCTCCTGTGGTTTTTCTTTAGCTCCTTCTCCATTTCAGGAGTTGAGCCCCTTTTTTCCTCCCATTCTCAGGACTCAGAAGATCAGGGCTAACAACCTAGTGCCCATCTACCATGCCCCCTTGAAGTACAGAAAATATTCAGGCGGTATCTTAGTGTCTCCACCTTTGGATAAAGTATTTTTGCTTTAAACAAATTAGAGGTGATTTGCATCCTCTGTCTCCCTCACCATATTATTCACTGTTGTCATTTGAGAATTAAATTGACAAGCGTATTTTTTTTTTTTTTTTTTTTTTTTTTTTTGCTTTTCAGAAAGTGTGTAGTGTCATGGAAGGAACTATGTGGTAGCTAGGCTGATACTATAATATTTCGCAGCCTTTAGTTTGTGGCAGGATGCTACATAATATACAGACGCTCATTGTGTGGTTTAATGTGTAGCTTCATGTGTATTAATAAAAATATATAAGAAACTCATTAAGCTCCTCAATTCATGGATGATTTTGCCACAAATGAGGCAAGAGTAAAAAGTAGCAATCAATGTAAAGCAAAGCTACTAAGTAAATAGCTTAGTAAAGATAATGAAACAAAAAAAATGTAAGGGAGTCCATGCAAAAACATTCAGCAAGTGTGAGCACAGTGAGGGGAATGTGAGTGTTACAGTCGGACCTAAGTTTGAGTTCAGGCTGATGACAAATCAGCTTTGACACCATGGACCAGGTCCTTAAATTTCTTTGCTGCGATGAGTATTTGTTCAGATTGTTTTAAGCCAAATGAGACAGTGCAAAAAAAGGCCAGACCTGTATGGGACACCAAATCAATGTTAGTCCTCTTCTTTTTAAAAAAAAAAAAAAAAAAACAAGTAATCAGTTTAATGTACTCTGATATTGTTTACCACTGGGATTCTTCTTCATCATTTAAGGCTACAGAGTCCACCAGCCTAGAGTCCATGGAGTCAGACCAACTGTCAGCTGTAATATGCCGGAGATGGAGAGAAAGGACAGATGGCCAGAGCTCAGGCCAAAACTTTGGATTCCAGTCTCTTAAAGAGGCATAGCCTCTTCCAAAGAGGGCTCTCTGCAGTCAATATCATATCAGCTACCTGTTTGGCACCAGGCATTGGGTCCAGGCTTCAGGATTTGCTAATAAACTCCCGTCCTCATGTGGCCAGACAGAGAGGTAGACGTAAATTGAATTATCACACCAATAGGTAATAACCCATGGGAAGTGTTACAAAGCAAGGAGGCTGACGCCATGGGAATGTAAGCCAGGGACACCCTAGCTGTTCTGGAGGAGTAAGGGAGGCTCTTCTTGATATTTGGGCCAAGATCTGAAGGATGAATAGCGGCAGCAAGGAAGCGTAGGTAGGAAACCCATGGTTGGTAGGAGGGTTGTATGTAAAAATACCTGCAAGAAAGGATGTGATGAGTTGGAAGAACTGAAAAAAGATGAGTGTAACTGGATAATAAGGAAGAAGAGGGATTCCTTGTAACATGAAATGAGTGTGAGGAAGTGGGCTGTGGCCAGATTACAGAAAGACTTGTCAAAGCAAAGGTATTTGCTGTTTTTCCTAAGAGTGATGAGAAACCATTGAAAGGTATCCAATAGAGGGTGACATAAATCAATAAACATTGACAAAGACACCCTGGAAGCCCTATAGAAAACAGATGGTGGCAGGCAGTCATGGCTGTGCAGGAAGACCCACAGGGCGCCTTGCACAGTAGCCCTGGTGAGAAGTGACAGAAGCTAATCTCAAGGAGTGTTGAGGGGGATGGAGAGAAAAGGGGACATTCAGGAAGTGAAACAATGGATGTGGGCAGGATATGTTGATAGAGTGGCTGCGGATAGAAGAGAAGGTTTCATTTGAGGAAGAGAATGACTCATGAGTTTCTCCTTCCTTGATCCCTGAGAGAGGAGCCATCCTCTAGACAATATTTAGAGCAAAATGATAAACATGCAACTGTATTTATCATACTTTCTGGTTGCTCAAAAATCCTTGCCTCCAATGATGTCAATAATATTTTAATTAAGTTATTATAAATGTAAAATAGTTTTGCCCTCTCTAGGAAAGGATAAAGCTGGGCCCCTAAAAACTGGGGAGTAATATTTGACTTCAGACTCAGTACCAGCTTTGTATCAGACACTTTCATGTGTTATTTTAGTTAATCTGCACCAAGATCCTGCAAAGTCACCATGGTGGGCTCTTATTAATAACACAAAAACCAGGATACGGAGAGGTGCATGCTCTGCTCAGGGCCCGGATCTGGTGTGTCAGCAGGATTCAGTATCAGGTCTCCTGAATCCAGGTCCAGTGCTCTTTCCACAGCTCCTTAAAGCCCTCCAGTCAGCCTTTCACAGATGTCCCCCACCTCCAGCAATTCTCCCCTCCACCTCTCCCACCAGTGCAGGTGGCATCTGGATCTCCCTCCCATGATCAGCCAAGCTTTCCACCGTGTGAGCAGGAAACCACTAGCACTAGAATCTCTCAAAGTGCTGGTTTAAACATAAATTCCTAAAGAATCTGATTTTACCCACTTCCCTGGATGATCCATAGGCCCACTGTGATAAAGCTGAATGAGTTACTCCTCCCTGGGATATTTCATCTCAATGGAGGAAAATAATTCTGTTGGGGTCCAAAAATCACACCAAGGCTAAGGCAATACAGGGCCCCCCAACACTCATCACCATTCTCTGTGACCTTTCCCATCTCTGGGACCTCTCCATTATACTTTGTTTTCTGCAATGTTTCACTTTTCAATTAATAACCAATTTCCTTCTACTTTTGTATTTGACAGCTTCTCAAAAAGTGATCAGACAAAATATGATTTTTAAGCATTCAGCATGCACAGTTGAAGATTAGAAGGACATTGGAAAAAATTGATGTTTATGGGAAATGTATGTGTATATTTGTATGTGTGTGCTATGTCTGTGGTACATGTACATATGTCTGCCTACATCTGAGTGTGTGTGTGTGTGTGTGTGTATGTGCGCATGTGCGTGCTGCTCCAGATAGACCTACAAACATCTGTCTTCCTGGCCTGTGTACTTGGGAGTGGTGAATGAGTCCAACAGCCACACAGTGAAATTCCTAGCAGGTGGCAAGACTCAGCCTCCTGTTTGGAGCTTATTTTATTTTCCTATAGCTGAACCTGGGAATACAGTTCCCAAATTCCACAAGACCCTTGGATTTCCATCTCCAACCCCTGTGTCTCAGTACAACATCACTCAAACAGTAATGTGCACCCGAATTCTCTAGAAACAATGTTAAAATGGGTTTCCTCTGTAGGATCTAGACAGGACCGAGGAGCCTGCATTTCTAACCAGCTCCTGGGGGATGCCAATGCTGCTGGCTTGGAGACTGACCTTTGAATAGCAAGGTACTAGAACACACAGCACAGACATTGGTCAGATGTGTAATTGCTCGGAGTTCAGGCTACCTACTATGGAATTAGTTATTAAAATCCTGCAACATTGGATAACTGTTTCTAGCTGTCATTTGTTGAGTGCCCCTCTCATCTGCCTCCACAGTGGACTTTTTTTTTAATATCACACCTTGTTATTCCCATGCAGGTCAACCATTGAATCTAAGAATAGAAATCCTCATGTCTGAAGGGGTGGTCTTGAAGTAGGCAATGAGGGCCTGGGTGGTTTCCATTTCCTTTGAGCAAGTATTTCATTGCCTTCTGCCATGCCTACCTATTTGTTTTTCTCACAGTAGGTTTCTACCAAGTGGCATCTCACTTCTAACATAAAGAACAAGCATCAGAATGCCTCCCTTTGAATGCATATGAGGTTGTTTTGTTTTTAGAACCCAAACACAGCCACTTGAATCTATCATGTAATTCAAAGGAAACAAGCATTATTCCAGTCTTTTCAAACTAAGGTTTTGTGTGCTTTGGGTATTTCAATTAGGAAGAAAGAAGGCAGGCAAGAACGTTATTGAACATTTATTCTCTGATACTGGAGGATGCGCTGGAATTCAAGAGCCTGACTTCAGAAAGTTTGGCATTTGCTAACTGTGGGTCTGACCTTCGTATGAGAACAGTGATGAAAACTCACGGGAATGTCAGATTTTGTTACGGTATGTGATTGGGTGGATAAGGCTGTATTTACTAACAACTTCCTCATGCATATGCATGTGCTTAATTTTCATCCACATCATTAATAAGATGATTTTAAAACTGGATGAACCTCTGCATAAAACACAAACATTTCCTATTATATATTTTATTCAGTCTACTATGTTTTCCTCTGTGGGGATCAAGCATGATATACTTCTTTCTCATCTCTGCCTTCCCAGGGACTCATAGGAAGAAAATGTCTTCATTCTTCACTTGGTTTAGATTGTTCTACGCAAAAACTCTTGTATGGACATAAGCCTTAACTTACTCCATTCGGAGTTGAGCAGAGTCCTAATTCTTTGACTTGATCTTATACCATTCCCCACTCCTAAATTAGTTCCAATTAGTTCCAAGTTCATCCTTACCTCAGAGTCTGCTATTGCTATTCCTGCGGTCTAGAAATCATTTTCCATGTGTTTTGTATGGCTATCTCTTTCCACTTTCTTGTCATTCAAGCCTCAGCTGAAACATTCCCTCAGCAATAAGGTTTTCTCCACCATTTATTTTGAATAGGTGTCCCCTGCCACACACACACACACACACACACACACACACACACACACACACTTTGTCAATCATACTCTACCCAGTGATGGAAATGTTCTACATCTGTGTTGTCTAATATGGTAACTACTACCTGCATGTGGCTACTGAGCACTCAAAACGTTCCTAGTTTGACTGGAGTACTGAGTTTTTTCATTTTAATAAATGTAAATTGCAATAGCCATATGTGGCTAGCAGCTACAGTATTGGGTAGTGAAGCTTTCGTATTCAAACCTGTCTCATATCCTTCATAGCCCTCATCTGTGACTGAAATTATCTTGTTCATATCTTTTTCTCTTGTTTATCACCTGTCTTTCCATGCTGGGTTATCTTTTCTGCTAACCACTGGATACCAGGGTGTTCAGCGTGATGGCTGACATGTAGTGAGTCCTCAAATAATTTTTATTAAATTAACTTTAAGAAAATCCCACTTAACAGCCCTTCACTGTTTTTAGAGACCATTCCAAAGGTCTTGACTTGTGTTGATATTATTGTCCTCTGAAAAGTCTGAGTCAAACTCTGATTAGTTTTGTAACATAAAATACCATTGGATTGTCTGTTTGCATAATTGGTTTTCTGAGATTCAGCTCCACATTCTGTATTCATCCTAATCAATGGTGTCTCCTTAGTTTCTGTCTTTCTTTCCATTGTGTTAAGATGGATCTGTTGTCTGCCCTTCCCAGTTTCAGCATATTTGAATATTTGGCAAATGTGAATTCTGATTACCTATCCTACTTGTAGCTTATGATACTGGCCAAGTCTTATAGAATGTAGAATCTTAGGATTCAGATCCAAGATATTTGTTATCTTTAGGCACAGTGTTTTTTTGTTTCTGTTTTTTTTTTTTTTTTTTTTTTTTGGTTGAGTTAAAGTCAAGTCCTTGGCTATTTTGGGAAGATGAAAAACCAGACCTATGTTATTACATAAAATTGCCTCAGAGCTTTATTTTGATTGATTTCCTTTGTTAGCAGTATTCTCATAATAGCTTAAAAAAAACATAAAAGTATAAAATTTCACTCTCTGTGAGATCTCCTTTGTGTGCAGATATTACGAGGCTCTGTTCACTTCATTTTTTCTTATTACATGCATTATTTTATCTGCACCAGAAATCAAGTATGTATGTCTGTGTGTGAATTTGCTGGTAAAAGGATGAAGTAATGTTAAAGAAAAAAATTTAAAAATTATCTACCCACACATACCTGGTTTCATTTTGCTCACTGCCTTCAAATTCTATCCATATTTGTAGGTCATGTATGATGATGCTCATGTTATTTTGTGTATTTTTACTCAATATTCTAAGTAGATCAATAAAGTTTAAAAATTATTGTATTGTAATATGTTGTTACACAAACATTCCTTCAACTAGTTCCCTTCCACTGGATGTTCAGGCAGATGCCAGTGTAATTTTATTTTGAGAAATAACAATGCAGTGAATAGTTCCAAATATGTAGTGCAAACTTATATAGGATCAGGAGTGGTATAAAAACGGAACAAAAGTATGAGTCTTTCGTGGTTTCTGTTGAATTTTGCCATGCTTTTGAAAAGGATTATACTGGTTTACAATACCATCAGGTGGAATGTGACTCTACTGATTTATAACAAGAATGTTTGTCTTTCATTTTTCTAATTTGGGCTCTTTTTTGACAATAGTATTGATAATAACTGTAGCAACAATAGCAGCAGTTAATATTCTTGAGACATATTATATGATAGACCATATTTAAATGCTTTAGAAATATTGTTTATAGTGGTTAAAAAAGTGAGCTCTGGAGGCAGACTTCCCAAGGTCAAATCTGGACTCCACCATTTATCTTCTCTTTGCTTTCATTCTCTCCTCTGTAAAAAGATCCAAAGGGTTGTTATGACAATCAAGTGAGATAATATAGTATAGAGCTAAAGTAAGCACTGGATAAGTGTTTGTTATTATTCCTAATAATGAGTGTTTTTGTTAACCCCACTTACAGATGAGAAAACTGAGATCCAGTGTCTTGCTCAAGGTCACACAGATAGGAAAGAGTTGTACTAGGATTCCAAATGCAGATGCCCTTTTCTGATCAAAATACTCCTATGCGGGGACCAACACTTATATCCAAGAGGAAGTATTACTCTTATCGCTGAGTTAAATCAAGGTTGAATTACGCACAGAAAATGTGCGCATAAGGTCCCCGTGATTCACTGGAAATGCCATGACATAATTCTTCGTTTCCAAGACAAACAAAAAAGTTGTTTTTTTATGCTGCCTTCTTCATTGAGATCTGAAAGTAGTTCCCTATGGAAGTGATTCATGGTGTTGTGAAATCCTCCGAAATTGTAAACAGCCTGGTGGGCAGGAATCCCGAGGTCTCATTCAGGCCCCCTGCAAATTCTGAGTTCCTAGCCTGAGGAAAGCCCCCAACAAATACTGACCTGACTTTCTCCTAAAAGATTGCCATAAACACTTTTGGTTATCTCTTAATGTACTTGGTTCATAACTGCTTAGTCAATTATTTTTATTAGCATAACATTCCTTTTAAGCATAATGATATTGGGAAAACAGAAATGATACAAGCGTAATTTCTTGGCTATGACTGTTTATGTTTTGAGTTTTTTTGTTTTGTTTTAACTTTCTTTGCCGATTTGATGAATTAATTGTAAATTTCCCAAGGGGGATCTAAAGTGAACTGATCTTTGCCTTTTATTCTGGAATGTTCAATTTCTATTCTAGTCCCAGTGACTATCCTCTGAGACCAAAATTTCAATATTGCCAAGGGCTCATAAAATTGTCGATATAACCTACTTTCTCTAGAGAACCTTATTTGAATTTTCATAATGAATTAATATCTTCTTTCTCCCCCAATCTCTTTGCTCAAATAGCTATTTGTGGAGACCACTGATGTCAATGGCAAAACTCTCGAGGGGCCGGTGCCTCTGGAAGTCATTGTGATTGATCAGAATGACAACCGACCGATCTTTCGGGAAGGCCCCTACATCGGCCACGTCATGGAAGGGTCACCCACAGGTATGTCACATTGGCTTACCTTTAGCGTAATGGCTTGGAAAGAGGCACACTTTGATCTTTGTGGATTCTAGGGACTGTCTTATGGCTGTTCCAACTTGTCAGCTCGTATCAGCGTCGACTTAATACTTCCCTGCGTAGAAGCCAGGTTGGAAAGCTAAAGTGCAAAGCTTGACCGAGGTGTTGCAAGCTACGGAAATCTCTTTCATTGTCTCTGAAGATCATCCTCCAAGGATGACTGCCATCTAAGTCTCTAAGGCATGGCCGATGTTGGGCACCATGTAAATATCCAGCTTACCTTTGTGAAAGTCCAAGGCTAAACTTTGTGCTATAGCAGGGCTTTGATGAGAATTGGGTCCCCATTACAAACTCCTCAGTTCTTTCTTTTCACAGTGGCCTTTTAATAAGAACTATTTTAGTAAAATAGGTAGGACTTCTTCCCTTCCCTTAGAAGATGTGCATGAAGAAATCTTTTGTCTTCAGTCAGAGGACCAAAAGGAGGATGTTTGATATCTCTCTCTGGAAATGCGTAAATGCATGTGCCTACTGTTATAGAAGTCACTCAAGGTTACTATAGAGCTCCCGCTGTCTTTTCCCATGTTTAACCTTTCTATCAGGGACGGTTTTAGAATTTAGAGCTTCCTTTTTTGCCCCAATACATACAAATTAAAGTATCCCACAGCCAGCAGCTGAAGTCACTCCTAAGTATAATGCTTGAGAAAATGAAAGAATAAAACAGAAAAATTCCTCTTCGGCTCACTTTGATTTTCAGCTTTAAAATACACTTGAGTGAAAAAAAACACCATATTAAGAGTATCATATTAAGAGTATCATGATACTCCTAGATTATGCCCAAATAGGTAAAATAGTGATTCGTCAGACCAGACAGGAGATGAGAGCGGCTTTTACTATTTTTCCCCCTTTTCTGAATTGATGGGATCTATCAGTGACATGTAGATACATGAGGCTCTGGAAATGTTGCCATGGTAACCTTCCCAGACAACCAGGTGGATAATTGTATGCAAGATGCCTAAAACCTCCCGTCAGCTTCAAGGAGCTGGGTCTTTATGCACTGCATCAGATCCCCCAAGGGCAAGAGCGACCCTCTTCCTTCCCAGCTTTAAATGCGCTCCGTAAAAATGAAAGCAAATGCACTGCGTGTGTGCTGGAGGGTGTTTAGGGGAGTGTTGGAGGCAGATGGCAGAGGAGCAATGACAGGTCTGGAGAGAAGGAGAGAGGGCAGGTGAAGGGAGGTCAGGTCACTTCAGGGCAGACAATCCACGTGGCCCCTCTCTGTGAGCTGCTTTTGATGGAAAGATGGCTTCTGGTGAGAAACACCCTAGAATTTCGGTTTGATGTTTACAGAAATCTTCTTAAACGAGCTGATGTGCAGAACACATTTGGAGAACCAATGAGGAAAGCGATTAAAGAGGCCAAAGTTTGAGCAGAACAGAAAAATGATTCCCAATTGCTATCTGTGGTACTCGGGCCCCATGAGTGAGTGACTAGAATTCAGATGGGCTGGGAAAGTGTTCTAAATGTAAATGACAGTGCTTACATTCGGGATGGCTGTGAGCTTGCACATGTCTTTGTATATTATGTGTGTATATGATTAGACGGTGTCCAATTTTCCTCCCACTGTGCCTGTCCTTAAAGTTTAGAAAAGAATTTCAGATACATGTAATATTTTTTGATACATGTATATACATGTAATATTTTTTGAAGAAAGAGTTCTTTTTGCACATTGAATTCTTTATGCACATGTTATTTTGTGTATTTTTTATGTATGTTTTTTGTGTATTTTTTAGATAGAGTTCTTTATGCACATTGAATTTCTTAAATCACAGAGTTATTCAGTTAGAGACAGTTCTCCAGCAAAACATAAACCACCTCAAATATCTATTTATGATTGGTATTATCCTATAAAAATACATAAAGACTCAGGTGTCTGTATGGATTCATTGTTTTCTTTCTCAGCACCCTCTGGGTTGGACTATAAAGCACGCAGTGAAATAGAATCAGTCAGATTTGGGATCCAGAATGTGGAAATGTTGCAAAAGACTTTCAAACAAAAAGCCACTTAGATTACTTAGCACCCTGTAAGAGAGTTGCAGGCAAGATGGCCCCCGAAGCATTCATGAGGCCAGTGGGAATCTGATGAAGAAGACGGTATCCTCTTTCCAACCTCTTCTTCAACTTAAATCGTTTACAAGTAATAACAAACCCTAACTGGCTATAAAAATGATCGTCTCTTGTATTTCCATTATGCTCTGCTCATCTGTGGCTCATAGGATCCCATGTGTTGTAGAAATTATTCGACACCCACTGGGAGTAAGGGTGGGGGTAGGGGTGGGGTTTGGGTGGGGGTAGGGGTTGGGGTTGGGGGCTGACTCTGGAAAGAGTTCCATGATTTTCCATGCTCTCACAAATAAAAGATGGGAGTCAGTGCATAACCTGCCTTCAAATCATATGCTCTTTCACCTGTCCCGCTGAATTCATGGTGAACACAGCCATCAGGTATCATAGCACTGCGTCGAGTACTTACTGTGTGCCAGCAGCCATATATGTACAACATCATTTCATCCATGATCCCACTTCCTGCCCTGAGAGGTGGCTACCACTATCCCTATCTTACAGATGAGAAAACTGAACATCAAAGAGGCTCAGGAACTTGACAAAGTTACCTGGCTGGGGAAAAGGCACAATCAGTGTCTACGTCTCCAGCTTCAAAATTTGGTGAATGGTTGATTACTTAGCTGGTAAGAGGCTGCCACATCTGCCTTAATTCTCTGCAAATTCTGGCCACATCTGCACTGGCATCATGCTCAAAAGACTAGTCCGGGTCTGTCTACAATAGCCCGCATTTCTTCCTGGGCCTTGTGTGAGCTACAAGAAACCCAAGAACCAGCTGGGTGGAGTGGCTCAAGCCTGTAATCCCAGTACTTTGGGAGGCTGAGGTGTGTGGATCTTGAGGTCAGGAGTTGGAGACCAGCCTGGACAATGTGGTGAAACCCCATTGCTACGAAAAAAACAAAAATTAGCCGGGTGCGGTGGTGGGTGCCTGTAATCCCAGCTAGTCGGGAGGCTGAGGCAGGAGAATTGCTTGAACCCAGGAGGCGGAAGTTGCAGTGAGCCAAGATCACGCCACTGCACTCCAGCCTGGGCGACAGAGAAAGACTCCATCTAGGAAAAAAATGAAACCTAAGAGCCACGTGACCCACTGGGTCTGCTCTCTTGTTTCCATGTTTTACACCACAGACTCTTTGCAGGCCCAGCTGGGGGAAGTATTTGTGCAGTTCTATCAGATGAACTGATTTAGATCCTCACAGAAAATGACTAGTTCTTCGGATGAAATAGCCAGGCCCATTGAATCACCTCTAGGGTTCAACGGTGTTAAGTGTTGAGGCCTTTGTCACCACTCATGTCACTTTTTTCTGAGCCTACATAACCAAAGGCAGCTTCATGGGGCACAGCCTTTGTGGCCTCACACAGCCAAGGGAACAGAAGGGTCCCATGCTCAGAAGGGCCTGGGGCTTGGTTTAGCGTTCTGCTGTCACCATGTTGAAATTCTTAATAATTGTTGAACAAGGTGTCTGCATTTTCATTTTACACTGAGCGTCACAAATTATGTGGCTGTTCCTGCTCACAGCATTGTAGCCTAGAGCTGTGTTTGACGCTGTGCTCAGCTATTTAACACGGTGTGATATTGGGCAAGTTACTGAACCTTCTAGGACCCTCTGCAAATGGGGATAGAATATAACAGTAGCTACCTTAGAGAAGTATATGTGAGGATTCAGTGAGACAACATGCTTCACCCAGTGCTTAGGGAACAGTAAATGTACAATGAATGCCTTTGTATTGTTAACAGTGCAATTATTATTTTTATTCTGGAAGAGTACCCTTTAGCAAAGGTAAAGCAAAGAGACACATGAGTTGTGTGAAGACAAATTCATCTTCCAGCAAACCACGCGTCATTTTCATGTCCCCATGTGTTCGAATGCCCTCGGCACCAATCTATCACAAAGGAAGGTCACCCATATTTATCTGTATGTGCAGACAGGAGACCATTCCGGCTGCTCAGCACTGAACTCCGGGGTATTGTTTTGGTGAATCATTCCTGGATGAAGGAAGATCAGCAGAACATAATGGTCTTTGACTTTGCAGATCGTGAGCTGTTGCTTTTGCAGAGCCACAGACATTGATTTATGAGGCCCAAGCCAAGGCTCTGGCTGCTCCTTGGGGGCATACAGATCTCTGTGTGAGTTTGGTGTTTTCTGATGGCCAAGACATGGTGTTCATGAGTAGGGGGTAGAGGGTGAGAACTCTTGAAATTCCTGGAGGGCACTAATTCCAAGGCCCCATCATGTCTTGTTGGCATCAATTCATGGGTGTTTTGCCCTCTGGTGGTTTCCTGGGCACCTTTGAGAATGGCTGACCATGAGGAATGGCATGTCAGGCTCCCACAGAAGCAGGCCCTGAGATGAAGATTGAGGCCTGCCTGTGGTTTGCTTGAGAGGTACAGGGACAGATACCAGGTAAGGTGAGGTACAGAAAAGGAAGTCAGACAACTTGAGGTGCATTATTATTATTATTATTATTATTATTATCACTATTGAGACGGAGTTTTGCTCTTGTTGCCCAGGCTGGAGTGCAATAGTATGATCTCAGCTCACTGCAACCTGTGCCTCCTGCATTCAAGCAATTCTCCTGCCTCAGCCTCCCGAGTAGCTGGGATTACAGACACCTGCCACCACGCCCAGCTAATTTTTGTATTTTTAGTAGAGATGGGGTTTCACCACATTGGCCAGGCTGGTCTTGAACTCCTGACCTCAGGTTATCCGCCCACCTTGGCCTCCCAAATGCTGGGATTACAGGTGTGAGTCACTGCACCTGGCCCTTGAGGTGCATTATTAAAGCAGCTCCCAGAGTGGGTAACTGCAGCTTTATCCTTTTTGGGGAGCTCAAGGAAATGACATTAAACACATACGTTAGAGTTATCTCAGCTAAGGGGCAGGTAGCTAGAATATCTACTCCCCCAAGTCTGATAATGAGACATAGGTTCAAAGCTGTCCCCAAGGATGGGGGGCTTTAATTTCCAGGCACTTGCCGCCAGCTGTGCGCAAGGGAAACCTGGGATCCATCAGCTCCAATATCCTGTCCTCTTGAGGCCTCGGCCTTCCAACAACATCAGGAGCTGGCTGTAGGTTGTGTTCGCTCTCCTGGCTTTTAGCCACCCCAAATGGCAGCCAGGGCAGCTGGGAGAATGGCAGCCCCCCACCCTGGACGGGTGGGGCAGCTTTGAGAAAGATAGGTGGTGAGAGGTCACAGAAGGAAAGAATTAGCTCCCAAACTGCATGACTGACAAAGATGAATGTGGCATTTACCTAAAGGTGCACGTTCTGTGTCCTGAAAGATGCACATTGCTTAGGCATGTCTGATCCTTCTTCTTGAGGCTGTTGAAGACAAGCAGAGATTAGCAGTTACGTCCTCATTGTCTAACTTCTGAAAGCCCAGCCACTTTCCCTCCCTCTCTTTCCTGTCTTAGTCCCTTTAATTTTTTTTTCCATCCAGTATGCTTAGCAAGCATCTACTCTGTGCTGGCGCTATTCTAAGCTCTGAATGTGCAACACTGGACCTGGCAGGTGCTGCTTGTTCCCTCCTGGTATTCATAGCTGAGGAGGGAGGATAGCATCCAATAAATCAGAAAGAAAATTGCGGCAAGTGCTACAACATAGTTGTATGGGAGGCTCATCTCGGGAGGGGCCAAACCTAGTCTTGTAGTGAGATAGGAGGCCGCTCTGAAGAGATGATGTAGGGAGTTTTTGTCTTTTATTTTTCCTCCAGGATCCACCTGAGTTCCTTTTCAAGACACAGTTCCTTTAATTTTTAAACACATCCAGCCATTCCAGACATAAGAAAAAGCCAGCCGATCAAGTCGCCTTTGGGACTAATGGCTATCCTGAGAGCTCAGCTTTGCTTGGAAGTTGCTATTTTCCAAAACAGCTTGAGCTAAATAAAGATGGCTGGGATAGTTGATAGTTGATATTTGACACCTAGCTCAGCCGATGGTGTTCAGGTTGTTGCTATGGCCTGGTAGTAAAGTCCCTTTTCTGGTTACTTTTTACTTGTTGCAGTAACTGTGATGTGGCTTTTCAACCCATTGACTGTTAATTTTTTTTTGCTGATATTTTCAGACTTTCATGCTGTAGGTTCCTCCATTCTCAACTGCCCCAACCAATCCTATGTGTTTCTGGAATATCAGGCATGTGGCTATTTCTTTTTTTTTTTTTTTTCCTTAGGTAGATATATTTTTTAAAAAATAAATAAAGCAATTCTGTTCTTTTCAAGTGAAAGAAAATGCAGTCACTCTCCAGTGCCACCATCCAGAGATAACCACAGTTGACATTTTAGTGAGTGCAGTTCTGGGGTTCTCTCCTGGCATCTCTACACAGAGAGATGCAGGTGCACAGTTTTACAGAATGGGAGCTCTATGTGCTTTTCCGTAAATCTCTCTCTTCACTCCTCAGGGTCCTATGGACATTTTTGTAAATCAATAAACATCAAGCAACATCATTGTTTCAAACAGCTAGAGTCTGGATCTACCATCGTCTCCTTAACCAATTTCCTATCGATTTAAGTTGTTTTCACTTTTCTACACTTCCATCAATTCTGCAGAAGAGAGCTCATCTCTTCCCATGTTTGTGACAATTTCTATAGGATATATTTACATGAGCTGGATTAATGGGATGGCGGATATGCCCTGTTATGTTTTGATCCCTATTCAGGTGATGCTTCTAATCAGAGGATTTTAGTCTGTATCTTGGCTAAGCTTGTTCATGCAGCAGGATACAATAGTCTTTCTTTTCACACACAAACATACTGATGGATATTTTTGTTTGTTTCTCCAGATGACACTCAGTATCTACAAGTTTTTGTGGTCATTTCACTAGCTGTTTTGTAGATAGTGGATGGCCTTGCTATGGAATCCTTGCTGGATATTGTGGTGGAGGCAGAGGAATGCAGTGGTTGAGACTGGCCCCTTTCCTTAGGTCATCACTGGAATTTTAGTGAAGAAGTGCTGCCCAGGGATGGCATCATTAACATGCTGCAGAGCCCTTGAGCTTGGAGGAGACAGCACTTGAGTTATGGTACAATTCACTGTAAATGTGTTTTATGGTCGCCTAAAATGTGTTTAGGTGACCATAAAACACGTTTTATGAAAGAGTTGCATAATCCAATCAGAGACCATTTCCCAAAAGGAAAATTCACAGCTAAATGGAATGAAAAGTATTATCTGAACTTCACTAGCTATTGACTCCACCTAGTCGTTCAAGAGGAAAGCGAATGCTTATACATTGTTAGTGGAAATGTAAACAAATACAACTGTATGGAAAGGAGGATGGATAGTTCTCAAAAAACTTAGAATAGAACTACCATTTAATCCAGCAATCCTGCTACTACTGGGCGTCTACACAAAGGAAAAGAAGCCACTGTATCAAAAAAACACCTGCACTCATGGTTATCACTACGTATATTCATCACCACACCATACATACATACACACACACAATGGAATACTATTCAGCCATATAAAAGTATAAAATCAGCCGGGTGCGGTGGCTCACGCCTATAATCCCAGCACTTAGGGAGGGTGAGGCAGGTGGATCACGAGGTCAGGAGATCGAGACCATCCTGGCTAACACGGTGAAACCCCGTCTCTACTAAAAATACAAAAAATTAGCCAGGTGCTGTGGCAGGCACCTGTAGTCCCAGCTACTCAAGATGCTGAGGTGGGAGAATGGCATGAACCCGGGAGGCGGAGTGTACAGTGAACCGAGATCGTGACACTGCACTCCAGCCTGGGCGATAGAGCGAGACTCCGTCTCAAAAAAATAAATAAATAAATAAAGTATAAAATCATGGCTTTGGCAACAATGTGGATGCCATTATCTTTGGTGAAATAACTCAGAAAGTCAAATACTGCATGCTCTCACTTATAAGTCAGAGCTAAATCATGTGTACACATGGACATAGAGTGTGGAATAATAGACTTTGGAGACTCAGAAGGGTGGAAGCGTGGCAAGGGTGTAACGTGTGAGAAATTGCTTAATGAGTACAATATATGTTACTCAGGTGATAGTTACACTAAAAGCCAAGACGTCAGCACTCTGCCACATGTCCGTGTAACGAAACTGCACTTGTACTGTTAAATCTATACAAATAAAAAAGAAACTGAATCTTTGCCAAGTTGCTCCTAACTATGTCTGAAGGTCCTCTGGTGATATCTCACACCGGCTCAGAACCAAGACAGTCGGCTCCCTTGTCATAGCCATTGGGATTTCCCTCCTCCATATCCCAGGCCCCCACCCTGATGGGCACCATTGCACATGTCAGGCCCGCCCTGATGGGCACCATTGCACATGTTAGGACCCTTGGCTGCTGGCTCATGGGAGCTGGATACCAAAGCATCTGCTGGGACAGGAGAGAATGCCTGAACCCCTTTATTCTGGTAGAAGAGTATCTAACCAACCAACAGAACTGTATGTTTCTTCTTTAATGTGAATAACTGTGAAAACAACTCTTTTCATTTTTATTTATAGCTCTCTCTCCCCCTAAATTCACACATGCATCTCTGGGGCTGGAGATCAGCTCAAGAGATGGACACCCCATTGTTTCCTGAAACACTCTCCTCTCTAACCATGAAGTCTTATTCCTGGACTAGCCTATGTATCTGCCTCTCCTCTGCCCATCACCCATGCTCATATCATTCACATTAGACCTTTGTATTCTGGGTGAACTGGGGAGATGTGGCCCTTGGGTTCACTTTGATTACTTCCTTGTAAAAATAAACGCTTAATAGCCCTGCCCACTAATTTTTTGGATATGATATTTTAGGCCCAAGCCGGGAGTCATCCTTCCATCACTCTATATTTGGAAGAGGGAAGGATTTGTGGCATCAAATATTTAAAAATAAAAGTAAAAATATTAAAATTAATTGAGTAACTTAATTAAAATAATAGTTTAAAGTGGCAGCAGGGCAAAGGAGCATTTGTAGCTTCAGAAATGTAGTGATCATTCTACAGTCTTTTGAAAAGATAAACCTGACAGGAATTTCTAGCGAAAATGAAAATTGGTGACGGTTGAGCAGCTGCAAAGCAAAAGTGAAAAAGTCCTTGAGTTGTCCTAGCACAGAACGTGCTCACCAGCGCCGTTGGATCCTATCCCTGATACCAAAGGATCCACTGTGAATAGCCCAGCAATTTTTAGCACTGCAGCTGAGTAAAACAGAGTGGCAGATCCAAATGTCATTAAACATTTATAATTTCGGGGAAACCCTTATTTCAAATCAATTCTTCATAACCATTTCCTCAGTAAATTCATTCAACAAGTATTTATCGGGCAGTTTCTATGAGTCAGATAATATTATAGGGGCTGGGGATATAGCAGTGACCAAGACCATTTAGAACTCTATTCTTAAGACATTGCCACCTTCCTGGGAGGAGAAAGGTGCCAACAGAAATGGATAAGCCAGATAATTTAAGTTTCGGATAAAATAAAACAAGGTACATTGTTTTATTGACATAAGGTCAAGAAAAGTCCTCTCTAAAGAGGTGATGTTGAAGCTGAGCCCAGTGAAATAAAGGAGCCTACCAAGTAAAGGCATGGAGAAAGGATGTTCCAGACGCAGGGGCCAGGAAGTGCAGAGACCTGAGGCAGGAATGACCTGAGGGACGGTAGTACCAGGTGAGACAGGGAGATGGGCAAGGGCAAGGGCAAGATCGTTCTGAGCATGAGTCAACAAACTATGGGCCATGGGCCAAATGTGTCTCTCTGCCTGTTGTTTTTTAAATAAAGTTTTATTAGAATACACATGTGCCCCTTCATTCATGTATTGACTATGGCTGCTTTCGCACCATATTGGTAGAATTGGGTAGCGGGGACACAGACTGTATATTCCACAGAGGCAAAAGTATGTAATACCTGATCCTCTGCAAATAAAAAGTTTGCAGACCCCTGGCTTAGAACTCCATACATTTTGATTACATTTTAAACTTAGTAGGAAGCCCTTGGGTGGTTTTAAGCGAGGAAATAGATATGATTTTACTGCTGAAAAATGACTTGTGCTATTCTGTGGAGAGAGAAATAGGGAAACAAGGCATTTCAATGTTCTAGGCATGAGAAAACCATGGCAGCTACGGAGATGGAGAGAAGAGATCACATAAAATTTTTACAGCAAGTGTGTGACAAATCGGAAAATTCTAAATATTGAGTCATTTTATGATGCCAGCTTATTATAACTGATGCCATCTATGTGGAATTACAATAATACTGTAAGCCTTAATAGGTTTATAAATTTTCTGCAAGTATAAACCAGAATCTACCTTCAGTTCTCTTTCTCAGCAACACAGTTAAGACCAGGAGAACTGAATGGTTTTCTCTTCATCCTTCAACTTCCAACATTTAGCAGAGTCCCAGGCACAAATTATCCACCCAATAAATTCCACTGGATGAACAAATGGCTCCAAAGGCCAGAAAGCCTGAATCCCGATAAACTGTTTTTTAATTCAATTTTTAAATAAATGGTTGTATTTATTGAAAATGTATTCATTCTTTCAACAAATACCTTTAGAGTACCTGCCGTATACCAGGTATGCTGTTTAATGAGGATGGGGTTGGAGGGGGTGAATGCATGAAACAGAATGGATGCTGACTCTGTAGAGCTTGCAGACGAAAGAGGAAGTCAGTAAATAAAGCATCACTGTTACACAGGGGAACGTCAGTTTTCAACTGCTACACAGGGGAGCATCTCTCTAGGATTAAGGGAGGGAGATGATGCCTGTCCCAGGGTAACACAGCAGTGGTAATCAGCTGTATATTTTTCTAGCACTATTATGTACTGGATACTGGTCCAGGTTCCACACCTACCTTTTAAAGCAGTCCTTACAAACGTTTGACAATTGAGGAAACAGACACTCAGGGAGGTTAGGTGACTCCGCCGTGGTCACACAGCTGGTGGGTGATGAAGCTCAGATCGAAACTCAGACCTGTATGACTCTAATTCTTGTGCTTTTTCATTTCATCCCCATCCACAACACCCACTGTCCTTTAACTATTTCACCCGTGATGATGTTGCAAGTAATTCCAAAGTTGCTACCTTAAATGTAAGAGAGCATTTTCTTACACAGATGAGTGAGTTTATTTATTTTCATGTGTGTGTGTGTGTGTGTGTGTGTGTGTGTGTGTGTGTGTGTGTGTGTGTGTAGATGAGAAAGAGAAAGAGAAAACCACCAACCTTCCTTAGTCATTTTATAGTAGCCCAGCTTGCCAGGTAACTCCACGCAGCCCATCCTTACTGGTGGTAACCTCAAATAAAGCCAGATTCTCCCCCTAGCGGTAGTTTGAGAGATGCTCAACAACTCGAAGATTCATAAAGCATGCTGAGCCATCCATCAGTCAAGACAGGCCACAAATGTCAGAAAAGATTGATAATCAGCAGGGAGCTTGATAAAGCAGCTTTTACTGCAGCACCCTTGCTCTAAGACTCCCATCCCTTCTGAGAACGCAGTCTAGAGCTGCTGCTTCCATTTATCTATACAAATACCTTTGAATCACTTCACCTTAATATATATATACAGTAAGATTTTTTTAAAGCCCTGAATAATTTATGTATAGAATCACCTCCCTTCTTAACCAAATGGAAGAGATTCAGTATGCTAAGTTCAATGGGAAGAGGGTATATAAAATCCCTTTCAAGTATATGTCTTATAAAATATAGGTCATGAATTGAGTTTTTCAGTATCAAAGAAAAAAAGTTTAATAGACTTACAGCTTTCTTGCTTTAATTATGGGTGCATTTTTTAAAAACCAAGTATAGTACCCAAGCTATTTTATTATTCAGAAGACTGGCTCTTTTCAAAGAAGTGTCAAAAGTTTGGTTTGGGGAATTCTTGTGTTTTCTTTCTTGCTCCAGTTTTCCACTTTTCTTTAGTGTGTCACCATCTTTATCTCCTATGATACTAGTTTATAAAAGGCTTCTAACATGGATGCCTTCCTCTTGGAAGTGGGTTGGGGTTCGTGTTTCTATAGTCAAGCTCTGTATCCTTAAAAAAAGGCCTGCTTTTCAGAATGATGGAGGACCTCGCTGGCCTGTTTCCCTGGCCCATCACATCCAGACTCCAGAGCTGCTTTGCCATCTGTTCCTCTCCTTCCTTCTCATTTCTGCAATTTTACCCTCTATCTAGCTGAAGAGGTTCTATGCTTGTTGGCTCACACTAAAGTCATAAGCCAGGGCTAGAGGGGATGACTTGAATAGTAACATGTGTGTACATATACGTGTGTATGTGTCTGTACATTCACATACACACACATGAAATCAGCTTCGGTCTGTGATGCACCATTCAAAAATGTCTGCGTAGATTTTCACTAGCTTTGGAAACCACGTTTGATGTGGTTTAACTGGAAATATTGACCCACGCAACTAAAACTCAGGTAACCCAAGAGACTACTACTGCTGGCAGAGTCGTGTTTGCTGATTTCAGACACCATGGAGCAGTGGTCCAAGTTTGAATGATTTTGTTCCCAGGAGACACTTTGGGTTCCACACTGGGGAAGAAGAGGGTACAACTGGCATCGAGCGGGCCAAGGTCAAGGACTGGTAAACATACGTCAATGCATAGAACGGCCTCCACAGCAAAGAATCATTTGCCTCAAAATGTCAGTAGTGCCAATGTTTCTCCCTAAATGGAGAAAATGTGGAGTTTTAGTTATAAAGCCCAAATGTAAAGTTGGCAGGAGAGATGCTACAAATTGTAGGCATTGGTTGGTACCTTTTTATAGTGAGCCACAGGAACCCATTCCTCTAAGCAGGATCAATGGACATGGAGCTCGTTTTAACAGTGAGCATTTTGCGAGTGGGAGATGTTGCCAGGCCCTCTGCTGAGGGCTTCCTGTGTGTTATCTCATTGACTTGCCACAGCAGGCTAGAGGCGGATGCTATGATCATCTCTATGTCCCAGTGAGGAAACTGAAACTTCAAGAAGCTAGAAAACAAACTGTCCAGCAGAGCAGAAGCATTTTCCTCAAAATCCATTCTGCTGTCCTTTAGTAACAGACCTCAGTATACCTTAGCAGCAGGTGTCCGTATGAAGACTGTATTGCTCAGCCTCCCTGGCAGCTAAATGTGGTGATGTGAGGAAGTACTGACCAACAAGCTAGAAGCAGGGGTCTATGTTAGACTTCTAGGATGGATTCTGAAAGGAGCCACCTCACCTAGGAAGAGTACCCTGTATTCTCCTCCTACCACCTATTTCTTTTGCTGTCTGGAGTAGCGATATGATGGCTAGAACTCAAGCAGCCACCTTGCTCTGTGACACGGCCTCAAGGGTAGAAAATATGTGCTAGGAAGGCAGGACAAAACACAGAATAAGACCTGATTCTGTTGCCTGCGGAATGCCATGGCAGCCCTGGATTGCTTCTCTCCAGAATTATTTTACATAAGAGAATTATGAACTTCTGTCTTATGTAACTCAGTGTTATGTTGAATTCCCTGTATTTGTAGCCAAATCTAATAACAGCTGAAATATGCAGCATCACTCAACCAGTAAAAATTAGAGCCCAGACTATATGACGTTGAGTCAAGCCACGCTTTTTAACCACTGTGCTTTGCTGCTTGAGACATAAGCCCACTTACACCTCTGTATGCCTTTCATGCACCAGTTTTCCTATGGTAATCAGAAAATTGAGTCTTTATTGGAACAAAAATGGTCTTTGTCTCCTCTGTTATCTTAGAGTTCCTTCCAGAAAGCATTCTAAGGCCTCTTTGACATTAGACATTTTTATTAGGTTAAAAAAAACCCCACTGCCTTATGATGGGAACTTTCTTAGTGTAGTTATTTTGATTTCCTAGTATTACTGTAATTTCAGATCACAGTCTAGTACTAATAATCTGAAGAGATTCCAATAATGCACACCATGATGGGGCTGCCATTTATGTCAGTGTGCTGGCTTCGTGTCCACATTCCAGGGGCCAGAGAGGAAAACTTTAAAGGGCTCTAGAAGGTTTTCAGAGAATATTAATTTTTTTCTTGCCAGTGAATCAAGTTGAAGTGCATCATGAGAAAGTACCTGTGAGTTCATCAGGGAGATCAATGTATTCTGACAAGGGTACAGCACAAGGGTTGAGATGGCTGATTCCCATCTCCAAAAGATCTGGTTTTCAGCTATGTTTCCACTGTGATTATGAGACCTTAAACATGTTATCTTACCTCTCTGGGCTTTGAGTAACTCTTTTGATCATGAGGCTAATAACAATGCCCCAAAAGGATGGCTGTGAAGGTTCTGTGAGCAAGTAGATATCAGGCTTTGAGCACCATGACCAACAAAATGCCACGTGGGTCACAAATACTGGCAGCCAGCAATGGCTTCTTTTCAGTGGTGCTAGTTCAGGAGGGTCTTAGTGTCGTCACCCAGCAGCTTGCAGGAGTTGGAAAGACTCTAGAGACCCATGGAGCTGAATTCTAGTCCTGGCTCCTTCTCTTATCAGCTGTGTTAATTTGAGCCTCTATTTCCTCTACTGAATTGGTGATAATCTTCTGTGGCAGCACTTTGTACGAGTTTGAATTGGGCACATTCGAAATGATTCATTATAGAAATATAAATAAAATTTTATTTGTGCACAGAATTAGAAACAGTGTGCTCTCCAAATTTTAAATATTTGTCACAAATTTGCAATTTCAGAGTGGTTGTCAGGATTCTCTCTCTCACTCTTTCTCAGTTTTAATGAGATATCATTCATATACCATACAATTTACCAATTCATCCATACAAAATTTGTCATTCGGTGGTTTTTAATATATTCACAGAATTGTGCGATCATTGCCACAGTCAGTTTTGAACATTTCTATTATCCCAGAATGGAACCCTGTAGCCATTAGACGTCGTTCCTTATAGTCTTAGGACACCACACATATACTTTGTGTTTCTATAAATTTGCCTTGCTGGGCATTTCATAGAGAGAGAGTACATAGTACGTGATCCTTTCTGCCTGGTTTATTTTACTTAGCGTGTTGTTCAGGTTTCATCCATGTTCTGTGTAGCAGGTAACAGTACCTCCTTCAGTTCTATTGCCAAAGATAGGGCTTCCTTTTAAAATAAATTTGCTCTCGCCATAGGAAATATCGCTTTAGCTTGTGCAGATGAATATGCACCATTCTTCGTCAAGATTAGTCTTGAGTTATGCAAATTCTGAATTATCTGAGATATTCGACAATGTACCACGTACGGAAAATACATCTGTGTTCTGTGTACCTTGCAGTTTTGTTATGAGAATTAAATGAGATAATACACGTAGCAGCAGGGCTCAATATATGGGAGGGGGTTCCTCAAGAAATAGAGCCTTCTACAATTTTAGTTGGTTTGATTGTTTCATGGTAGATCTATTTTTTATCTGCTTTTTCTATAATCTCAACCTTTTTTTTTTTGGATTTGGGCATACACATGCAGGCTTATTGTATGGATATATTGTGTGATGCTGACGCTTTGAGTATGATTGAATCTGTCACCCAGGTAGCACCATAGTACCTAACAGTTAATTTTTCAACCCTTTCTCACCAGCACCCTCCGCTAGTCCCCAGCGTCTGTTATTGCCATTTTTATGTCTAAGAGTTCCTTATGTTTAGCTCCCACTTATAAGTGAGAATGTGCTGTTTTTGGTCTTCTGTTCCTGCATTAATTCAATAGGATAAAGGCTTCCAGCTGTATCCATGTTGCTACAAAGGATATGAGTTCATTCTTTTCTATGGCTGCATAGTATTCTGTGGTGTATGTGTACATTTTCTTTATCCAGTTCACCATTCATGAGTACCTAGGTTGATTCCATGTCTTTGCTATTTGAATAGTGCTGCAACAAACATATGAGTGCATGTGTCTTTTTGGTAGAACAATTTATTTTATTTTGGATATATACCCAGGAATGAGATTGCTTGTTTTAAGTGCTTTGAGAAATTGCCAAACTGCTTTCCACAGTGCCTGAAGTAATTTACATTCCCACGAACAGTATATAAGCTTTCCCTTTTCTCCACAGCCTCATCAGCATCTGTTGCTTTTTGACTTTTTAAAATAGCCATTCCAACTGGTGTGACATGGTGTCTCATTGTGGTTTCAGTTTGCGTTTCCCTGATGATTAGTGATCACAATTTTTCATATGTTTTTTGGATACTTGTTTGTCTTCTTCTGAGAAGTGTCTGTTCATGCCTTTGCCCACATTTTAATAGGGTTATTTGTTTTTCGCTTGTTGAATTATTTAAGTTCCTTATAGATTCCAGATGCTGGACTTCCATCAGATGCATAATTTGTGAATATTTTCTCCCATTCGGTTTGTTGTCCATTTACTCTGTTGATAGTTTCCTTTGCTGTGCAGATCTTTAGTTTAATTAAATCCCACTTGTCAATTTTTGTTTTCCTTGTGATTGCTTTTGAGAACTTAGCCATAAATTATTTCCCAAGGCCAATGTCCAGAATGGCGTTTCCTAGGTTTTCTTCCAGGATTCTTACAGTTTGAGGTTTTAAATTTGAATATTTAATGCATCTTGAGTTAATTTTTGTATATGATGAAATGTATGGGTCATTTCATTCTTCTGAATATGGCTATCCAGGTATCCAGAACCATTTATTGAACAGAGAGTCCTTTTCCCATTGCTTATTTGTATCGGCTTTGTGGAAGAGCAGATGCCTATAGGTGTGCAGCTTTACTTCTCAGTTCTTTATTCTGTCTCATTAGTCTATGTGTCTATTTATGTACCGTACCATGCTGTTTTAGTTACCGTATGCTTACAGTAGAGTTTAAAGTCAGGTAATGTGATGCCTCTGGCTTTGTTCATTTTGCTTAGGATTGCTTTGGCTATTTGGGGTATTTTTTGGTTGTATATGAATTTTAATAGTTTTTCTAATTCTATCAAAAATGATCTTGGTAGTTTGATAGGAATTGCATTGAATTCATAGGGAGCTTTGGGCAGTATCTCATCTGTTTTTGTGTTTATCTCACTTTAAGGAATCTCCATCTATGAAAATTCCAACTGATTAAATAAAAAATTAGTCATAAGTCCCCTCTAACAGACCTGCTCATCAAGTGTCTCCAAGATGCTGTTTAAAAAAATCTGGTTTCTTCCAAAGTGTCAGGCTTTCAGGAGCCCACCAGTGATTCAAGTTACATACCCCTTCATAAATTTCCACGCACATCCACATATTCATGAGGCAATCTGAGACCTTTACCTTTGTCAGCCTGAGTACATTTCTATTATGGCAATGTCACAGCCGCGTGTATGAGCTGTAATGAAAGACAGCTTTTGAAAACTCCTATTCTAAGGTCTTTCCTGACCTATTTCAGCAAAATGTGTAAGTGAAAGACATTTAGACACCTTTTGTCTTTATCTCTTTTTGCCCTAGGCAATTAGGTGCCACAACAAATGACATTTTTGCTCCTTCAGCAAGCCATCATGGCTCACCTCATAGGTGGGAGACACCAGGATGAACACTTTCAAATTCTTTATCCCATTCCATCCCCCCAGTGAGATTGGGTATTACTGTCTCCATGTTTCATGTGAGGACACAGAAGCTCAGAAAGGTCAACACCCATAATCAGAGGGGGAACCATGTAAGTCTGCCTTTGCCTGACCTCAAATACCATCTTCCTTCAAGGATACTGCATTTCCTCTGTCTCATTGTGGGTTAATTACTTCTTAGTATGCCTGCTTTTCCTCTATGATAAGGCACTTTTATACTTATTCGGCGGTCTCTAACATAAGCATTCAGTCCTGCTCCCCAGCCAAGGCTGTGCATATAAATAGGAAATGTTGATTTTATTGCTTATGGGAGATGCAACAGGCAAGCATCAAAAACTGTGGTGGGGTTTCAGCTGGAAGTGTGCACGTTAAGAAGCTGCTCTAAGTCATCCCTGTCCATGGGGTTTTTCCTTACAGCATGAGACAGTCCGGCTATGCCTTGTCCTAATTGCAACTCAAAGGATAAGGTCAAACTACATTTTAAAAAGGGCAAACATCACCAGGAGGAAATTTTCTAGAGTTAGAAAAACTGTAACCAGGAATCTAGAGATGACATTTATCTTTTAAAGTATCAATCAGAGATGCATTCTGTTTCAGGCAACAAAATAGCAATCAGCACAGCTTAAACATCACAGGTTGATTTTCCTCGTATTTCTAGAAGCTGGGAGATGGGTGGCTGCTTCTTGTGCTTCATTGACTTGATAGTTGGCATCTCTGTGAGTCTTTGGACTTTCCTTTGTGGCTCCAAGAAAAAGAAAACATATAAAGCAGTATTTAAATATGTGTAAGCACATATGTGAGTATGCATGTGTGCAAGTATGTGTGTATACATGCATTGTGGGCTAGGGAGGAAGGAATTTGGAATGGATTTGGGGTTAGCCTGTGAGTGGTCCTCACACTGTACCCAAAAGTTAAGAGACCACTAAATGAAGAAGAAACCAGCATTTCCCAAGCTTTTATTATGAATTTGAGAATTAGTTGGTGGTGAGAGGCATCACTGAAATGGTCAATTGGTTAAATAAGAGAAGGAATCAAAGTGAAACTGGCTTCTTTACTGGCAGAATTTTGAGAGACTTCAAGATGTGAATAGGCATGTCAGTTTCCAAGATGATGTCACACCAGAGAATCTGTTATGAGCAGGATGTTCCGTCAGCCTGGCACATGGGAGGTGGCAGATCCTTTGGAACGGCAGCTCTCAGATCCTGAGCTGCTAGGTATCATGGGATGCTGAGTGGGCGTGCTCCTCCTCCATAGAGGAGTTATTAAAGCCACAGAGTTAAAGTAAAATGGCCCGAGAGCAAGACAATGAATATCAGAGAGGGTCACAGGACATCAAGTGGACTTGTGACCTTGGGAGTGTAAGCACCTACAGTGGACAGAGGGGAGTTTGTGAGCAATTTTGGGATAGGAGCCATGACATTAATACTTCTTGAATCTCATTCCCTCCACACTCACCCCTCCAATTTAGCTAGCTTTCTCTGAAAAGCCGATACTCAAAGAATAAAATGTTTACCGAATGAATTAACATGTTATATAAATGTCAACGCAAGAATTTTGGAGGGTCATTTATTTCACTGCTTCTCATGGGGACCAAGCATCCATCTAGGTTCTTGGTAGGAAATTGACTATCTGGGATCCTTAAGATAGACATAATAAGTCCACATACAAAATGGCAGACAGATTTTCTGCCTGTGGATCTACCCAGAACTGTTGGTAGCTGTGTTTTGGGTTTCCAGGTAGTCTCTCCCTCACTTTCCTGTTGACTAGTAAGTGCCTGGCTTTGATGTAACTGTACTGTGCAAGATACAGAGCCATGATTTTCATACATATCACCTCATTTCAGCCTTGCATTATCCCGAGAAATAGATAAAGGAGTTCTCATTTACAGATAAGGACCTGAACCTAGTACACAGGAAACTTACCTAAGTCTCACAACTTCCCTTCACATCTTCTCTAAGACCATGTGAACCTGTCTATATAAAATAGAGCTCAAGATGGAAGAGGTGACTTTAAACTCATAGGTTTTTACCATTGGCCCAGAGGAAAAATGGAGCTGGAACTCCATTACTTGGTTAGTCTAGGGACCAGTGAAAGTAGAGTGATAATTTGGGACTTTTATGAATGTTTCTTTTATAGATGTTTGTATCAGCCACTGTTCTCTAGGGAAACAGAAACAATGGGAAGAGAGTGTGGGTTGGAGGAGGCAGACAGAAGGAAGAAGAGAGAGAGAGATTCATTGTAAGAAATTGGTTCTTCCAAACACCACATGTTCTCCCTCATAAGTGGGAGTTGAACAATGAGAACACATGGACACAGGGAGGGGAACATCACACACTGGGGCTTTCAAGGGGTAGGTAAGCGGCAAAAGGAGGGAGAGAATTAGGACAAATACCTAAGGCATGCGGGGCTTAAAACCCAGGTGTTGGGTTGATAGGTGCAGCAAACCACCATGGCACAGGTGTACCTATGTAATAAACCTACACGTTCTGCACATGTATCCCAGAACTTAAAGTAAAATTTAAAAAAGGATATTGGTTATTATGATTATGGAGGCTGACATCTGCAGTCAGTAGCTGGAGAGCCAGGAAAGCTGATGTGTGGCTCCAGTCTGAGTCTGAAGTCCTGAGAACCAGAGAGCTGATGGTATCATTTCCAGTCTAAACGCCAGCAGGAAGGGCCAATGTATTGTTTAAGTCCGAAGGCTGGAGTGGACTGATGTTGTAGTTCAAGACAGGCCTCTGACTCAGCTTTTTGGTTCTGTTCAGACCCGTAAGTGAGTAGATGAGGCCCACCACATTAGGAAGGGTCATTTCCTTTTCTCAGTCTAATAATTCAAATGGTAATCTCTTCCAGACATGCCCTTACATCCAGAATAAGAGTTGCCCAAGTACCTGGTTACCCCATGGTCAGCTGAGTTGACTCATAAAATTAATCATCCAACTGTTGTAGGCCAAATGTTGGCCCCATGATCTCCACCTCCTGGCATTACTCCTGCAGTTATGTGGCCTCACATGGCAAAGGAGACTTTCTTAGTGTAATTAAGGTTATTAATCAGCTGACCTTAAAACAAGGAGGTTACCCGGGATTATCCAGGTGGACCCAGGTAATCACATGGGCCCTTTAAAGCAGAAGAGGAAGGCAAGAGAGTGAAGAAGAGAGATGCAGCAGCAGAGAAGAGTTAGAGAAATGAGGCCAAAGTTAGTTCAGAGGGTTGCCAATTCTGAGATCCTGAGGATTCAACCTGCTGCTGGCTTGCAGATGGAATTGGGCTGCATGGGAAGTGTGAGAAATAA
Source organism: Homo sapiens (assembly GCF_000001405.40). Taxonomy (NCBI): domain Eukaryota; kingdom Metazoa; phylum Chordata; class Mammalia; order Primates; family Hominidae; genus Homo; species Homo sapiens. The sequence continues at coordinate 83,365,855 of NC_000016.10, forward strand.
ATCCATTCTGCCAGCACCCCAAATGATGCTGGAAAAGGATTTTTCCCCCCAGGGACTCCAATAAGGAACACTGCCCTGCTGAAACTGAGATTTTGGCCTTATGAGCCCCTAAGCAGGAAACCTACTGTGAACCCCACGGAGGTCATACTTCTCACCCACAGATACTGTTGTTGTTTTAAGCCACTTAATTTATGATAATTTTTTACAATAGCAATAGAAAACTAATACAGAATGTGGTTACATTATCTTACATACCATTTAAGAGTAAAGCTGCTTTTCACAACAAAATAACAGGGATTTTTTTAAAAAAGCACACACATTCATAAACTGTTGAACAGCTATCAAAAGTTCGTTTTCAAATGAATTACCAACTTACAATTTTCAAGTATTCCCAATACCAACATCATTCTTAAATTAAAACAGCAACGGAAGCAATCTCAGGGACATGTTTAGCAACACTTCCTAGTGAAGCTCCCAGAATTATGAATACTTTTGGTATGCGTGCGATGCCACTCATTACCACGAACCGTCTTTTGAGGAGGTTGCGCTGACTGCATTAAGGAGCTTTACGTGCGAGTCCCCAGCCCACTCAGCTTTCAGAAGTCACATCGCTGCTTGCCACAATTCACCTCGCTTTCCCAGAGTAGACATCTTTCATAAGATGCTGGGATTTGAAGTGGAAATCACACTGACAGAACGACATCATCCCTGCGATTGGGATAAGCTACCATCATTAAGGAAGTCACAGTTGCTGGTTTAAGGCTTGTACAAGCTTTTCGATATTCTCCAGATAGTCTCCTGACACCTACACCTAGAACACATGTGTTGGAAGTAATCCTTTATGATAGGTCCCTTAATGTACTTGTTTTGGAATATGACCTTCTCCTGACCTGTCTTCATTGCAGAATTGCTGGAAAGTCTGAAATGGGGAGCACAGAAGGTCATGGTGTGGTGGTTGACACTTAGGAACTCTCAAAAAAGTGTATAAATTGCCTTGATTTATCACATACTGTGCGTAAGTTATGCTGTTCTCATTCAGCCAACAGTATGTTTAATACCCAAAGCCCTCTTTTTTTTTCTCCTTCTTTGTTTTTGGCATATAACAGCTTATTGCAGTATAATTCATAGACTGTATGATTCACCCATTTAAAGTATATAATTCAATGTTTTTTGGTCTATTTATAAAGTTACACAATCATCGCCACAATCAATTTTAGAACATTTAATGACTCCCAAAATGAAATTCTGGGCTCATTAACGATCATTTCTCATTTCCTCGAAAACTCTTTGGTACTAGACAACCAATGATCCACTTTCTACCTCCATGGATTTGCCCATTCTGGACATTTCATATAAATGCAGTCATGCAATATGTGGCCTTTTGTGTGTCTTCTTTCACTCAGCATCATGTTTTCAGGTTTTATTCATGTTGTAACATTTATCAGCACTTCATTTCATTTTATTGATTATTAATATTGTATGGGATTATATTTTATTTTAAGTTTTTACGTTATATTTTATGACATTTATCCATTTAAAAGTCCATGGACATCGGGTTGTTACTACTTTTTGGCTACTATGAATAATGCTGCTCTGAACATTTTTGTGTAAGTTTCCTGTGGATATATGTTTTCATCTTTTTCTTAAGTATATATCTGGGAATGGAATTGCTGAGTTATAAAGTGACTCTGTGTTAACCTTTGGAGAAACTGGCAGACTGTGTTTCAAAGCAGCTGTTCCATTTTACATTTCCATCAGCAGTGTATGAGGGTTCTAATTTCTCCACTTTTTACCAACACATTATTATTGGTCTTTTATTATAGCCTCCTTGCTAGGTGTAAAGGAGTATCTCATTGTGGTTTTGATCTGATTTCCTTTTTCAAGATTGCTTTGCCTAGTCTGGGTTCTTTGTATTTCCATATAAATTTTGAAATCAACGTTTCAATTTCTGTGAAAAAAGAGAAAGGCAGCTGGAATTTTGAAAGGCACTGTTTTGAATCAATCTGTAGATCAACTGGAAGAGTATTGTCAGCTTAACAATATTGAGTCTTCCCATCCATGAATATAGAATGCCTTTCCATTTATTTTTGTTAATTTCCTTCAACAATGTTTTATAGTTTTCAATAGACAAGTCTTGCATTTATTCTGTTAAATTTATTCCTAAGTATATTTGATGATATTGTAAATTGAATTATTTTCTTAATTTCTTATGTGGATTATTCATTGTTATTATATTTAATCAATTGATTCTTGTATACTGATCTTGTGTCCTTTAAACTTGCTGGGAGCTCTCTTTTAACATAGACATTATTATGCTTATTTTATGTCTTCATTTATTTGCTCAAATCTCGTAGTAGAGCTACTGGAGCCCAACATTCATATTCTGTTTGTTATACACTCATAATTATACAAGTACATGTGCACAAGTCAAATATTAAACAGATACATACTGAGGTAGCATTGTTCCAAATCCTCATCTATTTGAGCTTACCTTTCTAACGTGTGAACTAATTATGGAAAGAATTTGGTTGCTTGCTGTAGCTCATGACTTAGGACGCATTTTCCCCTCTTCAACTGTCTTTTATTTGAGCCATGATTGAATTATTCACCATGCCTAGTTGTTTTCCTTTTCCTAAACATTTAAAAATTAACTCATTTTCTTTTTTTTCTTTTTTTATTTCAATAGGTTTTTTGGGAACAGGTGGTGTTTGGTTACATGAGTAAGTTCTTTAGCCGTGATTTCTGAGATTTTGGTGTACCCATCACCCGAGCAGTGTCCACTGTACCCAATGTGTAGTCTCGTATCCGTTGCCATGCCCAACCCTTTCCCCAAGTCCCCACAGTCCAATACATTATTCTTATGCCTTTGCATCCTTATAGCTTAGCTCCTACAGGTGAGTGAGAATATATGACATTCGATTTTCCATTCCTGAGTTACTTCACTTAGAATAACAGTCTGCAATTCCATCCAAGTTTCTGTGAATACCATTATTTCATTCTTTTTTATGGCTGAGTAGTAGTATTCCATGTTATATATATATATATATATATATATATATATATATATATATATATATATATATACTAGGTTTTTTTAATCTGTTCATTGATTGATGGGCACTTGGCCTGGTTCCATGTTCTTGCAATTGCAAATTGTGCTGCTATAAACATGCATGTGCAAGTATCTTTTTCGTATAATGACTTCTTTTCCTCTTAGTAGATACCTAGTAGCAGGATTGCTGGATCAAACAGTAGGTCTACTTTTAGTTCTTTAAGGAATCTCCACACTGTTTTTCACAGTGGTTGTACTTGTTTACATTCCCACCAAGAATGGTCATGATCAAAAAATGAAAAAATAATAGATGCGGGGAAAAGGGAACACTTTTTACACTGTTGGTGGGAAAATTAGCTCATTTTCTAGTAGCAGTATATCTCTCCAACAAACAAGTCACCTGTTTTTTTTTCCTGAACACACCATCTCTCATCATTCTTGATGCTAAAATATAAGCATGTAGGTCCAAACCTGTCTCTCCTCCTTTCAGAGTGACCAGAGAGACCCTTCTAGTGTTTTGTTTTGTTTTTTTGAGCTGGGGTCTCCTGTGTTGCCAGTCTAGAGTACAGTAGTGCAGTCATGGCTCACTGCAGCATCTAGCTCCAAGGCTCGGGTCATCCTCCCACCTCAGCCTCCCCAGCAGCTAGGACTACAGGTGTGCACCACCAGGCCCTGCCAATTTTTTTAAATTTATTTTTCGTACAGATGGAATCTCACTGTGTTGCCGAGGTTGGTCTCACATCCCTGGCCTCAAGTGATCCTACCACCTCAGCCTCACATAGTGTTGGGATTACAGGCATGAGCCACCATGACTGTCTTCTTCTAGTCTTGATGCCTCTCCTCTCCATCTGTAGACCCCACTCCTCCTAGGTCACTTCCTGTGACCCCACACCAACATCCTTTCTCTAGAAACGGCCATTCCCAAACTGTGAGCCTCGTGTTTGTATTCATGACACATATGTAGCATCCACTGTGAAGTCAAAATTAAGGTGAATGGTAAACTCAACCACCTGGCTTCATGTTGACCTTGTCCCTAGACTCCCATTCCCTGCAGCTGGTCTTGCTCTCTACTTTGAAAACACAGTTGATGCCATCTGAAACGATCTCCTCCACTTGGATCTCTCTGCCCGTATTTACCTGTATCTCCAATATCTCCTGCTACTCAAGTATCTTCTTTTTATTAAAACTTTCATATCGTTGGCTAGGCGCGGTGGCTCACGCCTGTAATCCCAGCACTTTGGAAGTCTGAGGCGGACGGATCGTGAAGTCAGGAGATTGAGACCATCCTGGCTAACATGGTGAAACCCCATCTCTACTAAAAAATAGAAAAAATTAGCCGGGTGCGGTGGCGGGCGGCTATAGTCGCAGCTACTCGGGAGGCTGAGGCAGGAGAATGGTGTGAACCCGGGAGGTGGAGCTTGCAGTGAGCCAAGGCTGCGCCACTGCACTCCAGCCTGGGTAACACAGCGAGACTCCATTTCAAAAAAAAAAAAAAAAACTTCCATATTTTCAGTTCTATCTTCTTTTTATTCTTCCTTTACCTGTACCTTTATTGATTTATTTTAACTTTTGTTTTAGGTTCAGGGGTACATGTGCAGGTTTGTTATACAGGGAAATTGTGTGTCACAGGGGTTTGGTGTACAGATTATTTCATCACCCAGGTAATAAGCATGGTACCCTATAGGTAGTTTTTTTGTTCTCACCCTCTTCCCACCCTCCACCCTTAAGTAGGTAGGCCCTGGTGACTGTTGATCCCTTCTTCGTGTTCTTGTGTACTCAGTGTTTAGCTCCCACTTATAAATGAGAACATGTGGCAATTGGTTTTCCATTTCTTTGTTACTTTGCTTAGGATAATGGTCTCCATTTCCATCCATGTCACTGCAAAGGACATGATCTTGTTCTTTTGTATAGCTGTGTAGTATTCCACATTATATATGTACCATATTTCTTTAATCCAGTCTACTGTTGATGGGCATTTAGGTTGAATCCCTGTCTTTACTACTGTGAATAGTGCTGCAGTGAAAAAATGCTCAACATCACTAATCATTAGAGAAATGCAAATAAAATCCACAATAAGATACCATCTCACACCAGTCAGAATGGCTATTACTAAAAAGTCAAAACGAAACAGGTGCTGGCAAGGTTGCAGAAAAAAAGGGAACATTTTTACACTGCTAGTGGGAATGTAAGTTAGTTCAGACGCTGTGGAAAGCAGTTTGGTGATTTCTCAGTGAACTTAAAACTACCATTCAACCTAGCAGTCTCATTGTTAGATATATACCCAAATAAATATAAATCATTCTGCCATAAAGATGCCTGTACTTTTAATTCTATTTTCTGTTGACTGCCCCATGGCCTTTCTTTTTAAATCATTACCCTCTCCTTCCTGCATCTTCAGTCACATTCTCCATCATTTCTTTTGCATTAGTGGAGAAACATATCCAGGTCTCCCAATCCTAATATGAGAGAATCCACTATACCCCTGCCTTTTTGTTCTTGCTTACTGCCCATTATAAGCCCTTTTCCTCTTTCTTGGCATACTTATACTTTCTGAAAATGCAATGTTTATTATGTCAGCCATGTATACATCTGCTGTTGTGAAAGATAATTTTAGGTGGCATAGAGGTGATCTTTTATAATTTTAATAGCTATTTATTTTGATGTACAACTAAGCAATACCTGGTACGTTTCCATAATTTAAATCATATCATTGCTTAGAAGTAAGTTAAATTTCAAAAATCAATTTAAAGTATATTGAAAGTAGATTAATAGTGGTACTGTCAATACTTACATATGAATCACTGAAATACTGGAAGGCTTTGCATGTAAGAAAAGCAGAACTTTAAAGACAAACGGAACTCAGAGTGGATAGTACCCCTGAATGGACAGTGCTTCACGAGTCTTTTCTGGATGACCCTAAGAAAGTTAGTTGTCTACATTGCAGAAAGGCTATGAAGATTAGAGCAATGTATTTAAAGGAACAAGAACATTGTCCAGAAAAAAAATAGGTGTTTAATAAATGGTAACTAATCATCCCCCGGACCGTATATACAGATATATAGGGATACCTTTGGGGAAAGTAGAATGGCCCAATATGTAGGTTATTCAGTTCCACGTAAGTGGGTGTTCACGAGATGCTTCCTGATTTGAAACATCACCATCATCAACAATAACAGCATTGATGAGAGGTCATCATGGGCCACCACTGTACTACGCCTTTCAGATGTACACCTCACTCATTCCCAGTTTGCAACAGCTTTGTATGGGAGGTTCTGTAACATCCCCACTTTATAGGTGAGAACACTGAGTCTCAGGGAGGTGAAATATTTTACACAAGATTGCTCAACTAGTGACAGGTGAAGCAGAGATTCAAATTCCAGAAGTCTGATTTCAAAGTTGTCTCTCTTAACCACTGTGTTGTATCTCAAATCATGACAGTTCTAACTTCATGTGTCATGGTACTTGGCATAAGGACGTTTTTCTCCCCATTCTTCCCCAAATTCAGTGCAAAAAATATATATGCTGAGTTTTTCATGGGCCAGGTCTACTCTATTCTTAGAGAAAGGGTCGGGTGCGGTGGCTCATGCCTGTTATCCTAGCACTTTGGGAAGCTGAGGCAGGTGGACCACGAGGTCAAGAGATTGAGACCATCCTGGCCAACATGGTGAAACCCCATCTCTACTAAAAATATAAAAATTTACTGGGTGTGGTGGCATGCAACTGTAGTCCCAGCTACTCGGGAGGCTGAAGCAGGAGAATGGCTTGAATCCGGGAGGCAGAGGTTGCAGTGAGCCGAGGTGGTGCCACTGCACTCCAGCCTGGTGACAGAGCGAGACTCGGTCTAAAAAAAAAAAAAAAAAAAAAAAAGACAATGACAGAGAGCGACAACTCATCTCTGCATCTCTGCTTTCTGTGGGGAAACTTGCAAGTAAAGGAGACTGACAAGTGATGGCGTTAAACTGTGCTAAGTTGACAAAACACAGAATCCTCACTGCCTATGAATATGGATCTAGGGAAGCCAGCAATGGACCTTTGGCAGAGTCAAGTGAAATCTTTATAGGAGATGAACTGAAATAGTTTAGAAAGAATGCATTAAGATAGTTTTACCTAAATAGTTTATCGTCATATCAATAAAATTGATCATCTCTATCACCAGTTTTAAAGTTGGCTTTGACAACTTTTCCAAAGCCAGAGTTTGGGCATATTTGGGTATTTCCATAATATTGAGCAAATGTTTAAACTATATTGAAAACGTTTGCCGTGCATAACAGCATCCCAATAGGAAGCAGACGGCATGCTCAAACTAGGACAGTTGTAGGAGGACCTATTTTTAAAAGGGCCTAGTTACAAAGGGGAATTGCAAAGGATAGGAGCATAACCTTGGGCAGTAAGAACTGAGTAGGAACAGTGCTCCACAGAGAGTGCAAAGTAAGCTGATGGGTTGAAGCTAAGGAGCAGGGAAAAGATCTAGAAGGCTCCCAGGCAGAAAGTGATTGGTAAGCTGAGTCTTGAAGGAATCCCTTCTGGATAGCATGAGAAGCTTGTTCCGGAAGAAGGAACCTATGTACGAAGACCTGAAAGAGTAAGGCATGATCTGAGAATACAGGTAGAGGGGGTGTGACTTGGGCATAGGCTATGGGGATGGCAGGGAGTAGAAAGGGCTGGAAAGGCCACCATGATACAGGTGTTGGAGAGAGGCAGGCATCATGCAAAGTGTATGTGTTAAGACTATTAGGAACAAAATATTTGTGGATTAAAGATATAACACAGTGGTTAAGAGAGGCAGCTTTGAAACCAGACTTCTTGGATTTGAATCTCCGCTTTACCTTTCACTAGTTGAGGGATCTTCGATAAAATACTTCACCTCCTTGAGACTCAGTGTTCTAACCTATCCCTAGACCTGAGGAATGAAGGAAGAGTCACTGATCTGGAAGGCGTGAGTCCCATAGAGAGCCTCGTGGGAGGAACAGAGACCACCAGCATGGGATACATCCAACCGCAGGCAACCCGAAAGGGAAGGATCCAGGGGAATGAGCATGCTGACCTTACTCAACCACCACCTTCTGATCTCCAAACGCAACAGGAAGTCGAAGGTCTTTCTCTATTCAGGCCAGCCTCTAAGGACAGAGGGGAGGCAGTGGAGGGTACTAAGGCGTGCTAAAGGGTCACACTAATGATGCTCCGCAAAGAGTGCAAACTTTCTTATATGTTCTTGCTGCTGTTCCATAAAGCAAAGACTGGATCCACATAACCTGATGGAGCAAAGTCTTAGTCCAACCCCTTAGCCTGCAAACTCTGGAATTTTAGAAAAGTCAATAGTGTGCCCCAGACATATTTCAATATACCTCCATTTTACTCCAGGTAAAAGGTTTCTTGCATCCATTTAACTATTGTAAATGAATAACCATGTGACCCTCAAGAAGATTCCAAGCCAAATTCCATTGGTTTCTAAGGTCTTAGGTTTGCTTGCTTTTGGCAAAGAGTGTACTTATCTTTTCATGCATGCCTTTAAAGAGACCATATTTTTTCTCTGATAAAGTCAATTATCAGTGTATGTGCTGCTCTGTTCACAGTTTTGACTAAATAGTGCAACATCTACGTAGAAAACATACCCCAAACTTGAGTTTTCCTGGGTTGTGCATTGTACATTGTCAAAGCGTAAAGAACATCTGAGTTGGAACTCGTACCCACTTCAGGATATGAGAAGATGCAGGTCAGTGATTTGTTTCGAGGCGGAAGAAGCTTAAAGAAAGTACCTTGCGCTGTGTGTTCCTCCATTAGCATTTGTTATTATGAAAGCATTAGACTATCTCTGGATGTTTTCCACACACCTGAGAGTGTGAAAGAATGACAGGTACCTCATTAAAGATGCATAATATCTAGTCTCCTGTTCTCACACAGACTCCAACCACTGGTATGAATATACTGCTTCCATATGAGCCTGCTGCAAGCCAGCCAGATCCTATTCAGAATATCTCCTTTCTACCACATCCAAATGTGGGCAGCCTATATATACAGATTTGAAGTGCAAAGGGTTTGAGTCAACTTTTTGATAACCGTGGGGATTTTCCATCTCAAGAAATTCCGAAAATGATGTAATGATATAATGTAGCAGAATTTTAATTTAGTAGGTAGGATTAAGAGCTGACAAATTTCCTCTCTTTAAGTTTCTTTAATTCTGTCTGTGCAAGTCAGAGCATTCGGTATATTCCCACCCTCCCAGCTGATATGCTAAAATTGGTTTCACTGTACTACTCTCAGGCATGCAATGAGCTAGGCAAAGCTGTTTAGTTACTTGCGATCTGTTTACATTACATAGAAGGTTGGTTAATTAGAAATAATCATGTTTCTTAATTAAGGAACAAATTGATTTTTAAAGAAGTGCTGAGGCCCCCTTGGGCCACAGCAGATAAGGGACTGAGCTCATGGTTTGTGGTTGTCTGTGTGATTCTCTTTAAGGAGGGTCTGAAGTGTACAGTGACACAGCTATCAGTGGCTATGGAATCAAATATTTGTAGATTAAAAATTGTACTCATTCTGCTGACATCTTATGAGTATCTGTTGTGTGCAGAGAAATATGTTGGAGGACTCTGGGAACTTGAAGATAAGTAAGACAAAATCAGATCTTTAATGGAGCTGAGGGTGGCATGGTAAAAACAGGCTTGTATGTTGTATATTTAGCAAACTGTGTTAAGTCCTAGAAGAGAGATGGGTAAATATCCCAGGAAAACACTGAGAGCAAAGTAAGCTGATGGGGTGAGGCTAGGGAGAAGGCAAAAGATCTAGAAGGCTCCCAGGCAGAAAGTGATTGGTAATCTGAGTCTTGAGGGAACCCCTTCTGGATAGCATGAGAAGCTTGTTGCAGGAAGAATGAACCTGTATACAAAGACCTGAAAGAGTAAGGCTTGATCTGGGAATACAGGTAGAGGAGATGTGACTTGAGGGTAGGCTATGGGGATGGCAGGGAGTAGAAAGGGCTGGAAAGGCCATGATACAGGTGTTGGAGAGAGGCAGACGTCATGCAGAGTGTATGCATTAGGACTATTAGGGTGAGTTTAAGCAGGGAAAAAAAATTGCATCAGCTCATTTATTTAAAGGACCAAGAGGAGCTTTAGGGATAGCAGTATCTAGGTGTTCCAACTGTATTGTGAAGAATCTTTCTTACTTATTCCTTGGCTCTGCTTTTCTCTGGGATAGCTTTCCCCAGGTGATAGCAAACAAAAATGGCCACCTGGCATTTTCCCTACTATTTTAGCAAATGAAGCTGCCCCTCGCCCTTCATAAAAGTATTGTTCCCATGTAACTCCCTTTAAAGTTTTAGGTATGCCTCTGTTGGCCCAGTTTAAGTCATGTGCCCATCCCTGAATTAGTCTCTGTATGCACAGATGTGGAAGACTCAAAGGGGCTTGTGCCTACACCTAGAGCCAGGTATGGGGGAAAGGTGATACCAGCCCTTCCTCAACTTCAAGGACTAAGAGTGAAAGAATGGTGGTCGCTTAAGGGAAAAGGAGAATGCTGATATCAAGAGCAAGGAGAACAGACGCAGGACAGAAATAAATAGATAGCTAGTATGCAAAGATGTCAAAGTGACAGCTCTTGATGAGTTTTGAGTAAAAACGACATGGACACATTTTCATTAGAAAAAAATTATTCTGGCTTTGGAGAATGGGTAGGAGAGAGGAACATCTAACTCGGTGAGATGCTAGCATGATGACAAGGGCTTGGTCTCAGGTGGTTGTGGTAGAGATGGTGAGCATGAGACATGCATACTCTAGAGAGAGTTAGGAGGTACAAAAGATGGACTTGGGGGTTTCTGATACATTACAAAGGGCCAGAAATCTTTGAGCATCTTGTCCCCTCCCCTTGATTCTAGGTGAGGAGGGGACATTGATTTGACCAATACAATATGTAGAAGTGACACTCTGCCACTTCTTTGATCCAGGCCTTAAGAAATGGGTTGATTTAATTTACTGTCTCTTGCAACGTTCACTCTGATAGAAGCCAGCACCACATAAGAAGTTTGGCTACCTGGAGACTGCCCTGTGTGGAGATGCTCAAGCTATATGAAAGGGCCTTGAAGGATGACATACTGTATGAACAGAGAGGTCAAGGAGGAGTGAAGCACTATTCATGGGAATAAAGGAGCTATATCAGAATTAGACTCTCCAACCCTGGCTGACCTCATGAGAATCTGAGATGTACCACCCAGCTGAGTCCTTCCTGAATCCCTAACCCACAAAATCATAAACACGATAAAAGTGACAAAATGTTTAGATGTTTTCATTCTACAGCACTAAATAACCAGAATAAGAACTGAATTAAACATAAAAAGGAGGGAGGGGTTTATGTTATCAGCCAATGGCAAGCACCACTGAAGTTTTTAACAAATATAAGACAAAAGGTTAAACCACACATCTGGCCCACACCCAGCCCCCAGTTCCTAAAAAGCCTGGTCCATCTCTTCCTCTTCTTGCCACATCTCAAAGGCTATCTCTCTATGTGGATATAAATTATAGATTTAGGTTATAGTTTCCCTTCCTCCTGGGGTTTCCTCTTTGATGGGACTGTCAAACTCTTGGGTGAGCTTTATTGTCAGTCACAGGGTCTGTCAGTTTTCCCATAGTAGTATTATTTCACTCATCCTTTAATGTGCCCATTGGTGGTGACAAATTTTCTAACATGCAACCACAGGCCATAAATGTAAAAATAAAGCAAAAGTCATTGAATTGAAAAGCAGGAGACACTTTGCAAGGCTCCAACCAGTGAGCTTCCATTTCTTCTGCCTGATAATGACTCCCACACTTATGCCATTTCTTGAGAACTGTAACCAGAAACCCATGTTTTGGGAGTCAATAGAATAGATCAGAGCAAAGACAAAGGCAAGAGAAGTGAGATTGGTCTTTGTTCTGGTGTTATCTGGTAGAAAGACCATAACACACAGCTAACCAATAAGGTACTTTGCAAAAATTAGAAAAAGGTGTCCCCTTCAAGCAGATAAGTTCTGAGAAAGTACCCCTCTGGAAAGAAGCAGACCATTGAGGTCTTGGCTTAATGAGTAGAAGATGAATTTGCATGTAAAACAAATATATCCCTTCTTCCAGAGAGCTGAGCAAGAGGAGGGCAGGCTGCTCTCAGTACCCTTTGGACCCGCTACCATGCATGGTGGCTTTGAAAAAGCCAGGCATTTGCTTCCTAAGAGCACACCTTGCAGAAGCAGCATCACCATCATCACTACGATTTATCCAGCCTTTGCTCTATGGTAGATGCTGTGCAAGTGCTTTCGGTCTCATCCTGAAACAACTATTGATATAGATGCCACATAGATGACAAAACAACAACTGAGAATCTTGATGCCTTGCCCTGAAACACACAGACTAGGAGTGGGAGAGCTGTAACTTACACCTGACCTTTCTAGCTCACATGTGGCCTCCTGTTCAGCGGAGAGGGACTTCTTGGAGAGGTGCCCTGAGAAAAACACATCCCTTGACCATGAGTTTTTAACAGTATCAGCTCTCATCGGGACATTATTATGTTCTAGTTGTCTGCAACGATAATATATGTGACTGTTATTTTGTCTCATATCTCCAATAAAGGGGTCCCCTTCAGTTGGATTGGCCATACCTTCAGGTGGGATGCAACTGTGAGTCTGTGTACATGGCCCAGAAGCAAATGCAGCACAGTGGAGTGATTAAGACTCTGATATGATCCAGTTATTGCTGGACTGGATCTCTGTTTCTTATTATCATATTTGCATGACCTTAGGCAAGATACTTGACTGCTCTGAGCCTTAGTTTCTTCCTCTTTAAATTGGGATGACTGTAGTTTGTTATAAAAATGCTGTAGATAATTCCCAGACTTGTAGGTAACACATATTATTAAACAGTAGAACTGTCGTGACCATTACCAGAAAGATTTTACAAACACCCTAAAATCATCATAGGATTCAGCTAGTGTTCTTAGCCTTCTAAGCTCACACCATTGTCTCATGCTAAACTTGTGGTCCACCAGAAACTTAAGTGCATATTTCTTATAATTATTTCCAAGATAGGTTTCTCCAGTTTAGAAATTGTATATACACATGCATCTATATATATATATATACACACACACACACACACACGTGTGTGTATAACATATGCTTATCCTTGATGTCATATTTACCCATGATTTTTATTTTAATTAGCTTTACCCCATGGGAAGAATACAATGTCTTTTGTCTTCAACCTGGTTTGTTGGCAATTATTCTTAGCCTTTTTAAAATATTCAAAATCTCATAAGCATGCATTCTGCATCTTCACCAAAGTAATAACAACTGTATATGGTTTAGAAGGGCACTGACTACCTCTCCCTCAAGTGTCAACTAAAAAATATTAGATACGAAGCTTGAGTCAAGAACTGTCCTGGGTGCTGTTGACTCTTCTACGTCCGGTGTCTTCCATGGCCTATGGTACAAAGTCACTCCAGAACATTGGATGGATGGATGGGTGGAGAGACGGATGAGTGGATGGATGGATGGTAAGGTTATTGAATAGAATAGAATTATATATTTATGTTTACCTTTGCCTAAAAGGCAACCATACAGTGTTTTGGTGAGGTTGATCAACCAGTTATATATTTACCTAAGAGTTTGATCACTCAGCCCACGTTTTCCCATGGTATGCACAACTTGATCATGAGAAGGTTTTCACAGGCCTTCCTGAAATCATGATACTATATATTTGCCAGGCTCCTGGTTTATCAGTTACACAACAACAGACTTGAAGAAGAAAACCAGCTCACATCTGTGCACAAGGAGACACACAGTTGTTCATTACTGCATTGTTTGAAAACCACTACGTTGTAAATTGCATAAATGTGTATCAATGGGTGAATGGCTAATAAAAACTTTAAAAATAAATATAAAACTGCCATTCAAAGGAATGAACGAAATATTATATAAATATATAACCCAATAATTTCTATAAAGATTATATGTGTGTGTATATAGATATATGTATTATATATGTGTGTGTGTATATATATATATATATATAGAGAGAGAGAGAGAGAGAGAGAGAGAGACTGTCCCAGAACAAGGAAGCCAATTTTAGGGCATATTCCATATAATACAATTTTTAAACAATTAATAAACATATACATAAAATATACCATATTATTCTCAGAAACAAATATATGCCTAAGATGATTCAAAATGGACATTGGTATTCTTGCGTGAGGATGAGAGTGGTTGTCATTGGTAAAAAGGTTGAAAGTCATAGAACAGGATATGACGGATCAAAGATCTTAAGCTTTATCTGTAATATTTTATTTCTTTTAATAAAATAAAGACAAAGCAAATGTGACAAAGTGTTACCAGTTGGCAATTCCAGATGGTGGGTGTGCTGATTTTCATACTATTGTTCTTTGTGCTTTTCTGTGTTTTCTTAAAATTCCCAAAATATGAAACTGAAGAAGGAAGGTAACCATCATTGGTTGCTGACTGTCAGCCCATTCATTCTATTTTTGCTCCCAGCTATTTTTTATTTGAAGATAAAAGACGTGACAGATACACGTGAAACCTTTCTATCTACCTACCTAATTTAGGATTAGACTTAGCTGCATGTAAAAGAAAAAAAAATCTCAAGAGTGAGACATTTCTTTTTATCACATAAAAGACATTCAGAGGTCTGTATAGGGCAGTCTGGAGACGTCATTTGGGACAAAATTCTACCATTCTCAGCACGTAGATTCTGCCCTCCAGGCCACTTCATGGCTCAAGGTGGCTGATTGGAGCTCCAGCCTTCACCTCCATATTCTAGACCAACAGTACCCTCCCTTCCCAAAATTACCTCTGCTTACAGCTCATGGGCCAGAATTCATCACATGGCCATGTAACTGCAAGGGGGATAGAGAATATCATGTTTCATTAGGGCACATTACCCAAGGTTTTTTTTTTTTTTTCCTTTAATTAAGGAAAAAGAGAAGAGTGTATATTAGGAAGTAACTAGCAGCCCTGCCACAAAAATGCCCTCATCCTCACTGCCCTCCCTCCCTTCTCAGAGGAAGGCACTCTCTTAGAGTTAGTATATAACCTTCTTGTCTATGTTTCTATAATTAAATAACTATGTTCCTATCCATTTAAAATACATGGTTTTATTGATCTTAAAGTTTTAATAAATTCTGCAATTATTGCTTTCTTGTTCCAGGAAACATGCTAAGTACTTCATGCTTATTATTTCATTGTGTCCTCAATAGATGGTAACAACTACCTATTTAATAGTTGCTTGCTTTTTTCACATTTTAGCAAATGTACCTTTTTCTAATTTCTAAAGTTGATGTTCCCTCCTTGCCATCTGGAGTGAGCACATCTCTTTAGCCTCCACCAGTTCCTAACTGCCTGAAATTTTCCCAGAAATCGTGGACTCCCCCTTTCCCTGCCCCTTCATGTCTTCCTGGATTTCTGACATCTGGCTTCTCCTGCCTGTGCATTAAGAGTTCCAAACCTCTCTGACTTAAGCCAACAGTGACTTTCAGTGTTGTGCGTTCCCTATCCATGTTCATGATTTTTTAGCACCGAGATCGCATCAGCAAGAACCCTCAAAGCCCTGGGATGCAGTTCTTCTGGATCTCAAGTCTTGAACACATTAAATGATAAGCTCTTTACAGACTTTCTCTTCCCAATTATTAAGCAGCAATTACCCTTCACATCACCTTCTCCCATATCACCTCTATAATTCCAACCACTCTCACCTAAAAAAGCTCACCTAAACCCACCACTTGTCTATCTGAGTCAAATCATTCCAAACCAAAGCTGCACATGCCTGAAATTAGGGATTAAAAAAAAAAAAGTACCAAGAGGATAAACACCTTCCTTCCTTTACTAGATCCAGGGTATTTTTCAACTGAATGCAGCCATTGCCACCCTATATTTGGCTTTTAGAGACAGACTGAAGTCTAACAAGTTGCTCCTTATACTTGAATTCACAAGTATAAAATCATATGGATGACTTGTGCACCTTGCTGTCATTCTGTGCAGAGCTCTGCCTGTGCACTCCTTCCCTCACTTACCGAGGGCCTAGTTCATCCTCCACCTCTGTGGACACAGGAACGACGAAAAAGTCTCCCTTATGACCTAACGGCTTAGAGCATGGGTCCCATAATCCAATGTGAATGGGCTTCCACCCCAACTCTACCAGCTACTTATTGTGTGGTTGTGAGTAAGTCACCTACCTTCTCAGAACTTCTGTTTCTTCATCTATAGTAGAAGGATACTAATTCCTCCACCATAGGGATGATTTGAGGACAGCACTGACTAATAGCCATAAAGTACTTAGCTTGCTGCCTGGCACATAATGAAGACAAAAATGAACATTGACCAATACTAGCATCATCTGCATCTCCACCATTTCCACCATCATCCTTAATTGGTTGTGCAAATAAATCCACAAGTACAATTTAATCAGGTAAATTAATGGAAATATTTTATTCTGGGGTTATTTTAAATGTACAGAAAAGTTGCACGAACAGAACAAAGAACTTCCATACCCCCTCATGCTGATCCCCAGCTATTCACATTTCACTGCGTACACTCTATCTCCCTATGTATGTATCTATGTGATGTCCCTTCAACCCTCAGTGCTCCATCATATCTGCCTCCCCAAGTACACCCTCCTGCATAACCACCATGCAAACCCACAAGTCAAGAAATGAGCACTGAAACAAAACCCAGTGCATCAATACATTGATGCAATGTCCAATCTCCACACCCCGTTCAGGGTTTTTCTAGCCCTCCTACCTTTCCCTTCTTAAAAATACCTTCTGCAACAGTGAGAAATCTTCATTAACCTCAGATCTGTCCAGCTGTCCTAGTGATGTCTCTTTTTCATATCTGGCCCAGGATTCCATCCAGTTACACCAATGGTTCTCATCTGGAGCTGACTTTGCACTCCCCTCTGACCCCACCCATGGTACATTTGGTAATGTCTGGAGACATTTGATCACACAAGTGGGAATTGGTATTGACATCTAGGGCTTAGACACCAGAGATGATGCCAGACACCGTGCAGTGTGCAAGACAGACCCCAAGAATTATCCAGTCAAAAATCTTGAAAGAGCTAAAGTGCAGAAACCCCGAGTTACACATTGCATTTAATTGTCACATCTTTGCAGTCTGCCCCAGTTTGGAGCATTTCCTCAGTCTTTCCCTGACTTTCATCGTCCCAACAGTTTGGAAGAATGCAGCCCTACATTCTGCAGTGTGATGCTCAACGTGGTCCATCTGATGTTTCCTCGGGACCAGTTTCAGGTCATACGTTCTGGGGAGAAAAACCACAGAAATGATGCCATGTTATCAGTGTTCCACCTGCTGGGGCACACACAACCAACCCTGCCCAAGGCTCAGGAATGTTAGCCTCTTTCACCTGGTCATGTCAACATCCTCAGGTTTCCCCCCAAAAAAGTCACCATTTTCCCCTTTATAATCAAATTTGCAGCAAGATATTCCAGATCATCGATCTTGTGATATGCTGCTCTCATGAGACCTCAACTCACAAGCCTTGACTCACCTGCCAGTTCTTAGCTGAGCATCTGCCCTGATGGTGTGGAGTGATTTCCTTTTTCCATGGCTCCTTGTACATTTATGGTTGGCATTCTACTGCAAGGAAGACTGTTTCCTCTTCTCCCATTAGTATATTCATTCATTTATTTTTTATATCAGAATGGACTCATGTGGTTTTAATTCTTTGGGTTGTTTTCTGTTGCTGTCTTTCTTTTTTAATGCTGTGCTTAAATTGTGTCATATTTGGCCAGGGGGAGCCTGGGGCTTTTGATAATTCCTCATTTATTTTTACTGCTTACTTTCTTATACAATGAGATATTCTGAACTCATGTTGTACCTTCCTGCCCAACCCTGGATTGAGTGACTTCCTCAAGGAACCTTGGTTTCTTTTCATGGAGGGTGGTCTTTAGAAATCAGTGTCTGGGTATTTGGTGAGGTTGTGGCTGCTGGAGTGTCACTGCTGCTAGGTCCTTTCAGCAGACAGAGCAATGATACAGACACACACATATACATACACATATACATCCACACAAATATACGTACATATATATGGGTGTACACATATATACACATGGGTACATCTATATGTACTCATTTATACATGCTTGCACATATGTCTACAACTACTGTATCTCTCTGCATTGTTCATACATTAAATTTAAAACACAAGTTCAAACTGATATCTCCAATTCCAATCTAATATCTAAGGGTTTTTCTAGCCCTCCTACCTTTCGTGTTTATCAATACCTTCTGCAACAGTGAGAAACCTATTATTATTCTCAATATATCTACTAATTGATTTGATGAAATCACATGATGTAACCAGCCTCTCAACCATGCCAGCCATCTCTGCTGACTGCCACCTCTGCCTGACTTCCCAGAGCCCCATATCCCAGGCTACCAGCAGGCACTGGTCCTTCCTTTCTTCCCTCCAAGTCCCCCAGGCCAGTGAAAGAAGGAAATAGACTACCGAGGCGAATTTATGGACAGAACAATAGGGTCAAGGGTTAAGCCAAGAGGCTTATTACAAGAGGTAATGCAAAGAGGCTTTCTGCAGGAATCAACACCTTGAGCTGCCCCAAGGGCATAGAAGCATCAGCAAGGTTAACACCCTGTGGGAACACGAGCAGAAGGAATGGTTCTGCCAAAGGCATGGAGGAAGAGAGCCTGGTCACTCTGGCACTTGCATGTGGGTCAGCAGCATGGGATCCGAGGGTATGGAGAGGGGAGAGTGGTGAAGAGGAGGCTAGACAGGTGTGCAGGGCCACATGGCAAAAGGCCTCATGTGGATCAATGTGGACTAATGATGAATCTTTCCTGTCTCACTCTTCAGGCATGCGCTTGGCTTTTGGATTCTTTAAGTACTCTCAGATAAATCCACCTGTCCTTTCCAAAGTCATTTCCATCTATTATATACAAGTCTCATGAGTTGTCGTGTGTAACATGGTATGTCCAACTTCTAGGAAAGTATTTTGTACATAGTATATGCTCAGTAAGTATTTTAAGGCACCAATGTATATTTTTATCTCAAATAAGCTCTCCTGGCCCTCTTTCAAACAAAGATGGTTGGCAAACAGCAGCCAGCTCCCAGCACAGGTGGCCCCTACTGTCTCTACATTTGTATGGAAAATGTAATGGGTCATGAAATTGCATGCATTAGCATGCGGATGCTTAGACATATATATTTTTTGCAAACATTTCATCCTATAAAAGTAAGGGACCAAAGTATAAAATTCTTTAGAGGCATCAGCTGGAGGTAGTAGTCAATGAGAGAGAATCATTGTTTCCATTAAATAGTACCAGTTTTTGTAAGGCAAGTAAGATCTTCATGTTAATTCTAAGAAACTGTATGCCTCATTAGGCAGCTAAGGCATATTATGATTTGGATGCAGAATAACCCCAGTGATAAATGAATCTCCCAGCAGAGTAGCTTCCAGATTATAATTTCTTTCTTTGCAAGATTGCTATAGGCAAGGTGGCCTGATCACTTTTCAGAGGCCCATCTTAATAGTCAGAGTAAGCTCAGCTATGCTGTAGTAACAAGAAAATCCCATAATCTCAGTGTCTTAATAAATTAAAATAACTTATTTATAACAAAATGTCTAATGCAAATAGGGCTCCTTCATCTTGTAGTTACTCTAGAACATGGGGTCTCTATGGTCACCTATGGCATGGGAAAAGGGATTGAGGTGACATTCAGCTCTTTGCTCAGCCCAAGAATGAAACTCATCACATCTGTTTTCAGTCCAGTGACCAATACTAGTCATGTGGCCCCAGCATAACTACAGGAGAGGCTGGAGAATATATGGGAACCTCCTCACATTCACCAAATGGAATCTTTGGTGAATTCTAAAGATTCCCGGCATGTCCCACTATCTCCTTTTGGGGCTGAGAAAATGAAAGAAAAAACTGACAGGCCAATGTACTGACTGCTCTCTCACCTGGGTCTGATCCCATCTGAAGCTACTTTGGGTGGTTATCACAATGTAGTTTATCATAGTGCTGTGGAATATGAACTATGACCATAGCCAGCCCTATATTCTAGAACCAGCATCTCCATTTGTAGCTATGGGTGCTTGGACAAACACTTCAATGTTCTCCATCTCAGTTTCCTCATCTGAAAATAGAGTAAACAACAGTACCAACCTCATAGGGTTGTGTGGATTAAGTAGTTAGAAACATGTCGCTGTTGAGGAAACATGAGCTGCTGTTGTATTTGAAATGGTGCTGAATTCAGAATCCCATGGAAATCTTCACTATGACAAGAATTAACCAGCCCAGAGCCACATGGAGAAAAGATGTGTGGCCACGATCTCTTGACCGAATCCAGCATCAGAATCCACCAGACAAAACCAGCATCAGGACATTGGCCACAAAGGGATAGGCGTCCCAGGATGCTGGAATGTTGGGGGCAGCGCTATTATTAGAGACACCTGGTCACTGACCCAGCTTTCTTCCCATGGCTCAAGCTGAGACTTGATAGTAAAAACTGCCTTAAATGGAAGCAACTATATTTTTGATGTATGCTCTTCTAGGATGATACTAAAAGCCATATATAAAAGAGGTGTTGGTTCAAAATAAGTGGGATTTTTCAGTTCCACCTATACCCGGATAGTATTACCCACCCTACTTGAGGACTCTAGGAGGCAGGTAAGCTACAGTGAAATGTGCTACCCTTGCTAGTTGTGGTCACTTCATTTAAGGTAAGAGGTTGTATCTTCATTTAACTTGATGAGGAATTTTCCATCATACAATTAGTTTTGACTGCAAGTATAAGAAAATCTAACCATGGTGGCTTAAACAGTTTGGGGGATGTTTGTTGGCTGCTGGTATTGATTCAACATCATGATGATGTCAGGGGTGTCCCCACTGTGATTCTCTTAGCCTTTTCTGCAAGACAGCTGCCTCTGCTCTAGTCATCACTTCTGTATTTAAGGAAGAGATAAGGGGAAGAAGTAAGGTCCACCCCACCTTTTCCATTGCATCTAGAAAGCCAAAGTTTCCCTGAAACATCATCTTTAGCTCCCTGCTGCAAGAGACTTTCGCCTACATTTTCTTAGCCAGAATTGTGTTATATGCCCATCCTTAGTGACAAGGGAAGTTTGGAAAATTAAATACTTGTGTTCATAGACTCTATTATAGAGGCAGGGGAGGAAAACAGGGGCCAGAAATGAGTGTTAGGTCAACCAAGTTACAATGTCTGCCCCAGGAACTTATCCAAGAATAGTATATGTGAGAAGGAGGAGGAGGAGGCAAGGTACCCATTCTTATGCTCACTTGAGATGCCATATTTGATCCTCCCTAGCATTCCTCAACTTAAGGGCTGTTCTTTCTTCTGCAGGAAGAAGGCTTAAGATGTGAACTGGAAAGTTCTTATTCTCCACTGAGAACTAATTGCCTGCAGCAGGTTTCGGCTCACTTCTAGTTGTTTACTATTTTCCAAGTCACTGTGATTCCAGAAGGTATTGGGCCTCAGTGGAGCTCAAAATGGATATTAGCTCTTGGGTGTGTTTCATCGATTTGGGCACAGGAGGGAAATTATACACAGAGGATTGTCATCCTGGACAGTTAAAAATTTAAAGTAAATGAACTGAACAAACCTCCTCCCTTAAATAGTGCTCAGAAATCAAAGAGCTGAAAAAATGTAAATGGGATTCATTAAGAGCTACAAAATTATCTTCTTGTGTTGCTTTGATAAGTTTTTCTTGCAAATCTCTAGAAGTTTAGCTCAGGGCAAGTCTTGGACATGGTTGAGAATGTCTGCCTTATGAATGGCGAAGTGGACAATGGGGACCAGTGAGAAGAGGCTCTTAATATGTGACCATCTTAGGATGCCACTGGCTCCTACAGCAGTCCCCCTGGCACTTTCCCCTTGCTGTCTCTTTCTTTGCCTTGGTTTGCAGTGTTTACACAGCATGTCCAAGTGCTAGTTTGAGTTAATTTTCATTATGCTCATTTTAACACAAAGGACTTGAGTATTCAAGAATTTCTGTAGTGCTGGGTTTTTACTTTCTCTGTTGGCAAGAATTACCTTTGGTTAACCTTTGTCTTATAGACTCATTGGGTTTCAGTTATCAGGACTGGGGTAAAAGACCTCCTAGACATGACACCTACTCTGACAGAGACCAAGAATCCGGCATTGACACCCTGAGGCTGTACTTGGCTGGCAGGTTTTTTATTGTTGTTTGGACTGTGCAGTGTTTTATAATATTTAAGAATCACATTTCTGGGCTAGGCATGGTGGCTTATGGCTGTGATCTCAGCACTTTGGGAGGCAAAAGCAGGCTTAAGTCCAGGAGTTGGAGACCAGCCTGGGCAACATGGAATAACCCTCTCTCTGGAAAAAAAAAAAAAAAAAAATGTTAGCCAGGCATGGTGGTAATGCCTGTAGTCCCAACTACTTGGGAGGCTGAGGTGGGAGGATCGCTTGGGCCCAGAAAGTCGAGGCTACTTTGAGTCGTGATTGTACCACTGCACTCCAGCTTGGCCAACAGTAAGATCCTGTCTCAAAAAAATCACATTTCTGGCTTTTTTTGATCAACGAGATTTGATGATATTGGACAAGTGTTTGGAGGTGGCACCATGGGCAGGAGCTGAGGAGCAGCTGCCTGTTTGGATCATGGCAGCTACAGTCCTCACCACACCCTATTGCCTTGCACTCTTCCCATGATGCTGATTTACCAATCTCTGCATGGCCACTTTAGGCCCTGCGTTGGTGTACCCCATCCAGATTGTCTCCATTGTAAAGCCATATATTTCCAAGGGCACAGCAGGTGTGTGTGGTATGCTGAGAGTCCCCTTCTATCTCTCCACCACCCTCTCCATACTTGCTCCCCAGGATGGCCATGGATACAGCTACATTAGCCTCACCTGGGTGCTTCTTAGAAATTCAGAATCTAAAGCTCAGCCCAGACCTACTGAATCAGAATCTGCCGTTTAATAAGATCCACAGGTGATCTGTGTGCTCATAAGGTGGGAGAAGCGTTGGTCTAAAGCACAATTTTCAAACTTGGCTGATGATAGGAATGACCAGGGCGCTTGTGAAAAACCCATTCCCAGGCACCACCCTAAAACCAGTCAGAGCCGACAGGGAAGGGCTCTGAGAATCCACAGGCTTAACATGTGCCCCAGTGATTCTAAGACAATGGTCAATTAAAAAGACTTGGCTTGAAGACTTAGTTCTCAAACGGGTATGCATCAGAATCACTCAGATTGCTTTTCATTTTTTAATTAAAGAAACATAATTTACAAAAATCACATTATTGTAAGAATTTTAAAAAGTCAGATATGCAAAATATAAAACTATAAAATTGCCATAGTTGTTATTTTAGCGTATCTTAACGTTTTAGTGTATAAGCATTTTTTTAGGTGTTTGTGTGTGTATATTTTTTACCAAAATGAGATCGTACCATAACGTTATTTTCAAATCTGATTTTCTCAGTTAACAATCTCTATCTTTCTATAAGAATAATTTTCCCATTTGACCCCGAATTCCAATTTACAGTGAATTGTTCTGTCTAAACTAGGAGCCAATCCAGATGGATCTGGTTATTCCATCCTTTATGTTTTTTATAAACAAGCACATTCTTCTCCTCCTCAATCCCTTTATTTTATTCTCCACATAATGCTGCCTTATTGATGGACTGGACCATTTATTCTGCAGATAGTCCCACCTTTTAGACTTATCTGGTCACTTCCTTATGGTGTCACATAGCTTGTTGCTCTGTCCTGGGGTGCCTTTGTTTATTCTCTTTAATGCATTTTCCAAGACTCCCCTCAAACTCCAATGAATTAAAGTTTTCAGAGTTTGGGGCCTGGGAATCTGAAGTGGTTCCACTTTGCCAGGTGAGTCTGAGTTTGAGAGGAAAGGTGTCCTAGATCATTCAGCAGCAGCAGAAGAGTTGGCCCTTAAATCTACGAAGAACATTGCCCTGTGCATCTGCATGCAGACAGGGTCTGATAACATCAAAGCTGGGAGTCTCTCCAACGCTTTAACTAATGGGATCTGAGCTCGGCTGTTTATTTATAGTCATTCAGTGATAAGAAAGTCAACTTGGTTGGAAGGAGCTTCTGTCCTAGGCTTGCAGCTGGGGCCTTAGCTACCCTTGTAATTTTCCCAGAAAAAAAAATGCACATCTCTTTGAGTCCTGGGCCATGTGTAAATCAGTGGTAATACAAGAAACATGGAGCACCCCAGAAAATCTTCAGACCCTGAGTTTGGAGCTGAGGAACTCAGAAACACTCAATTTCATCGAAGCCCCTTCATACAGCTTTGAATGCATACATTATGGGGTCTGTGGCTCAGAGGTACCAGTGCTCAGAGCAGTATCTGCTTTCCTAGTATGGCCTGTGGGCAGTGGTCTCAGCATGCAGCATCACTGAACAGAACCCTGCATATGCCATAATTTACGTAGATACTATGGAGGTGGAACCATGTATGGTTAAGTCCCGGGGCCCTGGAGCAGTAGATCTTAACCTTATTGGACACAGTATCCCATTTCTATTTACAAATACTTTTTTTTTTTTCCATGAGAACAACCACAGGGACTTTTAACTTGCCTAAAGATAATGTGTGATTTTGAGATGTGATTAGGGATTATCATTCCCACAGTGATCCTACTATCAACAGGAACTGCTGTTTCTATTATCAACAAGAATATGCCTCCAAGCCAGGAGTCCTGCTGATCCCACTGTCTCCCCACCCCAACAGCCATGGCCCGAGATCAGATTGTCTCCATGGATTCTAGTGCTCAGGGAAGTTAAGAAAACTCAATTCACGGTGCTCAGTTCAACCTTAGACATGCATCAGAATCACTCACATTGCTGTTTAATTTTTTAATTAAATAAAAATATTTATTCAGCCGAGGTAGCTGAAGCAGGAGAAGGAAGAGCCTCAACTCAGGGGAAGATTTGCTGTCACCCCCTGACACTGAGCAGAGGCCAGTCAAATCCACTGGAGCTGACCTCTTTGATGTCAGGCTCAGCAGAGGCCTGGCTCTTAGCAGGCCAGCTTCCTGTGCTTGGGATTGCTTGTCTTAGCTTTCAGAGGATTTAATTGCTGATTCAAACCATACAAAGTACAACGAACAGTATCTACTGGTGGGTTGAACAAATGGGTTCCAATGACTCAGGCCCGAGTGACCTCTGCTGCCTCTAACCTCCTTCACCATCTGCTGCCCAGGGGGTCCTGAGAGGCCAATAAGTATCTGCCAAGATGCTCTTTAGTATCCTTCTGTGACATTCATAAGATGTTAACCTGCCTACACACTTTTTTTTTTTTTTGAGACAGCGTCTTACCCGTCGCCCAGGATGGACTGCAATAACATGATCTTGGCTTACTGCAACCTCTGCCTCCCGGGTTCAAATGATTCTCCTGCCTCAGCCTCCCGAGTAGCTGGGATTACAGGTGCCTACCACCACACCCAGCTAATTTTTGTATTTTTCGTAGAGACGGGGTTTCACCATGTTGGCCCGGCTGGTCTCGAACTCCCGACCTCGTGATCCGCCCGCCTCAGCCTCCCAAAGTGCTGGGATTACAGGCATGAGCCACCGTGCCAGCCACACATTTAAAATAATGATAATAGTAAGCCCCAATTATACTATAAAGGAACAACTAATTTAGAATAGGAGGTCTAGGTAAATATGCAAATGCAAATACTCTGGCGCAACCCCCCTGGAAAACATAATGAAGTGGTCCCGCCAGAGTATCCTCACACAGGGTCACCACCAACACATTGCATCAGCTGCCATGCAGACGAACACAGGTCTGTTTTGCATTGTCACCCAAGTGACATTCAGTATTGCCATTGGTTAGGCAATTTTCCAGAATTGGTGAGATTCTGAACCAAACAAAAAACAAGATCACCTCTTTTGACACAGGGTCTGCATTGTGGTGATGTGTGGAATATGTTCATCTGTACGAAAATATTTGGGGTTTGAGTGTAAAATCGAGTTGGGTTCTAGACTCAGATAAACAAGATTTTTTTTCTCCCCCACCCAAAGACTGTTTATCAGGGTCATTCGAAATGTATGTGGGGCAACTCTATGTAGTCAGGAGCTCCATGCATCGCGGGGTGTCTAACACCTAATTGTCACCTCCCACTAAATGCCAGTAACACCCCCGATTATTGTGACACTCAAAAATCGCCCCCTCGCACTTCGAAAGCACACCCCTATACACACTGATCTTCTGTTAACCCTGCCTTGAATGACTTCGGTAGCCTGAATTCCCATCCTGGCCCCACTGCCTCATAGCTTCGTGGCCCTGGGCAAGCCCACAACCCCCAAACCTCAGTTTCCTCATCTGTGATATGGGTGCATGGAGGAGGTTAAATAACAGCTCCAATCTTAAAGCCTCCTTAGCGCCGTGCCTCACGAGCTGTAAGTACTAAATGAATGCTGGCTATTATATATAACTTATATTGTATATTATTTATGATTGTTCCTAAAATTATCACTAATAAGTGCTTCACAGCAATGAGCTAAGATTCTGAGTGCTATTTCATGGATTTTAGAGAAATAATTAGATTCTAGAACCTCAATTATCATCGTAATGACTCCCCTGATAGAGTTCCAAAACTGTTTCTTTGTGACCACTCACAGTAAGAACATCACACGAATGAATATTCCACCTGTCTTAGGTGTGCACACAGAAGGTACTGACGGTTCTCTCTGAGCAGTTCCAAGCCCTCATCTGGGACCACGTCTTCCCAAGACCAAGCCCTAAGTCGTGATATAAAACAAGAAAAGACGCTGGGAGTACAGTCAGCTTCAAAGACAGAACCAGCGCACGAGGCAGAATCACAGTGTCAGAGCTTCTGTAATTACACGCTAAATTATGCGGTGCCATCTTTAAATTATGTAGGAAATAGAAAAAGGAAAATCTCGGTGGAGGATGGAGGTAGCTTCTAGAAGGAGGTGGGCCTGAGCCGCCCCTGAAGAATGTTGGGAATCTGGGTCAGGCAAGAGGCTGGAGGAGAGAGGTGAAGAGCTGGAAGGAAGTTGGGAGGGGAGAGGCCCAGGGGAGGGCATAGATGGAGGGTGATGGGGTGTGGGTGCCCAGGCCTGGGAATTCAGACCTGCCAATAGCCCTTTCAAGGGCCAGAGACAGTTCCCTGCCAGAATAAATACATAGATAAATACTATTTAAAGCAAAAACAAAGTGTCACCAATATCTAGATAAAGTGTCCCCAAGGATACATCTGGTGCTATTCCGTGAGACCATGTCACCCAGAGCTGGTGCTAAACTGATGCCAAGGGGTGCCCATGGAAATGCCACCTTTGGGTGGGCAGAGGCATTTGGCTCTGCACTGGTTTTTATGGTGTGGGAAAGGAAGCATTCTCGTGGGAATATTGTTCTTGCCTCCAGGAAGGGCTGTGGGAACGTGCAGTTACTGCAGAGGGACATTTCTGAGCATACATGCTTGTTTATGATGATGGATGACTGGCTCAGGAGAGAGCTAAAATGATCCTTTCCCTAGAGATGTGAGGAGAAGCCAGCCCAGAATTTCTGTCACAATCTGCTGCCCGAGTCCAGTGACTCAGAAACAAAGTTCATCTTTACTGACGTGCCATGGCTGCCAGGAACCAGGGCAGCTGCTAAGCCACCAATCCCCAGCCCACAGTTTTGTGCGGAGGAGACATAGACATATATGTTATTGCAATTATGGCTCTACTGAAAGAATGAATGAATTTAATCGAATCAATCATTCATTCAATTCAGTTGAATCATTCATTCATTGAATTGAATCATTCATTCAATGAATGAATCCCCTGGTCAAGGAACCAGGCTCAGCCCACAATGTATGCATTTATTCATTCATTCATTTAACAAGCAATGCCAGGCTTCTGGCCTCAGGGAGTACATGTTCACCCCCTAGTGGAGGGAGACACACAGTAAACATAGAATACATTAGGCAATGAGAACTGTAGAGAGAAGCAAGCATGAAGAGGAACATAGAATACTATGCAGCCATAAAAAAGAACAAGATCATGTCCTGTGCAGGAACATGGATGGACCTGGAGGTCATTATCCTTAGCAAACTAAGGCAGGAACAGAAATCCAAATACCGCCTGTTCTCGTAAGTGGGAGCTAAATGATGAGAACACATGGACACAGAAGGCAACAATGAACACTGGGTCCTACTTGAGGGTGGAGGTTGGGAGGAGGGAGAGGAGCAGAAAAAAATAACTATTGGTTACTAGGCTTAGCACTTTGGTGAGGAAATAATCTGTACATGAAACCCCCATGACACAAGTTTACCTATATAGCAAAACTGCACATGTACCCCTGAACCTAAAAGTTTTAAAAAAAAAAAACAAAAAAGAGTGAACAGTACTGAAGTGAGAGTGGCAGGGGTGCGGTTTTCAATTGCGTGCTCAAGGAAAGCTGCTTGTCTGGGAAAGCAATATTTGAACACAGCCTGAAAGAGGCGAGAGAGTGAGCCACGTGGATAACTGGAGGTACAGCAGGCCAGACAGAGGCAACAGCACATGCAAAGTCCCTGAGGCAGGCACACGTGTGGTGTACTGGAGGAATTGTAAGGATGTGGGATGGATGAAATAAAGTGAGAAGGGGAGCAGAAGCAGGGGGAGCAGATCACATCCAACTGTGCAGGCGTAGTAAAGAACCCAGCGTTTACTCACAAGGAATGGTGAGCCGCCAAGGTTTTGAGCAGAAGCGTGACATGACCTGACTTGCATTTTATAGGACCTCCCTTGCTAGTGTCTGGAAGAGATCAAAGTGGATGAGAACAAAAGCAAGGCAGCCATTGAGGAGGGTGGGACAGTTACATAGGTGGATTGAGCCAGACTGGTAGCAATGGAGGGATGAGAAATGGTTAGTATCCGCAGGGGTTTGAAAGGGCTGACTGATTTGCTGATGGATGGTGTGTGTGGTTCAAGAGAAAGAAAAGTCAAGGAAGGGCCAGGCACAGTGGCTCATGCCTGTAATCCCAACACTCTGGGAGGCCAAGACAGGCGGATCACCTGTGGTCAGGTGTTTGAAACCAGCCTGGCCAACATGGTGAAATCCCGTCTCTACTAAAAATGCAAAAATTTGCTGGGCATGGTGGTGGGCACCTGTAATCCCAGGTACTTGGGAGCCTGAGACAAGAGAATTGCCTGAACCCAGGAGGCAGAGGTTGCAGTGAGCCAAGATCGTGCCATTGCACTCCAGCCTGGACGACAGAGCGAGACTCCATCTCAAAAAAAAAAAAAAAAAATAGCTGGGTGTGGTGGCATGTGCCTGTAATCCCAGCTACTTGGGAGGCTGAGGCAGGAGAATCACTGGAACCTAGGAGGCGGAGGTTGCAGTGAGCCAAGACTGTGCCACTGCACTCTAGCCTGGGAGACAGAGTGAGACTCTGTCTCAAAAAAAAAAAAAGTCAAGGAAGATCAAATACTCAAGGCTCCTAGTGATCATCAATTAGACATCCGAGTTCTTCTGGGAGGTCCTGTTTGCCAGTGGTCATCCTGTCATTTCCATCAGTGATGTCTGGAAGGTTTGATACCAAGAAGTTACCTCCTTTCAAAGTGGCTTCTTCTTCCAGCTACTAGGTTTGACCTCCTGGAGGCCAGGAGTGCAAGGTACAACTATTACTCTTCCAGAAGAGGCTCTCCCCAACCCTCCCACATTGAAGGGTTGACATTGAAGTGTTGAAGTTTTCCTTCAGCCTGGTCATTGCTCAAAGGTGGTAGAATATAGATGTAGGTCAGTAGTGATAGCAGGCTACAGCCAGCCGGTGGTCACCACAGGGTAGATATCACATAGTGGTTGAAACTGAAGGCGGCTGAAACCTGAATTCTAATTAATTTCTTTGTGACCATGGGAAGTTATTTCACCTTTCCGTTCTTTTTTTTAACTTTTAAGTTGAGGAGTACATGCACAGGATGTGTAGGTTTGTTACATAGGTAAACGTGTGTCAAGGGGAGTTGTTGTAGAGATTATCTCATCACCCACACATTAAGCCTAATATTCAGTAGTTATTTTTCCTGATCCTCTCCCTCCTCCCATCCTCCACCCTCCTGGTGTGTGTTGTTCCCCTCTATATGTCCACGTGTTCTCATCATTTAGCTCCCACTATGAGTGGGAACATGTGGTATTTGGTTTTCTGTTCCTGTGTTAGTTTGCTAAGGATAATGGCCTCCAGTTCTGTCCATGTCTCTGCAAAGGACATGATCTTATTCCTTTTTATGGCTGCATAGTATTCCGTGGTGTATACATACCAGAATTTGTTTATCCAGTCTATCGTTGATGGGCACTTAGGTTGATTCCGTGCCTTTGCTATTGTGTTTCACCTTGTTGAACATCAGTTTTGTGAGCTATAAAATGGGGGTAATCCATTCTCTACCTCGTAGGATTGTTCAGAGTATGATAAAACACTGTGTCTGGCACAGGAATGTCAATGATCAGCTATTGAGTAAGCAAAGTGAATTAATGATCTTTATATGCCATGTGTCATGTAATTCTATCCTCTCACTTCCAGGAGATTTGGAAGGCAGCCAGGAGTCCCTCTTTCCTCTCTGTTGCCTGGCTGACCTCCTTCCTTTAAAACCCTTCTCCTCTTTTTTGTATCATAATGACCTTATTTTGAATTATGGTGGTACTTTAAATTTTATGTCCCTGAAGGGTTAAGCTCTATGTTGGCTTTACCTGAACTCTCTCATCCTCACCCACCAGCAAGATGAAGGTAGGGTGGCCACTGACAGGTGACGTTCGTGAGGTGCATGGCTTTTCTGA
Source organism: Homo sapiens (assembly GCF_000001405.40). NCBI lineage: Eukaryota > Metazoa > Chordata > Mammalia > Primates > Hominidae > Homo > Homo sapiens. The sequence goes on from NC_000016.10 coordinate 83,396,683, forward strand.
AGATAAGCAGTAATTGAAGGAGGAGAATCAGATTTAAAGCCTGGGGCTGCAAGGATATGAGATTCATCACAAATGATGATGATGATGATGATGATAGGAACATTAGGGGAGGAGCAGGAGTAGGGGGAGACTGGGAGACACAAAACATGTGTTACCAGACTTTGTCAGTAGCATTTTTCATGGTTTCACATTTTTAATTCTCACAATGACCCTTTCAGGTAGCTTCTATCATTGTCCCAGGTTCCAGTTGAGGAAGCTGAGGCTCTATGAAATCAGATAACTTGCCCATGGTTACACAGCTACTAGTGGTGGTGCAGAATTGGGAAGCCAAGCAGCCTTGGCTAAAAAGCCTGCAGCTGTGATCTATGTCCTCGCTCTGGCCCTTTCTCCTGGCTTTCCTGATCTCACCGCCGCCCCCTTACCCCCACTCCCCAGCATGTCCCTCCTCGGCCGTGGGCAACCCCTCCTTCTTTGGGGACACACCTCTCTCACCAAGTTGTGTTTCCCCAAGGCCTTTGAGGGTCACAGTAGTACATTTCTCACTTTGATTATGAGGGGATACACCCTCTTAATCTAAGACAAACCACCACCACCATTATACTGAATTTAAACCAGTCAAGAAGTTCAACCCTTCCAGCTATGGAAGCCAAGGTATGTTCTCACTTTGTCTTGGTGCATTTGATTTCTCTGAAGATACCCTCAGATGCTCTAATTTGAGAAAATACTAGAAAGTGTGCATTTACAGGTGACCATCCCTCTGCTCTGTTGTGACTTTTATAAGGTCTAGTTGTTCTTGATATGCAGACTAATCTGTAAGGAAGATGAGCATGGGGGAGAGAAGAAAGACGCATTATTCACTGGAAAACAGCATCGTGTATTTTAGCAAGGAGAGCGTGCTGGTGTTGATCTGATATCACCCCAATACTTAGGAGGAATTGAGTTAGAGATACATTTGTAGCTTGAAGAGTTGCTTATTTGATAAGTTATCGGAGTGTGTTTCAAAGACATTATGCCTATGTGAAAGTAAAGATGGAGTTGTTTATCTCTGTATCTCCTTGTCCTGTTTCTCCCAGGACTTGGCAGAACTCTTGATGGCAAGAATCTAATCTTTGTCCTACTTGTAACTGCAGTGCCTGGCAGTTTGCCCTGTCCATATTCATAGAGCTAAAGAAACATTTGTTATAAATGAAGAAATCCCCCAGAGAGAAAGCTATAGAGAACTGACCTGGAACAATTTACTTACCTGCTGGGAGACGCTAGTCTTGCCCCAGATGTTCAATGCCTGCACTGGTCTATTTGCAGGTGCAGGGGAGGCTTCTGCTGTCCTGGGGAAAAAATACCCATGTCTTCAGCCAGCCACAATTCAATTACTCTAGACCAGTGTATCCGAAGCTTGAGTGTACAGCAGAATCCCCAGGAGGATTTGTTTAAGTACTCATTGCTAGGCGTACTACCCTGGTTTCTAACTCAGTTAGGTATATTAATTTCCTAGGGCTGCCATAACAAATCACTGTAATGTTGATGTTTAAAGCAACAGAAACTTATTCTCTAGCTTCTGGAAGCCAGAAGCCAAAATCAAGGTGTTGCCAAGGCATGCTCCCTTTAAAGGCTCCAGGGGAGGATCCTTCCTTGCCTCTTCCAGCTCCTGGTGGCTCCAGGGATTCCATGGCCTCAGCTGCATCATTTTCATCTCTGCCTTTGTTTTTACGTGGCCTCCTCCTCTTCTCTTTCTCAAATGTCCCTCTGCCTTTCTGTTACAAAGACATTTGCTATTGGATTTAGGACCTTCCTAGATAATCCAGGATGGTCTCATCTCATCTTGAGATTCTTCATTACATCTGCAAAGACACACCCCCACTTATTTTCCAAATAAGATTCATGCACAGGTTCCAGGGATAAGGACATAGAGGTATCTTTTAGGGAGCCACCATTCAATTCATGGCAGTAGACCTGGAATATGGGGCCTGAGATTATGCTTTTTTGTACTTCTAACATGTTCACAGTTGATGCTAAAAGTTGCTCAGAGGTTGGAATATGAGAGCTTGGACTGCTGCTCCAAAGAGAGAGAAAATAATACAATGCCTTCTTTGAAATAGCACCTTTTCAGAAGAGTTCTTAAAATAGATTTTATCTCATGGGATTGATTTATTGTGCCCATTAAGCCAGATGCATAGCTCTTCTACTAGAATTAATTTTAAAGTTGCTAACCCTTAATTATTTGCAGAGATAGGACAAAAAATGTTGGAAGCAATTTGGAAATAGTCTTTATGTTCAGTCCATAATGGATGCTATTTACAACAATGGCTGTTTCATATTCTCATATAAATGATGAAGCTAACACTCAAAGCCATAGACCATTCAAATGCTTTATATCCTAAAAAGGATACAAAGACCATCAGACCATAAATTGTGATTTTTCATTGCCATGGCATGTTTCAATAGATGGTTTGTTTCTGTAGAAAGAACAGTTAATTCTGGACTCAGATCCTGAACATGCTCCTTTTTTGGCTATGAGAATTTGGGTCTTAGTTTTCTTGTCTAAACAGTGTGGGTGATAATATTTTGTCCTAATAATTAGCAGGCTTATTATGATGATCAATTAAGAGTACTTTGTAAACTGTCAAGTGTTTTGAAATATGTTACTTCTGTAATGACAAGGTTGAAAATAAATATAACTGGAGCTAATTCATAGAAATCTGTGTACTAAAGATAGATCTTAAGAAAAATTTTCGTCCAAAGTGTATTTGCTTACTGCAGCCCTTTCAGCTTCTCCCATCTGTCAGATGGCCTTTCTCAAATGTGACCACTATGTCTCTCTCCCATCCCACATGGTCTTCTTCAGTGTGACCTTGACGATCTTTCATTGAGATATGGGGACTTTGTCTCATCCTCTTGGATCTCAGTGGATCAAGGACTCACTCGTAACCAGTAGAATGATGTGTGACTTCTGAGATGAGGTCATAAAAGGCCATGCAGCTTTCTCCTTGTTCGCTGGGAATCTTGCTTTTGGAGTCCGTCTGCTTGAAAGCCACCATGTTGTGAGGAAGCCCAAACTAAACCACGCTAGACTCTGGGCTCCAGGAGAGCACAGACTCCTTTGCTTTGTCCTCACCATTTTACCCCCCGCCGCATTTAGCACAGTGCCTCACACAAGCAGGCATTCAAACAGCTGTGAGAGTGAAGAAACAAAAGGAGGTTGTACCCAACTCATTCTAATATGCTCTCAAGTTTAAATATGTGATGTAAATAGGACATTATAAGAACAAACACCAAAAAACCACCTATGTGTTGCAAAAGTTAACATTATTAATCCTCTAGAATTGTATGGTGCCTAATGGTTACATCTGTTTTCTTAATCGTTCCCTTATAATGCCTGTCTTATAGTACTGCCAAGAATTAGAAGGGAAGGAGCATGCTGAGGCCTAGATAATTCTGATGGGTTTTTTTTTTTCTTTTTTGGAAAGGATTTAACAGATATTAGAGAAAACTTAGAGGGAGTCTTGGGACTCCTTGATGGCCACGAAAGGGATGACTTTTAAAGAAATCGATCCAGAAATGTCTATGTGGCTGCCCTTTCTCTTCTCGTTGTAAATTTTCTCACAGTGAACACAGGTGTTAGAGATCAAGTGTTTGGCTTTCTGGTGCTCTGATGCAGGAAGTTTGTTTTCTCAGGCAGGCTTCTCAGCTCTTGCACAGTAGCCTATGGGTTGGGACGGCTACCGGATGGCCCAACTCCAGGATGGGGTCATAGTGCGGAGCTCTGTGAGTGGTGCCCCCTAGAGGAAACTTCCTGAAGGAATGAAGCTTCCTGAACTCATGCAATTTGGCAACCCTGGGTTCTCCCCAATGCTTTCAAGACATAGTAGGTTGGAGCAAAAGTAATTGCAGTTTTTGCCATTGAAAGTAATGTCAGTTACTTTTGCACCAACCTAATACAAACCATCCCATATCTGTGTTCTCCATCCTTTCATCCTTTATCACAGTGGGGTTGTGATAGATCCCTGAAAACACAGGATCAAGTATAGGTAAATGCAAGATGGTACATAGAATCAAGTGTGAAAGTGAGTCCCATCAACCCACACTCTTTCCATTTGGCCCAGTTGCTGCCCTTGTTGTTTAGAATGGCACGTACCTGGCCTTGAAATGCACTGAAGCCTATGGGGATTACTTTAAAATTCGGTCCTGTAAGCCAGTCTGTTAGTATCATTGCTCCTACTAATGATAGAAATTGCTGGTGTTGGCCGGGTGTGGTGGCTCACACCAGTAATCCAAGCACTTTGGCAGACGGAGGTGAAGGGATCACTTGAGGCCAGGAGTTCGAGCCAGCCTGGCCAACGTGGTGAAACCCCGTCTGTGCTTAAAAAATACAAAAAATTGGCCAAATGCAGTGGCTCACACCTATAATCCCAGCACTTTGGGAAGCCGAGGTGGGTGGATCACCTGAGGTCAGGAGTTCAAGACCAGCCTGGCCAATATGGCCAAAGCCCGTCTCTACCAAAAATACAAAAATTGGTGTGGTGGTGTGTGCGCCTGTAATCCCAGCTACTTTGGGGGGCTGAGGCAGGAGAATCGCTTGAACCCAGGAGGCAGAGGTTGCAGTAAGCCGAGATCACGCCATTGCACTCCAGCCTGAGTGACAGAGTGAGACTCCATCTCAAAAAAAAAAAAAGAAAAAAGATTATATAAAAAATTAAAAAATTAGCCAGGCGTGGTAGGCGTGGTGGGAAGCTGAGGTGGGAGAATCGTTTGAACCTGGGAGGCAGAGGTTGCAGTGAGCTGAGATCGCATCACTGCACTCCAGCCTGGGTAACAGAGCAAGACTCCGTCTCAAAATAAAATAAAGTAAAATAAAATAAAAATAATCTGTGGTTTTTCCTCAGCATGCCCTTTATGAACTGAATTATACAAATTATATACTTTAAACCTCACAACAACCTCATGAAGTGTATATACCAGTAATATTCCCATTTTATGGACAAAAAAAAGAGAAAAAAAATAGAGGCACCAAGAGGATCTTACCCAAGGATGCGTGACTGGTAAGTAGCAGAGCTAGAATTTGAACCCAATCTGTTAAACAGTTCCCTCAACAAAGAATTATCTCATTTTGTGCTTGACTCTCAAGCATTCATGTAGGTGAAAAACTTCTTTAGAATTCTCTGAGCCAAGAACCTAGCTCTTTGTATAAACATTTTTTGTATGATTTTAATCTGCACTGAATATATTCGTTTCAGTCTCATATTCATCTGGAGACCCCTCCAGAGCTTGAGGTCTTGAGAAGTCCTGGGGCTCCAGTGGCCACTAAAGCAATGACTTTTCAAAAGAAAAGAAATGTTTCCTGAGTGTAGATGTTGCTATCTTTTTTCTTTCTCATTGTATACTTCCTTGTAGAGTACATAGGTGTTAGAGGTCAGATCTGGAGGGATTTTGTATCCAGGAGGTTACCTTGAACTTTGATGCTGTACACTAGCCTAGTATTATTATTATTGTTGTTATTATCATTACTCCTACTATTACTCCTCCTCTTGCTGCTGCTGCTAAAGTAGCAAAACTGTCTGGCTCCCGGAGCGCCACCTATTGACCATATAGTTTGCCACCTGTCTCAGTTTTGTGCCATGCATGAGCTCATCCTCACCAATTATTGGCAAGATTATAGAACAGGACACAGAGTGATTCACCTTCAGTATAGCTCCCACTAGTGTGTTGCTCTTATCCCACAAGAACGTGACTATCCAGGATTCCTTAAATCCACCAGGCTCTGAGCCAGACTGCATTTACCAATCCACAGAAATAGTGCAGACCAATTCCTTTTGTGAAAATTAACATATATTTTGTCTATGGCCTTCTCTTCATCACTTGCCCCAGCAAGTCTCTCCTCAAAGGATAGTCAGTTTGGCATGATTTATGTATGACGAACCCAGGTAGACTACCATAACTCACTGTTCTCATTGATAAATCGTTGATAATATATGCCTTGTAAGTTGGTGCTGTTTGGATGGCATGACTAAAGTCAAGCATTAGCATAGTGCCCAACACTCAGGAATCTGGCAGAAAGTCAAAAGTTACACCGATCAGTGTCATTATTAGTATGCAATTTCATTCTTAGTCTTCTTGGGATTTAATTGTATTACCTAATTTATGTAATGAGACTATATTTTCTTTTCTGTCCCATTTCTATTAAACTTAGATACGTCCCCTTCTCCTTGCTTATGGAATCAAATTTTTAAATTAATTTGATTTGGGTTCTATTTTCTAATCCCATCAATAACCAGCTACAATCTGCCCTTCAGGAGGACGCTGCTTCTTAAAGCATGTCTGAGCTCCCCTAGCCACCCTGATTTATAATGTGATATTTAACACCCTCAGCTGCTTCTGAAGCCCAAGGGGCAAACTGGTTACCTAGCAACCACATACACACACTAGCTCATGGCGCAGGTTAGCCCCATTTTGTTATAATGAAATAATACGTCTTGTGAGAATGAAAAGCTAAGGTACACTATATGAGGTTAGTGTTTTGGAGAAAAATGGGCTCTTTAGGACAGATTAGCAAAGCAGGAGTTGTGTGGGTCACCCCCTGCTTCACAGTGACTCACCACTTCCTAGAATGGAAGTCACGACCTTGAAATCCTGAGACTTGGAGGAAATAGAGGATATGTTTGATGTACTGAACTGTCTTTAAAAATAATGTAAATTTAGCACTTTGGGAGGCCGAGGCGGGTGGATCACGAGGTCAGGAGATCGAGAGCATCCTGGCTAACACGGTGAAACCCCATCTCTACTAAAAACACAAAAAATTAGCCAGGTGTGGTCGCGCGCGCCTGTAGTCCCAGCCACTCAGGAGGCTGAGACAGGAGAGTGGCGTGAACCTGGGAGGCAGAGCTTGCAGTGACCCGAGATGGCACAATTGCAGTCCACTCTGGGCGACAGAGCGAGACTCCGTCTCAAAAATAATAATAATAATAATAATAATGTAAATGTAGAAACCTTTGGGGGAGTGAGCAGTCCCCAGTGGAAGTATAATTTCCAGGCTATCTCACACAAGCCTGCTTGGCCCCAGGACATCCTGTTGTGATGGAGAACATCATAAAGCTCCTCCACCAACATGGAATCCATAGAGAATATTCTTACCTAGATACAAAAAGTTCAGTATTCTATCATGACTTTAATATAAGGGAAAAATAAAAGGAAGGTGATTTACAATAAAAGAATGCACACTTGAAATGTTCGGGCATGACTACACAAGAAGATATAATGACACAGCCAAATGTTTGCACCTATGTGTAATAAATCAACTTGAATTTAGGAGAAGTAAGATGATTCAGAAATGCATTTCTTTTTTTCCAGTGTCTCTTCTACAGAATATTTTCTGAATCATAATCATTGCAGATTAAAAATCCCACAAAAAATGTTCATACAAGGAGTCAGGCTCTTGGCTCAGAAAATTCTGAAGAAGTTTCTCGCCTCCATGAATGCTTAAAGAGTCAAATACAAAATGAGATAATCCTTTGTTGGGGGAACTGTTCACGTTTCAGAACTTTTGGCATCCTTTGCTCCACCTGCAGAGAGCCAACAAAATCCTTCACTAATTTTAGGAACCAAAAAACAAATTTCCCCACTTCTCAGTACAGCCTTCAATACTGGTCTGTCATTTCTGCCTGACCTTGTTTCTTCTCCCAACACATCTATCCATTTGTTGATTCATTCACTGGTTATGCTTATAACGTTGTCATTATATCCTTGTCTCAGTTTTCTTATCAGTAAGGGTAAGCAGCTTCGCAGAATTTTAGGAAGGATTAAGTGATGCGTGCAAAATACTTAGAGCCCACAAGAAGAACTTGATTAATGTTGTTCTTATTATTGCTGTATTGAATGTATCCTTTAGTACTTTCTTTTTGTATAGTACCATATGGCATAGATGTGTGTGCACACACCCCCTCACACACAAATACACACACCAAATATTTCAAAGGAATATATAGTGAAAATTCCTCCTATGTGCCTAAATCTTCCTCGGTACCCTTCCCCAGAACAGCCACTGTGTCTTCCCAGAAATTGTGTTAAGAAACAAACATGTATATCCTTTTGTGCTGTGTTTTGTAGAAGTGGAAGCTTTCTGTGCAGCCAGTTTTGCATTGTGTTCCTCACCAACAGGATCTGTCGGACGCCGTGTATATAGTTCTTCCTCATTCTCTTTAATGGCTATGTGATGTTGCATTTTATGGATGAACCATAATCCTCAAAAACATTCGTTAGGTTGTGTTGATAACATAGAAATGTCTAAAGCAGTGAACAAAGTAGCCCATTATCTCAGGACCCAGATAACCAAGTTAACATTTTTTTAGCAAAATAAAAGTAGAAGATGCAGATGATAAAAGTAAAAGCAGGTCAGTAACAGTACAGTAAGAAAAGTAGAAATCTCCTGTCATTTTCTGAAGTCCCAATCCCTCTAGCTCTCAAAAAAAAAAAAAATCTTAACAATTCTATGTGCATTCTTTCAGGAAAAAAGCAAGATAGAATATGGATATACTAGCTGTGTAAGTAGCTGTGTAAGTAGCTTTGTAGGCTGAAAAAAGCTTATCCCCCATCCCCCTGGAAGATGTGCAAGTACTAATTCCTGGGGCCTGTGAATGTTAGCTTAGATTGCAAAAGGGACTGTGAAGGTGTGATTGAGTTAAGGATCTTGATTTAAAGAAGTTAGTCTGATACGCCCAATGTAACCACAAGGGTCCTTATAAGAGGCTCACCAGTGGTCAGAGAGGAAAGGTGATGTTGTCCTGCTGGCTTTGAAGTTGGAGGAAGAGGCCATGTGCCAAGAGATGCCAGCAGCACCTAGAAGCAGGAAAAGGTAAGGGAACCTCATGTCACTAGAAGGAATGTAGCCCTTTGGATTCATTTTAGACTCCCGACCTCCAGAACTGTCAGAGAATACATTTGTGTTGTTTTAAGCCACCAAATCTGTGATAATCTGTTACAGCCGTAGGAAGGTAATATTTTAGCGAATATTTTTATTTGCATAAGTACCACACTCTGTATGTGCACTGAGTTGTTCTTTACTAATAGTGCCATGTTATCTAATTTTTCACAGGCATATTCCTTTCTCCCAAATTAGGTTTACAAGCACCTTGGAGGCAGAGGCTGTGGTTGGTATCACGTTGCATTCCTCCCGGCTCTTCTCTCAGCAGGAGGAAATATAGCTGCTTAGTTAAAAATAAAAAAGGATTCTGAAGGCACACAGTTCAAAGTTAGAACAGGCAGCCAATGCGTTTGATGTCCTTGAGCCACATGCCCTCAGCCCACCTGGATCTCGGCTGCAGCTGCATTGGGCACTCCCACCTTCTTCCAGCAGCTTCTCCCCGCTTTTCCAGGACCAAGAAAATTCTTTGCCAGCACATAGTAGCCCCAAATCAAGGAAGCTAATGTCCTCAGAGGTGACCTCCAGCCAGTGGGGACAGGGGTCAGTGGATCAATGCCCAGGCCCCTGTCTATGAAAGGGCAATTCTGAGATGTGCTCTCTGCAGGTCCCCAGTAGGACTGAGCTGCGGTAGCGCCCGGTGGTAACCAGCTTAGCCACACAGCTGTAAGAAATAGTTTTCTCCTTCCTTATCTCCCTCTTCTGCCTTCTCCTACCTGCTTCCTGAATCTCCCACCATCCTCAAAAGCACGCCTACACTCAAGTCTTTGTCTCAGGCTCAGCCTGGAGGAGCCCAAGTTAGAATGGAACCCCAGCTCTCTTTCTTTCCCCCCCCGCCTCTCTCTCTGTCTCTCTCCCCTTTCTCTTTTTCTCTCTCTCTCTTTCTTTCTTTCAGTGGAGTCTTGCTTCATCGCCCAGGCTGGAGTGCAATGGCACAATCTTGTCTCACTGCAACCTCTGCCTCCTGGGTTCCAGCGATTCTCCTGCCTTAGCCTCCCAAGTAGTTGGGACTACAGGCGCACATGCCACCACGGCCAGCTAATTTTTGTATTTTTAGTAGAGATGGGGTTTCACCATATTGGTCAAGCTGGTCTTGAACTCCTGACCTCAGGTGATCCACCCGCCTCAACCTCCCAAAGTGCTGGGATTACAGGTGTGAGCTACCACACCCAGCCAGCTCTGCCTCTTTCTAGCTGAGGATTCTGTAACAAGCCAGTCTTCTAAAACTGAATTTTTTTTGTCTATCAATGAAGATAGCAGAATCTACCTCAATAGAGTATTGTACAGTTTGAAAGAGATAATGTATACAAAGTATCTTATACATTGTCCATAGCTACTATTGTTAAAATTAGTTTATGACTATTACATCATAGTAATTGCTTTCTAAAAAGTAACTTAATGAAACACATACATCAAATGCCTGATGAAAGCTGAATTTTCTAAAATTGGTCTTGGCCTTCAAAAGATTTCTCATTCCTTCTACCATGTATATTCAACAGATAATTTTGAGCGCCTACTGTGTGCCAGGCAGCCCTCTGGGAGCAGGAAGACTGCAGTGAGCAAAGCAAACAAAACTCCCATTTTCCTATGTCAGATGCAAGTGGACTCATTCAGCACATGCTATTTGCATCCTGGAGGTATCAAGGCAAAGAAAACACAGTTTTTGCCTCCAGAGGCATAATCTTACCTCCTGCCCGTTTATTTGAAATACACACAGTTGAAATATTGTTGTAGGTTTATCGATTTTCTATATGTTTATTAGGCTCCTGCTATATGCCAAGTACTGTGGTTAGCACCATCCTCATATAAACATTATCATCTTAGCCCCTGAACTTAAGGAAATGTCCAGGCTGCTAAAGCAGATCTGTGAAAAAGCTCAGCCTGCTTTTTTTCAGCTAGACTACTATGACTCTAGCTCAGAAAAAAAATTATTTCTAATCACTGGTTCTAATACAAATAAAATGTAGTGATTCATTAATCTCCTTAGCCTATAATTGCAAATTGAGTTTTCTTTCAAATATACCTAAAGAAGGTAGGTGCCCACTAAACATTTCAGGGGAGTTTTATTTAAGCTGCAAATAAAATTAGTTTACTCATTTTTAATTTAATTCCCAGGAGGCATTTTGGAAACCTTCCCTCCTCATTTGACCCAAAATCATTTTTAAAAATTATTGTTCTCCTAAATTGAAGCCCTTTCCAGCATTGCGCATTAGAAGTCTTAAAACTCATCTGTTTTCTTTTTGTAATTGACTTACAAATGCGTAATCGACTCACAAATGTATAACTGAGTATGCATGGCATTTTAAAAGGGCAGAGTTTCCATTTGCTTCTTGATTTCTTTGGGGGTTCTCATTTTCCTAAGCCCTCTTCCCACAACATTCCCAGTCATTCCTTGGGTCATCTCTCAGGTGTCACCACCCTGCTAGCATCTTAATGGAGCGGCTGTGTCTCCTCCCAGCAGCAGTGGCACCAGAAGATTTAGCTGTGTTGGGGACAACGTTCAGAATCCTCATTTGCTGCTAAAGATGTACCCGGTCTCATTCTCCTGACACATGGATGATGATCTTGTGACCCGTGTGACTATGACTGTATCACTCTGATCATCACTAGAACAATAAGTAATCTAAATAATAAGAAATTCTGCATGTTCCATTGACAAAACTGGGAACACTGCACACACATACACATATTCACACAAACCATATACAGTCACGTGTCACTCAACAATGGGTATACCTTCTGAGAAGGTATCATTAGATGATTTGTCATTGTGCAAACATCATATAGTGCACTTACGCAAATCTAGATGGTATATTCTGCTACATGCCTATCCTGTATGACATTGCCTCTTGCGCCTAGGCTACAAACCTGTACGGCTGTTACTCTATTGAATACTGTAAACAATTATAACACAACAGTAAATATGTGTGTATCTAAACATAGAAAAGATACCATAAAAATACAGTATAAAATATTTAAAATGGTATCCCTGTATAGGAAAGCTCGATTATAATCTAATGAGACAACTTTCCTATATGTGGCCCATCATTGACTGATATATTGTTATCCAGCAATGACTGTACTTAAGTAACTTTAATAGAAGCATGAAGAATGTAGTAGTTGTCATTTGAAAAGGGCCTTGCTAAATGTAACCTTCAGTTAAAGCAAGTCAGCCTAGTGGAGGATGGTGGCTGCTCATGTTGTCTTATGTGGATATAAACCTATATATCCCCACTAAGTGTGAAAAGATGTCATGCACCAGGAAGCATGCAGGAGACTTGGTAAGGAGACAGAGGGATGCAGAGACTAAGCCCAAGGCTGGGAGCACAAGGCTTCCTTCCTTGGTCCAGGTGTTTCTGCATGGGAACAGAAGATTGGTGTCTGCTTTTCAGTGACGTGGCTGAATCAGAGTGAGTGAGTGGGTGGTTTATTGTTGGTTTCCACAGATGCTGATGCTGAGGCAAGAAATCAAGTCAAAATTGGTTTATTTTGGGAGGTACAGGAAACACCAGTAGAAAAGTGAGGAAATAAGACAGGGGAGGGAAGGCAGCCAATAACGTAACCAGCCAGCTGCTTTCATGAGAGACTGGAGCATCGTCCCACCAGGAAACAATAAAAAATAGTGTAAAAACGCATAAGCTTCAGAGAAAGATATGGGAGCTGGGGAGTGGATATGCCAATCCCATTCTTGACTGATTGAAGGCTGCTGCTAGGGACATTAATCCCCCAGCACTCCTGGGCTACCATGTGCCAAGCAGAGCTGCCTGCTGTGCCTTTGGGGAAAGCCCTCATGCAGCGACACGGGGCAATGGTAGTTGTCTGCCTTGTGAAGGAGTAAGACCCGGGGCTATGACTAGGGTATCAGCAGAGCCTGCTCCAAGAATGGTTAAGGGTTTGGTTTGGGACATGTAGAGTTCAAGCAACCTGGGAGGCACCTAGGTGATGTGACTCAGACCTCTGTCAATACTGGCTGGAGTTTCACCATCAATATTGATCTGTTGAGTAATCTACCCATTGTATGTGCTTTATAGTGACTGAATTACCAACATGCATCTGCCTAGCCTATTTCCCTCTTCAAAATGGCATCTCCCACACATGAAACTTCCTCCTTGATTATATCAAACAGGACCAATAAATCATTCAGCTTTTCCCCAGAAGTGGGATGTTGAGTGGTACAATCCATGATGTGCCATTTCTCAACAAGGCAGATGATATTTGATTCTTGGGATATCAGTAAGTCTGGGTTATTTAACTGGCTTTTTTTCTAAATCCTGACTTGTGTCCAGTTGCTTAACCAGATTTAGAAGAAGCCATGTTTACATGGAATTTCTGAATTACAAGCTGAGAAATGTTTCCAGAAGATATTTTAAAGCCTCCTTAAGAAGGCTAGTGGGCCTTATTTCCTGTGTGAAACAACTTTTATCAAAATGTATTTGACACTGGGAGTGTGGGTGAACTGGTGAAAAGGTCCCTGAGAGTTCGGGTCCCTGAGAGTTGCAAGCACAAATCCTGTTAACAGGTAATAAGATTATGAGCATAGCCCATGTAGAGCGCATGGTTTTATCAGCTGAAGTGAAGCACCAAGATGCCAAGTTGTTAATGGAATTCAGCATCTGTGTCTTTCATGGGTCTCTAAATAGACAAGGTTCAATGCTACCCAAATTTCCTGCAGAATCAAAACCACGTTCGCCTTTGGAATGGGTATTTATTTATTGCTTTTACTCTGGGGAAAAAGGCTTTTTTACTTTATAACCTTTTTATCTCTTATACAGCAATTTCCTTCCATCTTCTAAAAATGTTAGAAAATAAAGCAAATATGAAAATTCATGTTGCATTTCTAAGCATCTGACCACAATCTATAGATCAAGATAATGCCAGACTCTAATTTCAGTGTTTAGCAAGGTTACTGGCAAATAGCATTTGAGAAAAGAGAAAAAATAGTATATTGAAGGCAATACCCACCCCCTATATTTTGTATTACCATCTTTTGTAAGCTCTGGTCATGCAATGCTATCATAGGATATTTTTCCTTCCTTCTTTTATGTCTTTTTGGGTCATTTTAAATATACCCCATTTATATATGCTACTCATAGAAATTAGTTCTTTATTCTCCATTGAACTTTTCTGAAAAGTATTATAAAGAAGGTTCAATTTAATTATGTTCAAGTAACTGAGTCGTTGGCAATCAGCTGCCAACATTTTGATTGTTTTCTTGTGGGATTCAGTCCTAGTATTGAGTGCCCACTAACAACTGCCAAATTTAGTCATCCAAATCACCACGACAATAAGCTCCAGGTATTGAAACATCAAGACTGAAGCCACCACTTACGATCCAATCAACCTTTTTAACTGTCAGTGCTTCCAGTCTTTGCCGAAATACACAGCATTAAAATTCATAAGTCAACCCATGTCCGTGCGTGCTTTTTCTCTCCCATATCCAGTTGGTCACTTGCTTCATGCTGATCCATCCATAGCGGTCGTGGTCCACACTCCAGCCCTCCTTTACATCCTCCAGACAGATAGGGTTCTTTCTATGGCTTAAAGGTGCCAACCTCATTCCTGTCTCAGGGACCTCACACAATTGCTCCTTTAGCCTGAAACAATCACCCACTAATCTCTGCATAGCTGAGACCACCTTGTTATTCAGGTCTTACCTGAAATGTAGCTTCCTCAGAGAGGTCTTGTCTGGTTACCCCACTGAAATTAGCATCCCCCTTTACTGTGTTCCATTAAACCTCCCACTTTTCTTTCTTTTGAAGCATTTACCATCATCCACAAGCATCCAATGTATATCACCGTTGTGTGGTTTATTGTTGGCTTCTTCATTGCTAGACCAAGAGCTCCATGAAAGCATGGGCCTTGTCTCTCTTGTTCTCAGTGAAATCATATGTGCTCAATATGGGGGTTAGCACATAGTCAATGAATATTCAAATTCATTCATTTAAATATTTAAATATTTAAAAAATAAATATTGAGATACACTACCATTCATTTGGCACACAGCACATGCTACTTTTAATTGTGATGGCTCAAATAACCTATGATACTGCAAAGACCATTTTTATGCCCTTATAGGTCATGTAGTACCTTTTGTTCTCTGATATGTCCCTAGTACACATTACAGTGTTTCACACAGAGTAGGCACTTAAACATACCAGCTAGTGGATAGTGTGATGATGCCAGGAAGTAATATACAAGGGTAGGAAACTAACAAGTATGGAGCATCTCATATGTGTACTGGCATCTGACTTCTCATTTAGTCCTCATAACAAGTTTATAAGGTAGATAGTAACATCCCACATTACAGAGGAAAAACACGAGCTTGTAATTGCATGATAAGCGCATAAGGAGCAAATCTGGAATCCAAGCCTGTGTTCTCTGCAGGGTGCCATTGTGCTACTGACAGTGTGCTAAGTTTAGGTTCTCTGTGGATGTTTGTGAAGGAGGCACAGGGAGGCAAGGAGAGCCACAAGCTCATGGCTCTATGGCTGGAACTTCATACCATTAATGACCACTTAAGAACGTGCTGAATGCACCTATGCATGTGGAATCATGTACTTCCTTTTCACATTGTAAATGTGTCTACAAAGGCCAGGCATGGTAGCTCACTCCTGTAATCCCAGCACTTTGGGAGGCCAAGGCTGATGGATCACTTGAGGTCAGGAGTTCGAGACCAGCTTGGCCAACACGGTGAAACCCCATCTCTACTAAAAATACAAAAATTAGTCAGGCATGGTGGCAGACGTCTGCAGGCTCAGCTACTTGGGATGCTGAGGCAGGAGAATCGCTTGAACCTAGGAGGCAGAGGTTGCAATGAGCCAAGTTCACAGCAATGCACTCCAGCCTGGGTGACTGAGTTAGACTAGGTCTCAAAAAATAAAAATAAAAATGAATAAATAAATAAATGTGTCTACAAACAGAGGTTTTTGAGAGTCAGGCATAAGCCCCCACCTTAGTGATACTGATGCAGCCACCTCGAAATGGGAGGTGGGTCACCCATCTTTATTTGTGGTCCCCGAAGAAAGAAGATCTCAGCGGGGAGAAGGTGGGGTGGGGCACATCAACTCCTTGCAGGTAGACACTCTGACAAGAATGTATGCACTACTCAAAATGTTTCTTACCCATGGTTCCTAATACGGTGAAGTCATGAGCCCCCTTAAGACCCAGTGAAAGTGGAACAATTCCACGTGCACATAAGCCATGCATTTACGATTTCAGGACATCTTTGAACCCAGGGCAAGAACTGCAGCTTTGGGAAATTCCCAGAACAGTAAACAGTGTAAATTCTCAAAAGGGGGTTTATTTCATGTTACTTCCTTTTTTAAAGAAATGTAACTGTGTTGTATTACCATTAGACGTAATTGGGTGAGAAATTACTTATAAACCTGTCATCATAACATAGCTATTGTTTTCTTTGTCCAATATATTGACATTTTATTCCACTGTGCACGTAGAGTTCTGCATTTGGCTGTTTTTACTTAATACATCATAGCATCAAACAGTGGTAATGCCATTTCACAGTCTGTATTTAATTGGAAGTGTTTTAGTATAATGTTATTGTAATACTCAAATGCAAAGGCACGGTGATGCAGTGAAGATTGGTTTCTGTTTTGTCTAAAATTATTGTAGAACCCATTAAATTTTGTAATGCACATTCTCTTCCATCTACAGGTCTCCCATAAAATAGCTTCAAATCTCACAATCAATGATATTTTAAAGCAGCACATAAGAGTATTTAGCTTTAATGTGATCATTGCCTCAGGCTGTAATAAAAACAGAATTTTTCCCCAATTATTATCAGTCACTCCTCCTCCATAGTCCATCATGATAAAACCGAGCGACTTTCATTCCTCACCAGGCAACTAATCATCCCTTTGCTGAGCATTCTTCATAAATGGAATGGAATAAATTTCATTATGCAATGCGGTAATGTTCCCCAACTAGAGATCGGGGTGTAGCAATCTTGGGGAAAGTTACAGTCAAGATTATTAAAATATATGAAACTTAAAGAGAAATAGTGTCCTAATCATGCAGCCCATAATAGGCTGTGCCAACCCCACTTATCCTCAAAACAGCCCTCCCTTACCTTGCCGGCCTCATCTAAATGCTGCTGTCTGCAGTGCACGGTGGCTCATGCCTGTAATCTCAGCACTTTGGGAGGCTGAGGCGAGAGGATCACCTGAGGTTGGGAGTTCGAGTCCAGCCTGGCCAACATGGTAAAACCCCGTCTCTACTAAAACTACAAAAAAAATTTGCTAGGTGTGGTGGGCACACACCTGTAATCTCAGCTACTAGGGAGGCCAAGGCAGAAAAATTGCTTGAACCTGGGAGGTGCAGGTTGCAGTAAGCTGAGATCACTCACCACTGTACTCCAGCCTGGGCAATAGAGCGAGACTCCATCTCAAAAAAAACAAAAATACTCTTCTCTCTTGTTGTCCTTTGTAAACTTCTGAAAATTAGACAATACTTGATTCTTTTACTTCCCTAACAAGTACCTGCTTACCAACCTGCTATAGTTTTATAGAAGTACTCTCTGAAAAGGTACCAAAAATATTCTCATTCCTACATCCAATAGCTGTTTTTCTTATTTGGTTGGAATTTTCCATATGAATCAACATGCTCAACCATTTTCTTGAGGATCTTTTTGTCGTAGCAGTTGTTGTTTAAAAAACAACTTTATTAATACATAATTCATATACTGTATAATTCACCCATTTAAAATGTGCAATTTAATCTTTTAAAGTATATTCACAGGGTGATGCAACCACCACCACAGTCTGATTTTATATTTTTAGAGGAAACAAATATATATGTTTATATTTAAATTTTATTTTATTGTGATAAGGACACTTACCTGAGACCTTAATAGATTTTAAGTGTACAGTAGTATTGACTCTAGGTACAGCATTGTATGGCAGATTGCTAGAACCCCTTCATCTTGTTTAATTGAAACTTTATGCCTGTTGATTAGTATCTCTCAAGTTTTCCCTCCCCCTAGACCCTGACAGACACCAATTCAGTCTTTGGTTTGGGTTATATGACTATTTTGAGTACTTCATGTAAGTGGAACCATGCAGTATTAGTCTTTCTGAGACTGGTTTATTTCACGTCACATAATGTCTTCAAGATTCATCCATGTTGTTGCATATTGCAGAATATCCTTCACTTGTGAGGTTGAATCATATTTTATTCTATGTATGTGTCATATTTATCCACTCATCCATCACTGAACATTTAGGTTGTTTGTACCTCTTGTGTATTGTGAATAGTGCTGCAGTGAACGTGGTAGCTCTCCAGTAATATCTTCAAACTATCTCTTGAAGATCCTGATTTCAATATTTTTGGACAAATACCCAGAAGTGGGTTGCTGGGTCATATGGTAGAAAAGTTGGTTTTTTGAAAAGATAAGCAAAATTGACAAACCCTTAGCTAGACTAAGGGGAAAAAAGAGAGAAGATTCAAATAAATAAAATTAGAAATGAAAGAGGGAACATTACCACTTATACCACAGAAATAAAAAGGTTCATAAGAGACCCCTATGAACAGTTCCCTGCCAAAAAAAATGAAAAAAAAACCTAGGTAACCTAGAGAAAAATGAGTAAATTCCTAAAAACATACAACCTACCAAGATTAAATCGTGAAGAAATAGAAAGTCCGAACGGACCCATAACTCATAGGGAGATTGAATCGGTAACCACAAATTCTCAACAAAGTAAAGCTTAAGACCAGATGTTTGGCCCACCAAACATTTAAAGAATTGATGAGAATCCTTCTCAAACTCTTCCGAACAGCTGGAGAGGGAGTGACACTTCCAAACTCATTTTATAAAGCTAGTATTACCCTGACACCAAAGCCAGACAAACACCACAAGAAAAGAAAACAAAAGACCAATATCCCTGATAAATGTAGAAGCAAAAGTCCTTAACAAAATACTAGCAAACTGAATCCAGCAGCACATTAAGAGGATCACAGGTCATGATCAAGTGTGCATGGGAGTCAGGAATTGTTCAACACACAGAAATCAATCAATGTGATACACCACATTAGCAGACTAGAAAATAAAAACCACATGATTGTCTCAGATGCAGAAAAAGTACTTGACAAAATTCAGTGCCCTTTCATGATAAAAACTCTCAAAACTAGGAATAGAAGGAAAGTACCTCAACATAATAAAGGCCACATATGAAAAGTCCATAGCTAACGTCATACTCAACAGTGATAAAACTAAAAGCTTACCTTCTAAGATCAGAAACAAGATAGGGATACTCACTGTCACCAGTTCTATTCAACATAGTCCTGGAAGTCCTCACAGGAGCAAGTAGGCAAGAAATAGAAACAAAAGGGATCCAAAACAGGAAGAAGTAAAATGTCCCGGTTTGTAGACAAAATGATCTCACATATAGAAAATAACTGAAGAACCCATTAAAAACTATTAGAATTAATAAATGAATTTAGTAAATTTGTGGGATACAAAATCAACAAACAAAAATTAGTTATGTTTCTATACACTAACACTAACTGATCTAAAAAGGAAATCAAGAAAACAATCCCTTTACAATAGTACCAAAAAGAATAAAATACACAGTCATAAACTTAACTAAGACAGTGAAAGACATGTATTCTGAAAACTACAAAACATTGACGAAGGGAATTTTAAAAGACACAAACAGATAGAGATCTTGTATAGATGGATTGGAAGACTTACTATTGTTAAAACATCCACATTACCCAAAATTATCTACAGATTTAATGCAATCAGAATTTCAGTGGCATTTTTTACAGAAATAGGAAACTCAGTGGAGCTTCTTCCTTCTTTTTGACTCTCATGACCCTGTCCTCAGCAGATTCACCTGTGACTATATCTGTTTCTCTTTCTGGGTCTTATCTCTTCTTGTGCCTCTCATGTTTAAGTATCTCCCAATATTCAGTTAATAACATTTTCTGTTTTCTGTAGGTAGAAACTGCCATGCCCACAGGTCGAGCTATGACATGCATACTGATGCCTCCCAGAAGTACCACTTCAATCTCTGACCTCCCTCCTGAGCATCCAGATTTGAATTTGCATCTTTCTGTGAGCATCTCCAAGTAGATGTCCTTCAGGCACTATTCATAGGTTGAAAAGAGTGCAGAGCAGAAAGATGAATAAAAGCACAAATGCTGGGGTCAAATCTCTGAGATTCAAATCCTGGCTCTGCCACTAAATAGCTATATGTCTTTAAGCCACCTAATTAACCTCTCTGTGCCTAAGGATTCTCATCAGTAAGATGGGGATAAAAATACTTGCCTTATAAAATTATTGAAATGGTTATGCTAAAAAAAATGTGCAAAGTCTTTAGAACAGTGCCCGGCACATGTTAAGTACTGTTTAGCTATCAGCCATAATTTTAAAAATAGTGTTTTTAAAATCAGTAATATTATTGACAACCTTTTCTGAATATTGTCCAAGTGCTTTACAGGGATTATTTCACTTATCATGGGAATGATCCTATGAGATAGCCACTGTTATTATTCCTACTTTACAGATGAGGAAAAGAGAGGTTAATTAGCCCAAGGACACACAGTTTCCCCAAGATCAAAGAGTCAGTGGTGGGGCCATAATTTAAACCAGGGCAGTCTGACTTCAGATCCACACTTTTGACCTGGGCTTCCCTGCTCAATTACAAATACCAAATTGACTCCTTATCTTCTCCCCAGAACAGCCTCCCTTTCCGGTTTTCTCCCCTTTCCCCAAGATTACCATTACAGCCCCTTTCTTTTTCACCTGTGAATTAGCAAATGCTGCACCCAGAATCTTTCCTCCACCTCTACCCCATTCTCTTCTTGCTGCCCTGACTAGTTGAACTGTCCTCTTTATCTTAACCTGTCGTGACACCACCTCCCTGGTCACCGTGCTCTTGCCTTCTTGCCTTCTTGCCTTTCCAATTTATCCTGCTCACTGACACCTCAGTTGCCATTTGGAAACGAAAATAGAATTTTCAGCTTGATAACATTAAGGCAGAGATGTTGCAGCAAACAAACACTTCAGCAGGCAAGACAAATATGTTTCAGATATTTTTTAGCAGCTAGAGAAACTCCAAAGCAACAGCCAGTGATTTAGAACAGAGGCTCCTCTTACGAAGCAGACAGGCTGTAGAGATAGAATTCAAGGCTCAGCAGACATGTATCTCCTGTTATATAAGCAATCAGAATTCTCTTTTCCAATTGAACAAATCCCTCTCTGCTTTGATGGGGAAACTGGGATGTCAGTTTCCCTAAAATGAAAATTCTATTTCACAGCAAAATGGTTCCAGTCAACTGGAGAGAGAGAGAAAGAGAAATCATAACTGTTTTCCCCTCCCCAGCCTAGCATCCTCCCCACCCCCTTAACATGGAAAACTCCTATACATCCTTTAAAGCCCAGGGAAAATGTGTCTTTTCTGTTGAAGCCCTTTGTCAACTCTTCCAGACACTTTCTCCTTTTTAATCATGCAGTAGAACATGGCAGTTAGGAAAATGGGCTCTTTGGAAAATATTCAGTGTTCAAATGCTGATTTTGCTATTCATTAGCTACATGGCTGTCAGCAAGTTGCCTCGTCTTACTGTGCTACACTTTTCCTCATTTGAAAAATGGAGGGCGGTCTCACCTCTCTTTTTATATGTGATTATTTGGAGGATTAAAAGGGAAAAATTATGAAAAGCATTTAGCTCAGCAGCTGGCACTTGTCAGTACCCAGTAACTGTTACCAGCTGAATTTTATAGCCATAAAATAAATACAAGCATCCTAGAAAATTATAATACCCATAGGAAGCATGAGATTTTTTTTCCAAATTAAGAAAAAAGATATAGTAGTCTTGGAGTAGTTTCTCTTCCTCTTAAAGGAAAAATAAAATGTCAGACTTTCTTACATTCTCATAGGTCAGTAGGTTGTTCCTATAGCTATGGGGACAATATAGTGAGGGTATGAGGCAGACTTCAAGTTACAAGTTAGGGTTTGATCCGATGTCTTGGACATTTGCTTGGATCTGTACAAACCAGGATTCTGTCCAAGAACTCCTTTGATGAGGAAGTGTTGCTAGAACTTGGCCTATGAGCTCTGCCTGCTGGGAATTAGTTTTAGCAAAGAGAGAGAGAGAGAGACAGAGAATATCATGGTGATGAGTGCTAGGACATTGTCAAGGCTCTTTTAAGTGTGACCACCAGGGGACAGCAGGAAAGACAGGAGAAGACCTAGAGTTCAACTTGGAGTACTGAAAGCCTTCCCTTTCCTTCTTTTCTCTCTGTGAAGGTTGTTTTCCTTCTTTGGGGAGTTGCAGGCCCATTTGGTAAATGAAGTGTCATATGGAGAATTTTCAGCAGATGCTTCTCTTCTGATAGGGAATGGCAAAGCCCCCTAAATTCATGAAACATATGCAGGTGCCAGCCAACTTTGCACTGCCTTCATGACACCTCATCTGTTTTCTCAAACAGCCAAGCAGCACTCTGTGCCCTTAGTGAAGTAAGGGGGAATAGGGGCCAAAAGGGCAGCGTGAAGACCTAACTGTTGTCCTCCCTGACAGCTGTCGTTTTGTGATGCTGCTGCTTGCTTTTCATGAAATCTGTGACCAGCTCCATCCCTATCGTGCCCCCTGCCTCTGTAACCAGATTTTTGAGTCTACATATAGGTTTACTGAGATGACATTTACTTATTCATTGATTCTGTCTTTGGAAGATGCCTCTTCCACCCATACAAGGTATGCTGAATAATTGGTACTCAGAAGTGTAATTAGCCACACATATAAGACATCAGAACTACTATATGGGAGGCCCAATGACTGATCATGAATATACACAGTGAGAGAAATGTCAGTCTTGTGTGAATTATCTTATTTAAACCCCTCAGCCACCAATAAGTTACCTTCTACTTTTACATCCTTAGATCAGGAGTAAGATTCCAAGTTCTATAATGATAGCCAACCAAGACATTACAGAACAATTGCCATGCTCTACCAGTAGTAATACCTGACATTTATTGAGCCAATAATATCTAGACCATGGCTGTAGCATATTTCCTACATAGAGGGGAATTTACTCAACACCATTCTTGATCAGCTGCCCAAACCCCGCAGTATTATATAAAGTGACTTCCCTGACAAGTTGCCCCAAGGCATTCCCATAAGTGTACTGGCATTGTGGTTATATACTATGAAATATATATTATAAAATGCATTTTTCTCTGCTCATGTTTTCCAGCAGGTTTAGGAGTCACCTAAAATTATTGAACATCTTGCTTCCAAACAAAATAAACTGTATTACACATTCAGCTCTACATAATAACAGGAATTTCTTTTCTCTGAATCGTCCAATCTTTTTTTTTTTTTAAAAAAAAGTTTTGTATGTATGTGTGTTCTGAATACTATATGCATAGATTTTAGCTTGAGAGAACTGATTAACTCACATTGCATCTTGGGAGGCAGATTAGCTAGGCATCAGTTTTAAAGAATTAGATTTAAATAGAGGGCAAAGAATTTCCCAGAAAAGATGAGCAGAATAAAAAATATAAAAGAGAAATTCTCAAGATCAGGACATAGAGCTAGGTTCCATAGATGCTACAAATTGAAATGAACCTTGATCCTACTCTCAAGGAACTAAATCGAGCTGTCACAATCTCTATGAAGCAATTGTAGAGGTAATTAAAAATATGACTGAGGTAGTCACAATTGAGAGCATCAACTAAGGTCAGTGAAAATTGGAGCAGGAGGTCTGGCTAGACACAAATTTGGGAGATTCGAAGCAGTTGAATTCTCAAGCAGCGTTCAGACACAGAGATTAATGCTGGTCAAAGGAAAAATTGTTCAGTACCAAGGACAGCTCCCTAGAAAGCTTTTATTCCCATAGATCTCTGGGCAGAGACCACAGGAGTATTTTGGTAGCTGTGCTCTCTCTCGTAATAGTTCATTGCACAAGCATTCTCATGTGATAATGTGTGCACATGACAGCATCTTTTACGTACCGATTAAATTACCAGTGGTACCATTATCATTGTATTACGGTTCTGCAGAGGGACAGAGCTAATAGGATATGTGTATATATAAAAGGATATTTATCAGAGATAATTCACCCACGTGATTACAAGGTAAAGTCCCACTATAGGCCATCTGCAAGCTGGGGAACAGAGAAGTCCATAGTGGCTCAGTCCGAATCCGAGAGCCCCAAAACTAGGGAAACCAACAATGCAACCTTCAGTCTGTGGCCAAAGGCCCGAGAGCTCCTGGCAAGTCACTGGTGAAAGTCCCAGAGTCCAAAGGCTGAAGAATGTGAAGTCTGATGTTCAAGGGCAAGAGGAACAGGAGGAAGCATCTAGCAGGGGAAAAAGAAGTAAGACGGAAGACCCAGCAAGCAAGGTTATCACACCTTCTTCTGCCTGCTTTGTTCTAGCCATGCCGACAGCCAGCTGGATGGTGTCCACCCACAATGAGGGTGGGTCTTTCTCTCCCTGTCCACAGTAAAAGCTGTGTAAGTGGATAAGATTAATAAGGGATAATGTGAAGGGAGATGAGAACAAGGGCTACATCTAGAACCTAGGAGGAACACTCATATTCCAGTACTGGAGGAGAAAGTGGCATAAGTCTAGAACCCTTCCAGAGAAGGAGAAAACTCTCAGGAAAGTATAGGATTAGTGAGGTGAAGAGAAGAATAAATATCCAGAAGAGGGTTAATTGTTTAAGCTATATTAAGCTGCAAATAAATGAATTCCAGTACTAGATTAAACAATAAATAAATGTAATTAATTCATATAAAGTGATTGAAGGTAGGCAGTTAAGAGTGTTTCAGCAGTGTTTCAGCAGCTCATCATAATATTATGAATCTTAGCTCTCTACATCTTTCCAATTAATTATCCTCTGCATGTTGACTTCTTGTCCCTGTGTTTATTGCCTGATGGTTGCAAGACGGCTGATGCAACTCTAGACACATCAAGATCATGTTGAAATGAAATGAGATGAGAGTGGGCAATGGAGAGAAGATTCATGATCTTTTCTTCCATCAGGAAAGAAAATCCTTTCCAGAAGTTCCTATAGACTTCTTATGATTTTTAATTATTCAGGACCAGATTACATGGCCACCCCTACTGTTGAGGAGACTAATGAAGTATTTGGCTTTTCCAGGCTTTGTTGTTAGCGTCCAGTAAGGATGCAATTGGAAATGGACTTTGTGGTGAACAGCCAACAAGATTGGCCACAGTGGAATTAACGACATCAGTGTTCTTTCAGACATTGAAATGCTTTTTCCATAATTAGTTCTTTTGAATAAGCTGATAAAATAGTCAAGATTACCCAAAGCACCTTCTCATGAAAGCAGGAAACAAAGTTTTGGCAATCCTTAGCCATGATATTTTGGTTGCTAAAATTGATGGCATTTCTTACTTTTTAAAAAACTGTCATATGAACAAGTGTTTAGTTCATCTTTTTCTCATATGAAAGTTAAGTTCTGACTTATTCATGTTGGTCTCAGTTTTTAAGAATCAATCATACAGAAAAGTTGGTAGATTTTGTGGATTTATAGTAGAACTACTTAGCTAAAAATTTGTTTATCATTTGAAGGCCATGTTCCCCTTTAATTAGATATTCTAGAACCTCTGGATTTTTCCATAATACTATTTTTCGTAAGTTGTACTGTATAAAAATAATTCGTTTTGAAGATGTTGTATCATTGAACTAAAAATCATATTAATACTCATCCAAAGAATTACACAGTCATTCTCTTTAATAGGGGAACTTAAGAACCAGAACTGTTTCCTATGATGTTTAGGAGACATTCAGTGAATTTTGATCATGATGAACTAGAACATCCAATTCTAAGTTGGACACTGGTCTCAGAAAGAATGCTGGCTGCAGAGGTCTTTGAGATAATGAATCATCTGGTTTCTTATAGTATTAATGCTTATAATTAGAGACAGAAAAGAGTTTAATTTCTTGCACGAATTAATTAATACTTACGATAAATGTCTTGAAAGCTCTTTCTGGTGTCTGGTTCAAAAATTGCAGTTCTTGAGGTCTGTTAATTCCTTCTAAAATGGAAAAGCTGGTAAAGGTTGTGACACTGCTGCTAAAGTGATCTGTGAATTAGAGGACGTTTGACTTCTCCTCTGACCTCTAAGCTCATGTGGCCATTTGCTTGCATGACCTCTCATTGAGATTACCCAAAGTTGCCCCAACTTTAAAAGGAAGATAATAACAGTACTTTCCTCATGAGCCTGTTTTGATAATTACATAAGATGCTTAGAAAAGTGCCTGGGACACAATGAACACTCAGAAATGTTGGGTAGGAACAATGGTTATGATGATCATGATAAAGGAGGAGGAGGAGAATTTGGCAATTATTTCCTGAGTACCCACTATATGTAAAACACTATGCCAAATACTAGGAATACAAAGGTAAATTAGACATGCAAGATTTACGTTCCAGAAAGCTTCATTTTTGTGTTCTCTAATTCTGTACATGTCTTTCTTCCATTTATAATGTAGATTTACATGTAACAGCAAACTCACTGGAAATGTGTTTCCCCCCATTTTCTGCTATATTGACCCTGTATGTAGAAATAACCAGGGTCCCACAAAAATCTGTTTTGTTTTCTTTATTGATGAGCACAGTTTAAGAATTGTGTAAGTCCTCAGTAGCCTCTAAAGTATTTCAGGCATTTTCAACATGACATGTCAACACTCACCCAAGAGACCATCTTTTAACTAAGTCGTTATTGAAAGTTCTCATTTTGTTCACTTCTTCAGAAAATTCAAAGAAGAAAAAAAGCCTAAAGCCACTCACTCGTTGCTCTTTCAATGGCATCACCATTGTGTGATCTGTCTTCTTCTGCTAGAAGGAAATTCCAGGAATCCTTGATCTCGCATCTTTTAAACTGATTTCACAGAGGGTATCCCTGACAGCATTTAAAAAAAAAAAGCAAGCAAGAAAAACCTCAAATGGGTAGAATTTTTCTAAAAGTCTGAAATAAAAGTTTATAACTGATTTTCAGGTTTCCTATTATTACCTAGGCACACCTAAATGAATACTTGAAGAATGGGGTTGTAAATACTCCCAGAGGCAACTGCAGCAATCATGATCATATGTCTGTTGCAGTGGAATTCTTTAGTATAAATTATTGTATATTAAACCCTAATAAATATGTAGGATCAAAACATGTGTTTCTGGTTGTGGGGACTGCAAGATGTGCAAGTCCCCTTGTCCCTGTTCTGGTGGCCCTTGAGCATTCCTGCCAATCTTTGGAACTTCAGAGAATGCCAGAGTTGTGGGGAAAGATAATTCTTACTTTCTACCCCCATTTCCCTCCGTCCTATGGCAGTCTGGGACGTGGCTGTACACTATAACTAAACTTTAAGACATCTACAAGTAAGAAACGTGAATAAGAACTTCACCTGGGAAACCAGTCTAGAAGAGGGAAATCCAACATGGACTGAACAGTCTAGAAGAGGGAAATCCAACACGTACTGAACAGTCTAGAAGAGGGAAATCCAACAGGGACTGAAAAGTCTAGAAGAGGGAAATCCAAAACGTACTGAACAGTCTAGAAGAGGGAAATCCAACATGGACTGAAAAGTCTAGAAGAGGGAAATCTAACACGTACTGAACAGTCTAGAAGGGGGAAATCCAATGTGGACTGAACAGTCTAGAAGAGGAAAATCCAACATGGACTGGACAGTCTAGAAGAGGAAAATCCAACATGGACTGGACAGTCTAGAAGAGGGAAATCCAGCATGGACTGCTGTGCACCAGCCTACATCATAGTCACGTGGTTAGCATTGGTTGCATATCTGCAGTAGCCTAGAGTTTAATCACACAAGCAGCCTTGGAGCTTTAGTTAATTTCAGTTGTTCAAACTAGTTGGATTTATGAAGGCCTTGCCATGCCCTTCATCCCCCACTTTTGAAGCCTCTCTTGATTATTTTTTTTAAGCTGCTGTGGTAAGAGGTAATTCTGGATGGAATATTAGTTAGACTGAGGCAAACTAATATAAATAATATTGGACTATTAATTTTGGAAGGGTCACTAAGCCCCCTCAAAAATAAAAAGGAAGAAATTACACATTTTCATAAATGGTTTTGCAAGAATGAAAAAGTAATCTTTAGTCCTAGACAAATGCTCTTGGAACATTATTGTATAATTTCTGGTTCTTTTCTCTCTCGACTGTAGTTATTTCACACACATTACAGATGAAGCCACTGTATCAGTCAGAGACCAATTTTAATCCCAAGGTTGATTAGACAGGTAGCTCTTCGCAGCTTGTGCACTCTCCCTTTGTTCTACAGCCCTACACTCACACAGACAAAGATTTACACACAAGTAAGGATTTGGCCTGATTCGTTAGTGGAACATCCTGATGAACACTTGGTTGCATTTAACCTTTTGCTGCAACAAAAAGTCCCAAGGTTGCCATAGTAATGGGAAATTAAATCCACAGAGCTATTCCTTTTCCCTTAGTGGTTCTGGCATGCTATCACACCATAGCATGCTTACAACCTCGGTCAAGAAAGAGCTGTGATCCCACCGTTTGTCCATCGAGTTCTAAGCTATGGTATTTGTAAAAGGTCATTCTGCTCTCCCGACATTAACCTGAATGGAACAGCTGGAACGTAAATTGGAAGGAGGAGTGATGATTCTCCCTTTGGCCATTTGATGACTTGGGAATTAAATGGGACCCAATATGTCATCTAACGTTAGTTCCAGCCAGTGTTTCAGCCACAGGACATCTCGGAAAGGTGGTCATTTGGCTCTTGCCTGAAGCAATCGAGGAAGGAGAGCCCAGTTCTGGAATTAGACAATTATTGTTCTTACCCTTGAACCAGCCACTTACCTGCTGCGTTCCCACTCTTGGCCAGGGGCCAATTAATGAATGAAACAAGCTCCCTGCACTCAGGAGGCTCACAGAGAAGATGATCCAGTTTATGCTACCGCATCTCCACCATAACTCCCCTTTTAGCTCATTAACTCCCTCAAAAATATCCTTCTGCTAATTCCTCTCCCTTCCCCTCTCTTCCACTGTTGCCTTTGGAGCTTTCACTTTATCCTAAACTTCTTTATGTCTTTAGTCATCTCCTAGAACACACATTTCCTCACCTTTAGAGAAACTTGACTCTTTCTTCAACTAATCTGCAGTGTTCAAATATGAATACCTTTCTGTCTTTCCTTCTTTCTTTCTCTTTTTCTTTCTTCCTTTGTCTCTTTCTTCTTCCTCCTTTACTTCCTTTCTTTTTTTCTTTCTCCCTTCCTTCCATTTATTCATTCAACAATTATTTATAAGGGACTTAATATGTGCCCAGCACTGTTCTAGGCACTACAGATACAGCATTGAACCACCCCAATTAAGCTTGCATTCTACTGGGGAGAATGAAAATAAAATTAAAATTAAAATGAGATATATAGTAAATTAAATTAGAAATGCAGTAGGGTTTCTTTTTAAGTGGAGGTGGTCCTTTCTCCTATCCTCCCAACTTCTTAACTCCAATGTTTCAAAGCTAGGAGGAGAAATCAGTATTCCCAGGGACCCTTTGGAAGAACCTTTCTTCTTTCACCCTCTTTCATCCATTCCTTCTCTGAAGCTCATGCCATCTGATTAATCACACTATGTTCACTCCTCCCAGCCTCTGGGTTTCCACCCTAATGCATTGAGATTCTAGGGCTCTGGATTCTGGTTCAGTTTTCCTGTCTCCTTTCAGCATTTGAGTGATTTCTGCATCCGATTTGAAGGGTCAGTTTCTTGGTTTTCATTATTCCAATAATGTTTCTCTCCCCCTCATTTGAGAAGCCAACTCATAAGACTAAACTCTAGTCCTTGCTAATATGCCAACTACTCTAATTCCAATATTTCCCACCATAAATCTCCTCCTGGACCATAACCTTTTGTTTCTCCCAATTTTCTCTCTCATGGAAACAACTCCCATGGAAACAATCACACACACACACACACACACACACACACACACACTCATGTGGTTACCTTTTTGCCAGTTTTCCAGCCTCCTGGACTGAACAGTCTAGAAGAGGGATCCAACATGGACTGGAAGAGGGGAATCCAACATGGACTGCTGTGCACCAGCCTACATCATAGTCTGCCTACATGGTGCTTGGCATGTAGATAGAATGAGAGATGCTGAATGATAGTCCTCATTCTCCCTAAGCCCTTAGTGATTATGAGCCCCTCCCACTTGTCCTACCAAACTTAAACTTCTTATTAACATGACCCATCTCTTTTCTCCTCTCTTGCTGTTAAGGTGTGTGGTGATCACAGTAATGGCCCCCCAAATATGACTTTGTCCTAATTCTCAGAATCTATAAATATGTTTCTTTCTTTTTTTTTTTTTTTTTTTTTTTTTTTTTTTTGAAGACGGAGTCTCGCTTGCTCTGTCGCCCAGGCTAGAGTGCAGTGGCGTGATCTCGGCTCACTGCAAGCTCCGCCTCCCAGGTTCACGCCATTCTCCTGCCTTAGCCTCCCAGGTAGCTGGTACTACAGGCGCCCGCCACCCCGCCTGGCTAATATTTTGTATTTTGGGTAGAGACGGGGTTTCACCGTGGTCTCTATCTTCTGACCTGGTGATCCGCCTGCCTCAGCCTCCCAAAGTGCTGGGATTACAGGTGTGAGCCACCGCGCCCGGCCTAAATATGTTTCTTACATGGTCAAAGAAACCTTCTAGATGTGATTAAGTTAAGGATCTTGAGATGGAGACAGTGTTATTGACTATCTGGATAGACCCAATAGAATCAGAAGTGTCCTTACAAGAGGGATAGAGGAGGGTCAGAGAAAGAGATGTGGCAATGGGGACAGCAGTTAGAGTGATGCAGCCCTGAGCCAAGGAATGTGGGTAGCCTCAAGAAGCTGGAAAAGGCAAGAAACGAATTCTCTTCTGGAGCCTCCTGAAGGTACCAGCCCCACTAACACCTTGACCTAACCCCCATGAGACTGATCTCCAACTTCTGACCTCTAAAACTATAAATCATCAGAGTTGTTTTAAGTCACTAAGATGGTACAGTTAGTTACTGCAGCTGCAAGAGACTCATATAAAATACCAGCACCACTAGATAACACAGCAAGGGAGTGCAGTGATTATGGTGCCTTGTGCCTTCAGGATTCTCCTCCACCCTCGGCAGGCCTGGTGCTACTAAGCACCTCTGCACTTATGGTCTGCTGTCCTGTTCCACCATTCTCTTTCCCAGCACATCAAGAACCAACCACAGAGTTGACAAGAGGCCACTTGTAACAATGTGAGCTTCTGTTCCCCTAATAGTATTAACAATTACATTCCTGTGACTCCTTTCAGGGCCGTGAAGATGTTCCTTGGACCCAGGCAAAGGCAGAACTGCTGACAGCTTTGGCTGCTCCATGTCACCTCACTTGTGAATGGCGACAGAAAAGCCAGGGTGATCTGTAGCTGATCCTCTGGTCAGTTCCACTGGCTCAAATTAAAATTTTAGAGAATCGGTCTCTGGTATATTTCCCCTTTGCAGATGACACAGAGAGGGTCATTTATGTTCATAAGTTGGGGCGAAAGCTCCACTGGCTAGTAGCAGCATTTGAATAGGGGGAAATGGCACCTTTTGACTGCTCATGTTTATTATGGGAGGGGAAAAATGAGTTTTATTATTGAACTTCATGTGACCTTCCATGGGATCCAAGAGGGATTCAATGACTGAGAAACACAGGAAAAACAGCAGGCAGCAAAAACAGTGAACTAGCTCAAGAAATATGTTTTTTTGTTTTTAAAAACATTGGAAACATACTACAAGTCCCTAATTAGTTTGACCTCCATGGTTAGATTTTTTTTTTTTAACTCCAATATTTTCCTGAGTTGATTTTAGCTTTGTTTGTTTTTCCATTGACAAGATTCATTTTTAATTGTGTTGTCAAGTTAGAGAATAGGATTCTGCTTTTGAAAAAAGTGCTTCGTGGCATGGAGATAACAATAACTTTTCATAACTTGTGATGTTTTGTTAAATAACTTCCTGAACGAGCCATGGTAATAAGTGCTAGCCCAAGAAATCAGAACTTTGGTGCTTGGCATGTAGAGAGGATGAGAGATGCTGAATGAATGAGAAATAAGTAGATATACTAGAAATTAGTCCGTAAGACAAGGGGATGGATGAGATTCTGTATCGGTTTGCGATTCTCTTCTTGCCTTTGTTCCTTTGGGGAATAAGCTACACATATTTATTTGTTGATGTTTTATGGAAAATCTATTTGGTGCGTGAATTCTGTTGTTTTCTTGTGAAGTTCATTGTTTCAAATCTCCCCATCTTCCAGTGCATTCAGGCACTATTCTTGGTTTATTTGTTAAAATAACTGTTGCACTGGGCCAATCCATTACATTTATCTTTAATAACCAACTCTAGGGGTTTGTTCGGTCATCACTTTCCCTGTCAAGGGGCACAAATATCTTCTCTCATCCGTTTCCTAGGGGGAAGTATCTTCTTTTCTTGTCTTGATAAGACAGTTACCAAAGGAAGAAAGAGGAAAGCCTTATCCTTTGAAAGATGGCATTAATTCATGTGCATTTGGCAGTGGGAGAGGATATTGCAGTCTGGGGTCAGCTATGACTTAAGACTTTCTATAAGACTGGATCTGAACAAGCCATAGCATTTACGAGAAGGTCCTTTTGTGTGTTGTGACACAGACTGGTATCCCATTTATGACAAGAGTGGCCCATTTTCTAAGATTGGTCCAGAGCAGGACACTCTTTGACCAATCTCAACCACCTGATTTCCTCATGAGGTACAGGGGACTTATGCAAACCTCTCCTTTAATATGGAAACCTCTCCTTTGATGACCCATCTTTAAGGAAAGGGTTAGAACCTTCAGTCTGGATTTTATTCATTATCATGTCCCCTATGCCAGGCTCAGAGACTTCCTGTGATTATATTTGTTGCATGACCATTACATATACACTAAAAGACAATGAAGACACACACACACACACACACACACTCACACAGCATTGAAGATGACCCAAAAGAGAGAAAATGAAGCTTGAGAAAAATAAAAATAAATTACCTGGTCTCCAGCCAAACAACCTACTCAGAATGCTGAGGGGAAGGTGACCAGTTGTGGCTAATCTTTCCTTAGAACTTGTGCTCTGCTTCTGTAACTTGGCAAGCACAGGCCCTTTTGTAAAATACCTTTATAATATTCCACTATGACATGAACCACGTTTTTATTTTATTTTATTGTGGTAAGAACACTTAACATGAGCTCTACCCTCTTAACAAATATTTTTGAGTAGACAATCCATTATTGTGTACACAAGCTATCTGGAGCTTATTCAGCTTGCCAAAAGCTATCTAGAGCTAATTCAGCTTGCCTGGCTGAAAACTGATGCCCATTGATTATTAATTCCTCATTTCCCCTCCCTTCAGCCCCTGGCAACCACCATTCCCCTCTTTGAGTCTATAAATTGGACTGTTTTAGGTACCTCATCTAAGTTGATCTGGTACAGACACTATGGGACACAGTATGGAGTTTCCTCAAAAAATTAAAAATAGAGCTACCATGTGATCCAGCAGTTTCCCTTCTGGGTATTTAAAAGAATTGATATCAGGATCTTGAGGACGTATTAGGGCTCCTGTGTTCACCACAGCAGTACTCACAACTGGCAAGATGTGGAACCAGCCTAAGTGTTTCCTGACATGCACTCTCTTTTCCAGTTTGATTAATTTACAGTGATCATGTTTGTTGCATGAAGATTAACTATACAGTAAAAGACAATGGAGAAATACACACACATACTCCCACACAGCATTGAAGAGGACTCCAAAGACAGAAAACAGGGCATAAGGAAAATGAATAAATGAAAAACCTGATTTCTTGGCAAACAACCTAATTGATGGGAGCTAAAGTAGTTGACTCTTATTTACTTCCACTTTATTCTTTAACATTACAAATAATAGACTCCCTGAATTGAAAGCAAAATTAAATGTGATTTTATCAAACCTTTATTCTTCTTTTTGAAATCCTGCTTTTCTATGTCTTATCCATAGAATTTCCAAGTCTCTGCTTGAGCATTTTCAGTGGTAAAGAATTTACACTCTCATGAAAGAGATCATTTCACTGTTGGTAGGTTG
Source organism: Homo sapiens (assembly GCF_000001405.40). Classification (NCBI taxonomy): domain Eukaryota; kingdom Metazoa; phylum Chordata; class Mammalia; order Primates; family Hominidae; genus Homo; species Homo sapiens. The sequence goes on from NC_000016.10 coordinate 83,430,669, forward strand.
AAATTGTAAGAAAGTTCTTTCTCAACAAGGATCTGAAATTATTCCTATAGTTTCACCCAGTAGTCCTGTCTCTACTTAATGGTAGATTCCACATTCCAGATTTTTAAAAAAGTTTATTCTGCTTTCTTGTCTACTTTAATCTACACACCAGTTCTTTTTTTTTTATACTTTAAGTTTTAGGGTACATGTGCACATTGTGCAGGTTAGTTACATATGTATGCATGTGCCACACTGGTGTGCTGCACCCACTAACTCGTCATCTAGCATTAGGTATATCTCCCAATGCCATCCCTCCCCCCTCCCCCCACCTCACAACAGTCCCCAAAGTGTGATGTTCCCCTTCCTGTGTCCATGTGTTCTCATTGTTCAATTCCCACCTATGAGTGAGAGTATGCAGTGTTTGGTTTTTTGTTCTTGCGATAGTTTACTGAGAATGATGATTTCCAGTTTCATCCATGTCCCTACAAAGGACGTGAACTCATCATTTTTTATGGCTGCATAGTATTCCATGGTGTATATGTGCCACATTTTCTTAATCCAGTCTATCATTGTTGGACATTTGGGTTGGTTCCGAGTCTTTGCTATTGTGAATAATGCCGCAATAAACATACGTACACACCAGTTCTTATAATTGTTGCATAGTTGGCTGCGTTGAGGAGACAACCATAGGTTAGAGTTCTTTTACGATCCTGGTCCTATCTCCTTATCATTTATTTCATTCATTCATCCAAGCAGGAGATGATGGCAGAGAGGAAACAGAGCAGAAGTCATTGTGCAAATCATGGAGGTCTTTGTAGGTCATTGTATCAGTCCGTTCTTGCATGGCTATAACTAACTACCTGAGGATGGGTAATTTATAAAAAATTTTTTAAAAAGGCTTAATTGGGTCACAGTTCTGCAGGCTGTACAGGAAACACAATGCTGGCATCTTCTGGGGAGGCCTCAGGAAGCTTCCAATCATGCACGAAGAGAAAGGAGGAATGAGGTATCTCACATGGTGAGAGCAGGAGCAAAAGAGAGCAAGAGGGGAAGTGCCACACACTTTCAAACAACCAGGTCTCATAAGAACTCACTCTCATGAGGATAGCACCAAGGGGATGGCACTAAACCATTCGCAAGAATTCACCCCCATGATCTAATCGCCTCCCGCCAGGCCCCACCTCCAACACTGGGGATTACTATTCACTGTGAGATTTGGGTGGGGTCACAGATCCAAACCATATCCATCATTACGTGAACTTGGAATTTTTGCAGTGATACATACGGCCATTGGCAGATTTTGAGCAGAGGAAAGAGGGATTCATGTTTTAATGGATCCTTCTGGCCACTTTGTTGAGGGATAGACTGGAGAAGGAGGAAGGGGAGAAACAGAGAAACCAGGTAGAAGGCTTCTGCAATTACCCAGACCCAAGGGGATAGTGTCTTGGACTTCAGTGGAGGCAGGGTTGCTGTTGAGAGTGGTCAGATTGTGGTATATTGCCAGTTGCACAGCTGGAAATTTCAGATTCCCTGTGACGTGGGAATCTTTTATCCACAAGGTTGTCATGCATTTGGAATAAGAGAAATGAATTACCAACATGAGCTGCTGGGACACCATGGATCCGTTCGAGGAGTATCAGTAGCTGCAGTAGCTCCTTCTAGTGCTGTGCCAGGCACAGAACTCATACCATGTCATCCTATAATCTACCCCAATGGTAGTTAATATACCCCTATCACAGATGAGGAAACTGAGGCCAGGCTCAGAAGTAGGCTTCAAGTGGAATGTCTAGCAAGTGGCAGAGTGGGGACCTATGCCTACTTCCACGCTTGAGATGTTCTTCTGGGGCATGGAGAACAGTGGCAAGGATCCCCTCCTCTCCTCACCACAGCTGCTGTAAACAGAGTGGGTGAAACGAGCTTCAAGAAAAGCTTTTAGACTGAACTTGAGAAGAGTGCTGGCCTGGGACTGGAGCCACCACGTGTCACTTCACTCTGGGTGGAGAAAGGTGTAGCCGGCTCTCAGGCTCATGCAGATGTCATGAGCTTCCCCAAAGGGCCCCAAGAAAATTCTAGAAGGCAGAGTTGGATGGCACAGGCAGCTGGGTCTCTGAGATGCATCTTGCACACAGCCTCAGAGCATCCCTGATCAGGAAGTGCAAACAGGTTGCTAGGAATATTTTCCTCGATTTAAAAATCACCACCACACCATAAATGTGTAGTGTTCAAAGAAAACTTGCATGGTCCTGTTTGACATAACATTTATGTTTCTTCTTCATGGTTAGGGTTGATAAGAATTACTTTCACTTTACAAAACAGAAGCCATGGGCTAAGGAGTATTACTTATCCATGCTGTTGCAGGAGGTCTCCTACTGAACTGGGGTAGAACTTTCCAGCTCCCTTGGCTCTCTTACTGTGTCATGCTTCTGGGGAATGAGAGGCACAGAGAAGCCATCAGCAGGTGTTTACTGAGCACCTACTATGTGCCAGATACTAGACTAGACAGACCAAGTCCCCGTCTTCCTGGAACTTACTGGTAGAGTGTTGGGACCAGAAAGGGGTTGCCCTGAGTTCTCGTCCTGGCTCTTGTGTGAATTAGTCCATGACTATTTGCTTACCCAACATCTCATAGCTTCAGTTTCCTCAACTGTAAAATGAGGGAAATAAGAGTGCCTCTGCCTTCCCCTTGAGGCTTGTTGAGTAGTTCCAATGAGTCAGCAAAAAATGAGAAACACGAAAAAGCTTTGTGACTTCTAATTCAGCATTTATGTGAATGTGGGCTATCATTCATTACTGGGAAAATGCATGACCAGCGGATAAACCACAATGACCCCATGTAAAGAGCATCATTGTTTCCTTGGTGCACCTACTAATTTTACCAAAGGCAGCTGGCCTCACTCCCTGTGACTGCAAGAAGTTTTCATGTTCATTTTTGTGAGCTTGGGGATGAGGGTGGTTTCTCCTATTGACTCAGGAGTGTAACCACCAGAAGATTCATTACCCCAGCAGGAAAGAAAGGGGAGCCCTCTCAAGTCCAGTTGTGTGGACCCGGTGACAAATGTGGCAAACAGGCTGATGTAGATTCCTTGAATGTACCATTAGCTACTGCCATGTCACATTACACTTGTTTATGCAAGAACCGTGCAGCAGATAAGAGTGTTTAAATGCCTTTATTACATGGCATCATGGTATTGGTAGTAGTTGGTAATGATTTTTTTTTCCTCAGTGCAAAGCACACTCTTAATCTAAAAATATGAATTATGCTTAGTGGCTCGTTGGAAAGTATTTCCTTTGCGTTGGGGGGGAATCAATCTTTTCTATTACTTATTTTTCTTTCCTTTCTAGCAAGGTTAATATGCAGAACATTATCTGATGGACTTTATTTTATAAGGTGAGAGGTTTCCCAGAAGTGCAGTACAAGGCTCATTACTCCAGTGCAGAATAAATTGTCCAAAGTAATTTGAAGGGGCATCGTTAATAGCCCAGTCTTCTATGTACCTAAGCTGAGGTACCACCTTGCCGCTCAGGTTATTGAGAATTGTCCAGCATCTCAACGAACTCTGCTCCAGTTTCAAGATGGACCCCATTAGGGCCAGGTCATGGTACAACATGGGAGAATCATAGGGCTTGGAATTTTGAGACCTGCGTTCTTGTCCTACCTGCTCCATCCACTGGCTAGATAGCCTTGGCTCTGAACCTACTTCCCCATTTGTGTGACAGAGATGACATGCAAGATGACTTCCTCAAGGGTCATATTCCCTGTTGCCTCTGAAATATAAAGCAGTGTCTATCTCTGGCGTGGTCCAGCCCTGCCACCTCTCTTCACCCCATCTCATTCCACTCTCCCATGCCCACTGAAGTGCCAATGATTCAAGTCCACATGCTGAAAAATCTAACCTAGAGTCCCTCCTCCACTCCCTCCATCTCAAACTCAATTAAAAAAAGAAAAAACAGATCCATCCAGTGTGCCACAGTGAGATACCAATCAGTAATCATGTACATAGCCCTTCCTCTTATCCCTGTCTTAGAGCCAATCCATGTCCCAGCCCTGCCGATGTCACCCCTCAATATGTCTGCAATCTGTTGTTTTGTCTTTGGTTCCTCTGCTGTCGCCCTAACCAAGGATATGCCCCAATTTCTCTCTTGGACTCTTTCAACAGCCTCATACCTGGCATACCTGCACCTATTTAAAATATATATATATGTGTGTGCGTGTGTGTGTGTGTGTGTGTGTGTGTATGTGTATTTAAAATAAACCCCTATTTTATTTATATATATAATATATAAATATATTTTATTTATATATAAAACATAGGGGTTTTATTTATATAAATAAATAAATATATATATATATGTATATATATACACACACACATATATGAAGGAACATAGGGTTTGGAATTCAGAGAGAGATATCGAGAGAGTTTCGCTCCTGTTTTTCTCTCAGGCTGAAGTGCAACGGCACAATCTCGGCTTACTGCAACCTCCACCTCCCCAGTTCAAGTGATTCTCCTGCCTCAGCCACCTGAGTAGCTGGGATTGCAGGAGCCTGCTACCATGTCCGGCTAATTGTATTTTTAGCAGAAACGGGGTTTCGCCTTGTTGGCCAGGCTTGTCTCAAACTCCTGACTTCAGGTGATCAACCTGTCTCAGCCTCCCAAAGGGCTGGGATTACAAGAGTGAGCCACTATGCCTGGCCCCCTATTTGACATATTTTTAACGGTGTAGGCAAAATGATCTTTTTTCCAAACACTGCAATCGTGTCATCCCCTTCAAAGCCTTCTGTGGCTCCCCGTTGCCCCAAAGCAACATCTAACTCTGATGTGGTCCAGCCCTGCTGCCTCTCTGATGTGGTTCAGCCCTGCTGCCTCTCTTCACTCTGTCTCATTCCACTCTCCCACGCCCACTGTAGTCCACCCTGGTCTCCCTGAACGTGCCACGTGCTCTCTCCCTGATCTCAGGGTCTTTGTTCATACTGTTCTCTCTGTCTGAGTTGCTTTTCCCTGTACCTCACATCTAAGTCCAGATGACTGTTGCTCAGCCTCCAGCTTCAGCTCAGCTGTCTCTTCCTCTGATAAATCTTTGCTGTGTCCCTAGGAGAGGCCAAGCCACTCTGTTACTCCCTCTCTCCGTGTTCACTAGAGTTGTCCTTCTGCATTTCCTGCTGTCTCTGGTTGGCTGTCTGTCTCCCTCATTGTATTGCAGACTCCGCTGTGTGAAGAGAGGAATTGTGTGGCTAACACCAGGCCTGGTACATAGTAGCCACTCAGTATGGGGAATGAATGTCTTACTTTTTTAATTCTTCAATTTAAAAAGCTATTGAGAGTTTGTCCATGATCCCCAAGGATACATTTGACAATGTCTGGAGGGTTGTCATGACTCAGGGATGCTAGTGGCGTCTCGCAGGTCAAGGCCAGGAGTGCCGCTTCATATCCTGTAGTGCAAAGGGCAGCACCCGTCACAAAGAATGATTTGGTTCCAAATGTCACCAGTGGCAAGGTGGAGATGCCCTGCTCTAGAAACTGCCAAAGAAGCTGTTGCCAAATAAAAACTATAGGGAACAATGCAACAAATGACTCTTGATCTAAATTCCATTTCATTGGTTGTTTCATTCTGGGGCAATTTCGCTACATATGTTTCTTCATATTGGAGCTTATAATAATGCTTATGTCATAGTAATTCTGAAGGAGTTGTCTTTTTTAAAAAAACGTACTCTCTCTAGAGGCTGGAGAGGGAGGATCGCTTGAGCCTGAGAGTTCAAGGCTGAAGTGAGTTATGACGGTACCAGTGCCTCAAGCCTGGGTGACAGAGTGAGACCCTGAATCTAATTAAAAAAAAAAAATTATACAATGAATAATGACCCAAGTACTGTGTTGTCTTCATGCCATGGACACCTTAATGCTTTCTTCAAAGCAGTATGAGGTTGTTAATCTGAGAATGAATCTGTTAGCCTTCCCTGAACTCATAAAGTTTGCTTCCTCTTTGAAAGAACTTAGTGCCTTTTAATGCCTATGCAGCCGTGATGTGCCAAGTAATATGTTCCATGTGTAATCCCAGTTTTCTGATAGTAAAAAGAAAAGTTGGAAACCTTTGGCCAACTTTGGTGCCTGTGGCTGGGAGACCTTGCAGAGGTTTTCAAGGTCTGCTGTGAATGTATGATTTAGACCACAGCTCAGTTGTGACATTTAATCCATAGAGATAAATCATCACCTGCCATTGGTAGGGCTCTTTATGGATAAACAGGCCTAAAATAGTTACCTGTAAAACTCCATCAGAGTCTCCATCAGAAATCACCACCATTTTTTTTTAATGTAGGAGACTGGGATGGTGAAACTCTTTCTTGATTTTGGTGCTTGAGAACAAATTAAATCAAAGTCAAAACAACTAACTTTCCCTTGGCTGTCCTTGAGGCATGCTTGGTACTGTTTTGTTTGGGTTTTTTTTTCCCAGTAGTAGGCTGGAGTTCTTATGGATTTGATTCTGACATCAGCCTCCCAGGAGAGGCCATGGTGTATAATGGTTAAAAGCACAGAGTCCAGAAGGTGACTCTCATTTATCAGCTGTGTGACCTTGGGTGAGTTACTTGACCTCTCTGTGTCTCAGTTTCCTTCTTTGTTAGATCGGATAATGATAGTCCTTACCTCATAGAAATATTATAAATATGAAATGAATTAATATCCATAAAGCGTTTAGAACAGGGAACGTACTCAGCTTAATAATGTACATATTCGATTAATAAGATAAAGGCTGGCCGGGTACGGTGGCTCATGCCTGTAATCTCAGCGCTTTGAGAGGTCGAGTCAGGTGGATCACCTGAGATCAGGAGATCGAGACCATCCTGGCTAACACAGTGAAACCCCGTCTCTACTACAAATACAAAAAATTAGCTGGGCGTAGTGGGACATGCCTGTAGTCCCAGCTACTCGGGAGGCTGAGGCAGGAGAATCACTTGAACCCAGGAGGCAGAGGTTGCAGTGAGCCAAGATCATGCCACTGCACTCCAGCCTGGGAGACAGAGCAAGATCCTGTTCCAAAAAAATTAAATTAAAAAAAATAAAGGCTTCACATAATATGCAGCCAAAGTCAGAAAAAAAATAACATTCTTGACTGCCCTTTTCCCATGAACCCCAGATCCACTTGATATAATATGCCCTGATGTATAATAGTTTGGCCAAAGGGTAGAAATTAATGTGGAATTCAACTTAGGAGAAAAAGCAAATAAAGATTATTTGTTCCATGTCACTCCAAGATGGCCAGTTATCGCCCAACTCTCTTCCTTCTGCTTCCTCAAGATCTCTTCCATCTGCTTCCCTCCATCCATCCTCCTGGCCACTCCCATGTGCATGCTCCTATCCTCTCTGCTTCAGCCACCCACCCCTCACCGGTCTCCCTACTCTCCCCTGTGCTAGAGTGGACTCTAAAGCACACACCTGATGATGCCACTGTCCTGCTCAAAACCCCTTTCATGACTTAAGAAGCAGTGTGCATCGAAATCGCAGACCCTAGATTCCTTTATCAAACTGCCTACAGGAGAGCCTGAGGGACTTGTCTGCAAAGCTATTCTGGAGTCAGATGAAACTGGAATATTTGGTCTTTGGTATTCACCATGCTCCATCACCCCAACTGCAGGAATCATTTGCAGCTCATGGACATTTTGGATCACAGGGTGGAAGGGAACTGAAGCTCCCCATTGTTGCCTAAACCTAATGGCACCAGGTGTATATTGCTGACTTACCTTCCTGTAGGTTGATTTAGGAATTGAAGTATGTTAAAGGAATACATTTGAGATGGCACAGACAATAGCACCTAGGGCAGGGCCCGGTCACAGTTGTCTCTTCATAACATTCTAAGTCGAGGTATGTTTATTCATTGACCAACTCCCTGGAGTCTTTATTTCTAGTACAGCTGCTAAATTCAGTCATTCATTAGTCATGTTTTAAGGACAATGGATAGGAGACATTATTTAAAAAGCAATAATACAAAATACCAAGAGCTATTCAGCTCTTTTATACTAGAGCCTGTATATAGTACGTTCTTTCCCACAAATCCCTGTTTTTAAATATTTTCTCCATTTCACAATTATAATCCCCCAAATGACAGAATGGTTGTCTGACAATATTTCTTCTGATGTTGAACATATTTTGTACGTTTGAGACTGTGCCAGAAAGTCTATGCAGCAGTGACATTGAAAGAACAGAACAATCTAAACTGCAGATATTCACAGAGGGCTGAAAACCTACAATAACTATTGGGAATGTTAATCATTTCAAATGGAGGAATTATTAGAGGCAGCACATTTATCATGCATATCCTCATCACTAGCTTAGAGCACCTGGCATAGTTTTTAAAGGAAAGGGAGAAAAAAAAGAAACACTATAATAATGAGAAAATATGCAAGATTTGAAGTCAGGAAAATGTGGGTTTAAACTGCAGCTTCTTCCAATAGCTATGTGATCTTGGAAAGTTACTTCTCCAGTCTGAACCTCCATTTCTTCAACTTTAAAATCAGAGTAATAATAGTAATACCTATATTCTAATGTTTTATTGGAAAGAACGGTGTCTGGCACATAGCAATTAACCCAAGCAATTTACATAGCAATTACTCGTGAAAAAGAAGCTATTAATACTATTTATTGTTATTTTCCCACTGCTGTTGCCCTTCAGCCAAAGAGCACCAGGAACACATCCGTAATTAAGAAGTTGGGTTGATTGCTCATTGCAATGGGAGAGAATATACTATAGGGAACTATGGGATGTCTTAGTAAAAGTGTGTTAGAAAAGACATATAATTTGGGCTTGCATTATTAGCTGCTTTGGCGGAAGGGTCACAAAACTGAACCATTTCTCTGAATTGGTTGCTATTCGGAAGCATGGGTAGTTCTATGACCAGTGCTAAATCTCATCTTTAGGTAGGACAGCCTAGGGTGAGGCTACAGCCGTAATTGGCAAAGAAGCAGCTATTGTTTTAGCCAGGAAAGGCGATGGCTTCGGCAATGTTCAGGTCTGTCTGTGTTCATGCATAATTACGGAATGGCCTTCTTTATGGTCTGATTGACTGTGGTCATAGAGTGGCCTTATCTGATGTTGGTATTCTCTGAAATCATGTTTGACAGGAGAACACCAACATCTAATTAATGTCCCAGGCCAGCTCCTGGAGGTCAGTGGCTACTTTTCTTTTCCCCATCATATTTATTCATATATTTAGTGAGTAGAGTACTGTCAATCCTTGGTGTCCTTTCTCTAACAAAGTCCAAATTCTATGTAAAAAATTCTATGTAGGTCAACAAAACTTAGTAACTTGGGTGTCAAATGTAAAGAAGAAAAGATAGGCTCAAAGGAGAGAGTAGGGCTGATGTGGTAGAGGGTGGACCCACGGTGTCTGTGCAGGCCAGGGTAGGGAGGCTGGCTTTCATTTTAAATGACATCTGAAAAGTTTGTCATTTTAAAAAGTTTGCTTGGTCCCAGTAAGGATGGAGAATGGCTTGTTGGGGATGGAGAAAAAGGGAAAGGAGGTTCAAAAAGTGAAGTAAAGCTTTTATCATTTAAATGTGGCAGCATTAGATGTGGGTCACAGAGTTGTAGACAGGCTTAGGACACGGAAAGGAGTTTGGTTATTCATCTGGCCCAGTTGCCTCCTTTACATGTAGGAAAATCAGCACTGACCAGGACAGATGAAGTGGCTTGTCCACACCCAAATATTTAGTTAGTGCAGAGTGGAGAGCTCCAAGTGGGGGCCAGAGCCCAGAAGACTCCTTCAGCCTTGTGCCCCCAACACTGTGGAATGGGAACTGAATCAGTCGTGGGGAGGAGGGGTCTCTGCAAACGTGGCAGGTCACAGAAGATGGACAGCAAGGGCCAGGCACGGTGGCTTATGCCTGTAGTCCCAGAGCTTCAGGAGGCCAAGGCAGGCAGATCTCTTGAGTTGAGGTCAGGAGTTCGAGACCAGCCTGGCCAACATGGTGAAACCGTATCTCTACTAAAAATACAAAAATTAACTGAGCATAGTGGCGCACACCCGTCGTCCCAGCTACTCAGGAGGCTGCGGCAGGAGAATTGCTTGAACCTGGGAGGTGGAGGCTACAGTGAGTTGAGACTGAGCCACCGCACTCCAGCCTGGGCAGCAGATTGAGACTTCATCTCAAAAAAAAAAAAAAAAAAGCGGGGGAGGGAGATTAATCCTGGTGCCCTTCTAGAACTACCACCTGGCCTTTCTTAATTGTCCACTTGGAGTGTTTGCCAAGCGAAGAAAAGATGAACCCATGACTGTGACCTACCTGGAGGGTAGACATTCTGGAGAGCTTCCCCTCCAACAATGTCCCAAATCTGTGTTCATCCCTGAACACAACCACTGCAGTTCTAGGAAACCAACTTTCTAATATATTTAAGGATGCTTGTCAAGATTTTATTATCTGTTCTTTCATCAGAGAGATGTTTACAACAGCAGAAAAATTTAAAAATAAAAATGAAATGTTTTGAATAAGAAAATAATTAAATTATGGCACAGCCAGGGTCAGTAGTCATCTGGTCGACTGTGGATGGATCTTCCAGAGACTCCTCTCGCCTGTCATTTGTTGGCACTCAATCTCTACCTGTTGTTCAATACTTTGAGTACCACTCTGGTAATGAAATAATAAGAGTGATGGAATACTGTATATCCATTTGAAAGATGACAATTCAATTACTTGGGAAAAACACAATACATTTACAATTGGCAAAATACAAGCTCTAGAACATCAGCTTAATCTATATCTATGTTAAATGTATGTAAAACTTATGTTCCTACCAAATATTAACAGTGACTTTCCCCGATTGGTAGAATTAGGGATGGTTTTAATTTTCCCAATTTTTGGTCAGTGATATTTTCTTAATGTTTAAAAAGGAACATTAACAGTTTTTATGATAAATGAGGAAAGTTTCTTTACAACATTTTTTTGCATGCCATTCCTTAGAGTTGGGCAGCTTTTGCAAGCTGTGAGAAGCCCAGCTCCTGCTTTTCCTGATACGGTTTATGACTCACAGCTGCCACCAAGATGTCAGTTAGCTCTGTGACAGTGAAATGACTTCATTTCCCTGAACCCGGATAGAAACGGTGTCTGGGAAGAGAGAGAGTACCTGGTGGAGCCCTATGAGTAAATGTGATGATGATTCAGCTCTGGACCCTATACTCTACTCCAAAAGGAAATGTTTCAGGGCATCAGAGGGCATGAATTCATGAATGTGTATACGAGGCTTTGTTCAGGATATTTTTAAATATAGAAGTTCATTGATACAACATCCCTATGAGGTAGGGATTATTAAGAGGGCTTTATCTATAAGGAGGCTGGGATTGAGAGGGTTTGAATGATTTGGCCCAGGTCACACCATAAGAGCTGGGAGCGAGATGACAGAGTCTTTTTTGTCCACAAGCAAAATAGCCATGCCTGTACTTGCAGTCGGACCGGAGGAACACACAGGCCAACTCTGACGCAAAGCATGGTTATCACCATGCTCCTCCAATGCCACCTGCGTCTTAGCTCTGGGTTTATTATTCACTGAGTGCCTTAATGGGCACCTATCGTTTATTTTCCCTGGGCCTCAGTTACCTCATCCGTAAAATGAGACAAGAAGGTATTTGAGGTAGATGAACTTCAGGATCCCATCAGCCTTGACGAGTGCAGGATTCTATGTGAATCTAGATGAGATTTATCCAAGGACCTCCACATCCTGCCTCCCACCTCCATGAGCAGCTATTCCAAAGCTACCAGTCTGGTGATTCAGCCAAAGACCCATCATTAAAGAGCACAAAGACATCCTTGGCCAGTATCTTTCTGGATGCTGATGCTTTTCTCCTGAATTGCATGTCACCTTGGAGAACTCAGTGATGGATGAGAGAGATCCAGCTTTGACCTGGAAAACTTTCACATTGCAAGTTTTTTTTTTCTTTTTCTTTATAGATTTATAGTCAATACTTCAGCCTTTCTATGACAAGAAGCTTATATTTTTCTGGACTAGATGTAACAAACGACTTTCCAAGTGATCAGTGACATCCCAAGTTAGGGCTGCATTTTGAAATTGTTCTTTAGAATCTCTAACTTCATTGGGAACAGTGATATCAGAATGTTACCTTAATACTCTGCCAGAAAGGCATGGAGAAGATGTAAAATGTTTATAAATGAACATCCAGTGATGTGCACTTGGTAATTTCATTCAAAGATGTAAAGGAAGAGATACTATAAGGGACATTTCTGTTATTTTGTCAAATGCTATTATTTACTGAAAAATAAAATTTCACCCTATATGCTTGACCTTCAGGGACTTATTTTAAGATCATATGGCTTTTCCTAAACAGCTGAATTATTTAGTGAGATTGAACTCTCAAAGACTTTAAAATAAAGCCCACCAAAATACCAGCCACTCTGCAGTGCTACAGCTGTTCAGACCTCAATCTGCATATTTCATCTCAGCAGACTGAAGTTTGCAACTGAAAAATCGCTCAGAAAATACTTATCACCTTCCATGCCAAACGCAGAAAGGAATTTATTTGAAGCTGAGAATGTGATAGGGTGGGTGACTTACTCCCACAGTGATGCTTAGAATGGTGGATGGAGTTCTAGCTGCGTTTTTGCTGCTTCACCCCTGGGGAGGCCACGCCTCTGAGAAAGAGGCTGGGAGGCCCTTCCGCAACAGGTGTTCAGGTATGAGTGAAAGAATCTAAGGAGTGAGCTTGGAGCACTGCACCCACAGACAGGACCATCATTAGGAGCACATTCTCAGTGCGTGTTGAATGTTACGAAAAGGTTTGATTTATACATTTTTGACCTAAATAGAATTTAATCAAAATGTCTAGAGAATTTTTACGGGTTACTAGCCCCTCACTTTTTCTGAAGTACTAAAAGCAGAATCAGGAATTCAAGATTATCATGTTGAGTATAAAGCACTCTAGTCTTCCTAAAGGAATCAGTGTCAGACTGGGCTGGTGGTTCACACCTGTAATCCCAGCACTTAGGCAGGCTGAGGCAGGAGGACCACTTGAGCCTGGGAATTTGAGGCCAGCCTGGGCAACAGAGTGCGAAGTCCCTACGAAAAAAAAAAAAAAAAAAAAAAAAAAAAAAATATATATATATATATATATATATATATGGAGAGAAAGAGAGAGCGAGAGCAAGCCAGGCTTGGTGGCATGTGCCTGTAGTCCCAGCTACTCAGGAGGCTGAGGTGGGAGGATCATTTGAGCCCAGGAGGTTGAGACTGCAGTGAGCCAAGACTGCACCACTGCACTCCAGCCTGGGCAACAGAGGAAACCGTTTCTAAAAAAAAAAAAAAATCAATGGTACCTCCTATAGAGTCAGGTGATGGTGTTGATTATGATGATGATGGCAAAGACGGTGGTGAAGGTGATGGCGATGATCATGGTGATGATGATGGGCTGATGATGACTGTGATGATCATCATGGCAAAGATGACAATAGTGAGGTTGATGATGGTGAAGATACCAATAGCAACAATGAAGATGTGGCTGCTGATGTGACAAAGATGATGATGGTGATGGTGATGATGGCAACAGTGATGACAATGATGATGATGATAATGATGACCATAGTAATGATGATGATGATGACGATGATGGTAGAGGCTTACATTGATTGAACCCTTGCTAGGTAACAGATATGTTAAGCACTTAAGCCCTGAGTGTTCATTATCTTATTTAATCTTCAGCACCATCACATGAAGTACATGCTGTGATTTTCCCATTTTAAAGATATTGAAACTGAAGTTTAAACTCGGTAAGGAACTTGCTCAAGGACAATACTTCTTAAATTTTGCTATACATTAGAATCACCTGGAAAGATTTTTTAAAATCTTGACCCAGAGGTTGAGTAATGTGCTCAAGGGCACCCACCTGATGAGTGGCAGAACCAGGCTTTACAACCCAGTCACTGAGCACCAGAACCATGTCCTCTCTTGTGAAGAGCCAGTCATAGTGCCCAAGGAATTTTCAGGGCCATCATTGCTCATGTCCCTCCGGTGATGCTGTTTTTAATAATAGTAACTGGCGAGCTGGAGTATAATGTTTTGGGTAGCATGGCAGATCTTTGTGGGGCAGTGTGCTGAAACCAGCTTAAATCTCTGACTGCCGAGTTAATTTATTTCATTCATAATATTCTGTTCGAAATGAAAATATTCTCATGGTTGGTTTTGCCTGAAGGTATAAAATTCCCCAAATCAGCAAATCAGCAAATCAGCGCTTTCCTCTGATGAAGGGGGAGTTCACGGAAGACTCCAAAAATGGACCAAAATGCCTCTGTTCCCACGTTGCAGGTAGGAAATTAAAGCTCTTAAGAAAGGATGGCATTGTTTATCCATATTCAGAAACCACAGGGCTGGGATTTTTTTCAAATGAGGCCATGCTAGTTAATTAAGACTTTGCCTTTCAGGGATTATTTATATTCTTAATTTTTGATATTTTTCATGGCAGTGGAGTCTGAATAAACTCACAGGTGTGACCTCCTTCCATGCCAGCTACTACTCTCTCATTTAATCCTCATACAACACTGACATTTGAGTAATAGTTTTCCCATTTTGCAGCTGAGGAAACTGAGGCTGCGAGAGTTTATAATTTATAAAAGCTTTTATAATTTATAAAAGCTTTTATAATTTATAAAAGGTTTTATAAATTATAAAAGGTTTGCATCATTTTCACCTACCCGAATCATTCTTCTACAAAAGAAGAAAAGTTATTTCAGAAAAGCTTCCTAAGTTTTCCCTAAAATGAATTTCTGGCCTAGAAAATCAGATCCTGCTGTGTTCACACTTGGCCTCAATTTCCTCAGGCTTCTGGGTCATTAAGGAGGAGCTTTATCACCTGGCTGCAGGGTGGAGGAAGCCAAGATTCTGGACCGATAGCCTCCCACAGCTGCGTTAGTATTCCACAAAGGCGCAACCAGAAGATAGCAAGGAACTTTCACACTTGGCTTTAATTTCTCTCTGCACATTTTGTTAGCGATAAAGACCATCATGTTTTTTCTTTCTCCACCTTTTTTGCTTTTAGAATTCTGAATAGATGTTTTCATCACGTGGCTAAGTAAAACTGGAATAGCTGAGATTTCCAGAATTCAGTTAGAAGATCTGATAAGCATCTAAAACTTGTCCTAAGGTAGGGGGAGAAGTGTTTAGCTTGGAAATATAACTCGGAGTTCCCAGTCTTCCTCAAGTAGGTACTTGGGGAGATACTGAAGTAGGAGGAAGATGATTCCTACAAACCACGCCGAACAACAGACAGTTCAGAGATCTTTGTGCCTCTTGACTCAAAAAGGCAACTAAAAGATTTCTAAAGCATTATCCCCATCCCTCCCCCATCAAACTTTTTTATTGGGTATAGAAAAACATGAGGAAGGTCAGGTGCTGTGGCTCAGGTCTGTAATCCCAGCACTTTGGGAGGCTGAGGTGGGGGGGCAGATTACAGGAGGTCAGGAGTTCAAGACCAGCATGGCCAACGTGGTGAAACCCCATCTCTACAAAAAATACAGAAATTTTCTAGGCATGGTGGCATGTGCCTGTAATCCCAGCTATTTAGGAGGCTGAGGCAAGAGAATCGCTTGAACCCAGCAGGCAGAGGTTGCGGTGAGCCGAGATCATGCCACTGCACTCCAGCCTGGGCGACAGAGTGAGACTGTCTCAAAAAAAAAAAAAAAAGAAAGAAAGAAAAAAGAAAAAATTAGAAAGTACCTTCACTAGATTTAGAAGTAAGCCCTTAGGCATAGATGGTCAGCTGAGCCTTTTTAAAAAAGGAAGTTGCTTAATGAGATCGGTTTCCACCACTCAGTGTTAGAGTTTTGTGCCTCCAGTTTTATAAAATAATGTAAATTATTCCCAGCCGCAGAGAAGAAAGGACAGAAAATGAAAATTAGCAGGGTACAGAAGTCCATTCTGCTGAACAATGGAAGAAAAACCACACAGGGATTTGGTACCATTAAACTCTGGGGCAATTTTCTGCTCATTTCTCCATCTCCTCTCTTTCTGGTGGTAATCAAAGGAACGAGCTCCAGATAGGAAAGTCTTCCCTGTAATTAATTTAAACAAGTTCAGTAGACTCCAATTATCTAGTCTGCTACAACATGGAGAAATGACTGGGAAAGGAACTCCTGGGCAACTGGAATGAATTCCATGATGGCTTTATTAAGGAGTACATGTAACAAATCCAAAGTCTTTAAGCTTATCCTTTTGGGGGGCTTTTAAAAGTTATGTCTTTATAATAAAATAAAAGCTGGGGACCATGTTTACCTCTATCTCAAGTGTTAAGCTGAACCATTGATTTATTTCCTTAGAGTGATGCATTACTGCCACCTAATGGTCATGTACCTGCATTGAAGGGGTTAAGAAGTAAGGAAATGATTTAAATAGACTTACCACCACCACTGGTCACCCGTCTTAAAAAAAAAAAAAAAAAAAAACAAAAAACACCTTATAGTAACCTTTTTTTTTTTTTTTTTTTTTTTTTTTTTTGGTTTGTGCTGGATGCGGTGGCTCACGCCTGTAATCCCAGCTCTTTGGGAGGGCGAGGCAGATGGATCACCTGAGGTCAGGAGTTCGAGACCAGCCTAGTCAACATGGTGAAACCCCATCTCTACTAAAAATACAAAAATTAGCCGGGCGTGGTGGTGGGTGCTTCTAATCCCAGCTACTCAGGAGGCCAAGGCAGGAGATTTGCTTGAACCTGGGAGGCAGATGTTGCAGCGAGCTGAGATCACGCCACTGCACTCCAGCCTGGGCTACAAGAGCTAGACTCCATCCCAAAAAAACAAAGAAAAAAAAGTTTGATGGATGAAGCAGATGAGTTACTGTGGATCAGGACTGTGGAAAGCCCGCCAGTTAGACAAGGGATGTTGCCCTCACCCAAAGAGCAGATAAACACCATTGGTGCTGTTTGAGCTGGGCGGGGCAGATGATACCAGATCTTTAGCAAGATGAGTTTCACACCTGTGTACAGGAAGAAGCGTGTGAAAACAGGTCAAGAGGATCCTGAAATAAACCAAGTGTGAGAGTATCAAGGTGACAAAAGGGTAATGGAGGCTGGAATGTGAAGTTAGAGATAATCATTTTTTTAAATTATATTAAATTATATTTTATATTATATATATTAAATATTGATTTATTTTTTATAATTTATAATGATTTATATTAAATATCGACTGTTTGCCAGGCACCATAGTTAAAATGAGATAGACCAGTTCTCTCTCTCAAGAAGCTCCCACATCAAGTAGCCCTTGATGTGATTCACTCTGTGGTCTGCAGAAGTTGCCCCACCTCTCTGGTCCCCAGTCTCCTCTGTTACAGGGAAAAAGATTGCTCTGGGAGTTTTCAGAAGCCCCTTTGACTCCCAATAGGAACTTGCCTGGAGCAGGTACTTCCAAGGGAATGAGAGGAAAAGCACAGTGTTTAGCTGAGATAGGGGTAAATATGGTCCCCATCTTTTATTTTATTATAGAGATATAACTTTTAAATGATAGCTTTGTGTAGGTGATAGTGGAGCTGAGTGAGCTAAAGATTTTTTTTTTAATCTCATGATCTGAGTCTAGCTATCTGGAGTGGAGCAGGAAATGTGGTATCACTGATATGTAAAGAAATCAGTAAGGAGGGGCTCATTTGCAGATAAAAGGGAATAAAACCAGGGCAGGCATGCAGACACCATCATGGTAGCTAGACATATAAATGCAGAGATCCAAGATACCAACTTCAGCTTGGAGGGAGAAACAAGATCAAAGGAAGAGGGTTCAGCAGTTCTGTGCATGACACTGGGTCAGATCTCTTCCCTAGAACAAGATGCTCAATGGCTGTGTGCCCCAGAACAAGGTGCTCAGTGTCTCTGAGCTTCATGTCACTGTTGTGTAAAAGCAGCACTATGATAGGGGCCTCTTCATAGAGCAGCATTGAGTATCTTTGGTTTAACATGAGAAGAGTGACTGGCCCTGTAAGCTTCAGCAGATACTAACTAGTATCATTATAGCTCCTCCTCCTCTTCATGATGATTTATAGAATTGGTCAATTTTTCCAGGGAAAAGCAGTAGAGATGAGAGTAAGAGGATGCATTCATTCCATGCCTGCAAGACAGCCCAGCTGGGGAAGGTGAACTTCAGTGGTGGGGAGGAGTGAAAGGAATAGAAAATAGAGATTTGGGGAGGATAGGGTGGACTGGTTCCACACCTCTGAGACAGCAAAGACTCCAAGAAGTTTCTGAGCAAAGGTCACAGGACTTGATGATTTGGAGGTTACTGATGACTTTCGAAAGAGC
The DNA here is from genome assembly GCF_000001405.40 of Homo sapiens. Classification (NCBI taxonomy): domain Eukaryota; kingdom Metazoa; phylum Chordata; class Mammalia; order Primates; family Hominidae; genus Homo; species Homo sapiens. Next base: position 83,448,913 of record NC_000016.10, read on the forward strand.
AGCCAGTGAGGAATACAGGATTCTTCGTATGGAGACAGATTACAGAAAGAAGTCAAGTGAAGCAACAATATGCTCCTAGATACCGAATTTCCACAGCCTGGCAATCCTCAACAAAAGGGAGACCTGGGCTAGTTTTAGACTCGAGAATAGATCAAGGGCAATGTGTGTATGATCAGCAGGCTGCAGCTTCCATATTAACCTACGTTTTAAATGTCTTACATTCCTCTGGACAAAATAAATCAGCCCGGATGGAATTCGTTGCCACAATGATCTATAATGATCTATGATATGTCTTCTCATTTATAATGTCAAGCCCTTGGAGATAGGAGGCCCTCAATGTTTCTTTGAGACCTGAGATGAGAGGATGATCAATGAAAGTAAACGAAGAGGATCATGGTAAAGATCTCATGGTACCAAGAGGAAAACAACTGATAAACAGGGCTCATGGAAGTCCCTGTCCGCTGGGCAAAGGAGAAACGGCTCCCTTACCTGATCACACATCTTCGTCATGTCCTTCAGGGCCCCAGATCCTGTTCTAATGCAGAGCAGGAAGATGGTGACTTTTTGAAATTTCTGGAAATATCACTCGGTGAATCAAAGCAAATTAATTCTCTCTTTTAGTCACTCTGAGCCTGGATTTCCAGTCCTTGGAATTTCGCTTCTACCAACAGTTCTTTCAGAGTCATTTATGGTTCTAAATACACAGGATGCAGTTCCCACATCACCTCCCCTCATAACACCATGGGATGAATAATCATGGTGAAGACAAGGATCTGTGGCCAAATGATGGTTTCAAGTCCCTGTTCTGCAACTTGCCTAATGTGTCATCTTGGACAAATCCTTTATCCTCACTGCACCTTCGTTTTGTAAATAGGGACGTTAACGCTGGGACGTACTCTGCTGGTTTGTTTTGAAGAGAAAATGAGCTAATGCAAGGGAGAGGGAGCTCAGACCACAGATTTGTGCAGAGAAAGTGCCGAATAAGTGACGGCTGCTGTTTCTGTTTTTATTCTGCGAGGAACTCTAATAGAAGAAAAAGAGCATTTGATGACTGAATCACCGGTCTTCGCTAGCAGGGCAGAGGCAGATAGTTCCCCCGCCCCGACCCCGGGCCCAGCTGCTCATCACTGGGGTTGCAGAGTTCAATGCCGACATCCCAACTCTGACCCAGCACGGTGCCTACTGGGGAAGGCAGATATGGATAAACCACAGCAGCGCCCTGTGATTGATTCTTTGCCAGACGGTGGAGAAAGTGCACATTCCCAGATAGCTCCTGCAGGGAGGTTGCATGATGCCCACAAACCCACCTGTGAGGCCCATAAGCCTGGATGTTCTCTCTTAGCTGCTTAGGCTCTGCCCCTCAAAAGCGGAAATGTTGAGTGTGGAGTGCAGCTTGTTCTATGAATTTGAAGTACGTGGTCCCTGGGGTTGGACCAGCAACAAGTGACTCAGTCCCTCTGAGACTCTGTTTGCTCCTCTGAAAAATGGGTGGTGTTGTGGGGGACAATTTTCTACCTGATGAGCTCCTCATGAGGATCTATGTAAAGGGTAGTATCTGATTCATTACCAGGATTTTGTATGCTTTATAGGCATGCCAAATACAGCTGTATCTTACTTTATTAAATCGAACGGAAAAAAATGTGAAAATCAAGTTGTGTGTTAAATTTGATAAAGAGGGCCAGGGGCGGTGGCTTATGCCTGTAATCCCAGCAGTTTGGGAGGCCAAGGCAGGCAGATCACGAGGTCAGGAGATCGAGGCCATCCTGGCTAACATAGTGAAACCCTGTCTCTACTAAAAATATAAAAAATTAGCCAGGCATGGTGGAGGGCGCCTGTAGTCCCAGCTCCTTGGGAAGCTGAGGCAGGAGAATGGCGTGAACCCGGGAGGCGGAGCTTGCCGTGAGCCGAGATGGTGCCACTGCACTCCAGCCTGGGAGACAGAGCAAGACTCTGTCTCACAGAGAAAAAAAAATTGATAAAGAGAGTTCATGATGTAAAACAGTAGTTCTCAGCCTTGTGTGTGCGTCGGCATCCCCTGGAGGGCTTGTGAAAATCCATATGGCTGAGCCGCACCCCCAGAGTTACCAATTCCATAGGTCTGGGTAGAGTCTGAGAATCTGGATTTTTAATAAGCGCCCCCAGTGATGCTGCTGGTCTGGGGACCACACTTGGAGAAACACCTTCTTCAAGGAGTCACATGTTTCTGAAGCAAAGGAGAATCATTTGTCTTTGTATTACTCTGTTCTCACGCTGCTAATAAAGACATACCTGAGACTGGGCAATTTATAAAGGAAAGAAGTTTAATGACTCACAGTTCCACATGGCTGGGGAGGCCTCACAATCATGGCAGAAGGCGAAGGAGGAGCAAAGTTACATCTTACATGGCAGCAGGCAAGAGAAAGCATGTACAGGGAAACTCCCCTTTATAAAACCATCAGATCTCATGAGACTTATTCCCTATCATGAGAACAGCATGGAAAATACCTGCCCCCATGATTTAGTTACCTCCCACCAGGTCCCATCCACAACCTGTGGCAATTGTGGGAGCTACAATTCAAGATTTGGGTGGGGACACAGCCAAACCATACCACTCTTTTTTTCTTTTGTTTTTGTTTTTGCTTTTTTGAGACAGGCTCTTCCGCTGTCATCCAGGCTGGAGTACAGGCACTATCACAACTCACTGCAGCCTCAACTTCCTGGGCTCAAGAGATTCTCCCACCTCAGCCTCCTAAATAGCTGGGACCACTGGTATGCACCACCATGTGCAGCTAATTTTTTACTTTTTTGTAGAGACGAGGTCCCACTATATTACCCAGGCTGGTCTTGAACTCCTGGACTCAAGTGATCCTCCTATCTTGGCCTCGCAAAGTGCTGGCATTACAGGCATGTGCCACACGATGCCCAGTCCATTTTATTTCGTACTGAAATATTCTTCCTCCTATTTTTTCTTTTCAAACTGAACATCTTTATATTCGAGGTTAATTTAAAATGGAGCCTTCAGTGCATCTGGTATGTGTGTGAATTGGACCCAGCTCAGGGATTTTGCTCTTCTGTTTAATCTTTGCTTTTCCTGTGGACCCATGAGTGTCAGGACTGATATTTCTGATTTTTCCTTTGTGCCAAATTGAGCCTCATCTGCCCGGTCAGCCCTAATGTCACACGCACTCCCCACCGCCTGAGATTACAGGACAGGAGATACATTTCGATTCAAAGTTCTGAAAATATGATTAATCTCAAGACTGGAGAGAGAAAAGTTATTGGAAATATTTTCATAAAAATTAATGTTTATAGTCAACCTTGTGACAGTCGGTAGTATGTCAGCAATTCAGGTAAGGTTGTGTTTGTGTTTTCTTGTGCAGAGGATTTAGCTGCCTATAATCAGTTTCATGAAACCTTGCTCTTACATGACTCATTTTTTTCATTTATTCACTCATTTGTTCAGCAAGTGTTTATATTGATTACTTGGTGCCAAGTTCTATACTAGGCTGTGAAAACAGAGACAAATATAGACATCCTCTGTTCAGGCAATGAGAGCTTTGTAATAAGTTTCTTGTTTTTTAAGGACAAAGGCTTTTATGATTTTAGCATCACGTGGCTCCTCACTTTCTCGGTTCGTTTTGTGTTTGGTTGATGTTTTCGTTGTTGTTTTGCTTGGGGATGGTACTTGTTTCCTGCCCAGCAATTCTTGTAAGTAAGTAATAATATAGAATAACCAGATTTGTTGGGTTCCTGCAAAGACAAACATGATATTTAAAGAAGCTTGCAATTAAATAGAGAAAATAAACATCTAAAAATAGATGTACAATGCAGTGTGATGAGGAACAAGAGAAGTACCTCGGTGAAAGAAATAATGTATGTGTTTGTGATGTCTAGAGAAGTATTCGTGGATGAAGTGATACTGGAGGTGGGTTTTGGAAGGAGAAATCTCTTTCTCATATTATTAGTCTCAGTCAGTTTCCCCTCCTTTTGTTCCAGGAACACCAGCATTTCATTAGACTTAGACCCACTGTAAGCAAAGGGCTTAAGCACAAGTCCCTGGGGGAGAAACTCAACTCTGCCATCTTCTAGCTGTGTGCCTTTGGAAATCACTTAATTTTTGAGCCTATATGATGGAATACTACTCAGCCCTAAAAAGGAATGAATTGATGGCATTCACAGCCACCTGGATGGGATTGGAGACTATTATTCCAAGTGAAGTAACTGGGGAATGGAAAACCAAACATTGTGTGTTCTCATCTGTGGGAACTAAGCAATGAAGATGCAAAGACATAAGGATTGTACAATGGATTTTGGGGATTCGGGGGAAAGGGTGGGTAGTGTATGAGGGATAAAAGACTACAAATTGAGTTCAGTGTACACTGCTCAGGTGATGGATGCACCAAAATCTCACAAATTACCACTAAAGAACTTGCTCAGGTAACCAAATACCACCTGTTCCCCAAAAACCTATGGAAACAAAAAAATTAAAAATAAAATGAAAAACAACATTGATCATGAAAAAAACATGAATAACATTACACCCCACACAGGATTGTTGAAAGAAACAAAAGAAAATATTATTTAAAAAGCACTTAGCATCGTGTCTGACATGTTATAAGCACTTAATAAAATCATAGTTGCCTTAGTTATTATAATTATCACAATGTTGATGGGTGTCCTACAATACGAAGTGGACGGAGTCAGGGCTGGGGAATTGAGTCTATCTGTGGGGTGTGCGTCTGTTTAATGGTGGGGTTCTCAGATCCTTGCATGTACAAGGGCATTGTGAATTGGCTGTATGTGGGCAATGTTCTCTGCCGTACTCCCGAACTTGTTTAAAAAGGAAACTCTTTATCCACCATGTATCTCCACCATGTATCTGTGAGAGCTGGGACTCTGCAGATCACTTATTGGTTCACAGCCTCCCCAAATCAGCCTGCTCTGTTCAGGGGACCATATGTGCCTGATAATGACCCTGCCTTTGTAGTCCATGGTCAAAAGCTTGCCATGAGTCTGTAGTGCCAGCTCAAATGGCATCATGCTGTGCTCCTGCCTTCCCAAGCAGGGTGTGCACGCAGGCACCCTCTGAAGGCTAGGTTCTAGATATCCTCTCATCTTTATCTTTGCAACTTTATCCTGGCTTCTAAGGGGCATGGGTGTTTCACTGTCACTATCTGTGGAAAAATTGATTCAGTCTGCATGTTCCGTGAAACACTAGGAGATTCTCCAAAAGAAGCCTCAGTTAGCAACTGCAAGTATGCAAAACAGGTATATTAAGGGGTGATGACTCACCTCAGAAAAGGAACCTCTGTTTATAGAAAAGATTAACCAGAAGACGTCTTTAAATTACATCCATCTCTGGGCATAGCTTGTGGGTGTCTGAGAAAATGATTGAGAAGTAAAATCTGTTTTGTGTGCATGATACACATTCCCAAATAAGCCCAAAAGAAATCAAAGTGACAGTTTGATTTACCTTTTTTAATTCAGAAAATACCTTTTCAATATTGACACTAGAAATCAGCCCTAATTATTCCCCTCTGACTTTGCTACTTTGTCTTTCCTTCTCATCTGTGTCCACTTGCTTCCTATTGCATTATATATTTTACTTTGCATTTAATGTATCATAAGCACATCCCAGATTGCTGTATGGTCCTTATCATTATAATTTTTAATGACTGTGTAATGGTCCATCAAGTAGCTGAGTCTAATTTATTTGGCCATTTTCCTATGGTTAAACATCTAGGCCATCGATTTTCTGCCATTTTTAGCTGTAGAAACTGTGTTTTAAGAAACCATATGTAGAACCTAAATATGTTCTATTGATTTTTTTTTTTTGATATAGAGTCTTGCTATTACACAGGCAGGATTGCAGTGGCATGATCTCAGCTCACTGCAACCTCCACCTCCCGGGTTCCAGCAATTCTCTTGCCTCAGCCTCCTGAGTAGCTGGGATTACAGGCCCCTGCCACCACACCTGGCTAAGTTTTGTATTTTTTTAGTAGAGAATGGGGTTTCACCATGTTGACCAGGCTGGTCTCGAACTCCTGACCTCAAGTGATCCACCCGCCTCAGCCTCCCAAAGTGCTGAGATTACAGGCATGAGTCACCATGCCCAGCTCTCTATTGATTATTTGTGAATACTTCAGCTTATTTAATTTTCAAAGTAATCTTTAAAATCGGAGCCATTGTTATCACACTTTCTAAGTGAAAATTGATGCTCAGAGAGATTGTAGAGTTTGCTCAAGTCTGGATACCTAGCAGGTTATAGACCTGAGACATGAACCCACGTATCTCTGACTTTCAGAGGGTGGATTTTTCATCAGTGAACAATACAACTTGGACCATGTGGAGTGAGACAAGGAAACTGGCAAGGCCCAAGAGATTCACTAACCCCCTCTAAACCTGCCCCTGATGAATGGCAGATGGACATTCAACCAATGACAGCTGTTTCTGAGCATCTAAAATGCAGGGAGCCTGGTGTGATCACTGGCCCACCTGAGGCTCTGGGGGATGAGTCGCAGGTTCCATCCATTGCTGCCGTGTCTCTGTTTGGTTTAGAAGTGGCTTTCTCCAAGGACGTGAATGTTCATTTTAGTGCACCTTCTGGATTTTCTCCTCTTCCCTAGATATTTGCTTTTGTGTATTCCCACGCAGGAGCTTCAGCCATTGCTACACGTGGCTCCTTCTTGTGCTCTTCTCTGCTTCCAGCTGCGTTTTCCTCAAAGGCTTTCTGGTATCCGTCAATCCCTAGATCTCTAAGAACCTTGAGCTTTGCAATTTATCCCTCTTCAGAATCCTATATGTCAGTGGCATTGGCGGAGTGGGTGGACACCTGGACAACTGTTCCTGCTTTCCATTCGTTTTCCTTTGTCACTTAAAGTGCAGGGCCAGGGCAGCATCTCTTCTGTTAGTGGCGCAGCTTTCCCTGTGGACAAGTCTCCCTTTCCTTCTCTGTGCTAGCTGGAAACAAATCACTAATTAAATTTCATCTCTCGCAGCTCTGGAAAAACGACAGACTAGTGCTTCCAATTAATTTCATCAACAGTGTGGAATAAGAGGCATGTTGCATCCTGTAAAGACAGCAGGGCTGAGGGGAGGAGGCTCCCACTGCTGTTACCCTGCTGTCTGTCTTCAGCGAGGCTGGAGTTCTGAGCCTTTCTCACCTGCGTTCCAATATCCAGCCCTGGCTTGCTTAGAGGGTGAGAAGACTGCATTTCTTCATCCACCAAACACCAGTGGGGAGTCACCTGTGTGCCAGGCACCACGAGCCTCCCACTGTTGATAGAACAGCAAACAAGGCAGACACATTCCCTGCTCTGGAGATAGTGCCAGACAAAAATAAGGATGTCGGGATGTGGCAGTTACAGGTGTCTCTGAACATTTCACTAAATCGAATGGACCAGGGCCAACGACCTAGAGACAGGAAAGGGACTGGTTGAGCACAGTGAGGCCCCGTCTTAGGTAAAGAGGATACAGAAATAGATCAACATGGTCCCGGGCTTTGGAAAAATCCAAACTGGTGAGAAAGTTACCTGAGGGGTCAGTTGCAGTACAACGTGAAAGACGTCATGACAGTAGAATGCACGGGGAACCCTGGGTTCAGGGGAGGGGACTTTTGCCCTTTGTGGGTTCAGAGGCAACTGCAAGGAAGAGCAGATACTTGAGCCATTTTCAAGAGTGTGCCAGATGGGCTAATGGAAGGAAGGGCATTTCAGACGCTGAGAAGTCCGGGGCAGGCTATGTTTAGGAAGCAGTGAATGATGTGTTGCATCAGAAAGATACCCTAGGGGGCTGGGCGCAGGGTTCATGACCGTAATCCCAGCACTTTGGGAGGCCAAGGCGGGCAGATCACCTGAGGTCAGGAGTTCGAGACCAGCCTGGCCAATATGGCAAAACCCCGTCTCTACTAAAAATACAAAAATTAGCCAGGCATGGTGGCACACACCTGTAATCCCAGCTACTCAGGAGGCTGAGGCAGGAGAGTCACTTGAACCTGGGAGGCGGATGTTGCAGTGAGCTGAGAAGATGCCACTGCACTCCAGCCTGGGTGACAGAGTAAGACTCTGCCTAAAATAATAAAAAGAAAGATCCCCTAGGGCATGTCCCTGATGGAGCTGAAATGCCAGGTAAGCAAGAGGCAGGTTACTAGGGGTCTGATATGGCTTGATTTTGACTTTGGGCTTCATCTCAGAGGCGATGGAGGATGGAGTCCAAGCCAAAACACCTGGGCACCGGCCCAAGCTCTGCCACGTCCCTGGTATGACCTTGGCGAGCTCCGCAGTTCCTTTAATCACTGGGGGTAATAAGAGCACTGACACCTTACGGTTGTTTTGGGGATTAGACCCAAGAATACACATGAAACACTCAGCACGTGCCTGGGCTTTAAGCGTTTGATAAACATTACCTCTAATTGTTACAGCTTAGTAGTGTCTGTGTTAGTATTGATCACCATGGTGGGCAGCCAGGCAGGGTGGGCACTGAAGGGCTTTGAAGTCAGAAGGACATAGGATCTATTCTGCCTTGCCATCACTCATTACATAGCCCCAGACACGTCACTTACCTCCCTTACCCCCTCTGCTTTTCAATTAAGGATTGTGTGTGTCTGCCACCCAGCCCCAGCTTCAGCACATGGATCCTCAATAAATCACAGATGTTGTCGTTGTCATCATCATCATCTACCTCTATTATCCTCAACAACAATGACATCCACAGTAGCAATAAGCAGGAGGAGCACCTAAGGCAGACTCTGCTTTAGAGAGATGAGTTCAGGGCTTGAGGCTGAAAGACAGGGAACCAGCAGGCCAGGCCATGCAAGCCTTGCAGCTAAAAGACAGGGAACCAGCAGGCCAGGCCGAGCCAAGCCAATAGTCACTGACCCACTCCGCATCCAAGATCCCTGAGGCAAAATCTGAAAACACACATGTTAGGAAAGACATTTGTCTCTCTCCCAGATTTCTGATTTGACAGGTCATGGCACCCTAAATTTGCATTTTCAAAAGCTCCCCAGGGAATTTTGCTTTTCCAGCAGGCGTCTGAGAACCCTCATCGGACATACGCAGTGATGCTGGTAAAGCCTGAGCAGAAACAAAAGAGGGTCCCGGGGGCAGAATGGGAGGCAGCTCTGGGTCTCTTAAGATGGCCCTGGTGTGCTAAGTGCACCAGAGGTAGGAACTCACCCACTGTCGCCATTACAGACAGAACGCTCCTAACAGAGAGCTTCCAAGAAACCCCAGGGCTTTCCTCGTCTGCTGGGACGTCTCTGTCTTCCTGTGCCTGCTCCTGCTGGATCCAGGATCCCAGGCTGGCTCCAACTCAAGATCTGCTGTTTCTCCTGTACTTGACACCTGGTTCTTTGGGCTGTTCCTTTGTTGATCTGTTATTGTTTACTTTTTAGTCGCCTTTGAATTACCAAACTAAGTCATTCTTGTAGCAAAATCTCAAGCACAGAAATGACTACATTAAAATGAGCCTTCCACCTCTCCTAATTCCTCCCCAACACTTCCCAACATCATCGCCATTAACAACTGTGTGTAGTCCTCTTATATTTTCCTTTCCTTAAATATAACTACATATCTACAGACAGGTCTTTGTTTTGATATGATTTTACAAACCTATGGAGTTATAGAATGGAGTTCATCTTATAACTCATCTCCCCCCACTACAAAAAATCTTGTGGTCATCTTTCCATGACAATACAAATTCTTACTATTTTTTCATAGCTATGGTAGCCTTGTAACTTATTTACTGATTTCCCTTTTTCAGCCATCTTCCTGTTGTTTTGCAAACCCAGGCCACCCAGCAACAATCTTCTTTATATACTGTCTTTTCATACTGACACTTCTCAGTCCTGTTGGATGAATTCCCAATGGTGCGATTGCTCATTTCTGACATTCTGTCTGCTGATCGTGGGCCACAGCACCGGTTGTCTCTTTCTCTGACTCAACCCAAGTCTGATGAGATTTCAGTTTCACTGCAGCATTGCAGCAATGAGAAAACATCCCATCATGCACTGCTTCTAGATATTGTCAAGAGAAGGGTATATTATTATGCAAAAGCAGTGTCTATTTACAGATGATGAAACGACAATTTTTCATGGGGTTTTTCTTTTTATTTAACATCTTAACTGTCAATTCCAACAAACACACTTGTTTTCCTCTATGACTAATCTAAGAACCAAGATGGCCAACAGCACAATACCAACTTTTTGTTTGTTTGGTTTTTAAATATGGCAAAATTATATATGAGCTTCCCATTTTACAGGTTTCTAAGAACATCTTAATGAAAATAACAGAACTCAGAAAATCCACTGTCATTTTGTCCAGAAATATTTTGTTAGCATTGGGATGCAGCAATGCCATTGACAAGAAACCCATGTGGACCACCTTTTAATGCTTAATGAGCCTTTCTTCCTAGCATGCATTCCAGTGGGAGAGAGGACAGAATAAACGTGATTAAATTATCGGACAGAAACACATGACTATAAATAATTGACTCTCCCATGTTTCATGAGCCTTAACCTCACACTTCAGAATGTTTATTTCCTTTATTTCAAAATGTTTGTTTACTTTTCTCCATGGACTTTAATTAATTTTGCCTTTGGCTTATAAACGGGTGAAACTAAAAACTTTTTTATTTGCATTTTTATCTTGAAGCAAGCTAACTAATTAAACTTTGCAATTTGGTTTCACTGTGCTGTACCAGAGCCATAGGAAAATGGCTGACAGATTCGCAGATTTGTGACCGTTTTTCTAATGAAGGAGATTTTGGAAATTTTGATGGTTTCATGTAAATGCTAAAGGTAAAACCTGTATTAAGAGTCACTTGATCACAGGAAGAAAAATAACCAAATGACTCAACTGCATAAGGAGGTGAAAGGAAGGATCTAGAAACTACATACCAGTAAACGTCCCCTGAGTACCACAAAAAGTGTAGAATGGAGTATGAGCATTGTAGTTTTCAATAGTGTTACTCAACTGGTAGAAAAGAGGAATGCCCAAGGCATAATTCACATAGATTTCAGTCTGATATGCAACAGGTTCTTCCATGAGATGTGAGGGCTTAAAAGAAAAGGTAGAGATTGAAGACGTTATCTTTTAAAAGATACTCACAGCACATTTAATTGATAGGGGATCAGTAACAAGATTATATAAAGAACTTCTAAACTCAATAAGATAGCAAAAAAAAGTAAAAAATAACTAAGAGATAAAAACAGTCATTTCACAGAATAAGAAAAATGACTAATGTATAAAAAACTGTTCACACTCATTGGCCATTGCTAAAATTCCAGTAACAATTAGATGTATTTATATAATTTTATGTCTTCCTGATTGGTAAATATTAAGCCTAGAAATGCCAAGCTTTGGCAATAACAGGAAAACAGAGACCCTCGCTGACTGCTGTTCAGAGAGTAAATTTGTACAACAACTTTGAAGAACAGTTTGTCATTATCTACCAAAGTGGAAGATGTGTAACCTATCCCTAAGATAATCTCTGCAAGGAATTCTCATTTATGCCCCTGGGCACAGAGACAAGAACACTCCTAGAAGCATTTCTAGCAATAGCAAAATAGGAAATGGCCTACATGCTCATTGATGGAAGCATAGCTCCGTACCCGGCAGTGTGTACGTCTGATGAACTGCAGCAAGGATGGTGGATCTCCAGGACATGCATATGTGGAAAACACAGTCTGCAGAAAAATACAAACAGATGATTTCATTTATATAGAGTTCAAAAAAACAGGAAAAACTATTAGGTTTAGAAACAGATAAGAAGTAAAACTATGAAGCAAAACAATGAATAATAGATTTAAAATTGCAGATAGCCTGAGTGCAGTGGCTTGCACCTGTAAACCCAGCATTTTGGGAGGCCGAGGCGGGAGGATTGCTTTAGCCTAGGATTTTGTCCAAGATCAGCCTGGGCAACATAGCGAGATGTTGTCTCTACAAATAATTAAAAAAAAAAAAAAAGTTGGGCATGGCGGCCCATGCCTATGGTCCTAGCTGCTTGGGATGCTTAAGCCTGGGCAGTCGAGGTTGCTGTGATCACTCCACTGCACTCCAGCCTGGGTGACAGAATTAGACCTTGTCTCAAAACACACACACACGCACACACACACACACACACACACACAGAACAAACACTGCAGATAGCCATTTTCCTAAGAGGAAAGGTAGCAGGCTAAGATCATGGAGGAACACACAGGAGCTGCAGTGGTATCGTAATGTGATATTTCTTAAGCTGGGTGGTGGATACAAGTGTTGACTGTACTATTTATTATACCTTGCTATATGTTGTATATGCATGTGTGTATATAGGTACATATACACATACATGTATATGTACATATTCCTATTTATATATAAAATATATAGCTTTTAATGGAAAAGAGGAAGTATCAGCTATGTAACATTTATCAGGCATGAATCTTATCTCATTCAACATTTTTATCAATAATTTATTAAAATCTGGCTCATCCAGAGCAGGTGAGGGATGATGATGATTGAATCAGGTTTTCTGAAAGGCATGGACAAGCTCCAGCCATGAACTGATTATTTAATGGAACAGAGGTGAAGATGAAATCTTCCCCTTGAGATTCTTAAAAACCAGTTCACTAAATTGAGGTGAGACCCCCGCCTTTGTTAAACAGCAATTCATGCACAAACAATATTGGGGTCTTAGTTGACAAGTTCAAAAGGAGCCTTCTGTACAAGTGTCTGCCCAGAGAGCTAATTTCCACTCTAGGAAGAGTGATCATCCTGCAACAGCTAGCATGCATCAAGGTGTATCTTGTATAGTTTTCTCCCAGCATCTTGATTTGAATAGAGAGTTGACAAATCAAAGCATGGTCAGAGGGTGGTAACTAGCAATGTAAAAGATCAGCTTGTAAGTTTGTAGCTCATCGGAGGGGAATGTATAAGAGCTATAGTGGAACTTCGAGGTTTCCAGAAGATCGATTCTGGCTCTGTGTACCCAAGATCTCACCAAAGCCAAACATACCCCAGAAAGCAGTGGCCTGCCTTGTAAGGTATGAGCTCAGGTCCCTGGATGTGTTTAGGCAAAGGCTGTACACCTCCCTGTCCCTACATGTGTGCTGAAAGGTGGGCTCCATGGCTCCAACATCCCTTCCACTTCGTGGCTCTCATGAGTCTATAAGAGTAACCCAAGAGAAGTCACCAGCAGAAACTTGGAAATCGTTTTAACAGGGGCCAAGAGGGAAACATGGGGCAGTGCATGACTGACAGCTGTGCTCTGTCACTTCTACATCTGCCTTGCAGTTCTTCAAGCAGCCATGAGCCCCTGCAGGCAAACCTGTGGTCTGTTCAGCAGGACCTGTCTCTGCTGCCTTAGCCCCTGGGAAAGGGAAGCAATGCTGTGGCTCCATTTTCAGCAGCGGGCAAGGAAAAGAACTTGGGTTCGAGAGTTTCACAACTTGAGATTGAATCTCCTTCTGCCTCCTTTCAGTTATATAGTCTCAAGTGCTTATCTTCCTTTCTCTGAATTTCAGTTTCTAGCTCTTTAAACAAGGGTCAGGGACAGCTTACTATTGCAGAAGGTGGTGAGATCAAGAAAGAAATTAGAGGCAAGGTGCAGTGGCTTACGCCTGTAATCCCAGCACTTTGGGAGGCCAACGCGAGCAGGAGTTTGAGGTCAGGAGTTTGAGACCAGCCTGGCCAACATGGTGAAACCCCATCTCTATTAAAAATACAAAAAAAATAAATTAGCCAGGTGTGATGGCCCATGCCTGCAACTTGCTACTCAGGAGGCTGAGGCAGCAGAATCACTTGAACCTGGAAGGTGGAGGTTGCAGTAAGTCAAGATCATGCCACTGCACTCCAGCCTGGGTGACAGAGTGAGATTCTGCCTCAGATAAAAAGAAAGAAATTGGAGCACCTGGTATATATTGCTTTCTCAATGCCCAACCCTGAAACATCTCTAATACTATTTGTTCACTTACTCATCAATTTGTCCAATAAAAGTTTATGTAATACCTAGATCCTAGGTACCTGGTGGCCTCTGAGCCATTGGGAATATGCTTGTGGAAATACACCCTCCTCTCGAGGAAGCTATGGTCTTGTAGCTGAGACTGATCACCCAACAGACAATGGTAAACCCAGTGTGCCAAGCTCTAGGCAGAGGATAAAACCACGAAGACAAGCAGAATGGAAGAGGAGGAAAATATAACACTGCCTCGGGAAGGAGTGTTGGGGCAGACTTTCTAGTGTAATGAAAGATGAGCAGAAATTATTTGAGATGAAGCAGGAACAACCTGGGGCAGGGGCATTGAAGATTCTATTGCTGAATGAACAGCAGGGACCAAGGCCCAGGCGTCAGATAGCACAGCCAGCTGGTGAAAGTTCAAGTTAAGTGCATCAGCCAGGATGGGCCAGCTTATGCTGTCATAGTAAAGTACCCAAAATGCAGCGATTCACAATAAAAACAGTTCATTTCTTCCCATTATCTCTATCCTCCAGGGACTGGCTGGGGGCTCGGCTCCATGTCACCCTCTCTCTGGCATTCAGGCTGACAGAGTGGCCACTTTGCAGAACAGCGGCAGTGGTTGTGCAGAGGAAGATGGCATACCACACTACACACAGGCTCTTGAAGCTTTCACATGAAAGTGGCATGCAGGCCAGGTGCAATGGCTCCTGCTTGTAATCCCAGCGCTTTGGCAGGCCACAGCAGGAGGTTCACTTGAGCTTAAGAGTTCAAGACCAGTCTGGGCAACATAGTGAGACCCCCATCATTATAAAAATTTTAAAAATTTAACCGGGCATGGTGGTGCACACCTGTGGTCCTAGAAACTTGGGAGGGGCTGAGGTGGGAGGACCACTTGAGCCCAGGAGGTCAGGGCTGCAGTGAGCTATGATCACATCTCTGCATTCCGGCCTAGGTAACTGAGTGAGACTCTGTCTCCAAAAAAAGCAAAGAAAGTGGCTTGGAGCACTTCGGATTCTGTTTCATAGGCCAGGTAAGTCACAGGGCCACTCGTAAATCCAACAGGGGAAGACAGTGCAGTCCTTCTGTGTGGCCAGAAGGAGAACTAGAAGTATCAGTTGACAGCACTAAGGACCACCACTTTTGTAGCAGGAGAAGGGGGTCGTCTGGAGTGGGAGAGGGTGAGAAAGAAACATCAGCCAGATTCGGAAGCTCCTTTATGCTATGTTCTAGGGGGATTTTATTGTTTTGTTTTGTTTTGTTTTGAGACAGAGTCTTGCCTTGTTATCTAGGCTGGAGTGCAGTGGTGTGATCTCAGCTCACTGCAACCTCTACCGTCCTGGTTCAGGCAGTCTCTTGAGTATCTGGGATTACAGGCACACACCACTATGTCCGGCTAAATTTTGCTGGGCATGGTGGCTCACGCCTGTAATCCCAGCACTTTGGGAGGCCAAGGTGGGTGGATCATGTGAAGTCAGGAGTTCAAGACCAGCCTGGCCAACATGGTGAAACCCTGTCTTTACTAAAAATACAAAATGAGCCGGGCGTGATGGCACATCCCTGTAATCCCAGCTACTAAGGAGGCTGAAGCAGGAGAATCGCTTGAACCGAGGAGGTGGAGGTTGCAGTGAGCCAAGATCGTGCCATTGCACTCCAGCCTGGGCAACGAGAGTGAAACTCAGTCTCAAATAAATAAATAAATTTTGTAGTTTTAGTAGAGATGGGATTTCACCACATTGGCCAGGCTGGTCTTGAACTCCTGACCTCAGGTGATCCACCCGCCTTGAGCTCCCAACATGCTGGGATTACAGACATGAGCCACCACACCTGGCCCTCCTCTTATTACAAGGATACCCCAAGGCTGGACGGAATGCCTGCCCTAATCCACCATAACCTCATTTTAACTAATTACATCCGAAAAGACACATTCTGAGATTCTGGGTAGACGTGAATTTGGGGAGGACCCTAGTCAACCTAGTACAGAAAGTGATAATGTATTTTTGATGGGGTTTCACCAAGTTGCCCAGGTGGGTCTTGAACGCCTGACCTCAAGTGATCTCCCTGCCTCGGCCTCCCAAAGTACTGAGATTACAGGCATGAGCCACTAGATTTTTTACTGTATCTAGCAAGGGCCATTGCAGGATATCAAGTCTGGGAATGACACAGTTTCTCATTTCAGAACCATTGAATTGGATACAGCCTGAGTAGTATTCATTCATTTTTTCCACAAGCATTTGGGTGGTGACAGAAGGCGGCAGACAAAGTCCCCCCATCACATTTGGCAAAGAGGGTTGCGGGGATTCATTAATCAACGAGCTAAACAAATGAATTTGTAATGTTTCAGATGGTGATAAGTTGCAAGAGTAAAAATAAAGATGGGATAACAGGAGCTGACAGCCTGTTAGAGAAAGCCAGAAGTGTTAAGGTGTGAGGAGCGAATGGGCTAGACAGCTACAAAGGCGACAGAAGCAACATAACTGAGTGAGCTTCTAGAATTACAAGAGGGTCCCTGAGATAAAATCTATAGCAACGCCTAGGGCAGGAGGCTTTGATAAACATGATTTGCATCTGAGTTTGGAGTTGGAATAGCTCTTTTGAAGCACTCTGTCCCCATGGACATAGATGTAACACCAACCCTTTCCAGGAGAGTGGGTAACAGACAAGCCACTCAGCCGGTTTTATTAAGATGGAAATTTTCACAAGGGCTAAAATAAAGATTCAAGTCAATGGAAGCCGCCTTTTTAATTGATAAGAGCAGCTCAGCAGTAAAGGAAATAGGAGATGCTTGATGCCTGTGTCGTTCTAGTGTTGGGGAATTATATGGAACACTCAAAGCAGACCTCCCCATCAGCTCAGAGACAATTGATGGTCTGTGCATGTCCTTGTGAGGCTTTCTGTGGGGTAGGATGAGATTAGAAGCAAAGTTGCCTCTTTTACTCTTCTGGTTTCATTCTTCACTCTGGCAGTCAGCACAATTCACAGGTGTATCAGCCGAGGAAGCATCTCACAAACTCTATTCTCTCTTACTTCCATGCCATTTTGGCACCGTGAACTTGAAATCACTGGTGGTGTTCTCTTTACCCTGCTGGAATCACAGACACTGCAAGTTGAAAGTCACCCAGAGGCGATCTGATGTTTTCCTTCCTCTACAGGGAGGAGAAGTCTCTTCTGCTTTTCACAGCAGGTGTCATTCAACCTACACACATGTGCTGAACCACAGGAGCTTGTGGTCTCTCGAGGCAGGACCACCCCCCGCAACCCCATGGTCAAGCAGCCCCTGCAGTAGCCTTGTTCTTCCCCAAGACCCATCACCCGTCCTAGCTGGGAGCCACGTGACGTTACGCTGTTTCCGTTTAAGCATGAAGTCATTCAAAAGTTGGAAGGTAGCACGCTCCCATTTTAGAACTGTTGTGCCAAACCCTATTAACCTCAGTAAGGAAGACACCAGGTTCAAGAGGCTGAAGAAGAGACCCAGAGCCAGCAAAGGAGGCATGGGGTTTTATTAGGGGCTTACATCCAGGCAAGAGAGTCTAGCGGCAATAAGCTGGACATTAGAACCGCCTTATATACAGAAACAGTCCAGCAACAGAGGGCTGGATAAGATTTCACCTTCCTATGATCCACTGTCAGCAGGCTAGATGACATAAGCACACAGCCTAGTGGCAGTGGGCTGGGGAGGAAAACTGCAAACATCATGCAATTTATATAACATTTTCCCTTAACACACTCCCCCTAATGACCTCCACCTGGCAACCTTCATCAACCCAAAACTCAGGGCCTCAATGTGTACAGCTCATGTCCCATGGAATGAAACGGAGTGGGGGGCTCAGATGTTTATCATAGACAAGGAACAAATCTCCTGGTCGACCTCTCCTGGATTCCCTAGTTTGGAACACACATTCAGGTGCATCTGCCATCCTGGGTCATCCCAAGGGTATGCTTAAGTCACTGTTATCAGATGCATTTACCCTACAGGAACACCTTCACATCATGTTAGCCCAATTCCTTTCTTTCTTTGTATCATTGCTTCCCTTTAAATCTAAAAAGAAGATTAAGTCTTCCATGCCAAGCCAAGCCCAATTACTACAATCAGTCTTTATATGGCAGTACCCCACCATCTAGACTGCCGACTAACTTCTCTCCTCCTGATAGTCTCTGCTTTATGTATTTTCCTTAAAAACCACAGGAACCAGCTGGATCCAGGACTCCAGCCACAATCCAAGGGCCAGAGTAGAGGGTTCTAAAATTTCTCCATAAAATTTACTTCTCGATACAAGAAAGCAATATAAGCCATAATGGCTGACATTCCAGAAAAACACTCTTACCAAGCCCCGGCTCTCAGTAAACTCAAACGCATCTCTCTGCTCAAACGTTTTGTGGTTCCAAGAGAAAACAAATACACCGTGCACATTTTTCTTTCTTTAAAGATTGGAAAGAAATGAAGAAAAGACTTGTCTTGTCCATGTTTTTATAGAAAAATATAAAGCATGTCTCCTCTGTGACAGATTTCTTTTCCTGTAAATCCAGCAAGCCCATGAAAGAGCTTATGTGTGAGCGGATGTCACACATTCATCTTCCCCAGCCACTTTGCTGCGTTTCTGAAAAGATAACATAGATGCCTGGAGTGCAGACATCTTGAGATTTAGGAGCTGGCGCCTTACAGCTCTTTGTGAATTGAGCCTAGAAAACGTGTCTGTTTTTAGCTGACCCCAAGAACAGAACTGGCAACCGCTTCGTGCAGAGGAGTCTTCCTCCACGGAGTTGGTTCTCAAGAAACTGACGCTGAAACTTTCTTTGGGCACGAGACACCTGTGTGCTTCTCATATTTGGACCCAATGCTGTTCCTTCTGCCCTCTGCTGTCTGTGTCGTTCCTGGCTGCAGAACACAGCCCCCAAGCAGAGATGCTGAGTCCTCAGGACCCAACCCACCACACACCGGCTGTGTAACCCTGAGCCAGTCACTTCTGTTCTCCCACTAACCAAACAAGGACAATAATGGAGTCTTCCTGGGGTCCGATGTGCACACTGGTACTCAGCACAGTACCCTGGGCAGCATAAACAGTCCGTTTGACAGGGTGAATCAAGGCTTTCTGTCATGAGGCTTTCTGTGAGGTAGGATGAGGTTAGAAGCAAAGTTGCCTCTTTTTCTCCTCTGGTTCCATTCTTCACTCTGGCAGTCAGCACAGTTCACAGGTGTATCAGCTGAGGAAGCATCTCACAAACTGTCTTCTCTCTTGCTTCCATGCCCTTTTGGCACCGTGAACTTGAAATCACTGGCATGATGAGATCAAGTCCTATTCCTTGGACCTTGTCCATGTGATCTGATTTGGAAGAAGAGTCTTTGCAGTTGTGATTTATTGAAGGGTCTGGGGATGAGAGTACTGTGGATTATCCAGGTGGGCCCTGAATGCCATCACAGGTGTTCTTAGAAGAAAGAGGCAACAGGAGAGAACACAGGTGCACAGAAGCACAGGCAAGGTGAAGGCAGGGCAGAGAGAGATGTGGCCGCCAGCCAAAGAATGTAGATAGCTACCAAAGCTGCATATGGTAAGGAAGAGACCTCCCCTAGAGTGTCCAGGGAGCACAGCCCCGCCCACACCTTGACTTCTGACCTGAAGCCTTCAGAACTGTGAGAGACCAAATATCCGAAATCCTAAGCCACCCAGTTCGTGGTATTTGTTACAGCATCCCCAGGAAATAGATTTAGTGAGTGAAGGGTGAGCCATTTGCATTAGCAGAACACAGAACTGAGGAGACAGAAACCCAGCCACACTTGTGTGAGGCGTAGGGCAAATCTTTCCTAGATAATAACTCAAATCATTCAGACTGCTGCCTCTCTGCCTCTCCCTTTCTGTCTCTTTTCACCGCCTCTCCTTCCCTTCTTTGTTCTTGATGAAGTTGAGCTGCCTATAAATCATCGTCCTGTGTAAAGTTTTTAAAATTTTATTTTAAGTTCTGGGATACGTGTGCAGAATGTGCAGGTTTCTTACATAGGTAAACGTGTGCCATGGTGGTTTGCTGAACCTATCAACCCATCACCTAGGCATTAAGCCCTGCACGCATTAGCCCAGTGTAAACTTTGATCTCCCTTTGGATGCCAGCTGATTCTTTCTTCCATTGCCCGTGGGTTTCTGATTGCCCACCATTGCTAAAGCGAGTTGTATAGGCTGCAGGAACAGGTGCACAGGACTCTACGGCTTTCCCTGGTATATCTTTTCTCTGCTGAGGTCAGACTTTTAGATGGCAATACTTTTTAGTTTTGCTGGGCCAGATGTGTTTCCAGGAGGTGGAATTCAGCAGAAGCAGAAAGTTCAAGGCCGTGGAAGATAGCAGTTCAAGTGGCAGCTGCTAAGGGCTTTTCAACTCAGTGTTTTTTCAGCTTGACTTGCAAATAGAGCCTGAAAGTTCCCAACTCTTAAAAATGTTCAGTGTGTCCAGTCTTATAGCAGGAGGAAGAATTTGAAGATGGCCAGTGTTGCTGTTTCTCAGGCCCTAATATTTCTTTGTGCTCAGTGAACGGGCAAGTTATCCTGAGGAAGAAAATATTTCAGAGGCTTCAGTGCTAAGTATTAATCAAATAGGTCGGGGGTCGAGCAGGCCTTCCACAGTCATTCATACAGGAAAAACATATTGAGGCTGGCCCCACCCTATATCTCAGCGGGGAATAACTAAAGCTATTCAAGAGTCACCTTACATCCACGGTGAGCCACATTTCCTGATACCAGATGCTTTCAGGGCAACCTTGATCATGGGTTTTTGTCTATTGCATCTTCATGCTGCAAGAAAATTCTGTGTGTAAGCATCTCTGTCTCCCAGCAAAATGTGGCCAGTGGAAGGTCCACATGAGGCCTTTTCAGTCTGGCATCCACAGCACTAGCACAGGGCCTGCCACAAAATAGGCCCCCATAAAGACTGGGGTTGAATAAAATGCATTGTTTGCAACACGTAGGCATGATTTCTTCTTTCCTGCGGTGGGGGATGGGACTGACCCATCAAAGCACATCTCATATTTGAAATGTATGAGATTCTTGGATAGTGCAAAATACAATGTGTGCATTACACACTGAGGAGGCTGCTGCAGTTTCTCCAAACCCCTACAGGCTGGGAGACTTTTAAGAGACCCTTAGACAGTGTCACCTTTGTTTATGCAGTTTTCATAAATTTCTTTTACTTGGCCGTAGTCTCTGGGTGATACTTGTTGTAACAGGCAACTATTACAGTACAAGATATCCTGCTTCAGATCTGTGCAGCTCTCCTGGGCTCTTAGTTGGAGTGAATCAAAGCCCCTGCACACACATACACCTGTGTGCACACTCTCGCTTTGACATTCACCTATCCCTCTACTTCCCACCTCCAGAACCCTCTGCTGCTGGTGTTTTTCTGTGTGTTTGTTTTAGATTTTTGCTTTTTTTAGAGAAAGGTGTCTCACCATGTTGCCCAGGCTAGTCTCGAACTCCTGAGCTCAAACAATCCTTCCGCCTCAGTCTCCCAAACTGCTGGGATTACAGATGTGAGCACTACACCCAGCCAATCTCTGCTGCTTCTTGCTCATGGCACCATCCCTTTGGCTATCAAAAGGTAGCTCTCCTGGCCATCCCTTTGCATAGGCCATAGTGGAAGCTTATAATTTGATCTTGGTTTTTTCCTTTAGCTTTGTCCTTTCTGAAATTCTTCATTTTAGCCTAGATTCCTCTTATAATAGAGCATAACATTCCAGCAGTGCTCAAGGATGATTCATTGCCTCAAAGTTGCCACCTCTGAAAGAGTGTAATATGTCCACCCTACTCATTGGCAGGAGGGAGAATCTGATTCTTCTACCCCTTCTGCTGCTCCAAATGATAATAGCAGCCACCACAACCACAGGCTCAGCAGATAACACGCCTAGCCCAGAGCTGCACGTCCTCTGCCTCTCATTTGCCCACCACAGATACCCAATAAAATAGACACCGCTAGTATGAGCTTCCTTTTGTGGCTGTGATGAATTGCTACATATTTATGGTTTAAAATGTGCAAATTTATCTTTTTACACTTGGGTCAGAAGTCCAAAATCGGTCTCATTGGGTTAAAGTCAAGGTGTAGGCAAGGCTGGTTCCTTCCAGAGGCTCCAGGGGAGAATCCACTTTCTTGATTTTTCCAGCTTCTCGGGTCACCTGCACTCCTTGGCTCCTGACGCCTTCCTTGGTCTTCAAAGCCAGCAGTGTGGCGTCTCCAGATATCTTTCTTTGACTTCTGCTTCCCTGTTCACATCTCCTTCTCTGACTCCCATGTCTCTCTCTTACAAGGACCTTGTTGGGCCCACCCAGATAATCTAGGATAAGCCCCTCATCTCAAGATCTTTAATGACATTGACTAAGTTTCTTTTACCCTGTAAGATAACATGGTAAGATATTCACAGTTGTTGGGGATTAGGATATAGGAATGTTTGGGACCATTATTTTTCTAACCACCCTTTTTTTTTTTTTTTTTGAGACGTAGTTTTACTCTGTCACCCAGGCTGGAGTGCAGTGGTATGATCTCAGCTCACTGCAACCTCCACCCTCCGGGTTCAAATGATTCTCCTTCCTCAGCCTCCTGAGTAGCTAGGACTACAGGTGGCTGCCACAGCGCCCGGCTAATTTTTTGTATTTTTAGTACAGATAGGGTTTTACCATCTTGGCCAGGCTGGTCTTGAACTTCTGACCTCGTGATCCACCCGCCTCGGCCTCCCAAAGTGCTGGGATTACAGGCGTGAGCCACCTCGCCTGGCCTTTCTAACCACACTTTTATGCCTGCCTTTGTAACTGTGAAGCGACTTTTGCAGCTCAGAGAGGCTGCCCCATGTGTCCAGCCTCCCCAGTGAGTAAACTGAAGGCAGGGTTTGAAGTAGGCAGGATTTGATCTTGGAACCTGGGCTCTAAACCACTACTACACCATATGCTCACCCGAGCAGTGCCTAAATACCCAGCTTCTTAGCCAGGCTCTCAGCAACTTGCAAGGAAGAGTCATATTTTAATTACCTCTTGAGTCTCATCGAGCACATGGAGGAGACCTTGGGATATTGTTGAGGCTTAATATTGAGTTAAAATGGTGATTGTCTCCCTTGTACAAATCTACTTCTATTTAGACAACCTAAGGTTACTTTGGTTTTAAAAAATATCATTTCACACTAACCTTGCTTTCATTGAAGACTTCTCTTCTGCTTCTTTATCAAACGTGGTGCTTCTGGGCCATGCCTCTCCCGTCTTTTGATAACAACAATATTCTCAGAGAACACAGTGTCCTGGGCTGAATGTTACATGTAGTCACTCACTTAATCCATGCACCAACCCCATCAGGTGAAAACCATTACTGTCCCCACTTAGTACCGTTATACCTCAGGCTCACTGTTGTCCAGAGTGGAGCAGCTGTTCAGTGGCAGAGCTGGGACTGAAACTGGGGACTCTGTCTCCTGTGGGCATGCTGCTAACCCTCTGAGTATTGTGAGTCTGGATGGGAGGCCAGTGGGGATTTATGTTAGACGGTGCCCTGTGGTTGCAACAAATGAAAACCAACCCAGACTTTCTTTAACAAAGGGGAATTGATGAATAGATCTCTCCCCTAACAAGAGGCTGGAGATATGAGACTGGGGAGAGCAGGAGCCATGATGACTCTGGAGCCCTGAGGTCGGCCCCGGGAGCTGGCTTGTAGCAGAGGCAGTGGAGTCAGGGCACCGCCGCTCAGGGGCGGGACTCACAACCCCAGATCCGAGGGAGCATCTAGTGCAGCTCTCTTAAGTTGTGTCCATTGGCCCTTGGGGTGTGGGGAGCAGGTGCCTTTGGTCTCTCTTCTGCCAGGTTGTTTCTAAGAGAAGAACATTGCAATCTGGAAAAGCAGTATTATTGTAGGGTAGAAATGAACACATGGGGAAGAGCATTTAAAACCAAAAATGAAACAGATTATTCATACAGAGTGTGCCAGAAGCTACTGGATCGAATCTCCTTTTGCTCCTTAAATATTTATTGAGCACCTACTGTGTGGCTGGCCCTGTTTCATTCAGAGGATACGAGGGTGAATCAAATGTGCATTGTTAAGTTTTATGGATCTAAGTTATCCCTTGAGTGGTGGCCTGATGGCTTGGAAGAGGTAATACATCTGTCAGTTCTGACATCCACGGTGGAGAGAAATGAATCCTGCCAAATGGAAATGACTCTCCAGTTCCATGGGGGCACAGGTGGCCTGGAAAAAGCTACCCCAGTCTGTGAGCCCAGACAGTCCAGAAGGCCCCCTCTTAGATCTCAATCCCAGCGCATTTAATTTCAGTTTTGTGTGACCCTAATAGAGATCCTTCATCAAGTTTTATTCTTCATAAAAGATCCATTTCCATAGACTCATAAAGCAACTCCTTCTAATTCAGTGTTATTTTATACATACTTTCATTGCTCGCATCAATCACAGGCAGCCGACTTCCCAGCCATGAAACAACAGCTTGCAACATCACCATGTTACCCAATATGTATTTACTTATCAAGTTGGAGAACACATGTTTGCAAAATCAGCAACATTACAGCTTTACTAGCAATTTGCTAGCACTTTCTTCCCGTTGAACACGGAGTCTGAATTGTGTGGTATTTCACTATCCTGGCTCATTTGTATCTTGTAACTGCAGTAGTCACCAGCACCCTGAAACCTCCTGGAGATCCTTGTTGATCATACCTGGAACTTCAGCCAGGTCACTTACCTAACAGGTGTGGTTCTGGAGTCATCGATCATCTGTCCTGCACTACAACTCAAGGATATAGGTCCTATATGTCCCTCGGGCTTCTGGACCTAGCCTAAAGATGCCCCAGACAAGCTGTAATGCAGGGCAAGGTCCTCAATAGCCACTCTGTAGGGAGAATTCTGGAAAATTATCCTACCTGCAAAATGTAATGTGAAATATCTGACATGAGCTGTGTGGAGCTGAGTAGGGAAGTTGGGAGAATAAACCACACTTCCTGGGTTTGCCTCTCGTCTCAGCCACTTACCAGCTAGATAACTGAGGTGATGGGCAAGCGGCTTTACCTCCCTGGGCCTCAGCTTCCCTCTCCATAAAATGGGCTAATGACACCTGCCTCATAGGGTTTGTGGGATGATTAAATGCTTGCAATGCCCTGAGTCATCTGCTATGGTACGAACCCTCATAAAGGTTAGCTCCCCATCACTCCTGCACCAACTTTTGTATTCATTCAGGATTATGCTTTTGTGTGTCCCTCTGAGCCCATACTCAGCCACTTGCCAGTAGTGATGATGGAGTGGTTATTTGACTTCCCTGAGCCTGAGTCTCTTTCTTTTAAAATAGAGATGATCTAATTACCCTGGCAGGGCTATTAGAAGAACTATTTCTGGTGCACAGTCCACACATGTATCTCCTCCTCCATGGAATTACTGCAAAGGTCTCCTCCTCAGTGCCCCCTATATTTTACCTGCATCTTTAAGCCAACTTTACACAGTCATAGGTGTCAGCCCATTTTACAGATAAGGAAATTGAGCCTCTGTAAGGTTGTGTATGTTGCTCAGATCATGTAGCCAGTAAGTAAGGTGCCAGAGTCTCCATCTGTTCAGCTTCTATCATTCCAAGGATTCCACTCTCAAGGCCCCACACCAGGCCAGTAGAATAAAAATCTCTGGGGGAGAGTCTCAGACATCAAGAGAATTTTAAAATATCTTCAATGAGCAGCCAGGGTTGCAAGGCATACCCCCAGGCCATGTTTGCTCAACCTCATTCTCATGTACGGCCCACATCTGGTGGGTCCCACCAGAAAAAACAAGAGGGTGGGGGAAATTTAGCAGAAGTATTTCATTAAAAAGGAGGATGTAGCTTAGAATTCAGCAAATTAAAGCAGAAGCCAAGGAAATAGCAGTTCTCTGGTGTCCAAAGCAAGGTCAAGAGCTGGGAGCCCGAGGAATAAACTGTGAAGCCAGCACAGATCTCCCAGAACAGGGAACCCAGAGCTTAGGGCTGGAGAAGGCACTCCCAGAGAAGGTCCAAGCCTAGAGCAGTGACTGTTTGACTTCTGCCCAGGTACATCTTGCTTCTCACCCCATAGGGAAACAACCGCTGGAGGAGCCAAGTGTTCAGTGAGCCGGTGCAGTTCTGGGGCCATAATGATGAAAAGGAAGGCATGTGCATTGTTGCCTGCGCAGCTGAGTATAGGCACTGAGGCCGAGACACTGAGTGTCCAGGTGACCCCCTGTGTTTCCCAGGCCTTCCGCCATCTGGCTCCTGGCTCTTGACCACGACTGGCTGCGTGATTTGCAGAGCCCATTGTAAAATGAAAACTCAGGGTCCCTTGTTCAACAACAATTAAGAATGTCAAGAGGGTGACAACAGAGCACTAAACCCAGCACAGGGACTGTCTGAGCAAGGGGTTCTGTGCAACTGTGCAGGTCACACGTTCATGAAGTCCACCTGCTCTTGAGCTTGCCTTAGACACCAGGTCTGGCCGCTGAAGTGCAGGCAAGAGTGCTGTGTGTCGTTTCTGACTGAAGCGTTCAATGAGTCAGCATGTGAGTTTGCAACTCTCTGCCGCTCCTGCAGCAGTCAGGAAGCTGCATGTTCAAGGTGGCCTGGCTATAAGATGCAAGGGTCTGGATCCCTAAGCTGCCACTTGGAGAGAGGATCTGCCCCTTGAAGTGAACCCCCAAAGTGGACTGAATTTGAGTGAGAAATTAACTTTATGTGCTAAGCCACTGAAATGATAGGGTTGGACTGTTATCTCATTCTAGCCTAGCCTAATATAGTCTATGTGGTTTTTGTTGTTGTTGTTACTGTTTTTGAGACAGGGTCTCTCTCTGTCACCCAGGCTGGAGTGCAGTGGTGTGATCTCGGCTCCCTGCAGCCTTCGCCTCTCGTGTTCAAGCAGTTCTCACACCTCAGCCTCCCCAGTAACTAGGATTACAGGGACATGCCACCACGTTTGGCTAAATTTGTTTGCATTTTTAGTAGAGAAAGGGTTTCACCATGTTGGCCAGGTTGGTCTTGGACTCCTGACCTCGGGTGATCCACCCACCTCGGCCTCCCAAAGTGATGGGATTACAGGCATGAGCCACCATGCCTGGCCTATGGTCTGTGTTTTTAAAGAGCAAATTGCTGCGCCTTTGCCCTTAAATAGATATAAATGATAGCGACAATAAGCCCATTGTTCAGAATTAACCCAGGAGTTCATTAATATTTAGTGTCAGTTAAGTATCAATTATTTACCTGCTTCCTACTCCAGCTTTATATTACCTTAAGCTGTAAACGAAGAAAAATGATAAAAACTCATCTTTTATTTATTCACTTATTCATGTATTTATTCACTTGTGCATTTGGCAAATGTTTACTAGACTCTTAATACATGCAAAGCATTATTCTGGTGCCTTTGAACATTTTCATATTTGTCAGATATAGAGCAGCATCCTTGATCTCTACCCACTAGATGCCAATATCACATCTCCTGCCCCAGTTGTAACAACCAAAAGTATCCCCAGGCATTGCCAAATGTTCCCTAGAGGGGCTAAAATACCCCTCATTGAAAACCACTGCTGTAAAAAGGACTAGGCTTGCCATTTAAAAATCTCTTAAATTGGCTGGGCGCAGTGGCTCACACCTGTAATCCCAGCACTTTGAGAGGCCAAGGTGGGCAGATCACTCGAGGTCGGGAGTTTGAGACCAGCCTGGCCAACATGGTAAAACCATATCTCTACTAAAAATACAAAAATTAGCAAGGCGTGGTGGCGCATGCCTGCAATCCAAGCTACTTGGAAGGCTGAGGCATGAGAATCACTTGAACCTGGGGGACAGAGGTTGCTGTGAGCCCAGATTACGCCACTGCACTCCAGCCTGCACTCCAGTGACAAAGCGAGACTGTCTCAAAAAAAACTCTTAAATTGGTTAAACAAACAAAAAAAACCACACCGTGTCCTTTTGTTGTTTTTAAGAGTTTATGGAAAAATATATTGGAGAGTTACAATTACTTCAGGCTAATTCAATATAAAGAGTATTTTTATTATTAGTTTGGAATATTAAAGTTTCCACTTAAAATTGATTTTTTGAAGTGTTTTCAGGCAACATCATTTAATTCAGCATAGAGTATCCTATGTCTTTCAAAAAGAACTTCATGGGAATGGTAGATAAAAAGATTAAGTGGAATTTTTAAGGGGTGTAAGAAAAATCTTACTGTCGAAGTCTGGATAAAAGGAAGAAATTAGGACAGTAAAATGAATCATGATGGGGGACCCCAGTTTTGGCCATGTGTCACCTAATATGTCATAAACAGTTCTTCAGCTTCATTAAAGAATAGCTTACCAGAAAGAAGGGCAGACACTGGAGGCTGAACTGCAGCGAATGAAAACCTGAAATAATCACAAGGTGGTCCTGTTGCCATCATCTCTTTATCAGTATAAAAATAAACAACCTTTGAAAACAGATGGAGACAGTCATTGCTCAACTTGTCATAACTTATTACATATTTGGCTGTCAATTTGTACTTAAAAAACCAACTAGCTCCAGGGAGGCAAAGCAAAGTGGAGAGGAGAAGCGAAGCCTGTTGCATTTCAATTCAAGCCTGTGGTAATTTCAGCTGCATGGAGACACTTAGGACTGTTTTTAAATGAAGTCAGCAACTGTCCCAAAATTTAAGGCATTCTCATTTTAAAGAGCACAGTTGTGTTCCTATGGGATGGCACTTCCTCACCTCAAACCTGTATCAGGAGTATATATATCTCGTGCCCGTTTAGTCAGTGCTGCTCTCCCACAGGGTGAGATCTCTCTGAGCCAGATCATTCTCGGACAGATGATGAATTTTTCTGTTCCAAACAGGGAGGTGGGAGGAGGAAGGGCAAAATGTTTCCCATGGATGTACC
The DNA here is from genome assembly GCF_000001405.40 of Homo sapiens. Lineage (NCBI taxonomy): Eukaryota > Metazoa > Chordata > Mammalia > Primates > Hominidae > Homo > Homo sapiens. The sequence continues at coordinate 83,477,668 of NC_000016.10, forward strand.
ACTTTTTAAAGTTGTAATCTGGAGTACTCATCAACAACATCTAATTCGTGCCTTTGGGGGAAAGAATGGCTCTACCAACAGACAAGGTCAAAAGCTGGTGGGCCTCAGACCGAAGCTTGCCATAACCTCTTTTGTTTGGCCTTCTAGTCCCACTGAGTGATCTTTTATTTTTTAAATTTGAACTAGTGTCTAAAAATCCAAATTCCCACCTTTTCTTAAAAAATCAAAAGATGGCTGGACGCGGTGGCTCATACCTGTAATCCCAGCACTTTGGGAGGCCGAGTCGGGTGGATCACGAGGTCAGGAGATCGAGACCATCCTGACTAACATGGTGAAACCTCATCTCTACTAAAAATATAAAAAATTAGCCAGGCTTGGTGGTCCCAGCTGCTTGAGGCAGAAGAATGGCATGAACCCAAGAGGCGGAGCTTGCAGTGAGCCGAGATCACGCCACTGCACTCCAGCCTGGGCAACAGAGCAAGACTCCGTCTCAAAAAAAAAAAAAACATCAAAAGATCTGGCTAGTCCAGACTTGTATTTCAGACATGCAGTAATTCCTTTGAGCTAAAAGGCAGCTGCCGCCTGAGGCAGGAGGCACACGCTCCAGTTTGCCACCAACCCCACCTCTCCCGGTTGCCTTGAGAGCGCTTTACTCATGTGAAGCTACCTGTATGGGCACTGGGTGAGTAGGTGAGCTTCTCACTCCTGGCCCAGCTCCCAGTCTGACCACAGAGAGTCCCACCTTTGAGGCCAGTGGAACTAGGCTCCTGTTAGAGGACTGACCAAAGGTCATTAGCATCTTCATCAAAACTCACATTATCAAGCACTTTCTGGATCAAATGCACAGCTGGACCACCATATGAAAATGTGGGAGGGGTCCTTGTGCTGGTGAATAACAACCCCTGGATAACTGGGCAACCCAGGGAAGGGCCGCCAAAGGAGCAAGGGTTACAAAGCCAAATCTCCCAGACCTTGCCTTAGGCCTAAGCCTGCTTCCTTCTTCTCTTTTCCCCAAAATTGGGCTGGAATCACCTCTTTTCTCTGCCACTCTGCAGTTCCATCCTCCTACCCTCAGAGTACAGGGGCAGGGATTTCTTTAACAGTCTTCACACCCAGAACTGAGAACCAACCTCCCACCTGGCTGGCCAGTAGAGTCTTTTGAAGATGAGAAAAAAAAAAAAAAAAAGAAAAAAAGAAAAAGCTGAATGATGAGCAGTGGCCTCCAATTGGACATCCCCTCAAATGAAAATAAAGCCAGTCCAAATGTAAGCCAGTGGGAAAATGAGACATTATTTACAATTCATCACATGGGTAGCTTTCCAGGAACACATGCCCTGCCAAACGTGGGCTGCCTCTGGATCCCTATCAGGTTGGTTGGTTATCTTTCATCAACTAGTCATTCGACAGTTTCCCTATCAATTGCTGTCTACTCAAGAATGTCCACAAGACCAGAGGAAGCGGATGCATGCATATGTGCACTCAACAGAAGTATCTAGGCTTGTCTAAGGGAAGAAAGGAATTGTTTCCTAACAAGATTTTAAGTAACTCCTGTTTCTGTAGATCCTGAGAGTGAGTCCTAGAAGCAGTGTGTCTTAAACCCTAAGTGGTTGGGTCCCACAAGCTATTTCCCTCGTCATGATTGCACTCAGCAGTGGGTCCTCACAGAACTGAGTTCTAAATTGTGAGAGTCAATGAAAATAACAAACTTACATTTCTCAGCTGGGCGCGGTGGTTCACACCTGTAATCCCAGCACTTTGACGGGCAGATCACGAGTTCAGGAGATCGAGACCATCCTGGCTAACATGGTGAAACCCCATCTCTACTAAAAATACAAAAAAATTAGCCGGGCGTAGTGGCAGACACCTGTAGTCCCAGCTACTCAGGAGGCTGAGGCAGGAGAATGGCATGAACCCGGGAGGCGGAGCTTGCAGTGAGCCAAGATTGCACCACTGCACTCCAGCCTGGTGGACTGAGTGAGACTCCGTCTCCAAAAAAAAACTTACATTTCTCCATTACTTACCATCATCCTGGCATTGGACTTTATATAGATTAATTTGTGCATTCTCAAAGGGGGTAATATTACTTCTAAGCAAGAGAAAGTTGGTCATTAGGAGAGAGGGGTTTATCACATCAGATGTATTAGATATTACAATGGCTTGTGCCCTGCAAGGGGCCATAGCACATAAATAGATACACGGTATTCTATAGAATTAACGTTTTGTGATGGAGTGAGAGGGTGTCAAGTCGAATAAATGTCTGAAAATATTCTTGGGGGAAGGTGTTAATGGAAACACAAGAGGCTCAGAGAGCATTGATTCACTCAATGCCTCCAACAACCCATGAGAGAAGAGCCATTTTGTCAATGAAAAGTTGAGGTGGGGCGTGATGGCTCACATCTGTAATCCCAGCACTTTGGGAGGACAACGTGGGCAGATCGCTTGACTCCAGGGGTTCAAGACCAGCCCAGGCAACATGACAAAACCCCATCTCTACAAAAATTAGCCAGGCATAGTGGTGCGCACCTATAGTCCCAGCTAATTGGGAGGCTGAGGTGGGAGGATCACTTGAGCCTGGGAGGTCAAGGCTGCAGTGAGCTGTGATCATACCACTGCGCTCCAACCTAGGTGACAGAGGGAGACCCTGTCTCAAACAACAACAATAAAATTTGGGGCTTAACTGCCCAGAGAAGCCCAGCAGGTGAGGCCAGGTTTTAAAAATAGATAGCCCAGGTCCTCAGCCGGGCCACTGGCTTGATTCTGCTTTGGTTTTGCACACCAGGGTCTCTTTCTTTGTTACTGAGGACGGTTAGGAGAGAACTGGCTCATGTCCACCTGCTTGGTCAGGAAACAATTTTAGATTGGTGTGTTTGGGGTGGCCAGTTGAGTGAATGGCTGTAGGCTGTGTCCCAGGCACTACAGTCACATTTGCAACAATTCTCACATTGGCAGTCTGCTGCTCATGACGAAGAGACGTGTCTACACCTGAAAGCAAAACTTGGCCTGCAGGGTGACCACCTCATTCTGGTTTGCCCAGGAGTGTCCTGGAATCCCCTCAGTCCTGGGAGAACTATCTGGTTCTCATTTGGAACCAGGAGGCCCCAAACCCATTCAAACTAAAGAATCTTCAATGGAAATTTAGTTTCCAATGAGAATCGTTCCAACTAGATATTCCCCAAAATGCTAGAATTTAAAATAGCAGCTTCTACATCTGTCTCACCTGGCTAAGCACCCTAAGCTGCTGCTGGTCTAAGGCTTGTCTTCTGACACAGGGGCAAACACACAAGTAACGTTGTGCACTACAGGATCCATGACCACATTCTCCTTTTGAAGCACCACTATTAGATCATTCGGTCACAGAAAGCATGGTTTGATTGGAATTAGAACTCACTGCCTCCTCTGGTGAGTTTGATGCTTGACAACGATGTGCCATTTTGTCACATCAAAGAGGTTCACCTGGTGACATCTGCCATCTCTGCTCATGTTTGCTTTAACATCACACTTCTCCCTGGAAAGCACACTGTTGCCCTAACTGTGCTATCAGAAATCCAGTGCTGAATATAGATCTGAATGTCTATGTCTCAATACGTGATTCGCTTATAGGAATAGCATTTTGTAAAAAATGAGCCTGACACTTTTTGATCAGGCAAAGGAAATGTTTAGGGATGGAGTCAAAGAAATGTTAAGAACAGCATAATTTTGTCACTGTCTTTTGGAGCATCCCCATCCTCATGGCCAGCTGAAAACCCCCCGTCACTCTCAGATCTGCGCTCTCCTTTCTCAAGGGGTTGGCCGTGCTTGAAGTCACAGGAAAGCAAAACTTCAAAGCTGGCTTTCAAGGTCAAGAAACCAGGCGGCACTTGCTTTAATGAGAGAGCTGCAGTCAGGAGGAAGGGGCTACCTGGCCACAAGGAAGCGATCACACTTGTTAATCAGCCTGTCAGGCTGGCGGCCGTGTCCTTCGGCAAAAGAAAATGACGGCCCAACTTGAGACTTTCAACCAGGAACCTGGGATGTTTTCTTCCCCCTTTGGAGGAGCTGCTGCTAGTTCATCTGGCTCAGGGAGTGACAGGGTGATTATAATTTATTTTGTCACTCAGGAGAGTATTGTGACGGGGGAAAAGACAGAAATGTACTGTGTGGAAGCCCCAATGCGTGTCTGTCATATAATTACCCTTTCTCTGCTGTCTGGAAACACAAGACAAGCCCGGATAGGAAGCTGCATGAGCTGGTGAAAACAAAGTGGTGGACATGGAGTCCAGTGTGTGGGACTGCATAAGAGGAGAGGCACAGGCATCACCCACAGGCAATTGGAGCAGGTGCACTGAGGCCCACCTGCTGCATGTCAGCCCTGGGCATAGCATTGGTATGTGACCCAGGAATCCCATTCCAGCAAGGACCTCCAAGGCGCATTGAACAGGGAGCTCAGAGGCAGTCGTGGAAAATCTCCAGGCACGTTGCTCAGTTGTTCATTCTTCTTGGAAGACAAGGTACTGGTGGCTCTGGTCAGTGTGGAATGAGGCAACACTACAGTGAATGGCAAGAAGCCAATTCAACCCAAAGAACACTGATGAGGACCTACCGCGTGTCAGACACTGGGCTTACAAAATGAACACAACAGTCTATACCCTCCAAGAGCTCACATCTAGGACCATGTGGCCCATCACAAAAAGATAGACAGTTCTGAAATAAAGAGGTTCCATCAACAGCAAAGTTTGGTGAGTGCTGCAGAGAGACACCCTCTCTTGGAGATTGATGCTGTAAGCGTGCTTAATAGAGGCACTGAAGAGTCCTCTGGGGAAACCTTGCTTTGCGGTGTTTGCCACGTATTTCCCAAATCTGTTTCTCGACTGAATCTATGGAGCCAGAGTTCCTCGGAACCAATTTAGAGAATGCTGGTTTAGGAGGTTTATCCAGCCTTTGCAGAACACAGAAGTAAGGAAACCATGATCCAGCCTCCAGGGGAAGGTACTGGCAAGAGCCAAGCATTGCACTCAGCAGATAGGTTGGGGTTCAAAGTAAAGCCTGGTCTTAGAGGCCGACTAGAGGACCACGTGGAGACATGGTGTAGACTACAGAATGTGTGTGTGCACGTGTGTGTGTGTTGTTGTGATATCCACAGTAGAAACCCAGATCTGCACACTAAGACCATGGGCAGGGTGGGAGAAGGGACCCGGTGAGAGAGAGGGCTGTCCTGCGACCCTTTGTCCCACATTCTTTGGACAACTTAATCCTAGTCTCCTGTATCTGAGGCCTTTGCCTGCACTGCCATAATTGGCTCAGAACCCAGGACAGAGTTGGATAATGCAAGGCTTCCTCTCTGAACACTAATGTACTAGGCACTGTACCAAGTTCTGAAAATAGGTCATCCCATGAAATCCTCACAACAACCAAAGGGGAATGTTGAAAACAGGGAAACCGAGGCTCAGAGAGAGATGAATAATGTGGCCACGGTCACGCAGCTTGAAAAGACTTGAACCCAGATACGTCACCTCAGAGTCGTTGTCTTCAATGCTGCAAACCTATTTACATAACTCAGGCACAATGCGGTTCCCTCAGAGGCGCGATTTCCTCCAGAGTAAATCCAGTGATGCATTCGTGTCTGGGTGAAGACAAACACGGGGCTTAAGACCGAGTTCACCTGTTCCCTAACAATCCATTAAAATAAAAACCATTTTCTGTGTATGCTTGGGAATATTCCAGGATAATTTTGTGTTACATCATGTTATCCAACCTGTAAACAAAAAGATATCCTCAGTGAATTTCCTGATGAAAACTAAAGACTCATCAACCTGAAAGGTCTTTTTTTTTTTTTTCTTCCTCTAATCATTTTAATGCATATGTCAGTTGCAAGCCATGATGACTTCATTTTTATACCTTCCATGACTTCAATTAAAGGCAGATTAAATAGGGCACAAATCCAATCAATCGAGCATTCATTAGACATTAACTAAGTGCAAGGCCCTGGGTCAAGTGTACTTAACTGGAGACTGGTGTGGAATTGATGGGGTTAAGGCCTCCTCCTATGTCTTTGGCCACATGGAGCTCCCTTTAGCATGTCCCTGGGTAAGATCGCAGGCCTGAAATCTGCCTCTGATTTCTGATGGGGATATCCTTAAGTTTGCCTAGATCAGGAAGTTTAATATGTGTCACATTTCACATCAGTTTCCATAGACTGTGAGTGGCTGCCTAGACCACTGTTGGATAACACTAATTCTGTAGCATGTCAATGGGAGACAGAGTCATGCTGTTCCTGCTGTCTTCCAGAGACAGGGGGGCTGCATGGGCCAAGAATGTTCTTTTCTGAAGCTGAACCTTGAAGCTTGCCCTGAGACCATCTCACAGGGCAAAGAAGCTAGGTGGATAGGAAGTGCACCTTGAAGCATGTGGCCGGATGGCACCATTGGTGAAAATAGCTGAGACTGCCTAACAAATCAATCCAACCTTGAGGGTGGCCAGATCTTCGTTGTTTATCTGATCAATCAGGCCTAATGACTGATACTCTGATTCCAGTGGTGGGGGAAAAAAAACTGGCTTTGATGATTAGAGAAGCATTGCTATGGAAGGAAAAGGAATTCTGGGTGGTGGTAAAACCAGATGAATTCTATCTTTCCTTTAGGCTTCAGTGTTTTCTTTGTATGACTATTCCTGCTGCTTTGTTGAATAGACATCTGCGGCTTTGATCTCTTCCGGTTAGGTCACACTTTGTGAGTCCAGACAGATTCAAAATCAGAAGATGGGCCTTATATTTGTAGAAGACTATATTGGGATAAAAAGTTATGGTTAGGCAGGATGCCCTAATCCAAATGTGGTAGCAATACAATTGCTATTGTCAATCATCAAAACCAGCAGGCATGTTTTTGTTGGTGCTTATAATTATGCTCTTTGTAAATTAAATTTTAATTGCCAAAGCAATACATTCACCTTGTAAAAATAAACAAAATGTTATAGATGAGGCCAACATCTTTCCCGATGACCATGCCAAATCCCAATCCCCTCTCTTCTTCTCCAGATTTAACCACCATTACCAGGGAGAAGTTCTCCTTATAGAGTTGTTCTATGCACTTATAAACTGTACCTGTAAAACATGTGAATAAAGTATTGTGGCATGTTCTGTGTGTAAGCATGTTCACAAAAATGGTATCACTATCCCCCTGTGGGTAAGGAAAGTTAAAACGTGCCACATTTCACATCAGTTTCTGTATACTTCAAGTTGCTACCTAGACCACTGTTTGAGAACGCTGATTCCATGACAAGGTCAATGGGAAACAGAACCATGTTGTTCCTGCTGCCATCCAAAGGCAAGGGGGCTGCATGGGCCAGGAATGTTCTCTTCTGGTGCTGAACCCCAAACATTCCTCAACCTAACATTTTTACTAATTAATATATCTTGAAGAGTTTCCCACATTAGAACCCATTAGATCTACAGTCTTTTTAAGCTGCTGCAAAATATCTCAGTGTGAGAATACTATCATTTTGGCAATTCCCCTGTTGATGAACAGCTAGGCTGTTTCCAAATTTTTCACCTTGACAGATAATTCAGCTAGAAATTTATTTGCACAGATCCCTTGCGGACACGTGCAGTTGTTTCTGAAAGTAGATGCCAAGGAGGCGAAGGCATTGTTTTTACTCTTTGCTGCCCAATGGTCCTTGACAATGGATATACCAGTTTCCCTTTATATCAGCTGCATGGGAGGGAGACCCATTATCTGACACCCTTATCAATCATTGACATAATCCAACACTCCACATGCTTGTTATAGAATCAGGTCCTATTTGTATGACTCTTGCTTGTTTGTGAGTGAACCCAACCATGTTACCCTCATTTTATATTGGAAGTCCCTAAAATAACACGGCTGCTACATAGTAGGTACACATTAGTGTTTGCTCTCATTCCCTTTAACTGGAATGCCTTTTTGCTCTGAGGTCCCTTTGACTTGTTCCTGCCTACTCTCTTCTTACGGGTCCTCATCAGACACCTTTGTGCAAACCCCAGACTAGATAAGGTTGTTCATCTCTGTATTCATAATGCCCTCTCTCAGTGTGCCTGATAAGTCTTATTGTTTGTTATATATTTATCTCTTCTACTGATTTCTGAGCTCCTGCACACCCAGGAGCATGCCTCTTTGTACTCCTGTTTCCCCAACACGCAGCCCAGGCACATGGAGTTGGCATTGAATCAGAGCTTTAAAAATGAAGGCCATGGCTAGATGGAATCTTGTAATCCCAGCACCCTTGGAGGCCGAGGCAGGTGGATCAGCTGAGGTCAGGAGTTCAAGACAAGCCTGGCTAAAATGGTTAAACCCCATTTATACCAAAAATACAAATATTAACTGGGCGTGATGACACACAACTGTAATCCCAGCTACTTAGGAGGCTGAGGCAGGAGAATCACTTGAACCTGGGAGGCGGAGGTTGCAGTAAGCCAAGATCACGCCGCTGCACTCCGGCTTGGGTGACAGAGCGAGACTCTGTCTAAAAAAATGAATGTCCCTGTCACAAAGCCACATCCACAGTGGAATGAAAGCCCCTGAAAATAAACAGTGTATCACCAGAGGGAAAAATTAAGCAGTCACTCTGCTGAACAGCAAAGATGTTTTCTTCTTTATTTCAGGTCTTTTCATGGAATGAAACAGAGAGGGAAAGGAGGAAGAAAAGCTGAAACATAGCAAAGCTTGGGAAATACTTTTCTTTTTTAATTTGGAAAGTGATGGGCACACTGCTGCACTGCTATTGCCCAGGTGGGGAAGGGGCTCTGGCCGTTGTTGACCCATTGATAACCATTCCGTGCCTTTCTGTCTTGCCCCGGTAGGCACCACAGTGATGCGGATGACAGCCTTTGATGCAGATGACCCAGCCACCGATAATGCCCTCCTGCGGTATAATATCCGTCAGCAGACGCCTGACAAGCCATCTCCCAACATGTTCTACATCGATCCTGAGAAAGGAGACATTGTCACTGTTGTGTCACCTGCGCTGCTGGACCGAGAGGTGAGCTGAAAAGAATACACTTTCTTTTTCACGAGAATAGAATGTGGCTTTCATGCAAGGGATGATGTGGGGCTCCAGTCAGTGGTTTTTTTTAATACTGTAAAGGCAGAAATGAGGTGTTTACCATGTTTTGGTGGGGAAAATCTATAAAGGGAAATGGGATATTATGTGACCCAAGAAAACACGTGCTCTAAAAGGCTAAAGCGCCTGGAACTGTTTGTATTCACTCAACCTGATGCCTATTTCCTCAACAGCCACTTATTCTCTAGGCCCTGGTGATTCTAGACTCTGCCTCTGGCCCCTGCTTTAATGCTAGAAGGGAGAGGGAAGGACAAGGGAAGGAGGGGAAGGGAGGAGAGGTGGCTTCATCCAAGATCACACAGGCTGTCCTTGTTGCAGAGTCAAATGCCCATGACTCCTTTCTCCAACCCTTTGCTGCAGGCATCCTGCATTCCCCCTTGAACCCCTCTCTTCCTCCATCTCTGTTCTCATCCCTTTAGGCTTTCTCCGTGAAATCTCCCCCGTCTCCTGGGTCACATGTCACAAACAGGTGACCCCTGGCCCAGTCAGTCCACATGCCTGCTCTTTCGTTTTGCCTGCAGTGTTTTACAGCTTTTAGAATTAGTTGTCATATCAAAATATTTAGATTTCACGTTTCTGTTTTAAAAATGCCAATTTCCAGTTTTTCTGGACATCAGAAATCCTGGAGACATCAGGTCCACTTTCCACATGTGCACTATCGGTGGTGTGAGGTGTGATGCTCCAGTGGATCCAGGGTCTGCTGTCCCCTTTAGATGGGACATGTGCTCCCACCTCGATTACGTTTCCACGTGCATGGGCCCCTCTGGTCCTGCCCTTTCCTGAGTTTGAGGTCCACCGTGTAGCTTACCATAAGCTACTTTAAGTAGAAGACCCTCGCGGACCTCCAAACACAGCATCCTTAAACCAACTCGTGGATTCCTACCCATCCTTCACTCTCCATCCACCCTAAACCTGCTACCATTCTGGAATTCCCTGCTCCTGACATCATCCCACAGGCGTGGGGCCTTGGAGTTGTCCTTGACCTTCTGTAAGAACCATCAGCTCCACGTAACTGCTGGGCTTCCCTCGGGGGCTCTGTGCATTTCCCCCTCAGTGTTTTTGATGAAATAAATCCATGGTTCGGAGTGTTGTTTCCTCTGCTTTCTCCTCTCTTATGTGCTATAGTTTCTCAAGAGATTCTGGATTACATCAACCCCTTCTAAGAAGCTGTCCTCATCCACCTGATTCTTCCACAGTCTTGTTCTTCCTCCCATCTCTGACTACTCTTGCCTGTAGCCATCATATAGCAGTTGGCATGTGCTAATTAGGTTGTCATTTGTCTCTGAAGAAGATTCTCTTTCTCTTGGTCTAGACCTGAATTGTCCAGTAGAGTAACCACTAGTCACATGGGGTTATTGCAATTTTAAAGTATATTAATTGAAATCAAGATGTAAAAATCAGCTTCACAGTCACAGACACATCTCAAGTGCTCAGCAGTCATATGTGGTTGGTGGCTATTGTACCGGACAGTGCAGACCTAGAACACTTCCATCACCCCAGAAGGTTCTACTGGGCAACAATGGCCTAGACTGTATGTTTCCTGACAACAGAGACTGTGGTCATATGCATGTTTATATTTCTACTGCCTAGCATGGTTGAAGTACTTCTAAAAATCCTAATTATATGTTTGTTGGCATAGAGGGAAAAAAAGGAAAAAGAGTTGGAAATAAAACTAAGATCTTACATAAGCTGTGAGAAACAGAAGCTAGAAATAGGTAATTATTGAAAGGGAGAGACAGAGAAATTTGCATTGAAACTCTGATTGTCCTTTGGAAAATGTAATCGTTTCTAGTTAAAGAATAGGGAAGTAGAAAAAGTAATGAGTCCATTATATTCATTTCATCTCCCATTCTCTTTCCAACCCTCCCTATTTTTTTATTTTTTTATTTTTTTTATTTTATTTTATGAGACAGAGTCTTGCTCTGTCACCCAGGTTGGAGTGCAGTGGCACGATCTCAGCTCACTGCAACCTCCACTTCCCAGGTTGAAGCAATTCTCCTGTCTCAGCCTCCTGAGTAGCTGGGAATACAGGCGCCTGCCACCACACCTGGCTAATTTTTATATTTTTAGTAGAGATGGGGTTTCACTATATTGGTCAGGCTTGTCCCAAACTCCTGACCTTAGGTGATCTGCCCACCTCGGCCTCCCAGTGTGCTGGGATTACAGGGATGAGCCACTGCGCCCGGCCAATGCTCCCTATTTTTATGACTGACATATTTTCTTCTTTTGGAGGCCAGTGATGACTTCCCAAGGCTCTCTATTCCCCACTTGACACGTGTGTGCAGGTGCACACACACATGCCAGCTTTTCTATAGTCCTTAATGCTCCCAAAGCTTCTCACAAGATCCTTTCACAAGAAAAAGATGAAGCATGGTGATTTCTCCGTTTCAGCTTCTCTTTGTTCTGAGAGAAAATATTTTATAAGTCTCTATTTATAAATCAAAGTGATAATGTAGTAAATTATCCCATTTTTAAAGTTTATTTTAGGGGACAAATGTGTTTCCAGCTCATGATCTTTTCATTTGGGCTTTCATTAAGTTGTAATAAGTATGTAATTATGGAAGTTGAATTAAGCATTTCTAGTCACAAAACATCAACAGCCCCCCAAAAAAGATCAACTCAATTTAACCGAAATTGGAAAATCAATGAAAATGAATAAAGAGTGTCACTCTTCTGTGAGGGTTTCCAGAGTTCATTGCTGATCCAGGCAACATCAGTGCAATCCAAAGGAAAGAAATGTCCCTAAATTTAGGCAAGCTTTGGCTAGTTCCTTGTGCTGTGATAAGCTTCACTTCAGCATGTTTGCTGAGGAGGTGGAACGTGATTCCAAGTTCTTGTCTTTGAGGGTAAAAAACTTGCACATCAGATGTCCAGTGGAGTTCCCCAGAGTTTGCAATGTTTTCCTCCCATTGAGACTTGGCACTTTTTGTAGGATTCACATGGATGCGATACTTTCTTCAGCAGGTTTGTGAGATTTTATTATTAATATTATTTCTGAAGACCTTCTGAGAAGGCCTGTCTTAGGTGTGGTTTTAAAGTCTACTTCTCAGCCAGATGGGCAGAAAAAACATTTAATACAGACTTTTGCAGCATTCATTTAAGAAAGTATCCCATTTGGGACCCTGTGGACTTTGAGATGATTCAAGTTGATTTTAAGGTTTGTTACCTTGTCTCCTGTCTTCATTCGCAGTATCTCAAATTGCGTGTTGGAACAATGAATATAGTGATTCCAGTTCTGTCACAAACTCCTTCAAGAGCAGGAGCTGCAGAAACCACACACACACACACACACACACACACACACACACACACAGCTCACCAGCACCTCTGGCTCTCACCTGAATGAGGGACAAAGCAAACGTGTGTTTCCTGGCTTGTTGGGAGTGGATACTCTGGAATCCCATTGGGTGACACGAGCTAAGTTGACACAATAACAATTTTTCATCTTTATTTTCCATTTAGTCAATTTCCTTTCTTAAGTGCATCTACCAAGGAGGACCCCAGCAGGAAGTGTTTAACCAAGGGAGAGGCAGATGATGCAAGATGAGTGGGGAGGTGGCAGGCACTGGGAATTTTCTGTGAATCTGCCTACCTAATCATCTTCCCTGCCTTTTATAGATTCACTTTGTAACAAGGCTTGTAACTGAGGATAGTCACACAGGGCAGTGTAGAAATGATCCTTACTATGTTGTCACTTTGGTTGTTATCCTTTCTTCTTCCCACCCTCCTCCCTTCCCAGGATGTCTCACATGGAGCCATCTGAGGCAGGTGCACTCATCTAATCTGCTCCTCTCCTGCTCCAAGGATTGGCAGCCACTATTCTTGAAAGAGTCTATGGCCTATCTGCTTGCACTCACCATAGTCAATGCTCAAACATGCAATTTGTGGGATGATGTTTGGCTTGCCCATGACCTATTGCCAGTACCTAGCACATGAGAGATGCTCAAAGAAATATCTGTTGAGAGTTGAAAGGCGGGAAGGAAGTGAGGAAGACAGCGTGATTCACACTGGCTTGAAAGCAGGTGAACTGGCCATTTCTTCCCCTTCCATATCTTAAGCTCCGCATTAATAGATATCAAGTTTCCCCAAGACATGTGCGTTTTCCATTACACGCTCATCCATTTACTTGTTCGGAAAACCCTACCAGAATATACGCTTCTGGAAGAAAGGGACCTTGGATTTCTGTTCTCTCTCTCTATTCCCATTGCCAAATATAGCACCAGATAAATAATAGGCACTGGATAAAGATCTGTTAGGTTATCAGGGTGGATGAGTGGATGACCTGTGTTCCTTAAGTTTGTATTATCTCAGAACATTCTGCAGGATCCACATTCTGGCATGGATATATAAACAGAGGAAGTTACTTTATTATAGGTGAAAGCTTAGTCTTACCCTTGTGCAATCATCTGGTAATCTAATTTATTCACTTTATGTTTACCTTCTGCAGGAACTGCTTTAAGAAATAGTGTCTTGGTCCACTGGGTGAATAGGATGGACAGGAGTATCTGTGCCTCTTGCTTAAGTGTTTGGGGAGATGTTTGCGGAAAATAAGAGCCATATATTCCAGTAAATGAAATTAGGTTCATTTGGGGCACTTTTTTATTATTTTCTATAGCCATACTTAGCCCCCCATTTCTGGCATCTCTGTCTATGTTTTTAAACTATGTCTGGCTGCACTACAAAATAAAATCAGATAAAGGTCTCTAACGTTTGATAAATGTTTTATTTAGTTGATCATCTTGGCTGCTAGACTGAAATTCATCTGCTGGAATCTGCCAGCTTTCTGAACACAGCCACAATTTGCAACTACTCAGAGTAACTAATGGTCAGGGTTTTTTTTTTTTTTCTTTTTTAATGGAAATAGTTTCCAAAATAGACTCATAAAAAAGCAATCTTAACATTTGCATTGAGAAAGTATCATTAGTCTTTTTAAGGGGTTTGAGCTGAGCACTTTTCTGTCTTTGTTTGAATTTGCCTTTACCTTATTATCTATTATCTTCCAGATAATCTAGGGAAAGTGATAGCCTGCCCGTGAAAATGTACATATAATACAAGATATTAGGGCTGTGAATGTAATTTGTTTTGTATTTTCAGCTGGTAACGCACTTTCTGAAACTTTATAATGCCCAAATTTTTAGGCCAGATGTAAAAATGGAGAGAATTTCTTTCTTTCTTTCCATGGTAAGTGTTACATAAGGACTTAGTCTTAGATTTATGTGCATTTACTTGCTATGAGATATTCAAGAGTCCTTGAATATGTCAGAGAAGAAAACTGAAGAATGTTAGGGAGAACATCCTATGCCATCTAGCCAACGAATTTGGATGTGTAGCTGCAAGCCCAAAGAGAACTATGTATTTGGTCAAAATGACCCATGTTAAAATATTGTCACGTAGCATGCATCTCCAGAAACATACTAAAGACATCTGTGAAAATGATGATATCAAATCAAGCTGCCAGAAAAGAACAATGGTAAAAAAGGATAGCATTTCCTCCAGTGCCTTCAATGAAAGATAGAGGTAGTAGTCATACTCTTAGGAAAATAAATGTTTTTAGGCCTTTCTGATTTAATGCTAATACTTTTCTCATTATCATCATGTTTAAAACATTGGCAGTAATTACACACAATTCAATCATGCTGTCAGGAATATTATCTTGCTTTGTTTTGGTGGGTGGGACCAGAATGATTCAGATAGTAGCATCCTCACAATTTCTTCGAGCTATTTACTCATAAATATTTCTGTTGGGGTAATTTTCCCCATTTTTTTTATCACTTGCTGCTGTGAAAATTGAGATGGAAAAAGTAGATGTAAATAAATTGCCTTATTATTTTTAAAATAATGCATTATCCTTTCAAATGAAACACAGCTAACCACCCTATGCTAATTGCACTTGCTCCGTTGTTTCAGCAAATAAAGTAGAATAGGACATTCAAAAGGCAGAATGCTAAGTCCTGGGGTCTGAAATTTAGTTCCATGAGTGCAGGCCTCCTGCTGATGGCAATGGGGATTGGTGGGAGGGTTAGAGATGGGGAAGGCCAGGGTCTTTATCTTGTGGCCTCATTTGCTCCTCCACTCTGGATAAATTCTAGAAGAAGACCTTGATGAGTCTCAGGACTCCACTGGTAACCGTAACCACTTCCCCCATCCCTCTTAGTGTGACCTATCAATCCATTAAAGCTAAGACCGTGGCTAGTCTCTTAGTATGACCGCAATTTAGTTGAAACCTGGCTTCAGAGAAATGGGCCAAGGGCATAGACTACCTGTGTTTTTTGTTGTTGTTGTTGTTGTTTTTGGTTTTTTGTTTGTTTGTCAGTTGTGAGACCTCTCTAAACCTCGATTTCTTCATCTGCCACAGTGAGAATAATCACAATCCCAATCTCATTGGCTTATTGAAAAAATTCAAATAAGATGTGCCAAGTACTAGCGTGATACTTATCTATAAGCACTCTGTAAATATTAGTTGGTATTAGATGTTTCCATGATTGACAATGAGACTGAAGAAGCAGAAAGAAGTTGGAGTTTCTCCTACAGGACGTACATTTACACTTTGCCCACACGGCAGAGACTATGGCAAGTTTCTTTAAATTGAATGAAAGACAGAGCTAATCCAGCCTACAAAATTCAGCAATAAAAGCTAGTAAATAAGTATTGAGCACCACAAATGTCTGCTGAACTCATGGTGCTGGATATCAGGACGCAAAGATTGAGCTGCCTGCATTGGAGGTAAAGCAGATATGTCGACAGCACACGCATGCAAAGATGTGCTGTTCAAACCGAACCTTGATGGCTGTGTGGAAACCTGGAGTGCGGAAGCAGAAGGAAGGGCATCGTGGGGAAAGGAGTGGCATGGACAAAGGCATGGCATATTCACATGCTACTTAAAGACTCCAGAGATGAGGCTGTGGTATAGAGAGATACCAGAAAAGGGCAGGGAGTTTGAACAAGATTGCAAAAGGCTTCTAATGTCATTCAAACGATTATAGCTATATCCTACTGTAAATGGGAAACCACCATTATTTAAACATTAAACACAGCTCTGTTCAACACAGCATTCACAGAGCTGTGACTTGGACAGAAAATGAGTTAAGCTAAAGGAGAGATCGTCAGTGGCAAAGTTCAGGCGTTTTGGAGACAGGTTGAGACTGACAAGTTGGTTCTCGACATTTCTAGCCTGATGGAGATAAGAGCTGAGGAGCTACCACTTGAATCTAAATTCTGAGCTTGTTAAATAGATTAATAAACCTCAGTCCGTAGGTATTTTCTTTCTTCTGTTCTTGGGCTTCTTAAAGTATCAGACAATCAGTAGTTACTGGGCACATGTTGAATCAAGAGACACTTAACTTTATCATGAAGAAAGATTCATCTTTTTAGATTTAACAAATGTTTAATTCTCTAAGATATTTCTTTTCTTTTTGGTATTTTATATGGTAAAGATAATTTGCAGAGTGATGATGAATTTAGAGTACTTCTCTTTTTTGTCATTTTAAATTTCTTCATTTTATTTTATATGAAGTACCCTAAAAAGCTAAAGAATGTTTTCATTTTTGGAAAAAGTTCTTTTCGAGAGCTGTTTATTTTTCTTTATCAGCCAAAAAGTATGATTACTATGTTAATGCAGGTTTTGCTTCATCAAGAGATTTTCCAGTTATTGAACTTAAATAACATTGTTCTAAACCCCAAATCCTCTAAATTCCTGTTGTCAGTGAAAGAGGTACCTTCTAATTTGGAAAGAATATCTAGTTCAGTTCTGATTTCAAACCAGCAGAGAAAAATAAGAAAAATGTTGCTCCTGCCATATGGAGAATGACCATCATTTAAGGAAAGAAAAGTTGGTTGAGAGTTTTTGGGAAGTAACTGTTTTGTACTTCCTTTAATGTACTCAGTGTCCAGAGCAGGAACTGGGTGGTTAGAACAGCTGCAATATGATTCCACTGGAAAGCAGTTTGCAGAGAGGCAATCAAAAGCTGCAACACTTAGATTAAGGCAAACTAATGATAGACCATTTCAAGACATGATGACATCTCAAAATGCCTGGGATCCACATTTCTTTCACTTTTGTTTTAAGAGGTATCTCATTTGCTGTGCCTTTTCATAGGATAAAAGCTTGTTGATCGTATTATTTAGTTGAACACTTTGGGGTTCTAAAAGCCGTGATCAACCTTATTGGACATATGGCACTATGATGTCACATTCAACAATGAAAGGCACTTCAAGTTATAGGATCATCTATTGCATTGGAGGTCAGGAAACTTTTTTTTTAAAGGGCCAAATAGTAAATCGTATAGACTTTCTTGGCCAACAGGCAAACTTGAAGATATTATTATCAACAGAAAGAGTCAAACTCTATAAAATTTGAAGAGATTTATTACTTCATTCTGAACCAAATATGAGTGACCATGGCCACTGACTCAGCCCTCAGGAGACCCTGAGAACATATGCCCAAGGTGGTCGGGCCACAAATAAGTTTTATACATTTTAGGGGGACATAAGCCATTAATCAATACTTGTAAAATGTACAATGGTTCGGTCTGGAAAGGCAGGACAACTGGAGGAGGGTGTGTTTCCAGGTTATAGGTGGATTCAAATATTTTGTTTGGCAATTGGTTGAAAGAGTTTAAAGACCTGGAATCAATAGAAAGGAAATGTCTAGCTTAAGATAAGGGGTTGTGGAGACTGAGGTTCTTACTATGTAGACGAAGCCTCCAGGTAGCAGGCTTCAGAGAGACTAGATGGTAAATGTTTCTTGTCAGACTTTAAAAGGTATCAGACTCTTAGTTAATTCTCTCTTGGATCAAGAAAAAGGCATGAGAAGGGGAAAAGGGATTTTCTACAAAATATAGTTTTTTTCCCCCATAAGAGACAGCTTTGCAGGACTATTTCAAGATAGGGCAAAGAAACATATTTGGGGTTAAAATATTTTTATTTCCTTCCTTATCTGTCATGTGATGTTATTGCCAGAGTCAGGCTGGAAAGTAAGCCACATTATGTAGGGTTAAATGAAAGCCCTCTTTTGAGACTTTTTGGCTTGTAGAGCATGATTCCCCAGATGTCTTAGATAGGAATTTGGGCAAGTGAAGAAAAAAGGTCAGAGTTTAGTCCTCATTATGCAGGTACTTATATAACCATTAACAGACAAACAGAGAGCCAAATCATGAGTGAACTCCCATTCACAATTGCTTCAAAGAGAATAAAATGCCTAGGAATCCAACTGACAAGGGATGTGAAGGACCTCTTCAAGGAGAACTACAAACCACTGCTCAAGGAAATAAAAGAGGATACAAACAAATGGAAGAACATTCCATGCTCATGGGTAGGAAGAATCAATATCGTGAAAATGGCCATACTGCCCAAGGTAATTTACAGATTCAGTGCCATCCCCATCAAGCTACCAATGACTTTCTTCACAGAATTGGAAAAAACTACTTTAAAGTAAGTATGGAACCAAAAAAGAGCCCGCATCGCCAAGTCAATCCTAAGCCAAAAGAACAAAGCTGGAGGCATCACACTACCTGACTTCAAACTATACTACAAGGCTACAGTAACCAAAACAGCATGGTACTGGTACCAAAACAGAGATATAGATCAATGGAACAGAACAGAGCCCTCAGAAATAACGCCGCATATCTACAACTATCTGATCTTTGACAAACCTGAGAAAAACAAGCAATGGGGAAAGGATTCCCTGTTTAATAAATGGTGCTGGGAAAACTGGCTAGCCATATGTAGAAAGCTGAAACTGGATCCCTTCCTTACACCTTATACAAAAATCAATTCAAGATGGATTAAAGACTTAAACGTTAGACCTAAAAACCATAAAAACCCTAGAAGAAAACCTAGGCTTTACCATTCAGGACATAGGCATGGGCAAGGACTTCATGTCTAAAACACCAAAAGCAATGGCAACAAAAGACAAAATTGACAAATGGGATCTAATTAAACGAAAGAGCTTCTGCACAGCAAAAGAAACTACCATCAGAGTGAACAGGCGACCTACAAAATGGGGAAAATTTTCGCAACATACTCATCTGACAAAGGGCTAATATCCAGAATCTACAATGAACTCAAACAAATTTACAAGAAAAAAACAAACAACCCCATCAAAAAGTGGGCGAAGGACATGAACAGACACTTCTCAAAAGAAGACGTTTATGCAGCCAAAAAACACATGAAAAAATGCTCATCATCACTGGCCATCAGAGAAATGCAAATCAAAACCACAATGAGATACCATCTCACACCAGTTAGAATGGCGATCATTCAAATGTCAGGAAACAACAGGTGCTGGAGAGGATGTGGAGAAATAGGAACGCTTTTACACTGTTGGTGGGACTGTAAAGTAGTTCAACCATTGTGGAAGTCAGTGTGGCGTTTCCTCAGGGATCTAGAACTGGAAGTACCATTTGACCCAGCCATCCCATTACTGGGTATATACCCAAAGGACTATAAATCATGCTGCTATAAAGACACATGCACACGTATGTTTATTGCGGCACTATTCACAATAGCAAAGACTTGGAACCAACCCAAATGTCCAACAATGATAGACTGGATTAAGAAAATGTGGCACATATACACCATGGAATACTATGCAGCCATAAAAAAGGATGAGTTCATGTCGTTTGTAGGGACATGGATGAAATTGGAAGTCATCATTCTCAGTAAACTATCACAAGAACAAAAAACCAAACACCGCATATTCTCACTCATAGGTGGGAACTGAACAGTGAAATCACATGGACACAGGAAGGGGAATATCACACTCTGGGGACTGTTGTGGGGTGGGGGGAGGGGGAAGGGATAGCATTGGGAGAAATACATAATGCTAGATGACGAGTTGGTGGGTGCAGCGCACCAGCATGGCACATGTATACATATGTAACTAACCTGCACAATGTGCACATGTACCCTAAAACTTTAATAAAAAAAAAAGTGACCATTAAAAATTATAAAAAGCATTTTAAAGCTCATGCGTCATCAAAACATAGACAGCAGGCTGGATTTGACCAACGGGCCATAGTTGGCCAGCACTGGTCTATTAGATCATTGGCCACAATGCTCAGATAGGAGCAGTTTTATGTACTGACTGCAGCATGTTATCATATGTCTATATCTGAAGTCCACTCTCAAAATATTAACTCACACTTATTAATCATCACCTTGAAGTTTGATTATAGGGACAGAAACTAATCATGGGTGATGGGTCTGATTTCACATTTTGACAGCATAGTTCATTTCTCCCACCATTAAGAAACAGGCAACCTCAGACAGACACTTGGTAATTAAATCTAGCTCAAAATTTGGTTACAGTAATTTTTAAAAAGCAGTCCAACAGAAAAAGAGTAAACGAAAAAGTGCCATCTAGACATTGACTAAATATTGGAGGGAACCATCTTGGAATGGCTACTTTCATTATGTTAGAGCCCTGATAGGTGAGAGGAGAGGGGGCAAGGGGAGACGGAGATGGGAACAGAAGATTTCCCAGATGAGGGGCACTCCCTGGAGCTGAGTCTTGGAGCCAGATGGACTTGTTCACACCAGCATGGAGTGAAATAAGGAGAATCAGAGGACCTGGGCTCATACCCTGTCTCTAGAGGCTCCAAAGGAGTCCCTGAGGTAAAACTGAGATTATTCTAGAGCCACCTGGAAACAAAAAGACACTCTGGACCAGGCTTGGGACATTTTCCTGAAGGTTTCTTCCACCTCTCATTGCCCTTTCTGTCATTCCTGAATTTGAGAATGGGGCTGTGATAACAAAGAAACTGAAAGAACAGTGTCACCATGTGTCTTACATATCACCATGTGTCAGTCCCTAGAAAACGTACTTTATATGGCATTTGACTTTGATAGGAATCTAATGAGGTCAGTAAAGTGCCCTGGTTACAGAGATAGAGACCTCAATGTCACTAAGATTTAAACCCCTATCAGCCCATCTCCAAAGCCCATGCATTTTTTCTCCCACTATACAAATCAATATTATTGATATTTATATGTGTGGTAAGCTTGCAGAATAAATAGATTTTGAACTTTCTTTTTAACACAGAAAAGCAAAATACAGTGAAGTTTTGGTGGAACTTTCATTCTCATCAGGCCATAGGCTTCAGTGCCGCATTATCATATGGGCCAGGTGGGCTTTTTCCAGGTTACTGAGCCCAGTGGCTTCTATAGCTCGGTTTTAGGAGGCTATGGAGAACAGACTCTCTCCTGCCCTTGGGGGGAAATGCAAATCAATACAGGTCATTTGTTGAGTATTTTGTCAATAAGAATCAAATGGCTTTTTAAAGTACCCCTAGTGTTTTTTGATGCAGAAGTTTCTTGTGATCAAATACGTGTGCAAAGATCCAGCAACAAGGGTTTTTGTTGGATCTTTGTTTAAAGCACCAAATGAAATGGCCAACCAGTGGGGGTTTGTTCAGTAAATTATGGTATATTCCTACACTGGTATTCTATTAAATCATGTAAAATGATGTGGCAAAATGTTTAATAATATAGAAAGATGTTCACCATGTATCAGCAGGTGGTTTGCAAAATACTCCTTAAGCTGTGATACTTCTTTGTTTATACACGTAGAGCATCTTGGTCCAAGGTACAAAAGGATTTGTGTGATGTTTTAGGAGTGGTCCTGTTGGGACTATGGTTGATTTTAACTTTTCCACAGTGCAGTGTCTGAGATGACCGTCTTCAGATCTGGGTTGCTTGAGTCTGAACTTTAACTTCACCTTTCACCAGCCTTGTGCTAGAGAAACATCATTAGCTTGAACAACCAGTAACCATAATTATGATTTGCATGTCATAAAACATTCTTCTCTCATATCATTGTTAATGCTCCCTGAGAATTCCCTTATCATAATATGGAGAACAAATCCCTTTTGGTTAAAACTATGCCTTGGTTTCTTCAACTGTAAATCACAGTAATGCCTCTCTCAAAGGGCTGTCATGAAGAGCAAATGAATTAATACAGCACATGCTTAGGAGGGTAATAGCTGAGCATGAGCTATTGCTGTTATCTGTATTTTCTAGTTTGGGTGCAGTGGCCACATGTTATTTTTGTAATTTAGAAAACCAATTCTGTTAATCTTTTTTTTTGAGACGAAGTCTCGCTATTATTGCTCAAGCTGTAGTGCAATGGCACGATCTCAGCTCACTGCAATCTCCACCTCCCGGGTTCAAGCAATTCTTCTGCTTCAGCCTCCCAAGTAGCTGGGATTACAGGCGCCTGCCACCACGCGCAGCTAATTTTTGTATTTTTAGTAGAGATGGGGTTTCACCATGTTGGCCAGGCTGGTCTTGAACTCATGACTTCAGGCGATCCGCCCACCTCGGCCTCCCAAAGCCCTGGGATTACAGGTGTGAGCCACTGCACCCGGCCCAATTCTGTTAATCATTTTAAAAAGCAGTTGTATCAGTGGTCGTAAGGCAAGAGAAAGGTTAGGATATAACACCATGATGGGTCAAGCAACACTATCACATTTGAATTCAGACACTAGTTTCTTTCTTCTCCTTCTTCTTCTTCTTCTTCTTCTTCTTCTTCTTCTT
Organism: Homo sapiens; assembly: GCF_000001405.40. Lineage (NCBI taxonomy): Eukaryota > Metazoa > Chordata > Mammalia > Primates > Hominidae > Homo > Homo sapiens. The sequence goes on from NC_000016.10 coordinate 83,500,270, forward strand.
CTTCTTCTTCTTCTTCTTCTTCTTCTCCTTCTCCTTCTCCTTCTCCTTCTCCTCCTCCTCCTCCTCCTCCTCCTCCTCCTCCTCCTTCTTCCTTCTTCCTTCTTCTTTCTTCTTCTTCTTCTTCCTCTTCTCCTCCCCCTCCTCTTCTCCTCCCCCTCCTCCTCCCCCTCCTTCTCCCCCTCCTCCGCCTCCTCCTCCCCCTCCTTCTCCCCTTCCTCCCTCCTCCTCCCCCTCCCCCTCCTCCTCCCTCCTCCTCCCCCTCCTCCTCCCTCTCCCTCCTCCTCCCTCTCCCTCCTCCTCCCTCCTCCTCTTTTTTTTTTTGAGATGGCGTCTCACTCTGTCACCCAGGCTGGAGTGCAATGGCACGATCTTGGCTTACCACAACCTCAGACTCCTGGATTCAAGCAATTCTCGCACCTCAGCCTCCTGAGTAGCTGGGATTACAGGAAAGGCACCCACCATCTTGCCCGGCTAATTTTTGTTTTATTTTTGTGGAGACGGGGTTTCACCATGTTGGCCAGGCTGGTCTCAAACTCCTGACCTCAGGCGATCCACCCGCCTCGGCCTCCCAAAGTATTGGGATTGCAGGCATAAGCCACCACAACCGGCCTAGAGACTGGTTTCTATATGAGCCAGTTTATTTGTTGACCAAACAGAGGGAGTTGTGCCAGGAATCATGGCCTCCGTTAATGTTTTTAAGATTGCAGGGGAAGCATTCCAAATGTTTTCAAAGGTGTATTAAGGTAAGTCTTGTCAAAACATTCCCACTTGAAATAATAAGCATTCTTATTTCTTTAAGTAACAGAGACATAGCAATGGCTTTCCTGGCTAAACGTGATCATCACAGACACACTGACCAGCTGTTTATCTTTGCTTCCACAAATTCCAACAGGCAACTTAATAGACATTTTGTGGTTATATGTTTCTAAGACAGCCATGGGAAATGAATTTATTTCTACCTTTGTGAAGAACAGCTATAGAAATGACCATTGAAATTCAGTGAATGGCATTTCTGCTTATGGGCCTTAAAACTGGGAACCAAAATTAAATTCTTTTAGGTATTTTCTCTCCCGTGTCTTCTAAATTGTTGTGTGGGCTGATTTTTCTCCATGAAAGACTCTCAGAGTCCTAAATTCAGGTTTTCTGTCTCCTTGGGCTCTAGCATTCTGGAATAAGCAAGAGTCAAGAGATTCTCCATTCTTATTTCCTCTGCATGTTAGAATATCTAATAGGTGTGAGACAGTTTATGTTGTGCTCAGCATTGGACAGCCACCATGTAAACAATTACGGCGTTTTTTCATCCAGGCATTACATTAGGTCCATAACACTCACAGGAGCTCTGTAAGGCTGAAATTGCCACATCCATTCTACTAGGAGGGTTATGGAGTTCCCAAGGGCTGACCTGCCTTTCCTGAGTCACCCACTGGAGAGCCAGGGCATTGGATTTGACCTCATAGCCGCTGCTCTATCCACTCCCTTGGGCTATTAAAGAAAAGCACGGGACATATTGATGGAAAAAATCTGACAGATGTCTCAAGGACAACTTTATCTTTTATCAGACTCATTTCAGGGATTTCTGTATTCATTGCTCCTGGACTTTTCACATATTTGGGGAGCTTGATTGAGTTTCCCTCAGCTCTTCCATTAGAAAGCCCATGTGGTACAGTGGCTCAGAGCTTGGGCTTAGGAATTCACAAATGTGAATCTGTGAATCTGAGCTCTGCATCTTATTACTTGTGTGGCCTTGGGCAAGTCACCTCACCTACCTGAGCCTAGGTTTCTTTGGCTGTAAAATGGAACTCATAGCACGGCCTGTGTGGAAGACAGAATAATGGCTCCTCCCCTTCAAAGAAGTCCTCATCCTAATTCCCAGAACTTGTAAATATGTTACCTTACAGGGCAAATGGGACTTTGTAGAAGTGATTAAGTCAAATATATTGAGATTGGAAGATTATTCTGAATTATCCAGATGGGCCTGATATAATCACAGGGTCTTAATAAGGGGGAGGTGGGAATGGCTGGGTTGGAGATTTAAAGATGCTCTAGTGCTGGCTTTGAAGATGGAGCAAGGGCCCACCATGCAAGGGCTGTGGACAGAGCTTCTGGCATCTAAAACAAAAAAGGAAAAAAAAAGGCAAGGAGAGAAATTCAGAAGGATTGCAGCTCTGCCCACACCTTGATTTTAGCCCACTGAGACCCACTTTGGACTCCTGTCCTGAAGTGTAAGAGAATAAAGTCACATGGTTAAGTCACTAAGGACATGGCAGTTTGTTACAGCAGCAATAGGAAATGGATGTAACCTTTTTTATATGGTTTGTGGGCTTGAAAGAGATGACGTGTTAAATACAGTAGCTTTTGACCTTGAAAGAGACGATGTGTGAAATACATTAGTTTTGGGGGCTTGAAAGAGATGACAGGTGAAGTACATTAACTCTTGGGCATGAAATACATTAGCTTCATGGCCGTTAGCATTGGCCATGAAGAGCTCTTGACCAATAGTAGCTGGTGTTACCAATAATAAAATAATGGTGAGACTTGAGATGACACAGGAGTGTTCTAACAGAGGCACAGTCCACTTGACCAGATCTTTCTCAGGCATCTCCATCGACAGTGGGGTCTCCCTAGAAGGCTGGGTGGCTGCCATCCCACCCAACCAGCCTGCCTGAGTTGGTAAAAGTGCATGAAAGTGTTCCTCTCAGGGGGTGGCCTTCCATTGGCCCTCACAAGGGCACAGCGGAGCTCGTTGGTTATGCTTCAGTTACATAAATCCAGCCTTACAAAGGCTACACAGAGAGAGGGGCTCCTTGCCTCCTAGATCTGTACCTTGTAGGTGCTCAATACACATTGGTAAGAATGTTCACATCATCAGGTAAGCAAGGGGTATAAAGTGAGGCCTTGAATCGCTCACGTAGATTCAAGTAGTGTTGAGAAACTAAGAAGTGGTGAATTGTACCCTTTTTTCCCCTCCCAAATTAGAACTCCTAAGAAATACAGGACAACTGGAGACCAAACCGTAGGTTTCATTACCTATGAAGCTGATTAGGAAAGCCTTGAGTTTGTACCCAAATAAATTTGCTAATACTTTTACCTAAATTAGAGAGATTCGGATGGGGTGGGATAACAACACGCCACATCTACCTGGGTGGAGCCCATCTCAGGATGCCTCTGCCCAGGAGGAGGGGCAGTGAGAAGGAGGCCGGAAGGGGAAGAGAAACAGGAGAGGGAAAGGAGGAAAGGAGACATAGCTAGGGAGATGCCACTCAGCAATCAGAAACCTCCATTCCTTTTCCTGGGGTGGAGTGGAGGAAAAGGGAAGGGGCAGGGAGGCTCCTAGCCCACAAGCCACTTTTGTGCAATAGGAAAAGATGCTTGACCAGTGACGATGAGCTTTTTTCCAAATGTTTTTTGGCCACAGAAGTGTCTTGAGAAGTTTCTGTTCATATCCTTCGCCTGCTTTTTAATGGGGTTGTTTGTTTTTTTTCTTGTAAATTTGTTTAAGTTCCTTGTAAATTCTAGATATAAGACCTTTGCCAGATGGGTAGATTGCAAAAATTTTCTCCCATTCTATAGGTTGCCTGTTCATTCTGATGATAGTTTCTTTTGCTGTGCAGAAGCTCTTTAGTTTAATTAGATCCCCATAGTCAATTTTGGCTTTTGTTGCAATTGCTTTTGGTGTTTTAGTTGGGGGGTGGGGGGCAAGGGAAGGGACAGCATTAGGACAGATGCCCAATGCATGTGGGGCTTAAAACCTAAAATATGGGTTGATGGGTGCAGCAAACCACCATGGCACATGTATACCTATGTAACAAACCTGCACAGTCTGCATATGTATCCCAGAAGTTAAGGTAAAATTTAAAAAAAGGAAATAAAAGATGCCCGTTCCTCTGAATGGACATAGCCCATGCCAAGGGTAAGGCTTGGTGAGTGGAACAGGCTGGATTTTAATCCTCAGGTTGCTGCACCCTTGGTGAAGCACAGGGCACTAGAGAAGAGTGTTCACAACCTCCAGCCCCTCCACAAAGAAGCCTGATTCTGGAAAGACAGAGGTTCCAACCTCACCCTTACTTCTCTTCTGAAGATCTGCTGTGCATGAAGCATTTTGGAGGTATTTCTTCAGCTCAGAACACAGCAACTTTCCTATGAAAGAGAGCACAAAGGGTTAATGCCACCAGAAGACACTCAGCCTGTCCAGTGTCGCTACCACTGGGACGGGCAATGGGAGGCATCTGAGGCTTTGCTGACAACTTCTTCTGCTGTGAGGGTGGAAAGCAGGCCAGATCTTTATGACCTGGACTCCACGTTTTGGGATTCTAGCAAGATGGGACCCACTCCGGGTGCTGTGCCCATTCTCAGTGCCAGTGGGGCTGATATGGGGTCATGGCAGGTAGCGGGAGATAACAGCCTCATCCTCAACACTAGACATCCAGACAGAGTGGCTCAGGCCCTGTAAGCAACTGGTGTTAGGGCAGATAATGAGATTTTCTGGTGTCTGCTTGGTGACAAGAGTAGTGGCTTCAAGGAATTTTTTTAAAAAATAACATTTGTTTATAGTTGTGTTTTTTAAAGTAGAAAATATATTCATACGAGCAAGTAATTAGTGTCCTGCCAGGTAAGTCTCATGGTGACATGTCAACGTAATTATTTTTTAAAGTCTGCCTCAAATAAAGCATCAAAATTTCCTGCTTTAAATCTCCTTTCTCTGTAAAAATGGTTAAGAGGAGTGAAAAGAGAGGATGGGAGGGGTCTGAGAGCATTGATGCCTCATCATAGTCAGCCAGCTGTGGCACCACCTCTGTCTTTGCCTGTCACTCTCATACAAAGGATGTGCATAGGAAATGTGATCCTACCCATCCTCAAATTCTAGATTTGGACTTGAATTTGGTGCTCTTATTTCCACATTAAGTTAAAATCTAGCCTCCAGATCCCCAGGCTTCCCCTCCCATTGTACCCAGAAGAAACAAGAATTGTTTCTCAGTTCTAACTGTCATAATGCCTAGCGGGCGTTAGCCTACAACGAAGGATAATTCAATCTATCCTCACCTTAGTGTACGCTGGACAACACTAGGACTCAGAAGTGCTTTGCTCTTGATCTTGAAAGGCCAGTGGAAATCCATGCAGATTCCTCCCCCAGGACCCTCCCAGCCAGCCTGATAATGAATTCATGGGAAACAGCCTACATGTGAGCACCAAAGGGAACACATTTAGTAAACTCTGCCAAAGGAGCACAGTTCTTGTAAAGCTGATGAGGTTTGTGATTAATCCTTTTTTTTTTTTTTTTTTTTTTTTTTTTGAGAAGGAGTTTTTGCTCTTGTTGCCCAGGCTGGAGTGCAATGGTGGAATCTCGGCTCGCCACAATCTCCACCTCCCAGGTTCAAGCGATTCTCCTGCCTCAGCCTCCGGAGTAGCTGGGATTACAGGCATGCGCCTCCACGCCCGGCTAATTTTTTATTTTTAGTAGAGACGGTGTTTCTCCATGTTGGTTAGGCTGGTCTTGAACTCCTGACCTCAGGTGATCCACCTGCCTTGGCCTCCCAAAATGCCTAACCCAGTTTAAAGAGATCCAGGAAGCAGATTGTGAGCTGCAGATATGATGTGATTATTAAAAGCAGCCTCCATTGCCAACATTGCAAACGCATCAGCATGTTCCTTCCTTCAACATTCCATAACGTGGTGGTGGTATTCCCACCTTACCCCGGGAGAAGCTGAGAGTCACAGGGAGTATTTACTTTCCAAGTTCACACATTCAGGGAATGGGTAGAAGTGGAATTCACACCCAGGTCAGTGTAAGACCAAAGAGGCTGTCAGAATGGTTTGCTGTTCCACTCATGGCAAACAGGATTTGAAGTTGTTCCAGTCCAAGGGAGACCATCAGGCCATGCAGGAATAAAAAGGCCAAGGGGAGGAAAGAAGATGCTGTCTTCATTAAGGCCTGAAGGAAAAGGCTGGTCAGAGTGAAGAGTATAGACAAGCTCCTCTGTATCCTCTCAAAGATTTGGAGCCACTGATCTCTCTGGGGGTTGGGGAATGGGGCAGTTCCTGGGAAAGGGACTTATTGGTGGGAATCCAGTTCTGCTATGAATGCTCCTGACTCCTGCACTCAAATCCCAACAGATGAAAGGGAGGAGAGACTGACAGATGCAGTGCCTTCCTTTATGTAACCTCCTTGATCCAAACTACAGTCTGACCCATGCTTTCTGGCTTTATATTGTACCACTACGTTCCTAACTCACCCTCGTTCCAATGGCATCAGCATTTTCTCTTCCCTCAAAGATAATGCACTTCTGACTTTTGCATATTATGGTAGCCAGCCCCCAGGAGGGCTCCCAGTGATTCTCACCTCATGGTACCCATGCTCCTGCGTGGTCCCCTCCCACATCGAATAGGAATGACTTGTGTAGCCAAATAGGACATGGCAGAAATGACTTTGTGTGAATTCTGAGCCTTGTTTATTCTTGTCCTTTCTTGCTACAGGCAAAGCCAAATGCCGTGTTGTAGGGAAGCTCAAGTAGCTTCATGGAGAAATCCACATGGCAAGGAACTGAGGCCACCTACTAATAGCCAGCATCAATTCTTTAGCCGTATGTGTGAGCCACCTTGGAAGTAGACCTTCTAGCCCCCATCAAGCTTTTAGATAACTGTAGCCTCACCAACATCCTGACTGAACTACACAGCTGAGCAGCTTCCATATCTCCAAGCCACAAACACTGTGTGCAATCATAAATGTTTTTAGTTGCTTTAAAGCACTAAGTTTGGGGTAATTTTATTCAGCATTAGATAACTAATACACATAGTCTGTTTCACCAGCTAAAATTGCTGCTCATTTCTCTGTTACCCCCCAAACCTGGTGTGAGCAGCCCCTCCTCTGTGGACTTTTTCTGGTCTTCTTTGCATGACTCAATCCCTCTTTCTTCATTTTCTCACACAGATTGTTTAGCATTCTATTAATGCCACTGTCACAAGGAAAAGCAATATTTTTATTACAGTCTCTCTCCTCTGTCGATTCTAGGCTTCTTGAGAAAGTTTGTAATGTATGCATTCTTCAAAGAGGTATTGTTATTAATAGAGGCTCAGAAGATGGCTGAATGAATGAAGAGTGTGTGTTAGAACCTGGGGAAATTTAAACCAAATACATTTAAAGCCAGTGACATTTTCAAAGCATATTTGGCTAGAAAGACTAAGTTCTTTAAAGTAGTTTAGAAGCAGTATTAATGGTACACAGTCTTTGTCCCATTCTTAACAGTACAATAATGATAATTGGTTGCTACTCTGGAAACAAATTAAAGAGCCCAGGAAACGTTTCCAAAGGTGACTGGAATGCTTAACTGAGCTAGACTGTTAATATCTAATGCTAGCCTTCCTGTGGGCATAGCACCCTGAATTGCCTGATCTCATCTAATGGCACATGCTCAGACATCCTTGGTTTTAAATAAAAATTGTCTTATCACTTAGTTTAAAAATGTTTTGCTTAGTAAAAAATTTATGAGGGCAGGTGCGGTGGCTCATGCTTGTAATCCCAGCACTCTGGAAGGCCGAGGCAGGCAGATCATGGGCTCAGGAGTTCGATGCCAGCCTGGCCAACATAGTAAAACCCGTCTCTACTAAAGATACAAAAATTAGCAGTCCGTGGTGGCGGGCGCCTGTAATTCCAGCTACTCAGGAGGCTGAAGCAGGAGAGTCGCTTGAAACCGGGAGGCAGAGGGTGCAGTGAGCCGAGATCGCGCCACTGCACTCCAGCTTGGGCAACAAGAGCAACATTCGGTCGAAAGAAAGAAAGAGAGAAAGAGAAGAAGGAAGGAAGGAAGGAAGGAAGGAAGGAAGGAAGGAAGGAAAGAAGGAAGGAAAAGGAAGGAAGGGAGGAAGGAAAGGGAAGGGGAGGGGAGGGGAGGCGAGGGGAGGGGAGGAGAGGGGAGGAAAGGGAAGGGAAGGGAATACATTTAATAAATGTGGAGTCTGCCAAATCAGGTCGGCAGTTTACTTCTCCTGTCCCCGGTTCAATAACTCACTTACTGGGGTTCTGGAGGATAGCAGTGAGAAGATGGGGTAAAAAATTAGAGAGAAGTTTTGCGTTGCCCCATGGCTGCTTCTGTAGTGTAGTCCGTGCATCCGCCCTTCGATGCTTGGGTTGGATCATAGAGCAGTGACTGTTGATGGCTCACCCAGATCCCCAGGAACCCACCACTCCCATACAGGCTTTCAACCTGTTAATCCCTGCAGCTGCCTGCCTGGACTTTCCTCTGACCATGGGAGTGTGCTCAGTCTTACTGCCCAGGGAACAGCCATCAGCCTTTGAGTGGCAAGAGTTGGTAGATTACCATCCCTTCTTGACCCTTGGAATAGGACAACTTCGAGATATGTTCTCCCGAGTCTCCCAGATGACCCCAGTGAGTTTGAACACCAGTTGTCCACAGAGATAATCTGCCCATTGCCACCTGTGTATTGACTCTTTTACATATTCTGTCTCACTTCTCTTTCTCCCTCACTTGTGCTTCTTAAGATTGTATCCTGAATAAGCTATTTGCACTCAAATAGGCAGAGAGCTAGCTGGATCCATTATTCTCTCTTGTCTTCTATATTTTAGATATCTTGTAACAGGCACAAGGTACCGTGTAGAGCTGAGGTGTAATGACCCAGCTGATCTGTTTGTACTTTCTCATGCTGCTAATGGGTACCTGGAGTTGAGAATTTATGCATAGGTGTGTACATGCCATCACAGCTCTGTGTGCATGAGTGCCTGTGGGGTCTGCATAGCATGCACACATCACAGAAACCCTCTGCCCTCCCTTCTCATTCCTCTATTTGAAGCCAAGTTTCCATAATCCCTCTACTCAACCCCCTTCTTCCCCAGCCCCCAGGGGCTTCCCATACTTAGGGTCACCCTTTCTTACCTCAGAGTTTCAAAGATGTAAGAGCTGATGCCCACCTTGATGGTATTCACAAAGTATAGCAGGGAGGCGGCCATGGAAATGACTCTTTACAGCAGGATGATATGTGGAACATGCCATGGCCAGGGAAGTAACTTTGTCTCAAGGGGATCAGGAAGATGCCCAGGTATGGGATAACTTGAGCAAAAGATTTTTGAGCACTGATCTGCAGATTTTACTCTCTGTAAAGGGCCAGATAGTAAGTATTTTAGGCTTTGTGGGCCATATGGTGGCTGCTGCAACTGTGCAGCTTTACTTTTTTGTAGCACAAAAGCAAGCATAGATACCACATAAATGAATGAGCATGGCTGTGTTCCAATAAAACTTTATTTACAAAAGCAGATGGTGGGCCAGATTTGTCCCATTAGCTGTGGTTTGCTGACCTCTGATTTAAAGAGTGGGAAGTAGATTTCTGGAAAGGGAGAAAGGAAGACTATTTCTAGCAGAGAGAAGAAAACATATAAAGGCAAAGAGTGGGAAACCAGAGGGAATAAGACAAATTTGATTTACCAAAAAGTCCTTTTTGGTGGTAGTAAAAAATACTAATAATAAAAACTAAGTTTTATTAAAGCCTTATTATGAGTCAAGCATTGGGCTAAATATTTTGTGGATTCTCATTTAATTATTACTCTCTCTGAGTTTGGAGGACCTTGTTTTCCTCATGGCACACACGAGGAGTAAATTAAGCTCAGAGAGGGTAGATGACTGGCTCAAGGTCACACAGCTACCAGCTGGCCAGGTGGCAAGACCCCGGACAGAGGATTGGGAGCATGGTATTGTAGCCAGCGTACCTCCTTGTGTCTATCATTAGCCCTGCTTTAATGGACTTTTTCAGAAGTGTTTTTGCTTGTGTTTTACAAGTGGAATGTGATTCCTTGACTCAGCCCAGTAGCCCTGTGAATGGATGGCTGAAACGAGTCTGACGGCTTTTTCTCCTGGGGCCATTTTGTAAGAAATAAAAGCAAAACAGTGAGATATTTAAATTCTTCAGGGATATTATTTTCGAGTGGATAAAGTGAAGAACATTTTTTATTCATATTAGAAGTGATAGTTGGATGTGTGTAATTTTTTTGCTCTCCGAGATGGAGAGAGAACACAGCACAGATCTTAGAATGTAAAATATGAATTTAGATGACATTTTGAGAAAACTGATAAACACCACCATTCCACAATTGGACTTAACTTGCCTGTGAAAATCCTTCTGCAGCCCACAAAATGATAGAGATAGGTGGACTACGTCTAATGGATATTAAAAATACACAACACACCAATGAAGGAATAATTTTCTTTTGCAAAGTTTTCATTTCTCAAAATGCTACCAGGAAAAGAGAGATACCTTGACAGCTGACAGTAACCCTGGGAATAAGGATATGTTAGAAGAGAAGGGCTGCAGTAGTTGTGAAATCCTACCTGGAATCTACCCCTGGACAGGAGACCCAGGGATCAAGACTCAAAGCTGATGCTCTCAACACCAATGTTTCATCTCCAGTGTACCACGAGGTCCTTGTCCACCTACTTCTAGATAGAGCCAAACTGTCTAAGCCAAAGGGGGTTTGGGTTTCTTTCACCACCCACCTGTGCACATGATTAGTTTGAAAAAGTATGTCTTAAAGAAAAATAAATGCAGACAACTAAGTGAGAACAGTTACATGTACTAAAGGTCTTTCAGAAAATCAGTAATGTAGGTCAGTGCATTTCAGGATTTGGAATTTCACACAAAATTTACCCTTGAAAACTTTAGACTGAGAGAAGACTACCATGCCTATTCTGTCATGTAAGGACATCTAAAGAAGAACTGCACACATTGGTATTACCATCTTCCCACACACATACACGGACACGCACGCATGCACACGTGTGTGCACACACAGACACGCACACACATGCACGCATGCACACACACATGCACACATGCACGCATGCACACACATGCACATGTGCACACATGCACGCACATGCACACACGCTCACACACACAGAATGGTTCGTGGCCGGGTGCGGTGGCTCACACCTGTGATCCCAACACTTTGGGAGGCCTACAAGGGCAGATCAACTGAAATCAGGAGTTTTAGACCAGCCTGGCCAACATGACAAAACCACATCTCTACTAAAAATACAAAATTTAGCCAGGTGTAGTGGCAGGTGCCTGTAACCCCATCTACTCGGGAGGCTGAAGCAGGAAGATTGCTTGAACCAGGGAGGCCAAGGTTGCAGTGAGCTGAGATCACGCCACTGCACAGCAGCCTGGGGGACAGAGTGAGATTCCATCTCAAAAAAAAAAAAAAGTTTCATACTTTCACTCACATATACACTCACACACTCGCACATACACCTACACATACACTCATACATTCCCATAGAAACAAGTGAGTTATAATCTCAGAGTGAACAAAATTGAGTAAATTTTACCATACAAACATATTTATTATGCTTGTCTCACTAAAAAGCAGTAAAAATTCTGATATGAGCATCACACAGGTTAATGTAAGATAGTAAGAAGAAGAAAAAAGTATAATTATCCTAGAAGTCCTATTGAAGAATGAAATCGCAAAATAAAAATGGAAGGGGCAAAGGTAGGATCCTTAGAATGCTTACAATGGGAATCTGAATGTTTAATGAGAAATAAGCCCGACACCCATAGCACATAAGGACTCAGGCTTTGGGATCTCTCCCTTCCTAGCTTTGAGGCCTGGGCATGTTATTTAACCTCTCATACCCTCGAAAGGGGCTCATAAAAGCAATCACTGCATGGGGCTTTTGCTTGGTGAATAGTTCCAGCACATGGTTAGTCCTCAGTAAGTGTTAGCTAATAGCATTAGAAACTAGCTTTTTTAAAAAATAAAGGAAGGGGCCAGGCGCGGTGGCTCACGCCTGTAATTCCAGCACTTTGGGAGGCCGAGGCGGGCGGATCACGAGGTCTGGAGGTGGAGACCATCCTGGCTAACACGGTGAAACTCCATCTGTCCTAAAAATACAAAAAATTAGCCAGACATGGTGGCGGGTGCCTGTAGTCCCAGCTACTCGGGAGTTTGAGGCAGGAGAATGGCGTGAACCCGGGAGGCGAAGCTTGCAGTGAGCGGAGATTGCACCACTGCACTCTAGCCTGGCGGACAGAGTGAAACTCCGTCTCAAAATAAATAAATAAATAAATAAATAAATAAATAAATAAATAAATAAATAAAATAAAAATAAAGGAAGGGCTGGGCGTGGTGGCTCATGCCTGTAATCCCAGCACTTTGGGAGGCCGAGGTGGGTGGATCACGAGGTCAGGAGTTTGAGACCAGCCTGGCCAATATGATGAAACCGATCTCTACTAAAAATACAAAAATTAGCCAGGTGTGGTGGCATGCGCCTGTAGTCCCAGCTGCTCAGGAGGCTGACACAGAAGAATCATTTGAACCCAGGAGGTGGAGGTTGCAGTGAGCTGAGATCATGCCACTGCACTCCAGCCTTGGCAACAGAGTGAGACTCCGTCTCAATAATAATAATAATAATATAATAATAATAATAGTAATAAAGAAAGTACATGGGGAAGGAATATGTTCTACATGAGCTTTCACAGGGGCACCGATCTAGACCAGTGTGGACTAGAAGTAGCCACATCCCCTGAGATCCTGTCGGTAAAACACATTCTCGGGCCTCCCCACAAACCTCTTGATTTGGAACCCTGGGAGGTGGCACCCAATAACCTGTGTTTTCAACAAACCCTCTAGATGATGCCAAGCCACACTAAAATTTGAGAACCTCTGATCAAGCCCTGCAAGCTTTTTAACCCTGGTCCTGGGCAGTCAGCTAAATCCAGGAAGTATTTCGCAGATTGGGAATAAATAAAAGAAGAAAAAAAAAAAGGCATAAGTGTCTTTGGGTTGAATCTCATTTTAAGCCCCAGAATTAGGCTTGTGAAAACAATTCAAGAATTGTCTTCGAGCCTATAATGCCTGCTAGTCCCATGAGAAAAAGATTTTGAAACAAAATAAGTTGAGGTTGGATTTGCTTTTTTTCCAAGCTTCAAAGCATCAAACAAAGATCCATGTTCACATCTGAATATCTGAGTTCACATCTGAGTCAGCCGCTGACTCAGCCCCTGACCACAGAGTGATGAACAGAGAGGCAGGCATCATGGGACCTGAAATGGCATTTTCTCCAAAATATTAGAACGTCCTTAGATCCCTTAGATCAATGGTGATCGTGGGCCTGGAAAACTTCTCCAAAAAGTGCAAACTTCTCCTGTAGTTAGCATATTAGTTTGTTCTCATGCTGCTATAAAGACTTACCCTAGACTGAATAATTTATAAAGGAAAGAGGTTTAATTGACTCACACACAGTTCTTTGTGGTTGGGAAGGCCTCAGGAGACTTACAATCATGGCAGAAGGGAAAGTCAACCGTCCTTCTTCACAGGGTGGCAGCAAGGAGAAGTGCTGAGCAATGCGCAGGGATAGCCCCTTATAAAACCGTGAGATCTCTTGAAAACTCATTCACTATCATGAGAACAGCATGAGGGTAACTGCCACCGTGATCCAATTACCTCTCACCAGGCCCCTCCAACAACACATGGGGATTATGGGAACTACAATTCAAGATGAGATTTGGGTGGGGACACGGCCAAACCTTAACAGTTGGGTTCAAAGACAAATGCCACCATAATAGGCCGCAGATCACCTTTATTGCCAGCCTCTCTAGTCCCCAAGTAGCTGATAAAAACATAGACAAAAATTATAGAGAATGAAGGAAAAAAAGTAAGGGGTTATTTTGAGAGCAAAGTTTGCCTCATCTGTCCAATAGAGACTGTCTTGTATGTTAAAAGTTCATCATCAGGAGCTGAAAGAATTGAAAGTAAAATGAAACTATCTTGTGTGCCTCGTAGGAATACAACCTGGACGTAGTGTCCATTACTAATTAAAGCCAATGTGTATTGTACTTTCACAGTGAGACAGGCCCTGCTCTTTGTTCTCTATATTTATTTACATGCACTTAATCCTCACAATTACTCCATGCAATAAATCCCATTATCACTTTCTGTACTAGGTTGACTAGGGTCCTCCCCAAATTCATGTCTACCCAGAACCTCAGAATGTGTCTTTTCAGATGTAATTAGCTAAGATGAGGTTATGCTGGATTAGGGTAGGCCCTACGTCCAGTATGCCTTGGAGTATCCTCATAAGAAGAGGAGGGCCGGGTTCGGTGGCTCATGCCTGTAATCCCAGCACTTTGGGATGCCAAGGCAGGTGGATCACCTGAGTTCAGAAGTTTGAGACCAGCCTGGCCAACCTGGTGAAACCCAATCTCCACTAAAAATACAAAAAATTAGCCGGGCATGGTGGTGCTCACCTGCAGTCTAAGCTACTCAGGAGGCTGAGGCATGGGAATTGCTTGAACCTGGGAGGTGGAGGTTGCAGTAAGCCAAGATCATACCACTGCACTCCGGCCTGGGCAACAGAGTGAGACTCCATCTCAAAATTAAAAAGAGAAGAAGAGGAGAGAGACAGAGACACACAGAAGATCCAGGAGAGAAGGCCAAGTAAAGTTGGAGGCAGAGAGTGGGATGATGAGTCTATAAACCAAGAAATACCACGGGTCACCAGCAAACAACTAGAAGCTAGGATAGAGGCCGGGAACAGATGTTCCCTCAGAACTTCCAGAAGGAAGGACTCTTGTAGATGTCTTCTTTTGTGCTTTTGGCCTCCAGGACTATTAGAGTAAATTTCTGTTGTTTTGAGCCCCTCCGGTTTGTGACGTGTAGTTACTGCAGCTCCTGGACACTGAGATGCCCCTGTTTCTTGATGGCGAAATGGAGACTGAAAGATCATGTCTTACCCAGGTGCACACAGCCAGCTTTTGGAGGTTTAGGGTCAGAGGCAGCTTCGGGGGTAGGAATCTAGAATCTGGTTTCCTCATCTTGTGCTGTGTCGTAGGTCTGCTGGGTTCAGGTTCTGGAGACGTCATTCCATGTTTCTGAGCTCTCTTTTCTCCCCTGCAGATGTAAGAACTCTGTACTTGAGGACTCATGCCTCAGCTGGGTGGTGGGATTGGATTCCTTTTAAGGTCTCTCCAAACCAACCCTGAGCCTCTTTGATTAGAATTCTAGAAGCTTTGAAACCACCACTACAAAATTCATTTGCACGACATTTCTCTTTTAAGCATTACACTTCTCTCTGCAGTAACTTTGAAGTTACTGTCGTTTTATGCACTCACGAAGAGTTAACAAGCAATAATAAACAGTCAAGACTGCTTTTCATTTCACATATCTGCATGTGTTCAGTCTTTTCCGTGACACAATTGAAGGAGCTTCTGTAATCAGGAGAGAAACTTTATATCATGCTGTAATTTCCCTTGATACAAGCTAGAAAAAGATACTGGTTTAGATTCACTGGGGTGATTGACTAGAAAATTGCCCCAGCTGTCAAAGTTTCCAGTGTTAAAAAGCAGTGTAAAATTTCTCAAATGCTTAGAATTTCTAGATGTCACAACAGAGATGTTACCAAAATATGAGAATCAAGTTTTTTATAAGCAGGACAAAAATACATTATTTTTCTCAAGTTCTCAATATTTGGTTGAATTCATGAAGAAATTTTTAAAACACACCAAGCAAAGCGTTCATTTTGTTTAGAAATAAAATTAATAAGTTGTTTTTTGATATTGTATTAATGTGTCCTGCCACATTAAAAGATTGCCTATATATTTATAAATTTAATCTTTATATAGGAATTAAACAGACAAGCCAGAAAAAGAAAAGAAATGATAAGCTGATATTTGGGTATAATATTATCTTGTTATCCATGTTCTTTGTATTAGCTGAATTATTTCCATTTCTGCTCCAACCAAGAAAATCAATTCAAACATTGTTCCTCGTGATTTATTCAAAAATTCGCTTTTCCAAGTTTCCGTCTAAGAGCATGTGGTGGGTTCTTATCTTCATCATAAAAGTGTATAACATAAAGAGATGTCCTCAGATAGCTCATGGCATTTGTTAGCTCAGGGGGGTTGTAGAAAGTTTCCTGTAAGCGTTTTACACTCAAAGTTTTCTTTATAGTGCCAAAGAATGAGAAGCAAAAGCAATTCAGCACTGGAACCGTTTGGGGAGTGTGGCTCCATTCTGAGGTTCTCTTCTCATCAGAGTGGGGGCACCCTATAATTTTGAGACCTTGAGCCAGGCTTTCATGTCATCTCTCTTTATGAACACTCCACTAGTTTCTAGCCTATAAAAATAGTGTCAACATTACAGTAAGCTAAGTATAAGGCAGAATCAAGAAGCCAAGGATCTGATTTTATTTCAGAGTTCTGAAATGGAACTAAGTGTTACAGAAAGCAATTTGTGGGAAACAATTCTCTACAGTATGACTTATAGACTGCTTCAAAGGAGAGGTGTCTTCTCTTCCTAGACCTGGGATTTTAATGTGAGAGCTCCCTTATCATGTTGAGGAGAATGGCTGTCTGAATTGTTCTCCCTCTTATTTATAAAGGCAATGATCAGAAGATAATTTGTAAGTACCTACTCTCTTCCAGGCACAGTATTTAAAATGAATATATAGTAAAAAAGCCAGCTGCCTCCCCTGTCATCATGGAATTTATAACTTAGTAGAGAAGATGTCAAAAAGATATTGCAAATGATCTGAGTGTTTTTTACAATGGCATTGTTGTGTACAACAGGTGGATTCCCACCTTGTTGGGGAAAGCAAGGAGTGCTCCCTGGAGGAAGTGGTATTTATTTTGAGACCTGGAAATTGTTAGCCAGGAAAGGAGATAAAGTGGCGGGAGTGAGAGCAAAAATATTGTCACCAGAGAAATCAGTGAGTGTAAGAAATTGCTGGTGTAGTTAAAAACTGAAAAAAGTCTGGATACATTGACTGTCGTGTTTTCCCAGTTGTAGGTCTTGTAATTCTGGCAAAGGGAAATATGAAGTGAATTCCTGGAATCTCTTGCTGATCCCAGAGAGACTACAGTTCTAGCATAAAAGGAAGCTCAACAGGGTGACTGTAAGAGGTTCCAGAGCAGCAGGTCATACTCAGCTTAGAAGTGCTTGCAAGACAGTTTAAGGATGTAGACTGTCTAAAAGAGGCTCATAAAGAGATTATCAATCTAAAAGCAAACTTGAAATATTAATCAGGGCTAGATTAGGTTATGCTGCAGTAACAAGTTAACCCCCAAATTTTAGTAGGCATAGCGCAACAAAGTTTCTTTCTTGCTCAAGCTGTGATTCCAACATGGGTCTGCTGGGGAGCTCTGTTCCACGTAGTCATTAAGGGATCCAGGCTGACAGAGGCTCTGCCAGCTTGCAGCATGTGGAGCACTGGCCTCCTTTGTGCCTGTGGCAGAAGAACAAAGAGTTACAGTATCAAAAGCAGCCCTTAAATGCTTCAACCATCCCTTTGGCTAGAACTAGTCATGTGGCCCCACCTACCTGAAGGGAGGGTGAGAAATGTGAGGGAACACGTGGGCAATCACCAGGAAGTTCCTTTGTTTGTTGCAGTGACAGTCTGGAAAACAATGTGAACTGGTTGACAAGCTTAAAAATGGATCTAAGGGCAAAAATGCTAAAGGAGAGAAAGAATTGTTGACAGTGTATAAGAAGATGATTAGGAACAAAGTGAGATGGGCAGTTTGGAGGCTCTTTTTTTAGCTTTAATGGTAATAGAATACACGTGGCACTCTCACTAAATGCAAGGCATTGGGCTTTATGTAGATTGTCCCATTTAATTTTCACAGCAACTCTGAGGTCGATATTATTATCGTTCTCATTTTACAGATAAGAAAACTGAGCCCTGGGGTGATGAAGTGACTAACCCCAGTGATATTGTCTGGCTCTGTGTCCCCACCCAAATCTCACCTTGAATTGTAGTTGTCATAATCTCCACATGTCATAGGAGGGACCTGGTGGGAGGTAATTTTATCATGGGGGTGGTTAACCTCATGCTGTTCTCATGATAATGAGTGAGATATCATGAGATGTGATGGTCTTTTGTTTTGTTTTTTTGAGATGGAGTCTTGTTCTCTCACCCAGGCTGGAGTGCAGTGGCGTGATCTTGGCTCACTGCAGCTCTGCCTCCCAGGTTCATGCCATTCTCCTGCCTCAGCCTCCCAAGTAGCTGGGACTACAGGCACATGCCACCACACGTGGCTAATTTTTTTGTATTTTTTAGTAGAGACGGGGTTTCATCGTGTTAGCCAGGATGGTCTCGATCTCCTGACCTTGTGATCCACCCGCCTCGGCCTCCCAAAGTGCTGAGATTACAGGTGTGAGCCACCGCGCCCGGCCAAGATGTGATGGGTTTTTTTTTGTTTTTTGTTTTTTGTTTTTTTTTGAGACGGAGTCTGGCTCTGTCTCCCAGGCTGGAGTGCAGTGGTGCAATGTTGGCTCACTGCAAGCTCCGCCTCCCGGGTTCACGGCATTCTCCTGCCTCAGCCTTCCGAGTAGCTGGGACTACAGGCACCTGCCACTACACCCGGCTAATTTTTGTATTTTTAGTAGAGACAGGGTTTCACCATGTTAGCCAGGATGGTCTCGATCTCCTGACCTCGTGATCTGCCCGCCTCAGCCTCCCAAAGTGCTGGGATTACAGGTTTGAGCCACCGAGCCCGGCCGATGTGATGGTTTTATAAAGGGCTTTTCCCTGTTTTGCTCAGCACTTCTTGCTGCTGCCATGTGAAGAAGGATGTGTTGGCTTCCCCTTTCACCATGATTGTACGTTTCCTGAAGCCTCTGCATTCATGCTGAACTGTCAATTAAACTTCTTTTCTTTATAAATTACCCAGTCTCTGGTATGTCTTTATTAGTAGCTTGAGAACGGACTAATATACCAGACTCTACAGTTTGTAACGTAGGCACTAGGATTCACAGATCCTAGGCACCTGGTTCTCAGATTCGCTAAACTTTACCATTGTTCTTTGTCCGTAGCCTGGAAGCTTAGAATCTGGAAGGATAGAGAATAGAGTTTTATAGGGACTGGGACACACTGGAAATTTGAGGAATTTTAGTTAGGTTAGGAGGCAGTTCCTACATATAGGTGGAAGGAGAAATACCAGGAGTCTTGTCTTGTCTCAGCCTAACAAGATGACTTCTGAGAATATGATCAGGCCTGTTTCCGCCCTAGCATTGGAGTCCAGTGATATCCAAGGGCCTTTATCAGGAAAACTGCAACATATGAACACAACACAGCCTCTGTTTTGGAGTCCCCAGAAGACAGCTGATTGGTTTAAGTAATAGTCTAGGGACAAAGAAAGAACTAATACTTCAATGAAAAAGAAACAAATACTTCAATGAAAATGAATTTCATATCGCACTTCTACATTCCTTATTTGAGGGTATTTGAGCAAACTAACAGAGGAAGAAAATTAGCCACTTTAACTATAATACCTTGAGTATTAGACTAATCCAGTTATAAGTTTACAGACCCTTTGATCAGAAGTCAGAGAAGTTGCCTAGGAAATGAGTTAAACCTATTTCTAAAATGTCCAAAATTAGCTGTTCAAAGAAATCTTTTTTATAGAGCCTAAAATATTCTAGGCAAGAGATAATGAAGGATGCTCTAGGGCAATGGTGCGGGGAGAGGAAAGAAAGGTGCCTCAATACAAGCAGCATGGCAAAGGTACAATCCTCCCAGTGTGAATGGTGGGGGGAACAAGGGGAACTGAAAAACATGCATGAGGACGTTAGCTTTGAATGGGTTTCTTAGAGCTGGGGGACAAAGGAAGAGTCGCAGATGATCAGAAAGGAGATGTGAAATCTTCTGCTTGCTATGTTGAGTTTGAAAAATAAATGAAAAAATTTCAGGTAAAAACAGCAAATCATAGCAAATAAAGATCTCATATTCAGGAAAAGGGCTAGGCCTGGGTAACTTCATGATATAAATGTTCACCATTGCTAAAACTTAAAGGACTGACAATATCAAGTGCTGACAAGTATGTAGAACAACTAGGAGTCTTGCAATGTTTTTCAAAATGGTAGCCCCAGTCTTGAAACAATACATATGACTTCTAATGACAGAATAAGTCAATGACTAGAGGTAAACAGTGATGAAAAAGAATGAATATGGTTGACACTCACAGGCTCTAAGTGGAGCAAAAGAAGCCAAGTGTACAAAAAAGTACATTTTGTATGATTCCATCGTTTATGAAGTTCAAGAAAAAACAAAAAGGATTTATGGTGATAGAGATCAGAATAGTGACTACCTTGCAGAGATGGCAGTTAGGAGAGGACATAGGAAAGCCTGCTGGAGACTGGGAATGTTCTCTCAGTCTGGGTATTAGTTACATGGATATATACTTAAGTGGGCTGCAGGGTTTGCTCTGAGGGAGCAAACACAGCTTGGGCTGTGTTTGGCCTTGAATATTGTGAATAATATGTTTAGGCAAAAATCCTCTGTGTCTCGACGTCATTGCATGGATCCACTCTATGGTTGGCCTTAGAGCCAGGTTCTTGTTTGCATATAATTTTGCGGAAGTGTTTATGTTTGCCGCTCAATTGCCAATTTTGATTACAGCTTCTCAGCCTGGAAAATTGTCCTGGAAGGGCTTAATGGAACACTTGCAGGAATGTGGCATCATCAATTTTAGAGCCAGAACAGGACGTGGCTAGCTTTTCAGCTGGCCGGGAAGAGCCTGGAGAGTGCTGAGGGACACCAGCCAGGGACAGGCACAGGATCCACCACATGGCTCTGGCCTCAGTTCTGCCCAGCTCAAAATCTTCATCCAAGTTTTATTTAAAAATCCTTTGAAGGGAGAGCAATGGGCTGCCCCACCAAGAGAAGTGTTCACAGGAAGTGCCTCTCCTCAGGTTTCAACCATCGCCTCCCAAACTTCAATTTTTTAAATTTCACCTTTGTAATGTCTGCTATTTCTAACATCTGTTCTAATATATACTTCATGTGCTTTTTAAAGCAACATGCTCTCTTTTACTTCAGTAAACATATTTAGGTAAGACATACCCCATCACCACAGTGCCACAGTAAATGGAAAACCAGCACTTTGCTAACACGTTTTAAATTTAAATTATTGCATGTACTGCCTTGCGTGTTAGCTCTCAGTAATTATTTTTCATCCTCTTAGGTTTCTTCCAGCTTTAAGGCTTTATTATTTTAAGTTATAAAGTAATCGGCCACCCTGTATGACTGTGAGGTCCTTCAAGAGAGAAGGTACTCTTTGCTCTTTGAAATTTAGGAAAAAAAAAAAGAATGGAAAAACCAATAATGGAAAAAAAATTGTATTTTTATGCTAATAGAGTAGTAGCGGCCAGGTGACCTTTAGCAGGTTCCTTAATAGTGTGTCACCACCAACACAGTGTAAACACCAATACGGTGTCAACAACAGCAATAAAATGCAGTTTAAAGACAGCTTATCCCAGGGTATGCTATGAGAATTGGATGAGAATATTGTTAAATCCCTTGTGAGTTTTAAAGGGATGTAAAAGTCTTAGAAATATTGATGTGATCATTGGCAAATGCAGATGGATATTAGAGAAATCAATCTAAATTGTATATGTAGACACCAGCCACCCCCGGAAAAGAACATGAGTGGGTAATTCTTCCACCTATGGGTTTTCCCATGGGATGCAACCTGGGTGCATGGAACCAGCCCTGGCTTCAGAGTTAGAGGGGCCTGGCTAGTGCTGGTTCTGCCACTGACCTTGACCTGAGTGACCTTGAAAAAGAAATCTAACCTCTTGCATTTTCAATAACTTCACCTATAATACAGGGCAAATCATCCTACTATATGAGGTCGTTGAAGTTTAAATGAAAGAGTGTAGAGTCTGCCCTTGAAACACGTTGTTATTTTTCAAGCGATTTTCTGAAGCTAGAGCCCCTCATGTGAGGGATGGAGAGATGAATCCATCAGCTGTTAAATGCCTGCATTCGGGTGCCAGGCCACCTTCCTTCCTAGGTAAGGTCTGCAAATCCAGTTCTCCCCTGCTGCGCAGAGTGCAGGTCCAGCTCTCTGCCCACCGGGTGCTGTCTGTTTAGAGGAGCCAGCTCTGGCTTGCGCTTTAATGTCATGTTTAATGCCTGCTCTGCTGCAGCCTCCACATGTTTATTGAATCTTTATGGAAAGGCCATAACAGCTGCTTCGGGTCCATTATAATGGATCACGTCAAAATGTAGCCTGCCATTGTTTTAAAGTCATGTATTATTCACTTGATGGAGTGTATACGTCCATCTTATGTCAATTTGTGTTATGGACTGTCAAAATTAACATGAGTATATGAGGTAAGGCATATTGGGGAAGAAAGTTCCACAGCGCAATATGCAACCGTGGAGTTTCTAATCTTAATAATTCAGTGGGTGCCAACAAGACGTGGTCTCTATTACAGACTTGAAGCTGGTAATACTTCATTTTTAAAAATGTAACCATTTTTGAGTTACAGGAAAACAAAAATGGTCTGTGGCCAATAAATGTCTAGTTTTATACCGTTCTATAAATGAAAGTAATAAAGCACAGCAAAGTTGCCGAGCGCAGTGGGTTCTTAAACACCTGCAGCGTCATTTCTCATCAGCAGGTGGGCGGCAGAGTTCACATCCCTGGGCCCTGTCGGGGTCTGGCCATCTCCAGGTGGTGACAGGTGGCATCAGACTGGCCTGAATTCAGCCTTGGGGCTGTGCATTCTCCTGGGGCTTATTACAGAGGCTCTGACCTCCACCTATAGGTTCAATTCCCCTCCACCCCAAGGACTTAAAGAATTTTTCCAGACACTTTATGACTCACCACCTAGTGGCTCTTCCCAGTGTGACTCCAGCTAGCCACACCAAGTCCCTTTCAGACTCATGACCTTAGCAGGTGCTGTTCCCTCTGCCTAGAACTTTCTTCCTTTATGTCCTCACCTGGCTGAATTATACTCACCCTTCAGTTCTGCTGAAATGTCACTTCTCCAAAGAAGCATTTCTGGACCCCCGGCCTCCCTATTCCACCCTCCTCTGGTACCCCTTTTATAGGTGCTTCTTCCTCATGCACCTGTCCAGGTTGTATCTAAATTAGTAATAAAAGTTTGATGTCATCCTCTCTACCCACAAATAATGAGTGCAGGATCCATGTCTATGGCGTCCACCCTGTAGCTGTAGCACTTAGCATTGTGCCTGTCATGTCCATAATAGGTGCTCAGCTAGCATTTTTGAATAAATAAATGAGTGCATGGATGGAAGAAAGCAAGGTTGTCTGGCAGACTGTCTTGGTTGAACATGATTTCCTATTCATGATGACCTAGCCCATGCTCTTCAATCCTGATAGCTTTTTTAGATTTTTTAAGCCCAAGGCTCTGTCTTGTCATATGTACCCTACCCTTTTCATTATCCTTGAAGAGAAACTCACCTCCCACCCTGGAATCCACTGGAGCAGCCTGTACCCTGCCAACCAGTGCCCCCCACACCAGGACTCTCTGCCACGTGTGTGTACTCACCAAGTGCTCCTCCATTTCCCATTCCTGAGTTGGATCTACTCCAGGGTCACTCCCTTGCTTCATGGTAGACCCTTGATGTCAGTTCCCTGGCAGCTGGCTTGGGCTCTTCCTAGCGCTCAGATTCCACCTCAGTGGGCATGTCCGGTTGCACATCCCAGAAGTATATATCTTCCCCATTCTGTGGCATGGTTGCAAGGACAACATTGAACATTGGGAAAAGGAGGCAAGAACGACAACAGTCCCCATTTCAAACACTTCAGTCCCTCGTTATGCAGCTCCTAGAAGTATCCATTGTTCTGGGAAAGATGAAGCATCCAGAACCTGTGTCAGGACTCTAGAATGAAGATTCACCTTCTCTGCACCAGCCCAGATGGAGAGCGTCCTGGGCAACCAAAGTCCCCAGGAGTATTTGCACCTCTCAACCAAGATTCTTAGATCACAGCTCTTAATCACTTACCCTGCAGTCCACCCACAGGAGATGAGCTTTATTTCAGTTGTGTAAATTAGTGAAACAGAACCCCGAAGAGCTGAAATGTCCTCATATCTGTCACGACCTTACCATGCACTAGATTTGTTTCCACAGATAAGCTTGTGGGTTTGCACGACAACCAAGAGAATTTGCAGTTAAGAGAATAAATAATGCATTATTAGAAGAATAAATCAGCATGCAGTGTACATGAGTAATATATTCATACCAGGCCCAGTGAAGGAGTAGACACTTATTTAGTGTGTTTATGCAGACATAGATTTAAAAATGTATAACCACATTATTATGGGTTCTTTACAATTGTAGGAGCAGGAAGTTCACACAGGTCTTCCAGCCTGTCTAGCAGGTGGACTGAGAGTCATGAATTTCATGTCTTTTTCTTTTTTCTTTTTTTTTTTTTTTTTTTTTTTTTGAGATGAAGTCTTACACTGTTGCCCAGGCTGGACTGCAGTGGCGCGCTCTCGGCTTACTGCAAGCTCCGCCTCCTGGGTTCACGCCATTCTCCTGCCTCAGCCTCCCAAGTAGCTGGGACTACAGGCACCTGCCACCACACCCAGCTAATTTTTTGTACTTTTAGTAGAGATGGGGTTTCACCATGTTAGCCAGGATGGTCTCGATCTCCTGACCTGGTGATCCGCCCGCCTCGGCCTTCCAAAGTGCTGGGATTACAGGTGTGAGCCACCTCGCCCGGCCAAATTGCATGTCTTAACACCCCCTCTTACTAGCTGAGAGGTCTTGGCAAACCTGTAGCACTGAGAGTGTCAAGTTTATCCATCTTTAAATGGGGCCACCATCTAACACAGAAAAGCCACAGGGATCAGAGAAGAAATCATATGAGTGGGTTCCGTGGGCTGTAAATCCTGAATGCGCATGAGATGGGAAGGTCAGTAGACCAATGATTTTCTCATCATAGATTCTTGCTGTGTCAACTTGGACAAAAAACTTAATTTTCGGGGACGCTGATTCTTTTTCTCTGTAAGGAGAAGTTATTGGTCTGATGCACACAGTGGAATCAAACGGCAATTTACTTGTAATGAAAACCTCTCTCTCCCGGTGTCCTTATAGCAACCCCAGGGACAGACTCCAGTTGGCTCTATCTGTGCCTCATGTCCATCCTTTGAACCAACCACGGGCCAGTAGAATGTAGTACTCGGATTGACCAGGCACCTGAAGTCTAAGACAGCTTCCATCAGTTTCCTGATAACTGGCATTTACTGAGCACTTTGTCTGCACTAGATCCTGTGTGTCATGCACACTGACTTATTTAACCTTCTGGACAACAACGTAAAATAAGCTTTAGTACAAAGAGAAGTTCTATAACTTGCCTGTGGTCACATGGTTAAAAAGTGGTGAAGCTGGAATTTGTAAACAGGTTTCTTGGACTCCTAAGCCTAATTTGTAAATGCTATGTTATACTGACTTGGTTGCAGTATTGGTGGGAGAGGGCATCCTAAACAGCACCTGCTTGTTGCCAAGCCCTTGTGGATTTAAGCTCAGTTCCTTCCCCAGACCTTGTCGTGTGAACCTCCATTCTGACTTCACATCCATAGTAGGCAAGATAATGGCCCTCCCAAAGGTGTCCATGCTTTAGTGCCCCAGAAGCTGGGACTATGTTGCCTACCTGAGGGACATTGCAGATGTGATTAAGGAGTCCTTGAGTCGGGGAGATGATTCTGAGTTATCTTGGTGGATCCACTCTAATCCAATGAGTCCTTAAAATGAAAGAATTTTTTCTGGCTCAGAGAAAATGTGAAGACTGAAGAAGAGAACGGGACAGATTGCAGCATAAAAACAACTTTGTCCAGCACTGCTGGCTTTGAAGACAGAGGAGGGGCCACAAACCAAGGAACATGGGCAGTCCCAAGAAGCTGGAAAAAGTGAAGAAATGGAGTTTCCCCTGGAGCCTCTGGAAAGGAGTGCAGCCCTTCCAGTAGCTAGATGTTAGCCCAGCATCCTGTGTTGGACTTCTGATCTGCAGAACTATAAAATTTACAGATGTGTTAAGACACCGTGCTGTCGTAATTTGTTACAGTAGCAATATGAAAGGGATGTAACATTCAAGGCAGAACCAAAAACACCAGGAAATGCTGCAGCCACCACCTTCGAACCAGCTTCAAAGGTCAGCCAGTCATCAGAGTCAGAAGTTTTGTTTTGTGGGGGCGGTGGTGGTTATTGTTTTGTTTTGTTTTTTTCCTCTTTATTCTGAAAAGTGCCAGCTCTCAAGCTGGGGCAAAAATAGCTTTGTGTTGTAGCCTCAATCAATAGTCCGCAACCTTTTTGGCACCAGAAACCAGTTTCATGGAAGACAATTTTTCCAGTGGGATTGGAGGAGGATGGTTTCCGGATGAAACTGTTCCACCTAAGACCATCAGGCATTAGTTCTTTAGATTCTCATAAGGAGCATGCAAGCTAGATCCCTTGCATGCACAGTTCACAATAGGTTTTGCACTCCTATCAGGATGTACTGCCATTGCTGATCTGACAGGATACCGAGCTCAGATGGTAATGCTCGCTTGCTAGCCCACTGCTCACCTCCTGCTGTGTGGCCCAATTCCTAACAGCGTACAGACTAGTTCTGGTCCGTGGCCCGGGGGCTGGCGGCTCCTGGCTTAAATGATGAAATTTGCTGCCACTGTTTAAACACTGACTCTTTCACTTCCCCAGCCCAGCCTGTACAATCTTCTGCTTTACCTTCTTTACCTTAGCCCTTTGTCCCAGTTTGGGAACAGTGAAACTGCTGGCAATCCCAGTAATTGTCTTGAAGCAGGCAGGCAGACAGAATGGGAATTCAGGCCAGGGATGGTGGCTCGTGCCCGTAATCCCAGCACTTTGGGAGGCCAAGGCGGGCAGATCATGTGAGGTTGGGAGTTTGAGACCAGCCTGGCCAACATGGTGAAACCCCGTCTATACTAAAACTACAAAAATTAGGCAGGCGTGGTGGTGCGCACCTGTAATCCCAGCTATTTAGGAGGCTGAGGCAGGAGATCACTTGAACCCATGAGGCGGAGGCTGCTGTAAGCCGAGATTATGCCACTGCCCTGCAGCCTGGGCAACAGAGCAAGACTCTGTCTCAAAAAAAAAAAATTGTTTTAATTAAAGAATAATTTAAGGCTGGGCGTGCTGGCTCACACCTGTAATCTCAGTGCTTTGGGAGGCTGAGGCAGGCAGATCACGAGGTCGGGAGATGGAGACCATCCTAGCCAACACGGTGAAACCCCATCTCTACTAAAAATACAAAAAATTAGCTGGGCATGGTGGCAGGTGCCTGTAGTCCCAGCTACTTGGGAGGCTGAGGCAGGAGAATGGCGTGAACCCAGGAGGCAGAGCTTGCAGTGAGCCGAGATCTGGCCACTGCACTCCAGCCTGGGCGACAAAGCGAGACCCCATCTCAAAAAAAAAAAAATTAAAAATTAAGAATGGGAATTCAGATACAAAAAGAGTTGTCTTCTGCGTTAACCGCAGCACAGGGAGAGAAAAACTACATCTACCCACAGCATTATAGAAACGGCCCAGGGCAACTACATCCGTTTGATGGCATTATAGAGATGGCCCAGGGCAACCTGAGTCTGCTTTTTCATTTGTAAGTTAGTGATGATATATACACCTGACCCAGGTGCTACGAAAGGACCCAGTAAGCAAATGCTGAGACAACACCCAGTCTAGGACTTGGCATCAAATAAGCAACCCTATAAATGCCAGCACCTATTACGGTTGTTGTTGTCATTTGGGTGATAATGGCACTCACCAAATTAAAGACTTTTGAGATCACTGGTATCCATATCACACTGTAAAGTAGAAAGAAGTCTATATTTTCTCAGTACCACTTTAATGTTAATTTATTACTTAAGTACCAACAAAACTTCAAACAATATTAGAGCCAGAGGAAATATTAGAGATCTTCCTCGAATGAGTTCGGTGACTTTCTAAGGGCACGCAGGGAGTTTATCGGGAAGGCCAGGGCTAGACAATCCAAGTTCCCACAGAGCTGATAATGAGCCAGAAGTGGGCCCCCTACACACAGGCATACCTACTTAGCCCCATCTGTATATCCCAAACTCACACAGCCTCTTTAATAATCCTCTTAATAGCAGTGATAACTAAACATATTCAGCTTTAATCACACTTGCACGCATGCCTTCTTCCTTAAATCTAAGTAATATCCCTGCAGCTATTCCAAAAGGAACACTATAACTGGCTATTTGCCATAATAAGGATGAGGAAATTTTGGTTGATCACATTTTAAATGGGAAACTGTATTTAGAGAGATTTTAAACTGCAAAATTAAAAATGCAAACGTGAAATTATTTTTCCATTAAGTCTTCTCCTTGGGGAAATCTCTTCCTCTGTTGCAGTTGGGCGGTCTGGATGGGCTGGTTACCCTTGTGTGGGGTGTATAGTGAAACATCAACTCCCATGAGGCTCATTCTCAGGGGTTGAGATAATAGTAGTCCCTAGTGGGGTCGTCTAAGAGCCCTTGGGAGGGCACTTATCTTCATGTATATATTACATAAATCTTATTTCAAAAGGGATTTCTACTATAAATATTAGATCATCTGTCTCTAAATTCTCCAACTGTTTCCATCTATCTCTAAATTTCCCAACTATCTCCATCTATCTCTAAATTCTCTGACAGTGCTGAGATGTAACGAACAGCATTAAAACACTAAGCACTGAAAAAGAGTTATCATGCTGAACACAGTGTTGTTTTTATTCTAATTTCTAAATCCATGTCTCGTTTAGCATTGGTTGTAGTCAAGAGAGAGACTGTTCAATCCCAGTCTCCCCATGCCTTTTTTCTTTGTTCATTATGGTGAAGGGATCATGGCTATATAACTGTTTAATTAGCAGGAGTCACCTTGAGAAATGTCACCAGGGTGGTCCTGCTCAGTTACTAATGGGGTAGTTATATATAAATTGCTTGGTCCACCTGACTGAAATATAGTGGATTCAGTTTAGGGAGTATGAAAATCTCAGATTAGAAGAGAAGATGGAGGTCATTCCACCCAAACCCCCTCCCCATGAATACCTCTGTCTTTTTTTTTTTTTTTTCTTTTTCATTGTAGATCTAGGCGAGCTTGCTTCTTCAGGAAGTTAAGCCCCATTGTTAGGCATCTCTGAAGTACAAGCAGTACATAGTATTTATGGTTGGAGGTCAGACTCTGAAGTCCAGTGTACGTGGATTGGAATCCTAGCTTTGCAGTGTACAAGCTAATTGGATGACATATATTAAACTTATTAACAGGCTTTGTCTTTTGCCCAGAAATTTTACTTCTGAAAACTAGCCTAAAAAATAATAAAACCTTAATATTTGAGTTTATATGTATAAGGATGTTTGTTGAAGCATTGTTTTTTGTAGGTACAAAAAATAAAAGGTTAGATCTCCATTCACACTACACTGTACTACATCCATTCTAGGAAATACTATATGGCTTTAAAAAATAACTGATAATATCTATGATTTACTAGCCCAGAGCAATGTACACAGCTTACATAAAGAAATGTGCATGCCATTTTTTTGTGAAAAAAATCATAAAAATTCCCTGTGTGTGTTTTTATAGGATTCTGTAAGGATAGTAAAAGACATGGATGATCTGTACTACTGTTTTCTGAGTAATATAAATGGAAATAGAGATTTTAATACAAGCACAAAGGAAAA
Organism: Homo sapiens; assembly: GCF_000001405.40. NCBI lineage: Eukaryota > Metazoa > Chordata > Mammalia > Primates > Hominidae > Homo > Homo sapiens. The sequence goes on from NC_000016.10 coordinate 83,529,715, forward strand.
TTATGCATAACAGAATTTTATCTATTAAACGACCACATAAAAGAAAAATACAATATTGATATTGATTTTAAAAAAGATGAAAATAAATGTCAACATATTGAACATTTGGTCAGGTGATTATGGAGCGCTAATGTTTTTCTTACATTTCTGTTATTTTCATATGTATTTGTAATAAAATAACGTTATTAAAATCACTTATAAAGGAAAATTAGAAACTACAGTCCTAGTTAAGTAGGAGTGCAAAAGAACTTGTGAAATGGGGTCGGGTAAGAATCTAGTGACTTCTCTGGAGTTGCAAGCAGAGGGTGCCTGATGCAGACACTGAGCTGGACATGAAGCATGTTCTCTGAAGATTATTGTCTGTCTTCCTTCTAAACCCATGGCTCTGCGTACCTGTTCCTGCTGGCCCTTGAAGAGGTTCATATATTTGAAATGAGCATTTTGGGGGTGTTCAGCTTGGTGCTATTCATGATAATTTGTAATAGGTTAAATGCTTTCAATTAAAGCTTAAGTCAGTGAAGCTCTCAGTTGAGAAATATCAGAAAATTGAGTGCACTGTAAAGTCAGTCTCTGTAGGTCTCCATAGCTTGAATTTTGTGGAGTCACCACTGAGCTGACCTTGTGCTGAGTTTTATGATTCTCATATTAGACACCTTCTTACACATTCAGATGGCATTTCCAGCTGGCTGTCTAAAGTTGCTTCGTAGTCACGGAATCAGGACCCCAGAACAGAGAGCCAAAATTGAGCACTGTTTCCTGAGAGCACTGTGGCTCTGTCCTTGAGGACAGATTTGGCCTGTGTTAAGTTGTTGATGAGCAATTGTTAGGATTAATGGTCTCTGTGAGTCTACTCCTTCTATAACCCAGCACCCAGGCTTTCACATCAACCACGCACCAACCATCACAGCAGCTGTTTTCAATCTGCCCATCATCTTAACCACACACACAAGGCTGCAGAATTCATCTCATTAACTTCCTTATTTTGTAATGGAAGACTGAGGTTCACAGAGGGACAGTGACTTTCCCAAGTCACTCAACTGGTCCTGACAAAGAAGGACTAGCCTATGGCAATCTCAGATTGCCACCTCTATGTTGAAATGACATTTACCAGTAACTAGCCCCTTGGCAGAGAGGAACCCATCAGGCAGGCGGTCTGTGCATGGTGGGTCAGAGGCAGAGCTGTGCATTCACACAGACTGGATTCAAATATCGGTTCCTTCATGTTTTAGCTTTGTGACTTTCGCTGGGTCCTTTGATGTCTCCACTCCTCCATTTCCTGTCCTCTAAAGGGGGAATGCTGGCAGTGTGTTTTCATGGGATAGTTACGAGCATTAAATAACTTTCTTCCGGTAAAGTTCTTGGTGTTGTTTCTGACATCTAATAAGCAATCAAATGTTACAACTGCCACCACCATGGTAGCACATCCTCTTCTGGGTAACACCTATGTTAAATCAACGTACATGGCTTGACTCAGGTGATATCTGTAATCTTGACTTTGTCTGTTTACATGTAACTAGGCCTCTGGTCTCTGCCATCCTATAAATCCATTCAGCCTTTCAGCCTCAGTTTCTCCTGGTAGAGCCTGGCATGGCCTGAAGGCAGCACAGTATAATAGAAATAGGAAGGTGTGTGTGATAGACTAAAAGATGGCTCCCCCAGACACCCAAGTCCTGATCCTGGTACCTATGACTATGTTACCTTACACAGCAACAGAGACTTTGCTGGTGTGATTAAGTCAAGGATCTTGAGATGAGGGGTGAGGGGCTTATAAAGCGGAGTTTCCCTGCACAAGCCCTCTTCTCTTCTCTGCCGCCATGTGAGACATGCCTTTCACTTTCCACCATGATTGTGAGGCCTCTCAGCCAGATATGCTCAATTATCTAAGTTGTCCCTAAATGTAATTACAAATGTCCCTACAAGAGGGAGGCGAGTGGTATTGACTGAAGAAGAGGGAGGAGGCAATGTGATGTGGCCACTAACCCAGAAATGAATTCAGTCTCTAGAAGCAAAAAAGGCAAAATATACATTCTCTCCCGGAGCCTTTGGAAGCAGTGTGGCCCTGCGGCCACCTTAATTTTAGCACAGTGAAATGGATTTTGGACTCCTGGCCTCCAAAACTGTAAGAGAGTAACTTTGTGTTATTTCAACCTAACAGTTTGTGGTAATTTGTTAGGGCAGTCACAAGAAGCTCTGATATGGTTTAGCTGTGTCCCCACTCAAATCTCATCTTTAATTTTAGCTCCCACAATTCCCATGTGTTATGGGAGGCACCCGGTGGGAGGTAATTGAATCATGGGGGCAGGTCTTTCCTGTGCTATGCTTGTGATAGTGAGGAAGTCTCATGAGATCTGATGGTTTTATAAAGGGGAGTTTCCTTGCACAAGAGCTCTTCTCTTGTCTGCTGCCATGTGAGATGTGCCTTTCACCTGCTGCCATGATTGTGAAGCCTCCTCAACCACAAGGGACTGTGAGTCCATTAAACCTCTTTCTTTTGCATATTGCCCAGTCTCAGGTATGTGTTTATCAACAGTGTGAAAACAGACTAGTACAAGCTCATACAGTGTAGAAGTCACTCCTCAAAGGTGACTTCTGTCACCACCCTCACCCCAAGATTAGAAGAGTTCCCATTGCACCTTGAAATTCATTTTCAAAGCATTCATTGCACTTGGGACTATTAGTTTAATGCCCAGCACCTGGAACCAGTGCTTGGAACATGGGAGTCCCTTAATAAAATGTTACTGGATAAATGAATATTTGTCTTCCCAGAGAGACAGTGAGCTTCCTAGAAGCCACATGCGGGCTCTTTGCTGCTGCATCCAGAGTGCCTAGCTCAGCGCTAGTGCATGGTAGCTTCTCCATAAATATTTGCTGAATGAATAAATGGCTGCTTGTCTCCTCAAGTAGCCTATCAGCTCCACATTCGCCATGTCAGTTTCTTCCTCTGCAATCTCTGCAGTGGCTTGCACCATGCCTGGTGCCTTGTAAGTTCTTTGCAAGCAATCATTGGCCATCTGCCTGAGTAGTCACGCTGGTCCGGACTTGAGCGATCCTCTCCCTCTGTCCCTTTGCACTAGAGCAGTTGTCCCATTAAGCCATGTGAACCCTACCGGTGTGTGTTATGAGCCATGCGTTGTGCCAACATCCCGGCAGACGGAATTCAGCAGTGCCACGGGAGAGAGCCAGCGGCCTCCCCTGCATCTGAGCAGCGTGGCTTGTTAGTTCCCAGTCCTTCAGCCACCAGCTGTTTCTAACACAAACTCGTGGTGACAGAGCTCTCTGTAGGAGAAGCTAACTACAATTGTCAGTCTGCAGAGCATCAGGCATCTCTAAAAGGATTCCAATTATTGTTCTGTTCTGCCTGCTCCTATTACAGTCTACCTCAACATCAGCTCTTATTCAGGGAGAGGAGAGCGAGATGCTAACTCTGTCTCCACTCACTCTTATGCCAGAGGACCAGCAGATGCCAGCAGCTGGTGTCACGCTGGAGAAGGGTAAACATAGGTAAACTTCCCCTCAATGCGACGGCTCACTTTTCATTGGTGTGTATTGCACTTAAATGTGCTCGGAAAATCTCAACTCAGCGTGACTCGCAACCTCACCACTGAGCGGAAGATAAATACTGAGATGCCCAGAGGTGAGTCATTTTTACAGGGCATTCCCCAAAGACAAGATGGGAGGTGCCTCCCACACTCTTCACCTCCTCCTCTGTGGGCAGCAGGTCCCTGCCTGAAGCCGACAGACAGGAAGTCGGATCTGTGTAGGTAGAGTTGGCAGGTTTCTCAGCTCTCATAATAGCTCATGGGCATTGCAGTAAGGACCCAGCACAAGGAGGTGGTGGAATGGCACGGCCCACGGCTTCCTTAGTTGTGGAAGTTGTGAGGATTTAAGTATAATTTACATTATCTTTTTTTTTTTTTTTTTTTTGAGATGGAGTCTCACTCTGTCACCCAGGCTGGAGTGCAGTGGCACGATCTCAGCTCACTGCAACCTCCACCTCCTGGGTTCAGGTGATTCTCTTGCCTCACCCTCCTGAGTAGCTGGGATTACAGGTGTGCACCACCACGCCCAGCTAATTTTTGCATTTTTAGTAGAGATGGGATTTCGCCATGTTGCCCAGGCTAGTCTCAAACTCCTGACCCCAAGTGATCCGCCCACCTCAGCCTCCCGAGCTGCTGGGATTACAGGCATGAGCCACAGTGCCTGGCACGTTAATCTATTTTAAAAATCTAGTTGGACTTATTTTTAAACTTGTTTGTCAAGGCAAAATTCACATGACATAAAAATTAACCATTTTAAAGTGAACAATTCAGTGCCATTTAGTGGATGGACAGTGTTGTATAAGGCACCACCTCTATCTATATTCTCATCGCCCCCAAATGAAAACCGCATACCTGTTAAGTAGTTGCTCCCCATCCTCCATCCCCCATGCCCTTTGTAATCATCTACTTTCTGTCTTTAAGGATTTACCTATTCTGGATGCTCCATACAAATGAAATATGCAAAGAGGAGCGCATTAGGAAGGTGGTCTGTTCATGGTGGTTCAGAGGCAGAGCTGTGGATCCTCACAGCCTGGATTCAAATACCAGTCCCTTCATTTTTCAGCTTTGTGATCTTGGCTAGGTTCTTTGACCTCTTCATTTTTCCTTTTCCTGTTCTACAAAGGGAAAATGCTGGCAGTGCATTTTCATGGGGCCGTTACAAGCATTAAATAACCTTCTTCAGGTAAAGTTCTTGCTGTTGAATCTGACATCAAATAAGCCATCAAATGTTACAACCACTACCTCCTCTTCCTGGCTAGCACCTATGTGAAATGAATGTACATGGCTTGACTCAGGTGATGCCTGTCTTTTGTGGCCTTTTGCGATTGGCCCCTGTCACTTAGCACAATGTTGTAAGGTACGTCATAGTGTTTACTGATCCATATGATAGCAGAGGTCAGCACTTCTTTTCATAGCTGAATAGTATTCCACTGTATGGATAGGCCACATTTTGTTTGCCTATCCTTTCACTGATGGACATTTGAGCTGCTTCTACTTCCTCACTATTATGAGCAATGCTGCTATGAGCATGCATTTGCAAACAGTTATTCTTATTTAAATGTGAATTAGCAGTGCGTATACACACCCAAAATTGGGTCATCAAAGCCATGATTTTATTGATAATGATCAAGGATTTCTTCTTTACACAAATTCATTAGAGCACAAATGTCAATGTCTAGGACAATTTTATAGGACAATCTGAAGAAAGCAACAGCTCAGCTGGAATGTGGATATGGTTGAAGTCATTAGTTTAATCATATCTGCAGAGTTTCTTTTGCCATATAAGGTAACACTCACAGGTCCTGGGAATTATTAGGATCAGGATATTGTTGGGGTCCTTTTTCAGTCTGCCATATACACTGTGGCCTGAAGGTTCATTAAGAGTTAACTGGGAGACCAGAGCATAAGGGGTGCTCCAGGCAGAGGGCACAGCATGTGCAGAGGCCCTGGGGCAAGAGGCAGCCTGGTATGTGCAAGAAGAAAAGAGATGCACGGCTGGAAAGAGACACAGGCTTTTATTGGCCAAATTAAGGACTTGGGTCAGCATCCAAAGGACAAAGAGATACCACTAAAGAATCTCAAAAAAAGGAGTGATAAGTTGATTGGCATTTTAGTAGATGCTGTGGCCACATTGTAGATGGGCAAAGTAGAGGGAAATAATTGTGGATTCAGAAGAAGTTAGGAAGCTGTTGCAATAGTTCTGGTGAGAGGTGGCCAAGGCAAAGGTTAGTGTGTGACCGTGAGGACCAAAGGAAGAGGACAGTCACAGGCATCTGTGACTTACAGCTGACCAGCTCTGCTTTGCTACTTCATTCGTTGATTCCACAAGTGCGTATTGAGATCTCAACATGGGGAAGGTGTTATGCATGGTGCTGGGAATGAAATGCTGAGCCAACTGTGCAGTCCTGGACAGGTTAATTAACATTTAGGCCTCAGTTTCCCCAAGATATGATAATGTTCATTTTTTTTGGAGTGTCATGAATATTAAGTGAGTGAATGGAAGGAAAGAGCTTAGGACAGTGCTTGACACAGAGGAAGTATTTGGAGCAGCAAGCAAGAGAAAAAGAAGGAACGAAGGAAAGGAAGGAAGGGAGGGAGGGAGGGAAGGAAGGAAGGAGAGAGGAAGAGAAAGAGAAACAAAGAAAAGAAAAGGAAAAAAAGGAAAGAAGGAAAGAAGGAAGGAAAGGAAGGAAGGAAGGAAGAAAAGAAAAGAAAAGAAAAGAAAGAAACCCATGGACACCCACAGAAACAACCACCCTGGCTTTGGCCCTCCTCTCTCTAGAGTAGTCATTGAAAAATTCACCCAGGACAACATTTGCATGAACACCCAGGAAATGGGTGGCATATGGCATTTGGCATTATGAGGCATTGAGAAATCCTTTCCGTAATATCCACTGAGTATATACTGTGAGCCAAAACTATGATAGCGGCTATGGGGGAAAAATGAGTAAAAACCAACAGTCATTGTCTTCATAGAGCTTACAATGTAGTTGGGGGGACCAATATTAGTCAAATAAGCATAGTAAGAAAGATAGTACAAGGTAAGAGGGGGAAGACCATGTTGCAAGAGAGTCTTTGGTGGGCTGAGTTGACCTGACCACGGTAGTCATGGAAGGTCTCCTTGTGGACGTGATCCTTGGGGTGAATCAAGAGGATGAGGTGGTGTTAACTGAGCAAGAATGGGTAGAAAGAACATCACAGGGAGAGAGAAAAGGGTGAGCAAAGGTCCTGTGGCCAGTGGGAATGCAGTGAGTGTGGGTGTAGATAAGGCTGGAGAGGCCACCAAGAGCTGAACACCCATGGAACCTTGTAGAACAGGCTGATGGGTTTTGTCTTTATACTAATGGAAATGGGAAATCCTTAAAGTATATTAAGTTATATGGAGATATATACAGAGATGCATCTTTGGAAAGATGATTCTGGTTTGAGTGTTAAGGGGAGATGGAGAAGGAGATAAGAGAAATGTCCACTAGGGGACTACCATATTGGTTCAAACAAGAGACAGCAATTAGGTGGTAGAGATGGGGAGAAGGTGCCACTTCGAGGGCTGTTTAGGAGAGAAAATCAACAGCAGCACTAGTGATAAATTGAGCAGAAGAGGTAATGGAGGGTCAGGTGGCCAGGATAACACCAGCATTTCTTGACTGGTGCAATCGAAATTGAAATGGGGATGTTGCGGATGGAGGTAACTCATGCCACAGGTGTTTCATCTTCTCAGTAAAGCAGAAGCCTGGCTCATTTGCTGAAAAAGAGTGCATTGAGAACTAAGGCAGAATTTTAAGGACGTACAAACATTTTTGAATGGCAGCTGTGGGGATTCGAGCAACAAGAATGACTTGCAGAAGTGATGACTTAATTGAAATCAAATTGAAATACATAGAAACCACAGATTTGGAGTAGGCATTTCATTTGATATGTCTCAAAGGCCCAGCAGGATGCTCTATCTACAAAGAAGGTACAGAATAAGTATTTGTTGAGCAAGTAGATAAAACCAAAGAGCGATTTTGCATGACTTTCCTGAGCCAACTGGGACAATGAATTGGCTGATCTATGCACAAAAATTTGTCCTGCTATATTTCTTTCCATGGCAATCCCTGTGTAGAACTTTAGGCTGCAACCTAAAGGTGAAATGCACTTAATTTGGCTTGAATAATTTACTTGGATTCTTCCTTATCAACAAGACTTGAATATATAATGTATTTGAATTTGAATTTGGTAGTTATATGATTGTTTAATTCTTGGGGATTGGAATATGAGGGAGATAGGAAGAAAAGGAAAAGGAACCATTTGCTCACACTCTGGCAGATCTAAAGAAGGTTTCATTACTGTAGGGCTTCTCAGAACTTTCAGTACCCTAAGACAGAAGCTTCTTAGACATTATTTGTTCTACAGGAAAAAAAAAGTGTTGCAAAGAATAGCTACATATAGTTATTATCTAATATAGTGGCATTCTATGGAAAGAAATAAATCTATATTAGATTACCTTGAATTTGAGAATATCACATTTTAGCCCCTTGGAAGGAATTGTACTCTGGAATTATATCTTTGGAATATCTGATCAGGCCATTATACCAATCTTCCCATGTTTCCTACCATATTTCTAAAAGAATATTATTTTATACCATAACTATATTCAACATAGTGCCTATTTCTCTATTGCCTTCCTAGGAATTTAATTTTGTTGTCTAAATGGGGGAAGTCTGTTTCCTTTCCCAGTTACGGCCCAAATAATAAATGTTGATGTTACCGTGCTATAAAAATATGTCCTCTATAAATTGCTTTGCTTGTCATTAAGATGTTTCCTAAACAAGTTGAATATGCGCTATGTTTTTGCCAGACACTTGAAGCAATCTTAAATTACCTGCTGTGTCTACACATATTCAGAAGGCCATAATAGAAATGTGCCGAGTGGCTCAGGAGAAAATCATTTATAAAGATTAGAGGAGGACTTGGGAAGCTCTGCCTCTTGTTGCTTGGATTGTGCACAAATACATTTATTTCTGGGTATGTTTAGGTTATTTCTTTTCAGATTTATTTTGGTTTACACCGTTTCCCAAGCATTAGTCATCACTGTCCCCTGAAGCAGTCACACTATACTCATCTCCGTAGATGATCAATCAGAATCTTGAGAGTGAAATGACCAGTTAAGACAGACCAACAATTTGTTGATCTAGTGGAGGCGGAAAAAATGCAGTCTGAATTGAAATGACTTTTATGAGATTTCACCCAGGTGGTTGTTTCTAAATTTATACTCAAAATATAGAGTGAAACTTGAGAGAACATTTGCAAGAAGGAATGTGATCCTAAAATAATAGGATGTCCTTGTTGGGTGAGTTGAGGAAGTATGATAGAGCCATAGAGGAAAAGGGTAGATTGGCATCGACTTAGTAGCGCTGACGATCATTTTTATCAGGGATGTGGATGTAGGCACAGAAAGAAAGGCATAGCTCTTAGATTAGCAGAAGAGACAAGGTTGGAAGGAATAATTGTCCAGTTAGAATGCATAATCTGTTTTTAAAGACATATTAAACTGGAATAACCCATGTACAAGTATTTATCCAGCTTGGATACCTGGAAGTGGAATTCCTGGTTGAAAGGTATATTAATATAAAATTTTGTAAAAAAATATATGTTAGATAATGCTTAGTCATCCTTCGCAAATATCATGCCAATCTACATTTCAACTACCAGGGCACACACTTGAACCCATATAAACAGTGGTCTATTCTGAGGACTTTTCAGAACTTTTATTAAACCAAGATTCATTGTAAATCTTTGAGGGAGTCATCTGGCATACAAAGTGTTTTCGAAACTTTGATTTTAAAGGAACTCATACTAACATCTTGAGAATCTAGTATCCTTAGAACAGTGGTCCCCAACCTTTCTTGGCACCAGGGACCGGTTTTGTGGAAGACAATTTTTCTGTGGGCAAGGGTGGGGGATGGTTTCAGGATGAAACTATTGCACCTCAGATCATCAGGCATTAGTTAGATTCTCATAAGGAACATGCAACCTAGATCCCTCACACGTGCAGTTCACAGTAGGGTTCACGCTTCTATGAGAATCTAATGCCATGGCTGATCTGACAGGAGGCGGAGCTCAGGTGGTCATGCTCACTCACTTGCCACTCCCCTCCTGCTGTGCGACTCGGTTCCTAACAGGCCATGGACCAGCACTGGTGTGTAGCCAGGGGGCTGGAGACCCCTGCCTTAGAACACAATTCAAGAAATGCTAGTCCACATGAAAGTGAAAGGCTGAAAACTTGCAGAAAAGGAAAACCGAAACATTGAAAGAGGGAAAATCTGACAGGAGAAGGCACAGAGATGAGCATGAGGGCCATTTGTTGAAGTGTTGGTAACAGCGATAATGATAATTCTAGCTGATATTTTCAGAGCATTTTCTACGTGTCACTCATGGAGTCCTCACAAGAACTTCACGAAATAGGTACTGTAATTATTCCCATTTCATAGATGAAGCAATTGCAGCATAGGGAGATGAAGTACCTTGTCCAAGGTCATGCGAATAGGTTAGACTTATTCACTCTGTGTGGCCCCAGAGGAGGAATGGTTCTAGAAAGAAATATTTTAGCTTAATATTTGAAGAAGGGCTCCAGCAGTCAGAAACTGGGCATCATCTATTAGGGATATCTCCCTGAGGGAGAATTTGAGCGTGATTAATTCCCTGACATTCCATTGGTGGAACTCATTCTTTGACTTTAGATAAAATTCTCTTGCTTCTGAATCTCTGCTAATTTAGGTGGTTTGTCCTGGACAAGACTGATTTTTAAAATTCTTTATGTTATTGTCAATAAATTTTTTTTTTTTTTTTTTGAGATGGAGTCTCACTCTGTCACCAGGCTGGAGTTCAGTGGATCCATCTAGGCTAACTTCAATCTCCGCCTCCCAGGTTGAAGCCACTCTCCTGCTTCAGCCTCCCGAGTAGCTGGTGTTGGAGGCCGAAAGATTGAGGGTCGTGATCAACTCAGTATACCACTGGAGGCTATATGAGTAAGCGCCAAACTGGTCTTCATAAATGCAGAATGTTGGCAGACCGACAAACTGCGTCTGCTGCCCCGAAGGAGTGCTGAAGACAGTCACCCCCGATGCGCAGTGTTTCTTGTGATTAGGTACATCTGAAGCCTGTTAGTAATAATATAAACCTGTGTTCAGTTAAGCAGCTGACCAGTCATTACCACCTCCTCCTTGCTCTTTCTACCCAATAAATACAAAGGGCTCTAGAAGCTCAGGGGTGCCTTTGCTCACTAGAAGCAGGGAGCTCTCTTCTTCTTCCCCAGACCCTTCCTTTAAAACAGTTTCTTTTGTCTTAAGTTTCCATTTCTACGTTTGTCCCTTTGTTCAGTCTCGTAATGACACTCTCAAGTAGTAACAGTAGTAACTGTCCTAATGACATCTCAAGTAGTAACTGTTGTCATGATGGTCTCAAGTAGTAACAGTAGTAACTGTTGTAGTGACTGGTCTCAAGTAGTAATTGCGGCAGTCAGCCACAGCTGGAATTACAGGCATGCACCACCACACCCAGCTAATTTTTGTATTTTTAGTAGAGATGGGTTTTCACCATGTTGGCCAGGATGGTCTTGATCTCCCAACCTCAAATGATCCGCCCGCCTCAGCCTCCCAAAGTGCTGGGATTATAGGCGTGAGCCACTGCACCTGGCCTATTGTCAATAAAATATTTTTATATCCATGATGCCAGTTTGTTTGGTAAATGTGACTACAGAGCCCAGGGTGAAAAGATGTAGAAATTGTCTTGGGATCATCTTGACGTCTCCTGGTTGGAGTATTCATGTTCACTCCCGCTCAATCCCCAGGTCATATGGCAGTCTAATCTCAGACTCTCAGCCCAGCTGCCACCTCCAGCCTCTGGCCTACACTAGTGCCCAGTGGTGAGCAAAGATGTTGGGAAGAAATCTGGATGCATCTAACCCTGCTGCCTGTTGAGTATCAGGAAGCTGCCCAACACTCTTCCTTAGAAAGGTTTTAACATGTCATAATATTGAGGCATTGAAAATCTAAATGAATTCTTCTGATTGTTCCAGAGAAGCTATGGAAATATGATCACTTCATTATCCTTTACCAAATGTTCATTGCATGTCTTCAGTCCCTCACATTCCCACCAGCTCCTCTCTTCTTTGCCTGACCAACCTTACTCATCCTTTGAGGCATGTGGCAGAGATCGTGTGTTCACTAAACTCTGTTTGTTTTCACTCTTGGCCATAGTTAGACTTAATTTTCCAAAGTTCCTTGCAGTTAGGCAGGGCCATGAAACAGACAATGGAATTTGGTAGAAGTCATCAAACCACTCCTTCCTCTCCTCACCTTCTTTCCCCATCCACAAGCTGAACCAAGGACTCCAAAGGTCTAGAGGAAGGCACAGCCCAAGATGGAAGGACCTGAATCCCTGACTCCCCCAAGACATTGAGCAAAGTGGAAGAAATTCATGGTTGGTTTTTAAGCTCTTTAGAAACAGTGGTTTATTTGTTGCAGCAGTTAATGTTGCTCTGCCTAACATAAGACTCTGCTCTACCACATCAGGTTTCTTCATGGGTAAAGTAAGGTCTTCTCCTATGAGAATGTATAGAGCCCTAGACAGAGCTTGCATCATAGCTTTAGAATGCAAGCCCCATGGGACAGAGGCTGTGTCTTTCTTATCCATCATTGTACCCATTCCCTAGCAAGTGTCCAGCATTTGGAAGCAAGTCAATAAATACTAGCTATTATTGCTATTAGTATTAATGTGTTAGCGTTGTCTGACCCTTGCTCCTTACAGTGTAGGCCATGGGCCACCATGGCATCACCCCAGAGCTTGCTAGAAATGCAGAGCCTCAGGCCTCATGCTAGTCTTATTGAATTAGCATCTGCATTTTAACAAGACTCTCAGGTGAGGCCATTCCTGCTGAGGTGCACATACTAATATTTGAAAGACATCACTCTAGACCAGCAGTTCTGAGCCTTGGTTGCACCTTAGAGTCACCCTATCAGAATTCCTATCAGAATCTGGTTTTGTTTTTGTTTTAAGGCTTCCCAGATGAATGTAATGTGCAGCCAGGATTGCAAACTACTGCTCCATCTCAGTAGTTCTCAAACACTAGCCTGCGGCAGAATCCCCTGGGTGTTAGGTGCGTATCACAACACAGATTGCTGGATCACCTCCCCACACTGCCTGATTCAGTATGTCTGGCATAGGGACCAATAACGTGCATTTCTCCCAACTTCCCAGGTGCATTCGTTTGCAACGGCTGTGGTAACAAAGCATCATAAACTAAGTGGCTTACAACAGCAGAAATGTATTCTCCCATGGTTCTGGAAGCCAGAACTCTGAAATCAAGGTGTTGGCAAAGCCATGCTCTGGCAGCTAGTCCAGGGGAGAATCCTTCCTTGTGTCTTCCAGCTTCTGATGTTTGCCAGCAACCCTTGGAGCTCTTTGGCTTGCAGAAGCATCCACCACTCCAGTCCTCTGTCTTTACACGGCTGTCTCCGTGTGTGTCTTCACATTGTTTTCCTTGTCTGAACATCTGTCTCTGTGTCCTAATTTCTCATTTTTATAAGAACACCAATCATATTGGCTTAGGGCCCGTGCTCATGACCTCATTTTATCTTGTTTACCTCTACAAAGACTTCACTTTCAAATAAAGTCACATTCTGAGATATTAAGGGCTAAGACAATCAACATAAGCTTTTTGAGGGGACATAATTCAACTTACAACAGCAAGTGATACTGATGCTGCTGGTCTAGCAACCCCAGCTTGAGAACGACTGCCTTGTTGTGAGCTGCAAAAGTGCAAAGACAACATTCCTTTCTTTCAGTACATCCTACCCAGAGTGTAGCTTGGCGCTTGGCACATCGTATGTTTTAAGTAACTATAGGTTGAATTAATTAATATTCTTTCCACACAGCAATTTGGCCTGCATAAAAGACTTCGATATTTTCCTGATGTTGCCAGAGGCTTAATGTGTGACATTTCGTATAGCAAATGCTCAATAAATGTTGGGTGAGTGAACATAGCTGTCACTCCTCATTACATATTTTAAAAACAACCTTAGTGGGCCTTCATGCTTTTATTCCACCTTATGGAGCCCAATGACAGAATGCTGATTAAATGACATGGCTCCTTTAATGGGAAATTAACAATCTACAAAATGTTGTGGATTCAGTAATAGGCATTTGAGGCGCTGACTATGATGATTTGTTGCTTGCCTTGCCTTGATTCCCCAGTGAGAATTCATCTCTATTTAGCAAGTGCTGTGATCTACTCCAGTAAAGGAGATCTCTTTCTTTGAATCCCAGCAACCTCTAGCTTGGTCTTTAGCTTCATATATCACTGTTAATTTTCACCTAAGTCAGTGGTTCTCAACTGGGGGTGATTGTGCTCCTCAGGGGACAGACATTAGAGACATGTTTTGGTTGTCTGTCGTGAGAGCAGAGTGTATTCCCATTCCCCAGCTGGGACCAGCGGGTATGCTGCTCTCATCTAATGGACAGTGGCCAGGGGTGCTGCTGAACATCCTACAGTACATAACACAGTTCTCATCGCTACAGAGAATCTCTGGCCCCAAACGTCAGTAGTGCCAGCGTAGATAAACCCTGACCTAAGCAAAGACAAAATGGACATGAAGTTGCCTCAATGGGCAAGACCAAGACTTCTGAGCCACCCCATCAGTGACACTTGATGTAGCCGGTAGCAGGAGTGCCAGGGAGAACACAGCTTTGTTGTTCCATATCCAGCTGTTTGGATCAGAGGGAAATGGGATCTTTCAATCACTACTGCAGTATGAGAAAGTGAGCTGCACCCAGTGGTTACTAGGTGGGGTGCTCTGTGCAGTGTGCTTCGAGCACACCCTCTCACTGAATGTGAGATGATGCTCCCACTCGCAGTGTCTCTGAGGTGAGAACTATTACAGTCCCCACATTGCAGAAGAGGAGTCTCCAGCACTGAGACTGAGTAGTTCACCCAATGTCATATAGGGTGGAGTGTTAAAGTCCTAAATAAAACCCAGTCTATAGGACGATTGAGTCTGTGATTTTAATCCCTGTGTAGTCTGGGTTTACATTTCCATTCAGATTCCTGCTCCAACATTTCCTATAGATGCTCCTCAACTTACGATGGGTTTATGACCCGATAAACCCATCGTAAGTTGAAAATTATCATTAAGTCAAAAATGTATTTAATACACATAACCTGCTAAACGCCATAGCTTAGCCTACCCTACCTTAAACACACTGAGAACACTTCCAGTACAGTATTCAATAAATTACATGAGATGTTTAACACTTCGTTATAAAATAGGCATTATGTCAGATGATTCATCCCAACATCACAAGAGGATATGGCACCACATGTTGCTAACCCAGAAAAAGACTAGAATTCAAAATTTGAAATACAGTTTCTATTGAATGCATATCACTTTCATACTATTGTGAAGTCAAAAAATTATGAGTGAAATCATCGTAAGTCAGGGACTCTCTCTAGCTGCATTGTGTTGGGCAAGGGATTTAACCCTCACCGTCTTTGTTTCCTCATCTGCAAAATGAGGATTTATAACAGTTCAAAGGGTATCTACTAGGATTAAAAGATACAAAATACATCTAACAATGTCTGGCCACAGTATAAGCTCAATAAATGTTAGTTCTTCTCCCCGTTAGCCGTCATTACATTCACAGGTATTAAGAAAGAGAAATGTATAGGTATGATATGTAATTCTCTTAGTTAATGAGACTTTCCTTAAACTAACTAGAAGATTCCATTCACTGGAAACATACTTAATGATGAAGCTTTTATTCTGTTCATCTCCTTCAGGGAGTACTTAAAAATAACTCACAAGCCCATTGTTAGAGCTCATGTTCTTTACCCAACCAGGATTTAATTAGTCCTTCAGCTCCTTAGCCCTTCTTAGAAGTTGTTCGATGTTAAATCCCACATGACCCTTGGGTGGGAAGGTGTGGAAACCCTCCAAGCACCATCTGACATACCCAGTGACTAGGAAGACTTCACAGTAAGAGTTAAGGATTTTTAAAGATTGCCGATGTTAATGAAGAAGGAAAAAAAATAGTGGATGTGCTAAATTAGATATTTACAAATTATGTTCCTCTCTCCAGGGGAAGATTCATTAATTTTCACCGTAACCAGCTTCATTCTATTGGGACACCAGAGGAGGATTTGCAGATTACAGATCCAGCCACATCTTTCTCATGCTTAAAGAAGTCTCATTGTCTGCACTGTCCAGAGAGGGGAAAGTCCACTGCCTGGACAAGGCCTTCATGGCTGTTCACAACCTGCCCCAGCCTCCAGTCCATTACCCTTGCCTATTTTGTTGCAGTGATGGAATTAAAGTCCTTCTAATGAAAAAGGCTGTAGGTGAATTTTAATCCATTAGCCATCTACCAGACCTCCTCTGCCATCCTTTAGACTCTCCATACAGTTCCTCTCCCTGCCGTATCTTCTTGTGTGTCAATATTTATATCAAGCAAGCCCTCCTCATCTGCCCACCCTTTATCTGCCAGGCTAAGTCCAACTCCTACTTCAAGACCGCATTCAAATAATGCCTCCTGTCTGCAGCTTTCCTCAGCTTCCCCATGGAGAATTGATGGCTCCCTTTCTTTGAGCGTATTCATTCATTCATTCATTCATTCAATGACAACTATCTACCAGGAGCTGTTCTAAGCATTGGGGTGTGGAGGTGAACAAGAAAGCATAGAGCCATTGTTCTAGCTGGGGAACCAATATGAAGTAAAACATAAGCTAATACTTAAGTCCAGAAGTTCAGAAGTGATAAGTGCTCTGAGGAAAATATGGAGTGATGAGGAAGAGTGAAATTGGCAGAGTGAAGAGTGATATTTGATGAGGCAATCAGAAAGAGCCATTGTGAGGTGAGGTTTGGGCTAAAACCTGCATAATGAGAGGGAAGCATCCATCCTCCAAGTGTAGAGCGTGGGACGTCTTGGTAGATACCTCACCAGCTCTTCCCTTCTCAGAGGCTCTGAACTCCTGGAGGGTGGCACTCTTGGCATCCCCAGACTCTTGGCATCCCCAGTACTTTGTCCGGAATTCATGCATAGCAGCAGATAGCCACAGGTGATGGCTCAAGTGCCTTCATTTAATTTAACTTAAAATTTTATTTTCGGTTGTACCTGTTATGCATTTGTTAGCCATACTACTGGTTTTTTTTTTTTTTAATCAAAGAAGAAAATAGCTATTGCTTCTTTTTTTTTTCTCTGGGTTCAAGACGTTCTGGAAACAAAGTTTGAAAAATCCATTTAGGAAATGCAATTTAAGTGCCAGATAACATCTTGGGATTGGCGCCATGATCGATGAGGTCTGGGTATAACCAACGTCTTATGCCATGTCTCTGATCTTTACTCAAATTCACCTCCTATTCTGGGTAGCGAAGTTTGGGGAGACCCAGTGGTGTGGAGAGAGGGTTGTGTTTAGCTTCTCTTTCCCTGACCTCAGAGTAAACACCAGCCATCTGCATAACAGCAGTGCCCTTCCATAGTACTTATTAGGCTATTGTTACTCAGTTGATGTCAGTTGGTGCCACTAGACAGAGGGCACTGCAGCCCCATGGCCATGTCTGTCTTTCTGAAAGATTCAAGTGCCAGTCTCTTTGCATCTGGCACACAGTAGGTACTCTGAAAAGACTTGCAAAATGCAGAAATGAATGAATGAAGGCACAACAAAAACACGGACCGGAAGGGACACCTCCGGTCCTGAACAGCCTGGCTTCAACTTCAAGGACCACAGTTGGCTTGAATTTTAATCCATCAGGTCATCTCCATGTGTTCACTTTCTTCCATAAAGGTGAATGTGTCAAGCACTGTGCAAGCTGCCAGGAGAATGGTGGAGTATGATAACCATCTAGTGGGGGAGGCAAACTTGAATCGAATGATGGCACAAATAAGTGTGGAATTATAGAGTATGGTAAAAGCTAAGAAGGAAAGGCAAACAGGGCTTCAAGAGTACACAGCAGTGAGCCTGGACCCAGGGGGATGTGGGAAGCCCAGGAACCTGGATAAGTGGCTGTTGTTGTTTAATCTATTTTTTAGCTTTCATTTTAGTTTCAGAGGTACATGTGCAAATTTGTTACATAGGTAAACTCATGCCATGGGGGTTTGGTGTACAGATTATTTTGTCACCTGGGTACTAAGTATCCAATAGTTGTTTTTTTCTGATCTTCTTCTCCCACCATCTACCCTCAAGTAGGCCCTAGTGTGTGTTGTTCCCCTTTGTGTGTCCATGCTTTCTCATTATTTAGCTCCCACTTATAAGCGAGTACATGCAGTATTTGGTTTTCTGTTCCTGGGTTAGTTTGCTAAGGATAATGGCCTCCAGCTCCATCCATGTTCCTGCAAAGGACATGATCTTTCTTTTTTATGGCTGCATAGTATTCCATGGTATATACGTACCACATTTTCTTTATCCAGTCTACAGTTGATGGGCATTTAGTTTGCTTCCATGTCTTTGCTATAGTGAATAGTGCTGCAGTGAACATATGCGTGCATGGGTCTTTGTGGTAGAATGAAGTCACTGTTGAGCCTTGACCTCCAAGGCTGAAATAGATAAAGGAGTGAGGAGGGTGTTGTAGTGGGAAGCTGTGGCCTGCAGAAGCTATCCTGGGGCATCAGGAGCTGCTGGGGGAGGGAAATGGTATAAGACAGCAGACCAGGCAGACCAAGACTGGGTTCTGTAAGCTCTGCTAGGAATCTTCCTTGGTATCTGCAGAGCACAGGAAAGCTTTTGAGAGATTTCAGTGGGGAGATGATATATGCAGAGCTGAGTCTGGAATTATCACCTGGGCTGCTTGCTGCCAGATAGATTGGAGCAGGAAGGGGGGGATGGGAAGCTAGCCAAGAGCAGGTGTCCAGGTGGGAGAGAATGGTCACTTAAACCTAGTGGGGGTGCCAGGGTGGGGAGAGGTAGACAGATTGAGGTGATATTTAGGAGGCAAACTCAACAGGCCTTGGTGATGGCTTATTTAGCTCAGTGGTCCTAAACCAGGGACAGTTGTGTCTTCCAAGGAACACCTGGAAATATCCAGATATTTTTTGGTTGTTGCAACTGGCTGGGAGATTGGTGGGAAGGGGATGCTACTAGCATTTCATAGGTAAAAACTAAGGATGTGGCTAAATATCCTACAATGCAAAGGGCAGCCCCTCCCCCAACAGCAAAGCTTTATCTGGCCCCAGTGTCCGTAGCGCAGTGGTTGAGAAACCTGGCTTCAGATGTAGAAACATCAGAGATGCAGTGTCAGAGGTGATCTTTGGGTCTTGTCTTGCTAACAAGGTGAAAGGTCATGCCATTCTCTGAGATATTGGGACCCCGGATAGCCAGTTCTTTTACAAGGGGTATGTGGTGTCAATGGAGACCAGAAGATGGGTTCCTGAGGCATTTGGAGACATCCAAGTGAGGAGATGGCTTGTTTTCTTCCTAAATTTTCACCATCCCCCACAAGGCAGCCTTTTTTTTTCTCTGTTAATGAAGTTTCCAGCCACCTTACCCTTGATTCTCACCTTCCAACCCCCTGCCTTCCAATATTCCACCCCTCTTTTTTCTGCCCTAGAGGAGAAACCTATGATCCTTGCATTAGAATGGTTTTCCTGCCATCACTATTGCAAAATAGACAAGGGTAAAAGAAAGCCTTCAGTAGAATTTCATCTGAGTATTTTCTTTGCCCCCTTGTGTGTCATTTTCTCCTTAAGAAAACTGAGGAAGAAGTGTGATTTAGTCCCCTCATCTGCATAATTTTCTTCCCTGTGTGGCTGTGTGCTTGTCAGTGCTCTGACAGATCAAGAGTGCTCTGAAAGCTCAGAGGAGCAGGAAGAGACCCAGGTGACCTGGTGAGAGCCACGCTGAATCTCGGTTCACATGTCGTTAACGGAGCTTGGTCCTTGGAGGGCCTTGTGGGGAAGGACGCAGACAAGCTGTGATGGAGTCCTTGGGTCTCACCTGGGAGAGCCCACGGGAGCACCTGTGAGTTGGTTCCGAGAAAACATCCCACTCTCCAGGTCACCTCTCTGTGCTTCACCCCACCTCTCATTCTTCTTTTGTGCAAAGCACCTATTTGGAAGTAAAATATCAGCTAGAAAGGAAAGGAGTTTCAGAAGAAAGTACCACATCAGCGTTTTGAACAAATTAAGTTGTGTGCAAGCTGAGCAGCCTGTATCAAGGGGAACGTGGTAGAGGGATGTGAGCCTCAGGCTGCCTGCTGCCGGTTGCAGGCTGCCATATGCTTCACCTGCTTGTGCCCTCGAGGGTCCCCTTCTGGGGTCCCCAGTCTGGCTTATGATCATATTCCAGCATAGAGCACTCCCTAACCCCACTCCCGTAGCACTGGGACTATAGCTTTATTTCTTGCATCATTTTTCTCTACGCTCAAAAAAAAAAAAAAGCAAAAACAAACAAAAAAAATCTGCTCAGCATGAGAAATCAAGTTAATGAAAACGCTACCGCATTGAATTTCCAATAAGAGAAAGGCAAAGCAAAACTTGTCAACTAAAGAAAGGGGCATTCACTGTAATCCCTTCGAGGAGAGGTGGAAGCAGGAGTAATACAAAAGCTCATTACTGTAATCAAGGCATTTGTAACTGTTGGTGGCAGGAGGTGAAAGAGAGAGAGAGACAGAGAGGGGAAGACTCTGACGGAGGTTTTAACTGTATGCATGCCAGTCTTTCCCACTCGTCTTGCTGGTACAATCTGGATCGTTCATATAGAAAGGAGACAGGGTTTGCCAAACTTGGCTGACCAAGCCAAAAACACTAATTAGCAGCAGCTGCTCAAAATTGGGGATGCTCTTGCCTTCTAGTGCAGGGGTGATGACTTGTTCTGACTCTTCAAGATTCACAACCTTAGACTGCAGGATGCACTTTGCCAGGGGAAATGTATTCTCCAACGTGGCTGTGTGCATTGGTGCTCAAACATTGGTGAAGCCCCAAGTACTTGAGAGGGACAAACAAAACACCTGTGGAATCTCTTGGTCAGCTGGCCAGCAGGAGTTTGAAGCCAGGGTGAACTCAAAGCATTCTCCCAAAGAAGCCTTTTTCAACCAGGGGGCGCTGACAGAAGTTGTCAACACGTCTGGCAAAGCTTTCCAGCATCTGCTATGATGTCTTAATCCTCCTGTGAGGAGTGACAGAGGTAATGTGTGGCATGGAGCCATCAGTGACATTTGGTGATTGAATGTTGCTGGTGGCAGTGTCTTAATGATGGAGACAATTGATTGATAGGAGGTCAACTGCCAAGCAGTTAATCCGATGGCAAATTCCGCTCATAATGGAAGAGCTGGCCCATGCATGCAAACCAGCATGGTGGGGGATTCCTGCTGATGCAGCTGTGGGCACATGAGGAGGGGGAAAGATATCAATGCCTCTGATGAATGTCTAGCAAAGTTTTCCTTGTGAAACCTCATGGAAAGTTCCATGAGGCCAGAGATCACATCTACTTTGTTCACTGTTCTATCCTTTGTTGCTGACACATAGTGGCCATTCAGTAAACATCTGTTAAATCGAGGAAGCAGTGAATGAGTTGGAAGCTGCCTTCCTTAGGCTGTTTTACTTCCAGAATTCTACTTTTTCACTGACAGTAAGCCTAACCTCTCAGGTTAGAAATCTAAGTTGCCTTGCATTCCTCCCTCTCTCTTCCCCACCAAGCTCTGCATATTCCATCTCAGGAATAAATCTCTAACATTTCTCCCTTGTCTTCTTTCTCTGAAGCCAATTTGCATCTCCCAAGTAGTCTTCTGATGAGTAAGCCTACCCCCATCTCTGTTCCATGGCCCCCTTAAGTCATTTATATCTATCTATCTATCTATCTATCTATCTATCTATCTATCTTTGAGACAGCTTCTCACTCCATCATCCAGGCTGGTGTACAGTGGCATGATCTCAGCTCCCTGCAAACTCCGCCTCCCGGGTTCAAGTGATTCTCGTGTCTCAGCCTCCCAAGTAGCTGGGATCACAGGTGTACACCACCACACCTGGCTAATTTTTGTGTTTTTAGTAGAGACAAGGTTTCACCATGTTGAGCAGGTGACCCCAAGTGATCCACCTGCCTCGGCCTCCCATAGTGCTGGGATTACAGGCATGAGTCACC
The DNA here is from genome assembly GCF_000001405.40 of Homo sapiens. Lineage (NCBI taxonomy): Eukaryota > Metazoa > Chordata > Mammalia > Primates > Hominidae > Homo > Homo sapiens. Next base: position 83,551,357 of record NC_000016.10, read on the forward strand.
GCCCCTGGCTTAATTCTTTTAACATGTAAGTCTCATCATGTTACAACCCTGCTTTACATAGTCAAAGTCAACAAGTGTTATTTGGCCATAGATATCTCTTAGGCCATGACAACCCACCTCCTAGTACCTTCCCAGCCTTGGGTTAACTTCATGTCAGTGCTCACATTGGTGCTTCACTGTGTGCTGTGTCTTACGTTTCAAACACCCATTCTGCATCTTCTTGTTTCCTAATCTTTGCTCATGTATTCACTCAGGCTGGACATCCAAGCTTCTCTTTTTTTTCCTAGCAAAACACTGTCTTTGTTTAAGATGTGTCATCTGGGGACCTTTTTCTGATTCTTGTCCTCCCTTGGAGAAATAAATGCATCTCCCTTTCCTTTCTTCCATTTTTCATCACTTTGTACTTGAATTGTCAATTTGTCTACCCATCTCACCTGCTGGCCTATGAAGGTGTCAAGTCAGGGGCCATAACATCTTTTTCACTGTTCCTTCCAGCAACTAATATGGTTCCTGGCACATAATTACTTAATGTTAGTTGAAAGAAAAAATGGATGGATGAATGGATGGATGGATGGATGGGTAGATAAGTGGATAGGTGGATGGATGGGTTGGTTAGCGGGTTAATAAGTAATGGGTTAGATGCATGACAAAATGAATGGAATAAGTAATTGAATGGATTCATAAACTGATTCATTCCAGGGGAATACTAAGAAAATAGCAACTCCACCACCTCCCACCTTGGGATAAATGATATGGCCCTGTCCAGGGAAGGCTGAGTGCCCTTTGTCCTCAGACAGTGAATTCTGGAGTTCCAGGTACATGAGCATCAGGGTGTGATCTAGAAAGGAGCCTGTGGACCTAGTTGGGCGTATTCTCTTGGTCCTGGGGATTCTTTGTGCCATGGAGAAGAGCATAGTTTGAGGGAGGTCAGAATGGGAGGCCAGAACCCAGCTGCTTATGTCTAAAGCCATTATCTTACCAGGAAATGACTAAGACATATGGGAAAGGAAATGCCAATCTGGTAACTCCTGTAACTGTCAGTTCCAGTGGAGGATGCACCAATTGCTCGTGCTCACATGCTAAATCCTTTCTCCAGACATCACCCTGGCATGGCCCTCCGTCTCCTAGTCAGGCATTAACTAATAGGGGAAATGCAAAATGTTGATACCGCAGAATATAGAGACAGAAGAGATTCACACTGAAAGTGCAAATTACTTTTTTTGCAGTGAATAGAAAGTCACATTACTCTAAGAAGCTGCCTAATTATCTGTAATTATGCCCAAAATAGTCAAGCTAGTTTGCTAGCCAGTTGAAGAATTGCATCTTAAATGAATTTGTCACTAAAGAAAGAATGTTGAAACCTGGCAAAAGAGATTACTGCATTTCAGGGGAAAGATTAGAACATATCATGCCTGTGTTCAGTCTTTCAAAGACGTGGTTATTGGCTGGGCGCAGTGGCTCACACCTGTAATCCAGCTCTTTGGGAGGCCAAGGTCGGCAGATCACAAGGTCAGGAGTTCGAGACCAGCCTGACCAATATGGTGAAACCCTGTCTCTACTAAAATGACAAAAATTAGCCGGGAGTGGTGGCACGCACCTGTAATTCCAGTTATTCGGGAGGCTGAGGCAGGAGAATCACTTGAACCCAGGAGGCAGAGGTTGCAGTGAGCTGAGATCGCGTCACTGCACCGTAGCCTGGGCGACAGAGTGAGACTCCATCTCAAAAAAAAAAAAAAAAGTGACTGTGGTTATTGTAAACATTTTTGCTTAGGAAGCATTTATTACAGCTGTTCAATGTAGCATTTTACGGTATTCGGTGGAAACTCTAATGTAAGTTCGGAGCAGTCCTAACATTCCAAGAGTTAAAATTATCCATGATTGGGATGTAATATCTAAATTGAAATAAATAAACTGTTTTTATATGAAGGATTTTTTCCTGATTCAAATAAAGGAATCTAGTTTCATTGTAGGCAACACAGGAAATACAAAAGTTATAAAATTCACATCTGTAATCCCATCAACCAGAGAAAACTCTTAGTAACTAGTGGGTGTTTCTTGCTAGCTCTTTTCTATGCATATGTTTTTCTTATAACACTGGAATTTTAATATATACAACATTGTTTAGTTACATTCTTCCATGTAACTTTCATGAGCATTTTTATCTGCCCTGTAGGAATCAAAGTGATGGGTTTTTTTTGTTGTTGTTGTATTTTTTTCTCAGATGGAGTATCGCTCTGTCGCCCAGGCTGGAGTGCTGAGGCACGGTCTTGGCTCACTGCAACCTCTGCCTCTTGGGTTCAAGCCATTTTCCTGCATCAGCCTCCCAAGTAGTTGGGATTACAGGCACCCACCACCACACTTGGCTAATTTTTGTATTTTTAGTAGAGATGGGGTTTCATAATGTTGGCTAGGCTGGTCTTGAACTCCTGACCTCAGGTGATCCACCTGCCTTGGCCTCCCAAAGTGCTGGGATTACAGGCGTGAGCCACCACACCCAGCCCAAAGTCATGGTTTTTAAATGCCAACATAATATTCACCATTTTTACATACTGTTGTTTACTTAACCACCAATTTATTGTAGATAATTTTGTGTCTTTTATAGGTATTTATAAACGATTCTGCAGTGAACATTCTTGTACAGATATAATTGCCTGTGTCTCTGTCTGTTTTCTTAATAATGCCTAGGAATGGAATTACTAGGTCAAAAGGTATGATCATTTTAGGAGGTTATAGATTAGACCTCAATGTAGCAGTGCCATTTCTGTCTGTGAATCTTTCTTTCTAGATCTTTCTAAACCAGGGTATAGAAATAGAAGGTAAAATCCTCTTGGACAGAAAAGAAAAGAAGCAGTGAACACTTACTTAAAAAAAAAATAGGCAATGGAGGAGAGCCAAAATTTGAACTCCAGCCTGAAAATCACAGGATCCCTGGAGACAGGAATATGCACTGGCAGGCAACAGAAAGCCAAACAGAAATGAGATCGAAGAAGAGATAGGAAAACAAAACATTTCAAAGGAGGCATAGAAAGGAGCATATAATGGTGATGGAGGCAACGATAAGTAGGCAATGGAAAGTAGAGAAGAAAAATAGCAGCATGGCTGTGAAGGAAGGGAACACGAACTTCTGCAAAAGCTGTCAGAATCAAAATGAAGCCACTTATGTTAAAATTTTTTTTAATTAATAATCAATTTAAAACCCTGAAAAATGAGCTGAGGAGGGTTATGAAGAGGGGAGTCTCACACTTGGTTGCCTGATAACAAAAACTGTCACAAAAGACTGCAAAAACCACAACCTTGCACAAAGGCCATCACAACCTTACACACACACACGCACACACACAAATACTTCTGCAAGGACATCTGCCCAGCAACTGCCTGTCCAAGTACAGACTGATGTCACCCTTATTATTGATCTTTGTAGCCAGCAATAACTACTTCAAAGCCATTATGTAATCTTCCTCATTTTTTCCTTCAAAAACATTTGTCTTTCTTTACCTCCCTGCACACACATACAAAGTTACTGCAGCACATGTATTCCCATTGCAATGCCCTACTGCTGAATCTTTTTTTTTTTTTTTTTTTTAGAGAACCTCTCCCTCTTTGTTATTTAGGTTGATGCTTCCTGAGGCCACCCCTGTGCCACACAGACAGAACCCTGCGGGGCCAGAGGTGGAGGGTAGGAGCCATTGAGTGAAAAAGCAAGTCAACATCTACCAGCTTGCAGCCCCTCACTGACCATGTTGTATACAGAGAGAGCGAGCTACTTTGGTACTTCATCAACCAGACAGTTCAGCAGCTTGAAAGAGGGGAGATTTTTCCATGTTGCAGAGTGACAAGTTGATATACAATGTTTATGGAGACCATGGTTTGTACAGTGGTAAACTCAAGCACAGAAACAGGCATAGGGGTATCTTAGAACCTTGCTGCTCAAAGTACAGTCCATGGACCAGCAGCATTGAAAACACCTGGAAGATTTTTAGACTTTCAGAAACCAAGACCCTGCCTGCCCCAGGCCTGTGGAATCATAGTTTGCAGTTTAACTGATTCCCCAGGTGATTCATATACACATTAAAATTTGAGAAGTGCTGTCTTAAAAGACATCTTTTTATATGAATTTCAGACTTTGCTGGTGCTTGGATTTCCAGTGTTCACTGGAAAAGCCGAAAGATTTATGTGAGCACTTAGTTGACTGAATTGCATGTGATTTTAGAAGAGGGATTTCCAGATGTAAAGTTAAAACATGATGTGTGATACTTAGCATAAGTGGAGAAAACCAATTGATAAGCCCAAGGCTAAGTGGAACCATTCTGACTTTTTGAGAAACGCAATCTGTTTGGGGGATAGTTTCTAAAGTTCATCAGAAGAGGTGTCATTAAATCAGATTTTAAGCAGAATATAGCAGTTTGGCTAATGTTGGATAGTCTGTCTGCTCCCAATTCCAGAAAGTAAAATATTTTGCAATTGAGGATTGTAAACATCTTAGACAGTTGCAAGGACTGTACATGACATATCCATGCAAGAGTATTCCGTTCTGTTTCTATCAGCTTCTTATGCTTTTTCAATGGGAAATAGTTTTGGAATAATGGGCTCATTAGAGATAGACAAAGCTATGGCCTGGGGGAAGTAACACTGGTACCCAGAGGGTTTTAACTGTTTCACTCCCTTTCCCAGTGACTCAAACTATGCACCAGTATTAATTTTAAATGACTTTACAAAAAGACTTAATGAGATAAATCGTGTAGGCACAGTATAAAAGTTAGTCTTTCATGTTGTGTCTGCCTGCAGCAGCGTTCTAACTCAAACGTTAGGAGAGGCTTAGAGACAATTTGGGTCTAGCATCAAATCAGATAAACTATCATTTTTAATTATTGTTATTTTGATAAGGACTTCATAGTCTCTTAAGTAAGCCAGCCCTAAAAATCCTTGCTCATGTTTTTAAATGGTAAGGGAGATTCTGCAAAGATAGTATGAGGAAGCAGGAGGAGGAGGCAAATACTGGTTAAATGCCTTGTCTAAATCCACCACAGTCCTCAGCATCATCATGAACAAATTGCAGCAGTTATGCACCAAGCAGGATGCAAAGCAGGAAACACACATTCTCACATGCGGTGGTCAATCAGCCAAGTAAAGCCAAAGTTGTTGTTGTTCCCAGTTCAAAGATGAGGAAATTGAACCTCGGAGGGGTCAAATAACTCATCCCCAATCACAAAGCCATTAAGTGGTTCTGTCAGGATTTGAATCCATAGCCTAAGTTCATCACCACATTCTTCTCCTTGTCTCAGTTTCGGTATTTCTCACAAATCAAGGGACCTGGAGAGAAACAGAAACTATTTCCACAACATCAAGAATGTCACTTAGAATCAATATTGGCCTGGCTTCGATAACTTACCTAACAGAGAGGTAATCTTTTCATGGGGCACCCCACACTTCACGCCACACTTAGGCAAGAAGAAATGTTCACAGTCTCAGCTGATGCCAGGGAACTTTACAGCAAAGGAAACGTTGAAGCGCCTCCTGGGCTGTGTCCCTCCATCCCTGTGCCTCTGTCATCCTGTCTACAGATTCTCATGACAGCAATGACAACTCTCAACCGATTTTCTACATAAGGGGTCCCCGACCCCCAGGCCTGTAGGAACCAGGCCCCACAGCAGGAGAGGTGAGCAGTGGGTGAGCGAACGAAGCTTCATCTGTGTTTACAGGCACTCCCCATTGCTCCCATTACTTCCTGAGCTCCTCCTCCTGTCAGATGAGTGGCAGCATTAGAGTCTCATAGGAGTATGAACCTTATTGTCAACTGCATGTGAGGGATCTAGGTTGTACGCTAGTTATGAGAATCTAATGCCTGATAGTCTGTCACGTCTCCCATCACCCCCAGATGAGACCATCTAGTTGAAGGAAAACAAGCTCAGGACTCCCACAGATTCCACATTATGGCGAGTTGTATAATTATTTCATTATACATTAGAATGTAATAATAATAGAAATAAAGTGCACAATAAATGTAATGGGCTTGACTCATCCCAAAACCATCCCCACTCTGGTCCGTGGAAAAATTGCCTTCCACAAAACTGGTCCCTCATGCTGAAAAGGTTGGGGACTGATGTTCTATGTATATGATAGAACATGTTACTGACATGTTACATTATATGTACTATTCTGTGTTGAAGCAAACGAAGCTCTCTGTAAGCCTTTCGGAAATAGTACAGATACGGAAACAGGGGCATCTAAAAGTCGGCCATCAGGCACTCAGGGTGACATACTCTGCTTGCCCTTTGTTATAGGAAATGCCCTGGAGTTGAGTCTGGGAGGTACTGGGAGGTGTCTCAGCAGGAGATAAGCAGCGGGGACTTGCCGTCTTCCTAGATAGTACTGTTACTTGGTTGGTACCTTTCATCTCAATGCCCATTTGTGATACCAGTTTGACCCCAGTAGCACCCAATTTCAGACTTCCCCAGCCACCTGTGACTTAGAGTGAGTAGAGAGGCAATTAGGGCACATGCTTCGATCATTTTGAGTGACAGAGTCTTCCAGATAAAAACAATATAAAAGAGAGACTGCTAAGGGTCTCTGGGGTGAAGGGTCTATAGATCCGTCACTTCCACAGGGAAGATTGCTTTTCTTGGTTGTTTGCTGAGACCTGGGGGGCATTGAGCACTGGGAAATCAATGATTGTACAGCTTTATATAAAAAGGGCACCCAGCAATGCTCACACAGTCTACAGGGCTCATTTCTTCCTGAGGCAGAAGAGTTTTGCTACACTGACAAGAATCCTTCTGGCTGGACACAGTATGTCACCTGTTGTAGAGGGGCTAGAGTTTGAGACCATCACATTTGCTTTCTGCAAGCCCTGAAGATTTAAGAGTGAACCTACATTGTTTATTGGGATGTTCGCAGGTTGTAGTGGTAAGATTGGATCAGCGCGGTACCAGTTAGCAGAGAGGGATGATGTTTTTAAAGAGTCTTCCAGCAGCCACAAACATCTATGAAAGATACTTCCATCAAAAACAAAGCTTGAAGTCAAAAAAAATGGGGAATTTAAGAGCATCTAGATTTGTCTGTTATGTGCAACAACTTCTTACCTGACTGGTTGTGCCTTGGGTAGTATCACTGGTGCCTTATGCATGAATAATGTATGTATAATGTATGTGTCACTGCCTTAGAATAAGCAACGTGGACCACAGGTCTTGGGCACCTTAAATAATTTATATTTAAAATCTACATCTAGTCAGAGATGCATCTGCATCTACATGTAACATTTATGAATGCAAGTGGAACTTTTTTTCCCTTTTTTTTCAAAAGCTAAATTGCCTGTATTTGAGTGTTAGTGTTCCAATTAATTTAGTTGACATCATTTCAACTTTGTTGGAATACCTACTACTTACAGTAAGTTATGTGGGCCCTTGTTATGAATTAATGAGAGCAACAGAGAAATAACTTCAGGGAAAGGGTACATCTTTAAATAATTTACCCACGTGGGTAGGTAGGAAAACTGGATCTGTGGTCATGCGTAGTGTGCGGGTATCCGAAGCTGGGTGTCCACAGTCACATCGGGTCCTCTGTATCTGTGGCACAAGGGCAGACAGAGAGGTCAGTGTCCAACACCATGGAGGACCACAGGCTCACCTCCCTCAATGGGGTCAGCATCTCATAAATTAGTCATGCTGGAGCCCTCTCCAGGAGTTCCTGGTGGGAGCTAAAGGGAAGGTGAACTCCTTTCTTTTAAACACTGCTATCATGTTAAGATCCACTGCCAGGAACTAGGAGGGCAGAGTGAAGACAGAGAAATGCAAAGACTGTATTCTGAAAAGTTAAGGAAGCAGTTCTGTGGGTGAGGATAGTGAATAATAATGTTGTGAGTTGTTTTGATGAGCCAGGCAATGTGTTGATCACTTCACATGTAGTATGGTCTTTAATTTTTATTTGAAAAACTGAAGGCCAGACATGGTGGTTCACACCTGTAATCCCAACACTTTGGGAGGCCGAGGCAGGTGGATCACCTGAGGTTGTGAGTTCAAGAGCAGCCTGAGCAACATGGAGAAACCCTGTCTCTACTAAAAATATGAAATTAGCTGGGCATGGTGGCGTGTACCTATAATCCCAGCTACTCTGGAGGCTGAGGTGGGAGAATCACTTGAACCTGGGAGACAGAGGTTGTGGTGAGCCAAGATCATGTCATTGCACTCCAGCTTGGGCAACAAGAGCGAAACTGTATAAAAAGAAAGAGAGAGAGAGAGAGAAAAGAAGGAAGGAAGGAAGGAAAGAAAGAGAAAGAAAAAGAGAGAGAGGGAGGGAGGGAGCGAGGGAAGGAAAAATTGAAAACCCTGAGGTAGGCACCTTAATTCTACCCATTTTTCACCTTAATTCTAACCACTTTCCAGATAACAAGCACAGAGTGGCCAAGCAACTTTCTTACTGTCACAAAGAACAGGGATTGGAAGCCAAGAAGCCGAAGGCACCACAGCGTCTTTTTGAAACTTGGTGCTTTCGTGCCTGCCCAAATTCTCTGATTAAGAAAGAATTAGTTTCCTAATTCTTTTATTTTTAAAATAAAAATAAAAGATTAAATCAGATCAAACAGTTGGCCAATATACATGTTGGTTATTCACACGATGGAGGCCTCATTGCCTGATACATCCCATACTGACAGTAGCAGATTTGGAACTCATGAAACCCTCATCGCTTCAACTTCCTGCAACACCCCAGCTCCTTCTAATAGAACCCAGTGTCTCCTTAATTCTTTATGTGATGAATACGTATTGAGTAGCTACTCTGTGTTAGTCCCTGGACAAGAGCAGAGCAAAGGCAAGAACGAGATAGGAGAGGTCTCCCTCTCACAGAGTTTGGAATATAGTAGACATATTCATAGTTCTGACTGGGCAAAATTCTTCTCTCTTACTTTTATCCATAGTTTCCAGCTCTGAAACCTAATGCTACAAAGATAAAAGTTGCATTTGATAGATAATGCAATGGAACACTACTCAGCCTTTAAAAAGGAGAAAATCCTGCCATTTGCAACATCATGGATGAACCTGGAGGATGTTATGCTAAGTGAAATAAGGCAGACTCAAAAGGACAAATATTGCACGTTACCACATATGCAGTGAATCTAAAATGGTCAAACTCATGGAAGCTGCATGGGAAAATGGTTGCAGGGGCTTGGGGGAGGGGATTGGTGTGGTATTAGACAACAGTACAAAGTTTCATTTATACAAGATGAGCAACTCCTAAAGACCTACTATTTAGAGTTTCACTTAACATTGTTTCTCTGTAATGTTGATGAGAAAACAAAAATGGTCATTGGTCCCTGGGCCTCCCTGCTGTGTGCTCTGCCGTTGATGTTACTTAGCTTCTTTCTCTGTATTGACATCTTTTTGCCTTGCTACCTAGTTACTAAGTCTCTCCAAGTTTCTATTCCAAATTCCCAAGAGATCACAATGATTGACGCAACCTTAATCATATGAGTTGGTTCCCCTTTGGGGTATGCCCACCTCTGGCCCAGTAAGCCATGGTGCTGTGGCAAGGACAAGTGTACCATAAGGTTGGCCCCCCCCCCGCCCCAGGGGCTGAGGGTTGGGCAGATTAACCTGGAAGGGAAAGGGTATGTCTAGCAAATTAGAACAAGTAAGAAGTATGATCACCTGTAAGTTCATGCTACATTTTCTGGAGGTTTTTCTTAATTATTTAATTCTCCTCTCAGACCTTCTGTGACTCCCAAACCAATAAACCATTTTTGTTTGGATGTTGTTCTTTTCTTCCCTTGAAAAATACTCATTCAGGTTCTTCTCTCATTCCTTCAAAAGAGACTTCAGGCCGGGCGCAGTGGCTCACACATATAATCCCAGCACTTTGGGAGGCTGAGGTGGGCAGTTCACCTGAGGTTGGGAGTTTGAGACCAGCCTGACCAACATGGAGAAATCCCATCTCTACTAAAAAAAAAAAATTAGCCAGGTGTGGTGACGCATGGGAGGCTGAGGCAGGAGAATTATTTGAACCTGAGAGGCGGAGGTTGTGGTGAGCTGAGATTGTGCCATTGCACTTCAGCCTGAGCAACAAGAGGGAAACACCATCTCAAAAAAAAAAAAAAAAAAAACTTCAAGCAAGGGAGGCTATGCTATCAAAGTATATTTTCCTCCTCTTCTGCAAGGGGTCTACATTTAAGTCAATAGTAGCACAATATAAGAAGAAAGACTATTACCAGCTAACATTTATTGAGTATTTACTAGGCTATCAGCACTGGTCTAAGCACTTTACAGGTTAAATTCATGTATTTTCTACAATGATCTTAAGCAGAATTTCCTTCATTTTCTTATTTCCAAAATTATACTACCTAATATAGAAGGTGATGATGAATTTTGAGAGATAATGTACCTGAATTTCTTATTGTTCATGGTATATGCGGAATAAATTGTGCCTGCTGATTGCTGTAGTGGTATCATCAACTACAACATTGTTCCACAGCTGAGTGGCATCACTGTTTTGTAGTTCCTTAAAAGAGACCACTGCTCTGAATCTGACTAAACTGAAGACAGAGCACCAAAATCAAATGGGGATTCAGATGTCCAAAGGATGGGAGGTGAATGATAAAAATGGTTAGAGTCACAAATTGGAATCCAGTGGAGCGATAGTGCCGCAGAGTCAAGATCCTAGAGAGCAGAATTCTGAGAAACCCATGTCCAGAGAATGTGGTCAGGACCTTGGAGAGCTCATGGTGATGTCCAAGTGTCTTCCACAGTTTAGATCTCAGACTAGTGCAAAAGTCTGCATGGGGCTCCAGCCTTGTAAGGGTCTCATCTTGTTTTATTTGGAGGCTCTGACATAGTGGAACTCTGGGTGCCAAAGGGATAGTTCAGAACAGGAATCTTCTGACCTGGATAGGGCAATCAAATTCTTGATTGTGTTAGTGCATCAGGATCCTTGTCAGATAATAAGAACTTTTCATCTTCCTGTGTCAGCAGAGTTCAGCTCTACTACCAGAATAGAAAAAAAAATTGCAAAGTATATAGCAAAAAATTAGCAAACAGCACCAACTTCTTTTCTTATGTAACCCACAGTGAACAAGAGGCAATTGTCTCAATCGGATTCAGGAACAACACTGGGTTACATTTGGATTCTATGTATTTTTAGATGTTTAATTTCTATTTGCCTATTTCATGAAAGATTGGTAATCACACATAAATCTGCATGAGTAAGAAGAGACCCATGAAAATAAATAGTCCTACAGATGTAAGATTTGAGATAAAACATATCTTAAGTGAATAGATTGTCTTTGTTCTTCATGAACCTTCAACCTTCATGCCACATAGGTTTGGTGAAGAACGTTTTTGATGTCTGTTACCCACATGGAGGGTTTCTGCCTGTCTATTTTGGGTAGAAGATACTTAGAACAAAAGTCGTCTTGAAGGGAGGAGAATATCAAGAAATAAATCATGTCTGTGTTCCTATAAAACTAATAACAAACTTGGTAAACATGCATCTGAAAAATAACTAGAAGTGCTATTCTACTGTTACTATAAAGGACCCTGAGTACTGTAGATTTGGTTAAACTGTGGGTAGCCAAGAGGGACGAGGACCTGGATTTTGTCCTGAGCTTTTGGCAGGCTGGTAGAGGGACAAGTCCCCTTTGGATAAGTCCCCTTTTCTCTCTGGGTGTGTCTCCTCATCTGTAGTAGAAGGACCATTGGATTAGCTGGTCTACAAGATTCCTTTCATGATCAGAAGTACAGAGTAAGTATATGAATGATGCGTGAATTAATGAACAAACTTCTCCCTGTTGCGACATTCCAGGAATAGCCCATGGACTTGCAAAGAGAGGCAAAAAATGGCATCTACCAGCTGCTTCCTCTTCTTAGGAGTCTCCAACAGAGCCTAATAACATGGGGAAGCATTACTAAATTATGACTTTGTGCAAGATTATTAACTCGGAGTGAATGGCTATTCTTTTTGGAGATTTTAAGCAGTCATGGAACCAGGATGGACTCCTGAGATGGACAACTGCATTTATTCACTTCAAACACAACATGATAAAAATGTTTTTGAAGCTGTAATTTTACATCCTGAAAAAAGGTTAAATTTAAGGCAATGTACAAAGACAAAGAATGACTTTGAGCAAATGCATTAATTTGGTTTGAGATGTTCAGAATTTAATGTTGACTAAATTGGTTAATCTGAAGTCTTTTGGGAGTGGTGACAGTTATCCTGTCCTTACTGTAATCAATGTGCTTGATTTGGTGGAAATTTTACATATAGCCTTACGAATCCTTTTGACTGAAGTGCAAGTTTCCTCTAGAAACGACCAGTTTTAGGAGGGCGTGTGTGTATGTGTGTGTTTGTGTAAGAACACATACTGGACAAGACTTCTTGAAAAACAGACTCAGTAGTGTCAAGCAGCATATAACTCTCCCCAAACCAAAGCCTCCTGCCCTATTTTCTGCCTTTCCTCTGCTCCCTGGCAGAGCTGACCTACCATCTCTCTCGGTAACTTGGCACCACTACTATCCAGAAACTGAAGTGGGATGGGTCGTTTTGTTTATTCCGTGAAGTTACTGTGAGTGCACATCCTGGAATCTGAGAGATCCAGATCTGAATCTCAGTCTCTTGTGTCTTCACAGCCTGCCTGTATGACTGGGATAAACAACCTTAACCATTAGTTTCTTCATCTGCAAAATGGGGATGTAGTACCTTCCTCACAGAGCAATTATGAGACTAAATGAGGTCAAATACGTGAAATGATTAGCACCTTGCCTGGTGTTTTGCAAGTAAGTGTTCAACATCTGAGAGGCACTACTAGTATCAGTAGTACTGTTGGTATTTATCAGGTGCCTTCTGTGTACCAGGTACCAGGTGAATCCCCAGAGATGAAAATTGGACCGAGTCTGTATTTTCAAGTAGCTCAAAATCTAGCAAGAAAAAATGGCAGGCAAGCAAGTAATCAGGGAACAATTGGGTAAGTGAGGTGACAATAAGGCATTAACATAAACCCAGACAAGGGGCAGTAAGGAGGGGAGGGGCTGCTTCTTGAAAAAGGTGACATATGGGATGACTCTTTTTTTTTTTTTTTTTGTTTTTGTTTTGAGATGGAGTCTCACTCTGTCACCCAGGCTGGAGTGCAATGGCACAATCTCAGCTCACTGCAACCTCTGCCTCCCGGGTTCAAGTGATTCTCCTGCCTCAGTCTGCTGAGTAGCTGGTATTACAGGCATCTGCCACCACACCCAGCTAATTTTTCTATTTTTAGTAGAGATGGGGTTTCACCATGTTGGCCAGGCTGGTCTCAAACTCCTGACCTCAGGTGATCCACCTCCCTCGGCCTCCCAAAGTGCTGAGATTATAGGCATGAGCCATTGCACCCAGCAGGGATGAATCTTAAACCAAGTGACAAAAAGGTAAGAATAATGACTGATACATTCAGGGATCAGGGATAGTCTGTGCAGAGGCCAGAGAGAAGAGTATGGAGGTTGGAGAAAGGCAGCCCTCCTCTGCCCTGGCTCCAGAGACCCCATGTCTGCCACAGCACAATTGTCTGAGTCCTGCAGTAAATGCTGTAAACTGTTGTTGTTGGTTTTGTTGTTGTTGTTGTTGTTTTGTTTGTTTGTTTGTTGTTTTCAGTTAGAAGCAGTGTCATTCATACAAATGAAATACCAAACAGGACCCCCATGGCAGAGGCAACTTCTCATTTTATCTCTTGCTCCTCAGCGCTTTTGAGTCTCTCCCTGCATCACTTCCCTGCCCTACACCTGCCAGGTCTGTGGGTCCTCTTTCATGTTTGTAGTTCTCCAATACTCTTCAGGCCCAGTGATCCTTTTCAGACTCTTGTCCTCTAGAAAAGCAATTCAGATCTCGCCCAAGGCTTACTTCTCGGTTTCTGGCTATAATTGCCCTCATAGTACCCTGACCCCAGACTCCTACTGGATGCCATCCGAAAGAGTTCTCGAAGCCCTCATCTGCGCTATAGGCACAGACCACTCTCCCCAGCCCTGACAACCCTGACCTCACATGCCCTTGGGATTTCCGTTCCTCTTCCACTGTTCTTTTTTTTTTTTTTTCTTAGTTGCAGAGTTTTTCGGAAGGACTGATTACCGAGTCTCTTCTTTCCCCAAGAGTACTTCTTTGTCACAAATGATTCCACTCCTTGAGGACATTTGGTGACATTTAATTCATCTCCTGTTCTCTGCTTGGATGAATTCTGGGAACTCCCTGAGAGGAAGGACAAGGCAGTGGAACATCTGAGCAATGCGATCTTTATGTGGTGGGTGAAGGTGATGGATTTTCATCTCCTTCTTCACGTTTTTTCCTGCTGCATGGGGACCTCTGGGCATTCTCCTTTCTCTTCCTTGCTTTTAACTGATTTATTCTTTTCAGGCTTATGACTTTTCTTTTGTGATAACTGATTTATTATTTTCTGATAAGTTATTCTTTTGTGATAACTGATTTATTCTTTTCTGGCTTCTGACTTTTCTTTTGTGATAACTGATTTATTATTTTCTGATAACTTATTCTTTTGTGATAACTGATTTATTCTTTTCTGGCTTATGACTTTTCTTTTGTGATACCAGTTTGTAAATGTGTAACTTGTCTGATCTTTCTTCTTTCAGCACCCACCTCTCATGCTATAGCGTTTGCACTCCATTGCATATTGTTTAAGACTGGGACTCATTTGAGTTGTAACGCAGGTGTGAGAAGCTTTGCAAGGCTACAGAACTGTGTTCATCCGTCTCTTGACTTGGACTATGGAAGTTGCCACCTGCTCAGATGCCCTGAATGGTATGTTGGGCTCTAAATTGGCCTGACAGTACCACAGTCCTCTTCCAATTTCTTGGGGATGTCCAGGCATTGGATAATGGCAGCCCAGTTGCTTCTGCTTGCAGTGGAAGGAAGGGTTGGCATCGTTCCCCAGCACCCACCATTTGCTGGGAAGGAAGGACTGTTCTTCCCTTTCTTTAACTTGCACCTCAATGCATAAAGAATATCTGCCCTTTCCCCAACATGGGGCAGGGGTGGCCTGCTGGAATGGGAGTTCCAGCTTCTTTCTCAATCCCTTATTCACTCCTGTCATAGGAAGACAAGTTGCTAAATGACTGTGGGAAACCGAAACACCCTTCCAGCCACATATACTGTTAGATAAGGTTCCTGGCTCTCAAAGGCAGAGCCCCACCTCCATTCTCCATTCTCCCTCTTCCACTCTCTCCATCCAGGTGCAGCAAGCCGTTTTGTGCTTCCTGTTCCCTGGACCCGCCCAAGCCCTGAGCAGGCATGGGTTTACCCTCCTTGTACCATCTAATGAGGCCGGGCAGAGCATCAGATGGGAGGTTCTGGTCACTCTCAGGCAAAGCCCTGCTCTCCAGCTCACTTTATGACAGCACTCTGCCTTCAGGGTTGTCATCACCTGTTCAGATAATAATCTAGCTCATCATTTTTCATCTGCCTGGTGTTCTTTGCGTGTTGCTTCCAGAGGCAGAATCCCAGAGAAGAGAGGGAACTGTCAGCTCCTAAGAATCACTCCTCCAGAAAAGCTCAGCAACCAAGAGGAAAAAAAAGAAGAAACACAGTGAAAGAGGAATGCTTTCCTTATTCCCACCCTCATCCCTCACCTATTCTTTCTCTACTTCCTCACGTTCCCTCCATCCCTGGGAGATTTACCATCTGCCATTCCCTGTGTGTCATACAGTTCTAGGCTCTGTGCTTCTGTCCTGCCTGTGCCTGAAATTCCTTACAATTTTCCCCATTTGCCATCCAGCCAACCCCTGCTTATTCAAAACTCAGATTCAGCCTCCCTTCTTCCAGGAGATCCTTGACTCCCCAGCCAGGCTTAGCTGCCACTCTTCTGGGCTTTCCCAGTGCCCAGTCATGGCTCTCATCAGTGTATTCTCTAAAACCATTGACTTCTTCGCCTTCCCTAGCAATCTGTGAGTCTGTAGAAGAAAAGGCCATATCAATCTAACTTTGTATTCCTGGTTCTTGGCACATAGTGGGTGAACTCACACAGACTAGAGATAAATCAGAGATGAATGAGTGCCCCCTTGAGTCCAGGGCGTACCTGTAAAATTGCAAATATCTGCATGTACGAGTTGCAGGCAGGGAAACTGAGTCACAAGAAGAGTTGCTTGCATAAGACTTCGCTAGTAAATGGCAGAGCTGGTGCATGTGAAAATTTCTAAGGCAGAAATATGTACTTATTTAAAAATTTTTTAAAAAGCAAGAAATTGTCTAGACAAGTTTTTTCTTTGTTCGTCTGTTGTTTTTTGTTTTTGTTTTTGTTTTGAGACAGAGTCTCACTCTGTTGCCCAGGCTGGAGTGCAGTGGTGCGATCTGGGCTCGCTGCAAGCTCTGCCTCCTGGGTTCACGCTATTCTCCTGTCTCAGCCTCCTGAATAGCTGGCACTACAGGCGCCCGCCACCACGCCCGGCTAATTTTTTGTATTTTTAGTAGAGATGGGGTTTCACTGTGTTAGCCAGGATGGTCTCAATCTCCTGACCTCGTGATCCACCTGCCTCGGCCTCCCAAAGTGCTGGGATTACAGGCATGAGCCACCACGCCCGGCCTAGACACAAGTTTTAACCCTGTAAATTCTGTTGCCTCTAACTGCAACCAAAGCCCCAATTCATCGCATTCTGCAGAGTGCTGCCCACATTCACTTGGGGAATCAGCAGCATGTACACCTCATTACTTCACCTCCAAACCCAGCTCACAAGCAGGCAGGATGCGCACCAACTGTCCGGTTAGCAGAGCTTCCCATTTAAATCAAATTCTCTTCTCCTCCCAAGCTCATTTCAAAGGCATTCATTGGTCTGAATACATGTGCTGGTGGAACGAAATGACACTCACCCCAAAACAAAAGGAAAAAAAAAAGCTGATCTGATGTAAAATCTGTCTGCATTTCAGAGCTGTCGAGATGAAAAATGAAGCCACGAGTTTGGCCTTTAAAAATATTAATTTCTTATAAAGATGAACTGGAGAGTGGTAACTAGAAAATTCCCTTATCTCCTAGGAAGAAAACACAGGATGAAATTCTGGTCCTTCTTCTTGAGTCTTGTATGTCATTTCCAAATTCAACGATTACTTGTTCACGGTTCATTTATGAGGTTTCTGAGCATAATGAATGTCCGCACATGTCACTGAGTTATTGATGAATCATTGTTTCTATTCTGAGCTCAGTTCACGTAGTTCAATGTGCTTTGGCTTGGCTGTCACTTTAGGAGATGATAGTTAACCCAACGGAGTAAATCTGGCCAGTTCCCGAGTGGGGGCAGGGGGTTGGGCTCAACTAAGGGCACCAACAATAAATGCCTCCTTGCTGGTAGATGGGAAGGACTGAGAAGACAGAGGGGAAATTGCTTGCATTCTGCTAACATCTGCAACGTCTGTAACAGTGTCTTTTCCAGCAGTTGTAAAGGATCCTCACTCTCCCTTTCCTCCCTCAGTCCCAGTTCCTCCTCCAGAGCTCCTCGTGATCATCTCCCAAAGCCACTCACTTGCTGTTCTGTCCTTTGAGGCCTCTGTCCACTTCCAGCTCCTGCCTCTCTTTCCTGGACCATTGCAGAGTCTCAGAACTGCCTCTCTGCTCCCACTTCCATCCATTCTCTCACTGCCTCCAGAACATTCTCCTTTTCTGAAACACTCTCCTCTGCTTGAAAGTACTGAAGGCTTCATCTTGCCTAGTGCAGCAATTCCACATTCCTTATAATCTAGTCCCAAACCACTGTCTGGCCTCCTCTCCTTTCCCTCCTTCTGAACACCCTAGATTCCTGCCAAATATAATGTTATTCCACAAACCTATGAGGACCTTGCCTGCCCTCTGTGCTTTGCACATGCTCTTCCTCCAGCCTTTGCACTCTTTCCTTCCCTCGTCCACCTGGGAGACTCCTGCTGATCTTTTCAGACTCAGCTTAAATGTCCCCACCAAACCTCCCCTCCCTCTCCCCATTGGAACCAGCTCCACACTGCACTCCACCATGTTGGCATGTACAGTACATGTGGCTACCAGTTGATTGACAGATTGTCCCTGTAAGCCAGTCTGCTCAGGGCTATCTCTGACAAAATAGTGTGTTCCCCTTCCTTGGGGAGTAACTTTAGACAATTTGCAGTGGATACTGGGCTGCAGCCTTGATGCTGTTTTTTCTCTGGAAACTATGCTTGAAATATATTTGAATGAATAAAATAATACATCTAGTAAAAATACATTTTTCTATTTTTTTCTAAAAGTATCTTACACATTTTCCATCAGGCTCAATTGTGAAATCCCTCCAGATTCCTAATTATCTTCTTCCCAAGATAACAAGATTTCTGTCCTCTCTTCACAAAGACATAGGACATGGACTCAGAGACGTCCAGGCATCTAACTCTCTGCCTGTCTGTCTCTCTGGGGAAGCCAATGGTTTTTTTGTTTTTGTTTTGTTTTGTTTGAGATGGAGTCTCACTCTGTCTCCCAGGCTGGAGTGCAGTGGTACAATCTCCGCTCACTGCAACCTCTGCCTCCCGGGTTCAAGTGATTCTCCTGCCTCAGCCTTCCGAGTAGCTGGGACTACAGGTGCACGCCACCATGCCAGGCTAATTTTTGTATTTTTAATAGAGACAGGGTTTCACCATATTGGCCAGGTTGGTCTCGAACTCCTGACCTCGTGATCTTCCTGCCTTGGCCTCCCAAAGTGCTTGGATTACAGGAGTGAGCCACCGTGCCCAGCCAGGAGCCAGTGGTTTTAAACTGATCATCATCCATTCCCTTTCTCAGACTTAGGTCCCTGGTCCTGTGTAGCCCCTGTTTTCTTACAAAACAGGAAGAAGCTCTATTGTTGGCCAGAAAGCAAAGCAAAGGAACCTGAGCACACAGGATTCTAACTCATGCTGTTGATTTCATTAGTATAGGTCTTGCATCGTAGATGCCAAACAGAGTATCCACTTACCTTGGTGGCCACAAAACCACCTTGAGGACTAGCAAAAGAGCCATATGGGGTCTTTTCTGTCTGTTCACCCCACCTTCTAAAATCCCCACCTCTCACACCTGGTCTCTGATGACACTTGTCTCGGATGTGACTCTGTGTCTGCCCCACAAGATGATGTCTTCATCTGCCATTTAACCCAACCCTTTCTGAGTTCTGATCATGTTCCTGCACCAGGGAGTGAGAATGGCAAAGCCAAGGAAAAACGTACTGCTGCCCTCACCGTACTCATGGTCTAGCGTGGAACAGCCTCGCTGCTTTACTGGGCTGCTGTGGGAAGGAACTAGCACAGTGTATGCAATCACTGGAAAAGACGGCTGGGGAGCTCAACAGCAGGAGACAAAGTCCATCCTAGTATTCCCAGAGATTCTTTCTCATCCTTTTATATATATAAAAAAAAATTTAAATTTATTATTTATATATTTATATAAATTATTATATATTTTCTATATATTTTATAAAAATTATATATTTATATATATGAATAAAATATATTTTATATTTTATATTTATAAATATATATATTTATAAATATAAATAAAAATTTATATTTTTATATATATAAATATAAATATATTTATATATTTATATTTATAAATGAAACTGTATAATTTTTATATAAATTAATATTATACATTCATATATTTATAACTCATCCATATATATATATATATATATATATAAAAACCTTCTGGCGCCACCCAAGGGCCAGCACCTCCAGCTAAACATTCAAAAGCAGAGGAGCTGCATTCCTCTCCAGCGTGAGGGAACCACACTCACCAAAGAAAGCCAAAACAGACCCCGTTGACATGCACATATTTCCACAAACATCATAAAAGTCCTTTTCACTTTATTTCATTACCAGACTATCAGGGAGAATTTCCCAGTGGAAATCTTCACCCAATTTGCTCCATATGGATTTTCTACCTTATTTTACTACTGAGAAAGCAGTCTACATGTTTTATTTGCAAGAGAATCAAAAGATGGAAAATTGTCACATGAGGGACAGTGAGAACAGGTAGCTGATAGAAATACAATTGACAGTTGCATCCTGGAAGAAGCTCTAACGGTCTTCATTTCTCTCAGCTTGATGTTGGGCCAAGTTTTTACTTCTTTAAAAGAAAAAAAAACTGGCCCTTAAAGCAATAAGATATTGATCCCTTAAATTATCTGTGTATTGAATTAGGCTAACAGAATCTAAGTTTAAGCAAATTTGAAAGAATGATCTTGAACACGAGATAACAGGCCCCGAGTTTGTACTCCCAGGTAATGGTGACCATACACTTTTACCATACCAGATAATCAAGAAATATTGGGTCTGCCACTCCTTAATGTAACGCTGGCATGTGCCTTGAGAATCCAGCACAGGCAGTTTGCTCCTGAGGAGGACCAGGGGTAAAGTTTATTCTCCCTTTTTCCTTCTCAACTGTAATTCACCCCTCAATTACTCCCTCTCTTGTATTCCCAAACTGCATTTTCTTTTCGCTCATATCCTGTGGTTTGTCTCAATTCTATGCAGCTAGGTGCCTGAGCTAGAAACTACCTACCAAACTGGTGCCTCATTCCCCTGGCTCCTCACATGAAACGTGCACTCCGGCCACAGAACTTAGCAGTCGCTCTGCATGGGGACAGATCCTGGCTCTGTCATTTCCTCTGGACTAACTAGGGGAAGTCATTTAACATTCTGAGCCTCAGTTTTGTCATCTATGAAGTGTGTCAGATGGTGAGGACCATGTCACAGGTTGCGGTGAGAGTCAAATAGGGATAACTTCCAGAAAACTCACAAAGGCTGACATGTGTTAAGTGATCAGTAGATGTTATTTATTTTTACAGTCATCATCAAAACCCTAATTGATAACTAGGTATTTTTTATTCCACTTTCCTGTGGTGTGTGTGTGTGTGTGTGTGTGTGTGTGTGTGTGAGTTTCACTATTGTTGCCCAGGTTGGAGTGCAATGGCGTGATCTTAGCTCATTGCAATCTCTGCCTCCTGGGTTCAGGCGATTCTCATGCCTCAGCCTCCCGAGTAGCTGGGAAGAGACAGGGTTTCATCATGTTGGTCAGGCTGGTCTCGAACTCCTGACCTCAGGTGATCTACCCATCTCGGCCTCACAAAATGTTGGGATTACAGGCACAAGCCACAGACCTGGCCTTTTGTTCCACTTTCTAAAACTCTCTTTCATTCCTCTGCTACTCTCCCTCCTGGACCATCTCGTCTCACCTGGATGGATATACTGTCAGTGTCAGGTTCGCCTCTTAAGTCCTCAGTACTGAGCACAGTGCCTGGCAACATATGGCCCCAAAATAAATCCCTGATCCATTGAATTGAATATTCTAGCCCTCGCTCACCAGTTAATTGATGTTATTCCTGGCCACTTCCGGGACATGGGCAGAGGAAAAGCTATTGAACATGTATAATAGCCAAACATGGCATTCGTGATTTAGAAGAATTCGGAACAGACCCAAAATATGCTTTGGAAACTCAAATCATCCATCATTTCTCCTATAAATTTCAGTAATCATTTCTGTTTGGTTTGTTTTAAGGATTTGATGCATTTAAAATTTAAATGTGGGAAAGTTACGCCTTTTGTTTTATTTCCTAGTAGTATGACCAATGAGGCAAAGAATCCAAACTCATTAAGTTTCACACATAAAGGATTGAAATGTGTACAGTACTTACAGCGAGCACAGGCTGAGTGATGAAGCTCTCTTTTTAGGCCTTGAACACGTTGACATACGCAATATTTTTCATCCACAGAATATAGTAAGAACATCATCTCACACCATGAAACATTAATATTGGTTTTATGACTGTGCACAATGCAGTAACACATTGCTGAGCTGCCAAGAAATTTAAAGAATAAAAAAGATTTAGACACTGAAAGAACCTTGAATCATTGAATTTGGGGAGGTAGGGAGGAAGGTTGGAGTATGCCTAGGAGCTGATTATGTGGCTTCCAACAAGTGAACTAGAGCCAAACTATGTGTATTTTAAATGATTTGGATCCTTAGGTTTAGTACTGGTGGGTGTGGCTCAGTTCTGCCTAGTCACCATTCAGTGGTGGGTCAGGAAGCCAATGGGTTCAGCAAAAAAACCGGAATGACAGTCTGTCAGCATGGAGGTGACCACTGAACCTGTGGAAGGTAAGGAAACTACTAGAGGAAGGACAGTGACCAGCACTTGTGACACATGCTATCTCTTCCCTTTTTTGTACCCATAGTAGACATCACTAATCAATGGCGGCACCTTTGCCCTTTGAGTCCAGATATAACCTTGGGATCCTACTTAACAAAGGGGCCTATGCACAGTTGCCATAATTGATACAATTTGCCATATAAACTGAAATGTAACATTCCTAAAATTTTTAAAAATAAAAAACAAAGGTAGAAGGAAGCCCAAGTTTTGTCAATGAGGCTGCATTTTTAAAATGTAGGTAACTCTTTTCTTATCACCCAGTAGATTCTTTAATGGCAAAAAGGCCAGGCTTGCTTAACTACTGTAGTTCTCTGTCAAATCACTACACTCATTTATTTGGTAACTATTGAACACCTGCTTTGTGACAGCAACATACATGCTAATTGGTAGCTGTCCCATTATTTTGGCAGTTCTCAGTTCTGAGCCTTGGGACAGGGAAGCCTGGACCATCTTGCTCCAGATTTCAGTAAATTGGGTCCCCGGGATTTAAAGAGGAGATGAGGATCCCCAGATACGCTTGGAGGTATAAAGGTATCTCCAAGCCACAGTTTTCCCGAGACAGTCCTTAAGCGCCGTGCCCCTCAATTTTCCCAGCTGCGAAATGGGCAGCTGCTGAAAAAGAGACCCTGCAGCATTGTCATGAGGTTCAGATGAGAGAGATAAGTGCCTGGGTCATAGAAGATGCTCTGGAAATGGCAGCAGATATTGTCATTATGCTGATGTTGCTATTGTCGTCATTATTTTTTGTCTCAGTGTACACCCCTGATGCATCGGATGGGAGCACCTTGCTCTCCATTCTTAGAAACTGTGCTCATGCACTTGAGCTTGCCTCCAAAGTCTAGAGCCTCAAGGTCGGCCTGATTATTGACACGTTTGACTACCTAGCTCCAAGCAGGGAGAGCCCTCCAGGCCCTCAGTGGTGGTGTTCTCTTGAAGCCTGTGCCTCAAAAACACTGGTGAGGAAAAGCAGCTGTGACTGCAGGCTGAGAACCAAATACCCAGGTCTGGATTAGGTGTGTCACTTACAGTTGCTGCTCTGAGATCAGACCCAGGCTCAAATCTTGGCCTCACCACTTACCAACCACACACCTGTGAGTCACTGCAGCTCTTGCGTGCTCAGTGTCCTCATTTGCATCACAGGGATGGCATTCCGTGCCTGCGATTCACTATGGGTCTTAACAAATCTATTCCTTCTCTTCCCCTCCCACTTCAGTGGTAGCTTCGCGAATCACGACCAAGTCATACCAGGCCCTGTTAAGATTCCCATGTAACAACAACTTTCTATGAAACAAGAATTTCACATACAACTTCTGGGGCCAACAGGGCTCCAGAATTTACTCCCTGCAATATCCATGAACTCCAGTTTTAAAACTCCAACCCATGAAAAGTAATTTCTAAAGGGAACAATGTGAAATACCCAAGAGAAATGAAAACACACATCCACAGAGAAACCATGAACATGAATATTAATAGCAACATTACGATAATAGCTAAAAAGTGGGAACAACCCGAACGCCCATCCACTAATGAATTCATAAACAAAATGGGCCTGTCCATACAATAGAATATTATTTGGCCATAAAAATGAACGAAGCACTGTGAGATGACGTATTTTTGTTGCTGAAGCCACCTGGCTTGTGGAACTTTGTTCCGGCAGCCATGGAAAATGAAGGCAGATGGTGACTGCTGATGGATATGGAATTTTTCTTTGGGGTGATGAAAATGTTCTAAAATCAATTATGGTGATGGTGATGGTTGGACAACTCTGTAAATATGCTAAAAACAATTGAATTGTACACTTTAAATAGGTGGATTGTGCACTATGTGAATTATATCTCAGAAAGCTGTTACAAAAACAAAAACAAAAACAAAAAGTGTCCCACACTATAGCCAGAATAATCTTATCAAGTCAACCGCCTGGTTAAATCACCACCGCAGGGATCCTTTTCCTCTCAGGAGACCAATCTGAGCCTGTCCATAGATCTGTAAGACAAGTACCATCTGACCCATCTCCATCCAGCCCCTGCTCACACCACGTGTCCCTCTGTCTCGGCCCTCCAGCCCGGGGGTTTCCATCTTCACCCATGCCCATCCCAGGGCCTTTGCACATGCTATTCATGACCTGGAGTATTTTTTCACCTTGCTCCATCCTATTGTCCTCATTACCTCTTAACCTCCCGTCAGATTTTAGCTCAACCATCAGTCTCTTGAGAAGCTTCCTGGTCTCTGAGAGACGGTCAAGTCCTTCATGGAGGTGCTTTCATTGCACCCGAACCTCTTCAGCTATCATTTCACCATTAGAATTTAGCATAAACTTATATGATTAATATCTGCCTCCCACACTGGGCTATAGTTTGTGTAAGAGCAAGGTCCAGGACTATTTCACTCACCTTTGTACCCCCAGAAACTAGCACATAGTACTCTTTATTGTATTTTTTTAATTGATGTAAAATTCACATAACATAAAATTAACCACGTTAAAGTGAACAATTCAGTGGCGTTTAGTACGTTAATTGATGTAAAATTCACATAACATGAAACTAACCATGTTAAAGTGACAAGTTGAGTGGCATTTAGTACTTTCACGATGTTGTGCATCCACCACCTCCAGCTGGTCTTAAAATATCTTTATCATCCCAAAAGGAAACTCCAGAGCCATTAAGTAGCCTCTCCCACTTCTTCCTCCCTGACCCCAGTCCCTGGCTAAAAACAACCTCCTTTCTGTCTCTATGGATTTATCCATTCTGGACCTTCCATATAAATGAACTCATTCAATCTGTGACATTTTCGTGTCTGGAGTTTTTCACTTAGCATAATGTTTTCAAGGTTCTTCCATGTTGTAGCATGCATCAGTATTTCATCCCTTTTTATGGCTGAATAATATTTTCTTGTATGGGTGGAGCACATTTTGTTTATCCATTCGTCTGTTTATGGACATTTGGCACTGTTTCTACCTTCTGGCTAATGTGCTGTTCTATGAACGTGTGCATACATGTATTTCTTTGAGTGCCTGTTTCTAATTCTTTGGGGTATATATCTAGAAGTAGTAGCTCTATGTTTAACTTTTTGAGGAACCATCATACTAGCACCATATGTGGTATTACACATAGCAGTGATACCATTTTATATTCTAACCAACAGTACACAAGAATTCCAGTTTCTCCACATCCCTCCCAGCCCTTGCTATTTTCTGTTGTTGCTGTTTTTTATGCTAGCCATTCTAGTGTCTATGAGGTGCCATCTCATAGTTTTGACTTACATTTATGTCATGATTAGTGATACTGAACATTTTTTCATGTGTTCATTGGCCATTTGTATATCTTCTTTGGAGAAATGTTGATTCAAGTATTTTGCCTACATTTTAACTATGTTGTAGAGTTATAAATGTTGCCTACATCTTCTGGATAGTAGACCCTTATCAGATGTATGATTTGCTGAATATTTTTATTCCATTCTGTAAGTTGTCTTTTCACTTTCTTTATAATGTCCACTTCATTGTATTTTTAACCAACTAAATAACTAATAAGTCCAGTGACAGGCATTTAGATGACATTTGTGGGCAAAACAATCAAGGACTCCCATATGCAATTACTAATTTATAGCTCCCTGGATACCTGGGGGTCAGGAATCAGTCTGTTGATTGGCTGCGGGCTTTCACTTCCATCCAAGCATCAGGTCACATGGTGCCGTCATAGCTGCAGACTCACTTGTGAATAATGGATGTCTTCATATAGGAAGGGTTAAACAGCCCCTGTCCTACTGTGTCCACTGACCAAGTCCCCTTCATGATTTATGGATGATCACATTGAAGGAAGAAGAGAGGAATAGGAGAAGATGAGGTTTCCCAGCACGTCCTTTTCAGGACCTCCATGTCACGCCTCACTGCCAATTAACATTTACTTGAATTCTTGGTTCCCTCCCCAGCAGCTGTTGGGTCCAGCTCTCTGGGGATGTCTGAGATATAAATGCTCAGACCTGCACACTGACATTTAAAGAGCCAGTGAGGGGTCTGCATTCTTTATTTAACACCTTCTTTCTGTTGCAATATGAGGTCCTCCCAGATGCCCCTATGGGAATTACTAATGGCCATCACATCTTGGTTCAGGGAATGGTTGTCTGCTTTTAAGCAAAGCCTGAGACTCATGGGTTTGTACTGCTTCCCAGAGGGCTGAGGAGGAGAAAGGGGTAGGAAGGCCACATCCGTCACCCTGTGATGGATGCACCTTGTGATACATCCCCCTCGAAATCACGTAGATGCATCCAAAAGCCCTTAACCATTATATTTTGCTCTGATAATAAAGCTTAGTCTTTTATGACCACTAAATAATACGTGTTTACTGTAAGGAAAGGACACAAAGGATAAAATGAACATTGCATAACTACATCACCCAGAGATAATTGCTGTTAATATCTTGCTGTATATAATTCTCCTGCTCTATTTATATATTGTAATACATAAATACCTTTTCCACAAAAATGAGAGTTCACTATTCATACAGTTGCATAACCTGCCTTTGCTTCTCAACAATATAATAGAAACATTTTCCATGTCATTAAATATTCCCCTACTAAGCATTTATTTTTAATGTGGGTGCCTCTGGCTTAAACAGCAGCAATCTTCAGTGCTGCAAAGAGCTATGCTTGGTGGATTTGAATACATTCTTCTGCTCAGAGTATTATGAGTTTGTTTAAATGGTACCCGGGTGAAAATATATCGCTGGCTAGCCATTCCTGGAGCAGGAAGAGTGTCTAGTCATTCTTGACTTGCTCAAATCCTGTAAAATTAACCATTTCTCACAGCCGCGGGCTACTTTTCTGGATGGGAAAATTTGCTGGGACTTAAGGTTCCAGGGCACAGACCGGGCGGTCAATCCCTGGCAGATCTGTAGCTCTGTTAAAGGAGACAGGGCTGGTTAAAATTTAAATAACCCTGGAAGGTCCCAGGCTGAAATATGCTACAGGGAGACACAAATAAGAGAGACGCACAAATGTCATGAGTGTTCAAAAGCAGAAGAGGTCACATTCCACAGGAAGCAAAAGGGGAGGAGAAGCCTGAGCTGACCCTTCAAGGGCAGGTCCAGTTTGGAGAGGTACTAAGGGCAGTAAATATTCATTCAGGCATTGACTCCACTGATGTTTAATGAGCATCTATTAATACTGCATGCCCAGCAGTGCCCTTGCTGTCAAGGATATGACAATGAACATACATAGATGGTCTCCAACTTCAAACACCTTACAGATTGGCACAATTCAGAGCAATAGTTAGCACAATAGGAGAGACTACTGGATACAGTAATATTAATAACTGCTCAATAAATGTCCACTATTCGGTGTCCTATGTGTATCATTTCATTAGTGCTCACAACAATGCGGTGAGGCAGATTCTATTATTCTCCCTATTTGCAAACTGAGGCTTAGTGAGGTTAACGTACCTAAAGTCCTATGTGCAGGTAGTTAGTAGCGGAGTCAATCTTTGAACACTTTCCGCCTACTGAGTGTCTGTTCCTGTTATGAAAAGCATTTTGCACATTTCCTCTTATTTAATCCTTCTGACAACCTTGCAAAGGCAATGATAAAATTCCCATGTTTAAAGACAGTGTTATAAACACAGAGAAAGTTGTCATTTGTCCAGGCCCACAGTAAGAAGTGGAGCAGGGCTGTACCTACTGTGGCCTGAGGACCACTCCATGCCCACTCTACCTCACTGTTACCACCTCAGTGAGGCAGAGATCCTGGCTGGACTAGGGGAGAGTGAATCACCCCAGGGAGAGCCATCCTAAGGCTGACTTCCTACACTGTCATTGTGTTAGTTCTCATATTCCTATAAAGAAATACCTGAGACTGGGCAATATATAAAGAAAAGAGGTTTAATTGGCTCACAGTTCCACAGGCTGTACGGGAAGCATGGCTAGGGAGGCCTCAGGAAACTTACAATTATGGCAGAAGGTGAAGGGGAAGTAGGTATGTCTTACATTGCTGGAGAAGGAGGAAGAGAGAGAAGGGGGAGGCACTACACACTTTTAAACAACCAGATCTCACAAGAACTCACTATCATGAGACCAGCAAGGGGGAAATCCACCCCCTTGATCCAGTCACCTCCCACCAGGTTCCTCCTCCCACATTGGGGATTACAATTCAGCATGAGATTTGGGCGGTGACCCAAATCCAAACCGTATCAATCATTTATTTCATTCACAAGTGCGTATTCAGCACCTGTCATCCCTGGAGCTGTACTGATGTGAATGGAGTCACAGCCCTTGATAGGCTCACAGGACACAGGAAGCCAAATGTGCCATTGTGATAAGTCAGATATTATGTTAAATGTAGGCATGGGTATAACACAGTGTGGGGGCAGAAAACTGGACTCCCAGTTAGACAGGGACAAATTAGGGCAGGCTTCACAGGGGAGTAACATTTGAGCTGACACTTAAACTATGAGCATGTGCTTACCTGGGAGACACCTGGACGGAGGCTGTCCCAGGCAAAGGGAATGGCGTTTTCAAAGGCTCAGAAGTAGAGAGAGCATGGCATGTTTGGCTAACTACGGCCAGGAATTAAGTACTGCTGATAGATAATGGATGAGGGGAGGAGTGGGAGGAAATGCAGGCAGAGGGGGACAGATCTCCAAGGGCCTATGGTGCTGTCCACAGAGTTTAAATGTTATCCTGGTAGCAACAGGGAGTCATGCAAGGTTGTAGAGAAGTGTAGCAGAGTGATTGGCATTGAGTGTCAGCAAGATCATTTTAATAAATATGTGCGTGAGGTGATGCTATGGAACCACTGGGGCTATTTTTTGTGGCCTGACTTACAGGAGAGGTAGTGAGAATAGAAAGAAGACAGGTGTGAGCAAATTAAGGAGGTAGAATTGATCAACTTAGTAATTGATTAAATTGGTCCAGGAAGGTCCAAAATCTAAGACTCTAAGATCAAGGTAACTCAGCACCCAGTTTTCATTTCTGTTCATTTCTCTCTCTCTCTCTCTCTCTCTCTCTCTCTCTCTCTCTCTCTCTCTCTCTCTCTCTCTAAGTCAGGTCAGGGTCTCCATCTGCCACCCAGGCTATAGTGCAGTGGTATGATCTGAGTTTACTGCAGCCTCAAACTCCTGAGCTCAAGCAATCCTCCCACCTTAGCCTTCCAAGTAGCTGAGACTACAGGCATGCGCTACCATGCCCTGGCTTATTTTTATATTTCTTTGTAGAGACAGGGTTTTGCTGTGTTGCCTAGGTTGGTCTTGAACTCCTGAGCTCAGGTGATTCTGCCCGCCTCCCAAAGTGCTGGTATTACAGGCCTGCACCACCACACCCAGCCTGTTCATTTCTAGTAAGTCCATTATTTTACTTCTTTTATTTGTTCTTATTAAAGTTTCCATGCTGTTGGAGTTAATTGTAAGTAGAAAGTTGAGAACGGCCAAATGTTTGGTTGGTTGCTGAGCAGAAGAGCAATACTTAGCATCTTTGTTACATAACAGATCTCTATTTGTGGGAGTTAATATTTATAAAAGAAAGAAAGATGCATTACCCATAGATGGTGCCATTTATTCTGTTTATTTTTAAAATGCTTTTATGTTGTTAAAATCCTAGCCTTTGGTTTTGCATCTATAATGAAAGTTGGGCAGATTGTATTTCAGCTGGCATGGAAGGAGAAGATCTTTTCTCTTTTACAAAAATCATTACTGCATTTGTTCATTGATCCAACAAATGCACGTGGGCATTTGGAAAGCAGGTATGGTCTCTGCCCTTCCGAAGCTGACAGTTGAGTCATTTATCCCTGAGTACAGCCTCAGTATTTACCCCTGTTTTAAACAGCTACTCTTCCTTAAACATTGATAGAATGTCAGAAATTAGTCATCAAGAACCAAGGGTGACTTTCAGTGGTTATTTAATATTTCAGACTTAAATATTCTTCCCACATGCTCCTGCCTCAAGACTTTTGCACTTGCTACCTCCTTTTTCTGAAAGTTTCTCCTC
This sequence comes from Homo sapiens, assembly GCF_000001405.40. Taxonomy (NCBI): domain Eukaryota; kingdom Metazoa; phylum Chordata; class Mammalia; order Primates; family Hominidae; genus Homo; species Homo sapiens. The sequence goes on from NC_000016.10 coordinate 83,581,451, forward strand.
CAAAATATCCACATCTCCTCCTTATTCCTTTCATGACTTTATTCCAGTGAAGTCTTCTCAGGCCACCCTATTTAAAACAGAGCCTTGGCCAGGCACAGTGGCTCACACCTGTAATCCCAGCACTTTGGGAGGCCAAGGCAGTGGGTTGTTTGAGTCCACGAGTTTGAGACCAGCCTAGTCAACGTGGTGAAATCCCGTCTCTACAACAAAATGCAAAAATTATCCAGGCGTAGGGGTATGCCCTTGTAGTCCCAGCTGCTAGGGAGACTGAGGTGGGAGGATCACTTGAGCCCAGGAGTTCAAGGCTGCAATGAGCCAAAATCATGCTATTGCACTCCAGCCTGGGTAACAGAGCAAGACCCTGTCTCAATAAATAAATAAATAAATAATAAAAGAAAACTGAGTCTCCACCCTAGAACTTTCTCCCTTTTTATTTCATCTCCTCCTTAGCACATACCACTGTTGATCTTCTTTACAATCATTCTGCTCATCCAGAATGCAGGCTCTAGGATGAGGGCATCTTTGTGACCTTGTCTATGGCTCTGTCCACACTGGCTAAAAGATTGCCTGGTCCTGGGTGGGTGAATGTTTGTGGAATTAATGGATGACCCCTCTCTGAGCCTTGAGTTTCTCTCCTGAACACAGGGTTGTCAGGGGGGTGGTTAGTAGGGTGTAAGGGAAAAAGAGTAGCAGGGTCCCAGGATCCTTGGCTCTGTGAGGGCTGCTCCCAGCATTTTAGGCTGATCAGACTACTTCTGCAGGGCAATGCTGGGCTGGAGTTGGTCTTGCTTTACGCAGATGTTTCTGGGTTACACAACACTTGGCTTAATCCTTTTTTTTTTCCATCAGGCCCATAAGACAATTTAAAGGAATGAAAAAATATGTATGTTTTAAGGGTCTAGACCTAATGCTAGCAGCATCCCTTTGGAGAGGTTTTTTTTGTTTGTTTTGAGGGGTCTTTTGTTTGTTGAGACACTGTGCCTTTCAAAATTTAAGGTACTGCCTTGTTATGCAAATCACACATGTTTCTAGTAGAAAAAAAAGTAAAAGATGTAGAGAAAGCAAAGCAGGCTTCCCATGGAGGGATAAATGGATCCTTCCCAGCCCACCCACTGTTCTGAGGCTGCTGCCCATAAGGGTTGTTAGGACACACAGGAGCCTGAGTGGCCAGGTCTCTCAGGAGTGGAGACATTCACTTCCCAGCCGTGGGACATTTACCCAAACCACTGCAAAGAGCCACAAATAGCATAAGACCGTGTGCTGACGGCCAGTGGAAATGGAGCTCAGCGTTGACAGAGCTTCCTGAAGACTGAGCTCTCTTGAAAATGTAAAATTGCTGAGGACCTTAAGCAGAGTCCGATCAACCGTGTTGGCCCAGTTGGACTTTCAGCCTGAACTCTAAGAAGCATGGTCCATCCACTGAGCAGAATGGCCATTGGTGGAGTTTGCACTTAACCATGTTTGTTAACTTCCTAGGGATCCTGAAACAAATCACCACCAACTAGAGGGCAAACAACAACTGAAATTTATTCAGTTTATTGACAATCCTAGAGCCCTGAAGTCCAAAATCAAAGTGTTGGTAGGCCTTGCTGTCTCTCGTGGTCCCAGGGAGGATCCCATCTGCTTCTGCCAGCATCTAGAGGCCCCAGTTCCTTAGTTTCCAGCTGCAAAGCTCCAGTCTCTGCTTCCACCTTCAGGGGCCCTTCTCCCTGTGTCTTCTCATCTTCTGTCTCCTATAAGGATACTTGTAGATTTAGGGCACACCCAGCTAATCCAAAATCATCTCGTCTCCAGATCTTTAACTTAATTACATCTGCAGAGACCCATTTTTCCAAATAAGATCACATTCGCAGGTACTGGGGGTTAGGAGTTGGATGTATATTTTGGGCGACCACCATTCAACACATACAAGCCCGTGGAGATAGCACTCACTTCACTTTGAGGAGCTATCATTCTTAGTTCCTTTGATTTTAAAGCTCATATCTCTGTCCAGGATTTATTGCACATCTATTCTGTAGTTTTAACTGTAATAGCTTCCACTTGCTGATTTTGTTCTGTGCACCAGGTCACATGGTCAACGATGTATAGGGATTATCCCATTTTATCCTCATAATAGTGATGGAGGGAAGGTAAGATTGCTTTATTTTGCAGAACCAGGATGTGTGGGCATCAAAGAGTGTGATTTGGTGGCTCACGCCTATAATCCCAGCACTTTGGGAGGCCAAGGTGGGCAGATCACCTGAGGTCAGGAGTTTGAGACCAGCCTCGTCAACATGGTGAAACTCCATCTCTACTAAAAATACTAAAAAGAAAAAAAAAAGCCGGGCATGGTGGCATGAGCCTCTAGACCTAGCTACTCCAGAAGCTGAGGCAGAAGAATCACTTGAGCCCACGAGGGAGAGGTTGCAGTGAGCTGAGATCGCACCACAGCACTCCAGCCTGGATGACAGAGCAAGACTCTGTCTCAAAGAAATAAATAAATAAACAAAAATTTAAAAAAGCAGAGCTGAGATTTGTATCCTTATTTTGGCTTAAAGTCCTTGCTGTTTTCACTATGCCATAAGTGAGCAAAAGCAGAGAGTTAAAGCATGGTTTCTGGCTGGGCGCGGTGGCTCACGCCTGTAATCCCAGCACTTTGGGAGGCCAAGATGGGCGGATCACGAGGTCAGGAGATCAAGACCATCTTGGCTAACATGGTGAAACCCCATCTCTACTAAAAATACAAAAAAAATTAGCCGGGCATAGTGACAGGTGCCTGTAGTCCCAAACTAAGGAGGCTGAGGCAGGAGAATGGCGTGAACCCAGGAGGCGGAGCTTGCAGTGAGCTGAGATCGTGCCACTGCACTCCAGCCCGGGCAATAGAGCAAGACTGCATCTCAAAAATTTTTAAAAAATGCATGGTTTTTGCTTCCAAGCACCTCATAAGCAGAGAGGAAGGGACAGAGAACTATCTATGGTTTATTGGGACACGATGTAATATATGCTACAAGGGAACTGTGTCAAGAGCTCTGCAGTCTTTCTACCCTGGAAATTTTAGTAAAGGCTTCAAAGAGAAAGTGACCCCTGAGGCGGTCATTTGGGAACAGCAGGACTTGGCTGCGTCTGAATGTAGAGAATTGCATTCTGGGCAAAGGGAACAGCATCTGTGAAGAAAGGCAAAAGTGAGTGGACCACCCACATGATCCCTCGATAGTGTCCAGGAGCTTCTGTAGGATGTAGTGTTATGATGCTGAGACACTGTATTAGGCTATTCTTGCATTACTACAAAGAAATACCTGAGACTGGGTAATTTATAAAGAAAACAGGTTTAATTGGCCCATGGTTCTGCAGGTTGTACAGGAAGCATGGTGCCAGGCATCTGCATTGCTTCTGATGAGGCCTCAGAAAGCTTACAATCACGGCAGAGGGCAAAGCGGGAGTGGGCACGTCACATGGCAAAAACAGAAGCAAGAGATAGGGGGAGGTGCCAAATTTAAACAACCAGGTCTTAGGAGAACTCACTCACTACTGTGGGGGTGGCACCAATGAAAGCTCTGCCCCAAGATCCAAACACCTCCCACCAGGCCCCACCTCCAACACTGGGGGTTACAATTCAACATGAGATTTGGTGGGGACACATATCCAAACCGTATCAGATGCTCCCGAGCCATGACTTAGATTTGAATTGCTGCAGACACGTGTCTCTGGTGGCTTCCTGTGTGCCATACCCTAAGCTGGCGTGGGTGGCCTTCCCTTCCTGAACAGCGTGATGCTGGTAACCTGGGACCTCCTTCCACCTTCCTGCACTCTATAACTACTTCCCAGATCACTCCGAATTTATATTTGCCATCTCAGGATATGGCAAAGTAAGACACAACAGTAACCCAAACTAAGGCAAGGGCAGTGGGGATGAGGAGGTTGGAGTCGTGTGAGAGTCTGTTTGGAGAAGGAAATCAGTGATACTCTGTTCAGTGGGTGTGGGAGAGGAGGCTTGACACGAGGGGGCCCCAGTTTTGATGCATCTACCAGAACAGGGAAGGACTGTGCTTGGCTGGGGAGCTGCTGAGCTTGCTTTGGGCCATGCTGTGTTTGCAGTGCTCGTGACACATTCAGCTGGAAATGTTGAACAAGCAGTTAGAAGTGTAGATCTGGGAATTAGGAGACAGTTGGTAATGGAAGCTGTCAGAGTCCACAGGGGTGGGTGGAACCAAAGCTGGAGGAATAAGCAGGATATCCAAGAAGAAGGCTGACCATTAGAGACTCGGTGGAGATTGCTTAAAGAGCTGCCAGGAGTGGCAACCTACCAAAAAAAAAACTTATCATTCTCCCAGCCCAACCCATACAGGGCTCGTGGAAAGAGCTGGGAAATGGGCTCCCACGTGGAATCTTTGGACTAGTACCAACAGGGGTTTTGGCTACTGGGGAGGTGAAGAATAGTACTGTGTATGCCCCAGGGTGTAGCAGTTGAGAGTATAAGGTACAGACCCAAGAGGTTGGGTTTCTATCCCAGTGCCACCACATAGGAGCTATGTGTCCCAGGACAAAAGAATCCTCAACTGCACAATGAACACAGCAACCACAGCAACTTCACAGGGGTATGTTGAAGACCAACTAAGGTAACCCACCTAAAGGGTTGAATACTATTTCCAACATGTAGTAAGTGCTCTGTGCACGTAGCCATGATTATTATAATGACAGCGTGTCTGAGTGGAGCCCGGATGAACTGGCAAGCGATGACCACCTGTGGACTGCAGCGGGAAGGTCCGCAGCCTGGGGCTAGAACCACAAGGGAGCGTGATGCACACAGGTGTGCTTGCACCCACGGCTGAGGTTTTTCTTCCCACCGGCACAGGGCGCTGAGGCAGGGATTTCCTCCCAGAGAGAGGGCGGTTGAGTTCAGTTCCCCTCCACTTTGAAAATGGCTCTGGAGGAGGGGCGGAGGAAAGGCAGAGACTCCGTTTATTGTTATTTTTAAAAATAAAATGAAAAGGAGCCCTCCAAGGGCTTGTTTATGGGTTTTATTATTGGCGAAGAAGAGCACACTTGTCTTTATCAACATCCTGTCTGTCTGGGAGTCTGAGCCGAGAAGGGCAAGACCAAATGTTAAGTCGTAACATCTGACTTGTTGTTCCTTGCTCTGCTAACGATCCAGGCTGTTAAGAGGCTTAGCCCTTGTCAGCAGAGCCAATACAATTTCAAGAACAAAATGACTGCTGGAGCCCAGATCAGAAAAGGGCTGCCTCGTGGGAGCAGGTCAGGGCAGTCTATTAGGCATCTTGTGCAAATAATGCTGAAGAAAGGTGGTCAGAGAAGCTGACTGTACCAGGCATAAAATCACGGGGGGAGCCTTCCAGAATAATCTGTGGCCGGGTTATGCTCACTGCTTTTTCTCCCTGGTCCACGAATTAGCTTTTGGACAACAGCTGTGGTGTAACTGGAATCCATCTTGTGTGATTTTTTTTCCCTCAGATGATTTAGAATTAGTTCAATTTATTTTCAAAAAGTATAACCCAATGACAGCAGAAAGGCCATGTCTCAAATTGCTTTCCTGTCCATGGCTAGAGTGGGTGGGTGTCATTTGCTGATTTATTACTCTCTCCGTGGGCTCCTTTCGTTTCTAAAGCCACCTGGAATTATGGCCAGCAATAGAACTCTAAACCAAAGTCAGCTTTGCACGAAAATGCATTTGACTTAAGAGACCACGGAAAATGCTGATTAAAAGTAACCCTGCATGGCAAAATTTGATTAGGAGATCACATCTGAATGGGAACAGGTTCGAGGGAACGGAGGATGAATCAGGCTCAGCAAAGCCAACTTTGATTGCGCTTTTCTAAGGGGAGGATGTGGTGCTGATTAAACGTCTGAAATTAGTGGGCAGGGACCATTAACATGCAAAGGACTGATATTAGGCAAAGGTTGTAAAGCTGGAATGGCTGCAAGTCGTAGACATTTAAAACCTAGTTTTAGAAACATCCACCGACCCCTCGGTGAGCTCCTGTGCTTCTGTCACTGGGAGTCAGTAATTGAATTTTCTGGACGTTTTGACCAGTATGTAACTGTGTGGAGCCGATTACACAGCAGAACGCAATTTTTAGCCTGACCTTAAAAGCATTACCTTCTGCTGCGTGATTAGAAAACATACAGAGAGTGCCGCCCTTCTAACTGCACTTGATTTGGGGAAGAAGAAAGAAAAAGAATCACCTTGCTATTTTATGAAACCTGGTAAGATTCATTTAGATTCCACACAGATCATTTAATAACAGATTTTGTAAAATCTTAACATACGGAGCCACCATAAAACGTATTATCTTTTATTACCCATACAGAGAATGACATTTTAGATGGTAATAAATTGAAACCCAAGGAAAGCTATTTGCTTTCGGAGAGTGCTTGGCGAATGACAGGAATAGCAGTTTCCCAATTTTACACGGTGGCAAATATGGCCCCCCAGGGTCATTGGAGCCAGCCCCCAGCTGGCTTTGTTGAGATTTATCTGAGCAACATTCTCTTATACCTCTTTTTTTTTTTTTTGAAAGATCATTTCCGTCCAAACCTCACCACATGAGGACCCAGTTGTCATACCATAACATCCCTCCTTCCATCCCGTACACCTGGAGATGTGTGGCTGGCCTAGGGCTGAGCCTGGGGCTGGGACCAGCCAGTGGGGCATCTGCCTCAAGGTGGAAAAGAGCCCAGCCCATCAGCTCCAAAGCAGCCACAGCCTCCCTCTGCATAGACACCTCTCCAAAGGAGAAGGACCTTCCCTGCACACTCTTGGACAGCCAAAGCCTCATCACCCTGCCACGCCCCGCAAAACCAGGCTTTCTAGAGACTGATTCAGCCTGTCTAACATTGCCCATGCCTGCCTTTGGACCTGTAACATCTGCAGACCATGAGAGCAACCTGAGGCCAAATTTGCTGTGTGGTGATCAACATAACCGTTTCTTGATTTACTCATTCATTGAACATTTACTGAGAGTGACTGAGAGTGAACTAGTTTGTGTGATTTTTCCCCCAGGAGATTTAGAATAAGTTCAACTTGTTTTCAAAGACTATAACCCGATGACCACATACAGGCAGTGTCTTGGGACCTCAGTGTCTCAAGGGGCAAGGCACTGGGGCTATGGCAGGAATAAGTTAAAGACAGAATCCTTGCCCTCACCAAGGGCTGTAATAAATACTTAGAAAGTGACTGACACATTGGAAACCACAGGCACCAAAGGGAAGCTTCTCCGGTACTTGATATTTACCACTTTGTAGATGGCAGGACATTCATCTTCCCACTAGACAGATTTTGAAGGAAAAGGTCTGGTTGACATCACACTTCAAAGGATTGAAATGGAAATATTTTCCAGAGAAATGACAGAGGATGTCATCCTGGGAAGGCAGGCCCCCTGGGAAGCTGGCAGGTGGGCGAGGAATGAGGTGCGGCTGGTGAGGCCACGCACCACGTGGAGCCAGGAGGCTGCTGGGCGTCTCAGTGTTCCAGGAAACTCAGCGGTCACCCCCCAGAGAAGGTGTACTCGTTTCCTGTGGCTTCCATAACAAATGACCACAAAATCCGTGGCAGACAGCAGCACAATATATTATCCTACAGAGCTAGAAGTCAGAAGTCCAAAATAAGTCTCACTGGGCCAAAACCGAGGTGTCAGCAGGTCTGGATTATTTGTGAGGGCTCCAAGGGAGAATCCATTTTCTTGCTTTTTCTATCTTCTAAAGGCCCCTGGAATTCCTTGGCTCATAGCCTCTTCCTCCATCTTAAGGCCAACAGTGTAATGTCTCTCCTCGTCTCCCTGTCTCCCCATCCCCCTCCCTCTTCTCTCTCTTTCCCCTTATTCTTTCTCCCTTTCCCCCCCCCGGACCCCTCTCCCTCCCTTCTTCCCCTCTCCCCCTCCCTCTTTCTCTCTGTCTCCCTCCCTCCTCCCTCCCTTGCCCTCTCCCTCTCCCCCAACACCATCTTCTCTGCTTCCATCACCCATCTACTCCCGCTGACACTGATGTTTCTGCCTCCCTCTCATGAGGACTCTCGTGATCACATTGGGCCCATTCAGTTTTCCAGGGTGGTCTCCCCATTTCAAGATCCTTAACAAAGCCTCTTGTGCCACCTAAGGTAAAATATTCACAGATTCCAGGAATTAGAACATGGCCATCTTTGATAGATGTTTTTCTGTGTGCCATAGAAGATACGAGAGCTTCTAGATCCAAAAGCCTGGTGGCATTTAGAGCTCACTTCCACTGTGCTCGATACATGAACCTGACATTGAGCATCTCACAGCATAATCACAGGACGGACGTGTGAAGGGAAAATTGCTATACAGTGTCATTATCTCAACCAAGAGAGAAACACTCACCGTGCCATACAGCCAGGGCTAATGCAGGGAAGGCAGGAGTGACTCTGGGAAGACAAACCTTCATGATGGAGGCAACCTTCAAGCAAGTGATTGTTTGATTATCACTTGCTTGAAGTGATTATCTTCCAAAGGATAAGTGATTGTTTCCTGGGGCTTAGGAGGTGGGGGCGGGAAATGTGCAGGGAGGGCAGAGGGTACAGCATAAGCCAAGCTGCAGAGATGCGGAGGAGTGAAAAAGCCTAAGAAGGTATGAATTACAAATAGCTCAGCTTTACAGAATATAACACTGAGTGAGGAGAACAAACAGATGAGGCCATGAAGAGTTTGTCTTTCATGCTTGAAAAACTCAGACATTATCCTGTAGCCACTGAAGGGTTTTAAGGAGAGTCCTTGGTCAGATGGTAGCTGGACAGTTCGCTCTGGCTGGCTTTGGGGTGGAGAGGGGCATAGAAGAAGGCAGGGGGACCAACCTGGAAGCTGTTGCATAAGTCAAGGAAGAAGAGATGGGGACTTGACATCATGTGCACACAGAGGTGGTGGAGAAAAGAGGACAGACTCGAGAGGAAGGGGAGGTAAAATCAGGAGCACTGGATGAGCAGTTGTTTGAGGTAAGAGAGAGGGAATTGCTACAGAGACTCCCAGGGGCCGGCTGGAGATGATCCCTCCGGGAAGAACGGCCAGGTTGTGGGGAAGATGGGTTCTGATATTGGCCCATGGAGGATAAGGGAGAGCATCTAGTGGAGACATCCATAACAAGATTGAAAGCAGGCGAGATGCTGTTTGGTGTCTTAGAGAGAGTCTGTTTTTTCTCGAAATGGACGTAAAAAAAAAGAAAGTTTCAAAGAGAACTTTTGGAAAACTATGATTTTCATTTTTCATTTAAATTGCATCATAAATGGGTGAGTTTTAAAGTAAAACATCTAAGGGTACATCTTGACCTGCATTGAGTCATACATTCATTCAGAACAATGCTAACCGAAGTGTGCCCCTAAATCGACGACATCAGCGTCTCCAAGAAACTTGTGAGAAATTCAGATGCTTTGGCCCTGCCCTGAACCTTCTGAATCATAAATGCTGCAGGTGGGCTGTCAATCTGTGTTTTAGTACACCCACCAGGGGATTCTTTTTTTTTTTTTTTTTTTTTTTTGAGAGGGAGTTTCGCTCTCGTTGCCCAGGCTGGAGTGCAGTGGCGTGATCTTAGCACACCGCAATCTCCACCTTCTGGTTTCAAGTGATCCTCCTGCCTCAGCCTCCCGAGTAGTTGGGATTACAGGCACCTGCCACCACACCCAGCTAATTTTTGTATGTTTAGTAGAGATGGGGGTTCACCAGGTTGGCCATGCTGGTCTTGAACTCCTGACTTCATGATCCACCTGCCTCTTCCTCCCAAAGTGCTGGGATTACAGGCATGAGCCACCGCACCCAGCTGGACAAGCACTTTCAAGAAGCAGTGACTCTGACTCTATGTCTTACGTACCTGCTATGTACCAGGCATAATGTTGCTATGTCAGGGCCCAGGTCTAGAAAACAAAAGCTAATGTGGCAAATAGTACTTGAGCATCTCAATTACTTTTTATTTTACTTCAGTGTTACAATCTGTACTTCCTTGTCTGAATCTAACAGATTAGCCTGTTCTGTTCTGCTCCTAACCAGCCATGTGCTCCTGGGATTCACTCTGTTTCCTCTCACTGTGAGTTCCTTGAAGGTAGGGCAGGACGAGAAGGCCTCGAAGGTACTTTTGAGAACTTGTGTCTCTTCACCTCACAAACCTTGACTCCAGGCACGCTGGTGGCCCTGTTGCAGCCTGATGTCTCCACTCTTATTCCCAGGCCCTTCTTCCTTCTCTGAATTCTCTCCCCTCACACCCATCCTTCAAAGCTCAGCTGCAGTCTTACATTAACCTGAAGCCACTGAAAAGCCACCGAAGCACTCCCAGTTAGTAGACAGCTAACTTAGCACAGGCTGCCTGCTGCCCTGGGGAGCCACTTATATATCTTTTATCTTCACCCAAGCCGTGGCTTCCTTGAAGGTCGAGAGCGTACTTTTTCTTGTCCCTTTGGTGTCCTGAACAGAACCAGAATCAGCCTTCCCTTCTTATTCAATGACTACTTTTAATAGAGTTTAGGGATTAAAGGTCTCCCACCTTCTTCCATATAATTTGACTTTCAGTCCAAGACACCATCTCTAATCCTATGGTAGGGTATGCCCTTCTGCAGGAATCACTGCTTAATCTCTTCCGGCCTCCACCTCTCCACCTATAATGTCTAAGTCAACTGTCCCCTCCTTTGTAATTCCACAGAACTCTGTGCTTACCCCATCTCATTGTGCTGAGCTCATCAGGGTGTTGGTCTCTCCCACGGGACTTGATTCCTGTTACTTCTTCGCACCATCCCGCACAATGCCTAGCACACAGTAAGTGCTCAATCAATGTCTGATGAATTAAATAAGCTCCATATAGCTTTCCTGAGCACCCCACATTCTGACCCCCTTCATGTAAACCTTAATTGGTATTAATACCATTCTGATAACACTTATCTCATCTGACCTTACGTACTTGCCTTTTGTTCATCTCTCTGGACCAGAAATGCACCAAAAGCAGAGTCTGTATCATTTATCACATCCTAGCAGTTATTTGAGCCTAATAGACACTAAATAAATGTTTCAGTGAACTCACACTGAATGTCAAGTATTTGCCACCTTGAGCCTACAGGAGATGCTTTTTCCAGGGGTTCTAGGAACGCCATTGGCAGTTTATTTACTGTAACTCATCAGTGGCAGCAGAAGATGCACACATTGCCTGGAAATGTTTTATTTGATTTTGGTGTCCCTCAACCGCAAATCTATCATTTAGGCTATTCCAGCCACATATGTCTAAGAGACAGTGTTTATTTCCCCTGCTGCTTCTCCACCCTGCCAGCTTTGTCGCAGCCAGTAAATCTGGAGAAATGAGCGCTGCCTTCTCCTTGCCCACCAGCCCCCAGCCACGAATGCAAAAATAAATAAATAAAAAATAAAAAACAGCAGGTGACAGCCAAGAATGTGAATGTTCACATTCGTACCAAGAGGTAAGGTGAAAAGAGGCCTAAAGACAAACACAAGTCAAACCAGGCTCACCCTGCTGCCTGGGAAGATGGAAGAACATCGCTCGACCTCTGCAGTGGGAATAAGGCACATTTTATGAGGATGTGTAAGCGGTTCCTGCTGGATTTATGGACTACCTATTCCCAGTGTTATGTGGCCAGAGTGGTTAAATCAAACTCCAGACAGACAACAACTCGTTCTGCTTCAGATAGTGTTTTCACCAATCTTTTGCAATATTTATAGACTAGGTGTCAGGTGCAGCCAGCCCGGGGAAGAATGTGGTCCCTGTTTAGGCTTCATATTGCAAGGACGCTTGTGATGCCCAGCTGATCGGGACAAAGCTAAAGAGGAAACGAATGAATGAATTCCATTACATCTTTGCTATGTAGCTCATGTTAATGTTTCTCATTAACGATACCTTAAATGTTAGACTAGAAAGGGATTTGCTAACAAAAATGCCTTCTTACAGCCTTCCTTGACTCCTAGAGCAGCATGTGTGTGCTGGAGCCCATTCTCACTGGCTCACAATAGCCAACTGGTGTCTCTGTTTCCAACTAAGTGCTTTTGGAGTGGAATCATCTGGGTAGCTTGAAATCAGCTATGGTAGGAGTAGTTAAACCACCAAAATTGACAACAGTACAAATCAGGAGAATCTGTTCTTAAACAGCTACAGGTATACCACTCTATTCATTATTTTTTATATATTATATATAATTGTATATTTATGTAATAGTGTATAAACATACAGTATATAAAACATGTTATTTGTCCTGTAATAATTGTAATCAATATTATGCAATAATATGTAATCATATTTATGTAATAGTGGGCTAATTGTGTTATAATATGACTAATTGTTACATAGCTATGATGTCCCAGGCAGTGAATTTTATCTCCCAGGCAGAGACATAAAGCCTCTAAACAAGAAAAGGCCCCTGATCTCAAGAAGCTCGGATTGTCATAGCCACGATAGCCACTAAACAAGTAATCAGTAAACAAGCACATTATAGACTGTGGTAGTGGTAGGTGCTGGGGAAAACGGTACTCATTATCTATTGCTGCATGAAAAATTGTCTCAAAACTTAGTGACTTGAGACAAGAAGCACTGATTATCTCACAGTTTCCCTGCTCAGGAATCTGGGCATTTCTTAGCTATACTCTGTGCTTAATGGGCACTCACAGAGCTACAAGCAATGTGTTCAGAATCTGCTGTCTTGCTGGAAGATTTGTCTAAGGAAGGCTCCACTTCCAAGTTCACTCAGTGGCTGTTGGCAGCATGGTTGGCAATTGCTTTTGGCTCTTCCTGAAGGCCACCCTCAGTTTCTTGTTACATCTTCGAAAGACTTCCCAAAAATTCTACTAAATAATAGCAGTAGCATCTCTCCAGCATTTACATATGCCAAGCTCTGTATTCAGCACTTTACCTCTTTTAATTCTCACGTATCCTATAAGGATTATTCTCCCCCACTTTACAGATGAGGAAATGGAGGCAGTGAGAACATAAGCAACTTGGCTGGGATCACTCAGCTACTAAGTCATGGAGCCAGGGTGATAATAATTGATCACATATTGATTGACTCCTTCTTAAATGTCAACCATCCTATTGTGCACCAAGGTCCCTGCCTTCGTGGAGCCTCTGTGCTGTGAATAATGACCATCAGCAAAGGAGCAGGAATTCACCTGGAGCAAGAACTAGAGGTGAAACATTCGATATGGAAAAAGTGGGGTACCATGGAAAGAAATTCGGTCTAGACAAACTGTAAAGAGAGATGTAGAGTGCAGTTCAAGACCAGGCGAGAGAGAGATGGGGTACTGTGTGGGTTAATGGGAAAACCTTTTTCCACATCACATCTATTTGTTGATTTTCCCCCCACAGCTACCACTATGCTTGTTATTAGTGATAAATGTTCTGTTAAATGCATACCTGTGTGGAAGTCATTGTAGCTGTGCAAAACGTCGAGGGTCTGGTGATGGATTAAGTGCCAGATTTAATGACATGGCTTGATTCTTTTTTCAAGATGAGATGTTTGCTTTTCAAATCAGTGTGATCAGTGAACCTGGCCTGTGTCTGTGGAGATTCACTCGAGGCTTTTTCTTGCAGACATACCATCTTGCTTTTGTTTCTAGAATATATATTAGCTGGTAGCTAGTTGACACCCAGGAGGAGACAGCAAATGCAATAGAAATGCATGACTGCAGAACTCAAACCAGGAGAGCAGCTTGACTCTCTTAGATATGTCTTACAAATCAGATAGCTTCAAATAAAATCAGAGGAGCCAATTTAAGTTTTCCAGTTTTGACACAGTGCATTTCTTCCTCCAAATAAAATTCTATCTCCTTGAGCTGCAGTTCCGCAAAGTATAAGTCATTCCCTGAGAATAAATGACTTTGCTTTGGAAATGCCACTGATATGCTCAGACCTTTGAGACATAATTTAGTTCAGGGAAACAGTAATATATCATCATTATCAATAATGAAAGTAAATCGCCCACCTTGTGTGCTGACTACTGGCTAGGTGTTGCAGCCAAAGGCATGGTCCTTGCCCTTGAAAACTTTGTCATCCACTTAGGGAGATAGTAAATGGGCATTCAAAATAAAGCAAAATGGGACACATAGCCTTCATATTAAACAAGGTAAGCTAAGCACAGTCATAAGCAGCCCTTAAACCTAAAAAATGGCTTATGTCTTGCTCACATCACAGTCTAAAGCAGGTCACCAAAGGGGCTTTGAGCTATATAGTCATTTGGAGATCCAGGTTTCTTCCTTTTGAGGAAATAGAAAGTGTGAGAGGTTACATGGGAGGTTTAAGAACCACACCAAGTACATAACTTCTGCTCACGTTCCACTGACCGCAATCAGCCACACAAGTCCATTTGACTGCAAGGACGCCTGAGCTGTACAGTCTAGCCCTATGCCCCTGGAACCCAAGGAAATAGGATCCAGTGAACATACAACATTGTTTTCACCACAAGTTCCTTTGCTTGCAAGTAACTGAAACTCATTCAGGCTGGTTTTGGTACCTAAAAGGAGCTCTTGAGTATACAGTGGAATGAGTTACAGAATCAACGAAAGCGTTGAAGTCAGGGGCCATCAAAGCTCCAGTCCTTGGCAGCCAAGCTGCTTCTTCCCGGCAGAGCAGCACCTTTTGCAAAATTCAGCTCAAAAGCTGTTTGGAGTTGCAGTTGATTACATTCGTCTTTCCTCTGAGCCTTGAACCAAAGAAACACAGAATCAGGTGAGGCCCAGGGAGAATACAACTTGATCTTGAGAATGGGGTTGACCTTGATAATGGGGCCCCCTTCTCACTGATGAGTTCACTCACCTAGTGACAGGGCAGCTGGACAAGTGAAAGTGAACCTGGACAAGTGAAGAGGCAGGTTGCCTTCCTCATGGGCAGAGAGAAGCACAAGGGTGGTGAGTTTCCTCCCAAAACATTCAAGGCAAAAATCCCTCTATTGGTCCTAGGAGTTCGGGGTTTACCCTACATTCCTGTTTTCCTGACTCTCAGTCCCACATTTCCTCTTTTCAGAATCCAGTTGTCCCAGCTTGAATTAGGGAGTTACCTGTGAATTTAGTCAATTCTTGGCAAGAGAGACAAACATGACAAGTGGCCACTGGGATCTCTTTCTCTGCATCAAAATTTCCTCCTGGAGAAAGGGCATCTGTGGGCTGGACACCTAAAGAGCATCTCTTCCAGCAGAGTAACAAATGCAGAGTGGCCAGCGAGGGATACAGAATTAAAAATACATGTGTATATTTCAAGTAAGAGTGACTCCGAGAGCTAGGAAATTAGGGGGTGACTTTCTGGAAAAGGCTCTGAGGATCGGGAAGTAGGTCAGAGGCAAGTGGAAGGTATTCTGATCATGTATGAGCAAGGGAGTTCATGTGGCATTTTCTCTAATTTTCAAGTGCAAACTGGGTGTTGTACATTCCAAAGGAGGTTACTTTCATTATCGGTTTTGGGGATTTTGTTACTGTTCTCCTTGTGAAAGCAATAATGTTCATTACAGAAAAATCCCCAAATCATAACAGGCCAATAAACTTTTTATATTAGAATTGCTTTTAAAAGTGAAAACTTGGGCAGGGCACGGTGTCTCATGCCTATAATCTCAGCACTTGGGGAGCCTGTGGTGGGAGGATCACTTGAGCCCAGGAGTTCAAGACCAGCCTGGGCAATACAGGGAGACCCTGTCTCTACAAAAAATACAAAAATTAGCCAGGTGTGGTGGCACATGCCTGTGGTCTTAGCTACTTGGGGTGCTAAGTTGGGAGGATCTCTTGAGCCTGGGAGGTCGAGGCTGCAGTGAGCTGTGATCATGCCACTGCACTCCAGCCTGGGTGACAGAGCAAGACCCTGACTCACACACACACACACACAAAAAGTAGAAACTTAGAAGCAACCCAAATGTTCATCCAGTAGGGATTGACTAAATAAATTATAGTGGATCTGTACATTGGACTATTAGACAGCTGTTAAAATGAACAGCTCTGTAAACACTGAGATAAAAGTGATATGGTAAAACAAATTGTGTCGCTATGTAAACAGTATTACTTTGATGAAATGTGTGTGTATATAAATGTGTATATTAAATATGTGGGTATTTAAAATGTACCTCCGTGTGTGTCCACTTGTATAGGAAAAAGGAGATAACTATCAATATTTACCTCTCACAGGTGGGGTTGGGCAAGGGTGGAGGAGAGTTCTTTGAAATGACTGTTTTATTTTTATGTTGCTTACAATAATTGGATATTACTTCAGTACTAAAAATATTTTTAAGGTCAGCCTTAAGTTTGCCAGAAAATTTAGACTTTTGAAACCTCATCACAAACTTTGCAGTTTATCTACATAACAGTCTAATTGATTCTCTACTAGGTTAATCAGTCTATTTCTCATTATAGGTGCAAAGTTTTATTTACTTCAGGAGATAGAAATTGGTTCATTTTCTAAAATTATTTATAAAATTTGTTGAACTACGAGAGTTATGCCAATGTATCCTTCCCTTGTGCTACCGTAAGAATTTGTACATACCTCTGCTAAGCTTTGATTTATTTTATTGCACTCATATGTGAATATGACTGTCCTCAACGCTAAACTTTGACCTCTTTGGAGAAAGAGACTTGTTTTTTGATCACTGTATCTCTAGTATCCAACACGACATTTAGACAAGAAGTTCATTAACTGCCAATTAAATAGATGCATAAACTAGTTAAAGAAAGAATTAGACCAGGTGCAGTGGCTCATGCCTATAATCACAGCACTTTGGGAGGCCAAGGTGGGCAAATTGCTTGAGCTAAGGAGTTCAGGACCAGCCTGGGCAACATGGAGAGACCCTGTCTCTACAAAATTACAAAAATTAGCTGGGTGTGGTGGCGTGTGATTATAGTCCCAGCTACTCAGGAGGCTGGAGTGAGAGGATTGTTTGAGCCAGGAAAATAGAGGCTGCAGTGAACCATGACCACATCACTGCACTCCAGCCTGAACGACAGAGTGAGACCCTGTCTCAAAATAAATAAATATTTTTAAATAGATAATTACAGTAACTTTCCCTGGCTACAAAAAATTTTCTGTTTAAGGGAAAGTATTAAAAGAGAAAACGATGTATTCATAAAATGATAGGAATACTGTTTTGAAGAACCTATTTTGATGCTATTGTATGGTGTGATAGCTCCTATGCTTTCTTGCTAATCAGAGAATTGATCATAGTGTTATTGCAATAGTTGCAATATTAGTCAAAACTGCCTTATTCCTACCTACGGAACATCTGAATCAAGTGTCTTGAGGAAAGCCAAAATGTATTAGCTCATAGAATTCACAAAATCTAAGGAATAAATTCTGGCTTCAAGGATGACAACTCATCCTTGAATGATGATTAACAACAACAACAACAAACTCCATCTCTACCTCTTAGTCTGTGTTTCCTTCATTCTCAGGTTGACTTTCTTTGTGTGGTTACAGGTGGCCACTACTAGCTCCAGATGGATGCCCTAACCACCTCCAAGTTTAACAGAAAGATAACTTCCTTTCCCTAAGCGTTCTGAAAGAACTAAAGGACAATGTCCTGGAATTGAATTTCACTCCCAGGGTGGACTCACTTAGGTTATGTCCTCATCGCATGATGATAGGAATGGAAAGCCCTGATTGGCCAGGCCTGAACCATATGACCATCCCTAGATCAGGAGTGGGGTCAGCCCCACCCACCTGAACTGTACCTGTACTGAGGGTGAGGAAGGGGTGATGCCCGAGGGAATTATAACATAGGTACCAGAAGAAGAGGGAGTGGGTATCAGGACAGTTAAGCAGCATACTCCTGCTATAGTTAGTGCTTGAGGCAGTCCTGTAGCACATCCCCACAGCAATCTGTACTGGAAGTTGAAGAATGAATGCTATGAGAACTTTATCTCCTTCTTATGCCACCATCATAGAGTCACCCTAGTCTCCCAATTTGCTTCACCGCGCAATGTCAGGAGCTGTCCTTTAGAGACCAGCCCTGTCTGAGATCAAAAGCTAAACATTCTCGTAGGACTGGTATAAAAGTTAGTAACATCCTCTTGGATAAAAACATTGAAATATGAATAAAAAGCCTGAAAACATTCATACTCTTTATCCTAGTAATTCCACATCTTGGGATCTATCAGTCAAAAACAAACCAAAAAAATTTTTAAAAAGCAGCCAAAATGTATATAAGCCTTCATGAATAAAGATGTTAATTGCACTGTTATTTAAAATTGTCAACATTTTGAAAACCACAAATAACCAAAAGGCCTAATAATAGAAGACAAGTAAATTATAAAATATACATATGATTATATTGTAGGCAACCCTTAAAATAACATCTAGGAATTATATTGGTAAATATTATATGTGAAAAATAATATGATATTTACCATAATCTCTTCAATATTGGGGGAGAATCCACATAATTTTTTGTCAGTAATTGTGTGCTTTCAAAAATAAGTAACAATGTTTTATGACAAAAGTGAAAGCGTTATGCAAGAAATTAGACCTGTGCTGTCCAGGGTAGTGGTTCACATGTTCAGAGACACTCGGGAAAGATTTTAAAGGTAGCCAATTTACTGGTTTCATATGGTCCAGCTGCAGAAATTATAGCCAATAGTACATGCAGTCCAGCTCGTCAGTGATGACAAGCAGAAAGCCACTTCCATTAGGCTCAAGTTTTCCAGCTTCAGCCTGAGAATAGATGGGATTTCAAGCATCTATACCGAGAGATGCCAACGAAACCAGCCAGGAGCAAAATTACCAGAATTCTTGAACCAGGCAGAACCAGGGCAGATGGCATCTCAAGCACCTTCGCAGACCAGCGCCGGCTGACCCAGCCAGAACTGGAACTGGGTACGGTGTCAATTCCACTTGTACTCAGCAGTCAGAGAACCGTGTGACCTTCGATCCTGGCGGAGCTGGAATTGAAACCGAAACATGAGGCGTAGAGCCATCACAGGAGCACACTAACTTCCCACTCATCACCGTGAATTGAAGTGGAGGGCCTTAACAAACCACCCAGCAGAACCAGGACTCCTTAAAATAGTAGCTCAGAAACCACTCAGAAGTTAAAGGAACAGCAATGAATGGTGTCCCTATGAGCAGACAGCCAGTTGCACTTCAAAATACTTAAAAGTTTTTGAGAGAGCTAGCGTTGAGCTATTGAAATTTACCATGTAAACTTAGGACTTCAGAAGAAAATTGGACATCCTCCATTGCTTTTTTGTTCCTTGCTTCCTGTGGTATTTCTTAATTATTGGTTGGTATAACCAGCTGTTTTTGAAGCTGTCATACTGGTAGGACTATTTATGTGATTGTAAACACCTATTATTTTTGTTACTAAAGGTAGTTCAACTCGGACTCTCTGTGTGATGATTAAGAAATCTGTCCAACGTGAGTTAAGCAAATAAGGGAAATTATTGCCTTCATTAGCTGAAAAGTTCACAGGCGGGTCTGGCTTCAGGAGTGGCATGATGAAGCGGCTCCAGTACAACCACTAAGAACCATTTCTTTTCTGAGATTCCAGTATAATTAATTCTCTTAGGATATTGCCTTTGTTCTTGGATGCAGGGTCTTCTTCTGCATTACCCCTCCTGTGGTCATGAGATGACTCCTCTAGCTCCCCCTGCCAAATGCTTCCAGGTCCACACCACAGGGAAACAGAACTTCCTTCACCTAACTGTCAAACACAGGGCCTGGACTTAACATTATATCACTGGAATAAGATGCACTGACTGACTTCTTCTAATTAGGACTCATTCCAAAAGTTCAATCGGTAGGAGATAGAGAAAGGCAATCCTAACCCAAACCACATGAGCAGAGAAGAAGTAAAGGATAGGTCCCCAAAGGAAATGCGGGGTGCTGCCTTACCAGATGAATGGTATGATTGTGGACCAATTCAAGCAGAAACCTACTACCAAAGATAATTTAAATATAGGGGCTGTTATTTACCAATGACTGCACTCTTCTTCATCTTAGGATCAGGGCTATTTGGCTAGTTGTTTTGAGTATATAAACATGATAGCCAAATCTTTGTCAAATATTGAGATGAAAAACACTTATGTGAAGAGAGAGAATAGTGCAATATTGCTTGTGTTAAGTTTATCAAATCATTATTGGATTAAATGCGTCTTCCACATGTGACAGCCTGTGCGACAAAAAAGACATGAAAGAAGTGTGGTATAAGTGACTCTAAACTTCAGTGGGGTTTCTTCCCCATCTGTAAAATGGGAACAATGATTGCAAGTTGAGCTGCTTGTTGAAAAGATTAACAAGGATTTCTATAAAGTGAGGTAATGCAATGCCTGCCTCATCAGATTTTCAGTAAATGTGAGTTCCTAAAGCTGCCATCTTTGTCCTAAGCTCATCATCAAAGGTAACCTCATTTTCAGATCAGCTTCCTGAGGTCTCTGAAATAGCAGATATGGATGTAAACATTAAAGGACAACGTAGGGGCCGGGCGTGGTGGCTCACACCTGTAATCCCAGCACTTTGGGAGGCTGAGGCAGGCAGATCACGAGGTCAGGAGTTCAAGACCAGCCTGACCAGCATGGTGATACCCTGTCCCTACTAAAAGTACAAATATTAGCCAGGCATGGTGATGGGCGCCTGTAATCCCAGCTACTCAGGAGGCTGAGGCAGGAGAATCGCTGGAACCCGGGAGGCGGAGGTTGCAGTGAGCCGAGATTGCGCCACTGTACTCTAGAGAGTGAGACTCTGTCTCAAAAAAAAAAAAAAAGAACAACAACAAAAAAAAAAAAAAAAAAAAAAAAAAAAAAAAAAAACCCAAAGGACAATGTATACCCAAGCCCAGGAAATGGAACATTCTGTGATATATCAAATGTCTCCCTAAAAAAGAACAGTAAATATATTGTCCCCATGGCAAACTCCAGTCTTTGAATAGTGACTGTCTTATATTGAAGAGATTCCAAAGGCACATTTATACACAATAGGTAAAAATGTTATCACTCTTTAAAGATGCCTACCCTAGATGGAGGAGGGGGAGAGACAGCTCCAGCAACACGCCTGCCACCTTTCCAAAGCAGTAACCCAAATCTAAATGTCATATTATTTCTTTGTGCTTGTGCTTTGTAGACTCTGGAAAATCCCAAGTATGAACTGATCATCGAGGCTCAAGATATGGCTGGACTGGATGTTGGATTAACAGGCACGGCCACAGCCACGATCATGATCGATGACAAAAATGATCACTCACCAAAATTCACCAAGAAAGAGGTAAACCCCTGTGCCAAACACCAACCACCACTGTGGTCACAGCTACAATTACTGATTGATGTTAATTCACGTACCACAGCACCTGCTGGCCCCCCTTTCAAAATCAAAATACTCCTTTGTGGGAGAGACGATGGTGTTTTGCTGGAATTCTTTCTCACATTTTTATTTTGTGTTTGTGTGTGAGGCTAAAATACTAGAGCACGGTGAGAACAAGAGCACTGAATCTTGTTAAAGTCCATAAGAAAATAACTTTTAATGCCCAAGTGCCATTTTCATAGTTTTATTGCTGTTATTTAGCAGTGAGTTATGAGAGTCCCACTGTGATTTTAGCATAACAATAACTATTTTTTTCCAGCAAGTGCAGATTGAGAGGCCAGACGGAACAGTAGCAAGGAGGTAAAGCAGATTTCCTAGTCCATAACAATGTGGCCCAGGAGCTTATAAATAACAACAAAGTTAGCTCATCCAGGAGAGCCATTATTCATTCTCAGTCCCTGTGCTTTTATGATTATGGATCATGGTTGTTGTTTCCCATTTATTCCAAGGGAGCGATGTTTGGGGAAGGGCTGAGTACACAAGATCACATTCAGTTGCTAAATTTGTACCCAAACCAGGAAGCCATTTGCACTAAGCACATTCTGATGGAAATGTGCTAAGATTGTGGCTTCTTTAGGGGCCTGGGCCAGGGCATGGATTTGATGCCCTTCTTACTGACCAAGTGAAGAATATGGAATAGGTACGATGGCCCCTGACTTTTGCAGAGTCTTTACTGTATCTACCATGGTGTCTCCCCCTGAGATCTGTTGCCTGATTTGACTGTGTGAGCCTGGCTTTACCATTTTACAAATGAGCTTACTGTGATGCTCAGAGAATCCAGAGAACAAGCTCCAAGGTCATGGACAGAAAAAGTGGCAGAAACAGGAAGTGAACCAGGTTCCTGTGATTCAAAAGCTGCAGTCCTAACTGTGATGCTGTGCTTTCCTCATCTGCCATCAATGCTTCCAACCTCCAGGGTGTTTGGAGAAAAAAACCTATATAGGGACCTGCAGTTGCCCCACTGCTCTCTGGAGGAATCTCAAGGCTACCCAGGGTGGCTTGAGACAGATGGATCCTCTCAACCCCCGAGTTCCCCAATGGCCTCTGTATTAGTTCATTCTCACACTGCTATAAAGAACTACCTAAGACTGGGTAATTTACAAAGAAAAGAGGTTTAATTGGCTCATGATTCTGCAAGCTGTACAGGGATCCTGGCTGGGGAGACCTCAGGAAACATTCAGTCATGGCAGAAGGCAAAAGAGGAAGCCAGCACATCTTCACATGGAAGAGTAGGAGAGAGAGAGCAAAGGGGAAGGTGCCACACACTTTTAAGCAACCAGATCTCATGAGAATTTTATCATGAGACAGCACTAGGGGGGTGGGTGCTAAACTATTAGAAAGCACTCCCGTGATCCAGTCACCTCCCACCAGGCCCCAACTACAACACTGGGAATTATAATTCAACATGAGATTTGGGTGGGGATGCAGAACCAAGCCACATCAGCCTCTTCACCTCGGCATCCCCCTGCATGGCTCACTCAGGAGGTAGACGTCCCCCTTTCTCCCTGTGGTGTCTTGGGCACTCAGGATTCCAACCTCAAAACAGCAAAGTCCACGGGAGCTTGATTTGCTCCATTCTCTGACTTCCCATGGCAGGGTTCCTCTAGCTGCTAATACAGACTGCTCACTCTTGCCATGGTTCCAAACTGGCATTTCAAGAACACCAGTTCTAATTAGTTCCAAACAATTCTAATTCACTTCCAAGAAATTAGTCACAAAAATTACACCACCGGGGTGGGGATAGGAATGAAAAAAATATACTTCAGGGTCAAGTAGATGTGGGAAACACTGAATTGATTACTTTTAAATGGTTTATTTAACTGCAGGATTTCTGATTAACTTTAAAATGCTTTGTGTTTCTCTAACAGGGTTAGGTATGGTCTGTGGGGTTTCTCATTCTTCTTTGGCCTGGGGGCTTTTTTTTCTAGGCTACCTTATATGGCTTATGGAGCTGGTGTTTCATGGAATGTTCACTGGGGGATTTTTGTTTATCTTTATAATTTCTTTTCAACCTATTTCAAAATAAAAACTCAGAGCACATTGTAATATTCAATATAAACTTAACGATGGGAACAAAAATAGGATAACCCCAACCCAAAATATGAAGATGAATCTGTGTTACCAGCTGTGTGAGATTAATTAGTTACTTCAATGCCACTGTGAATTTGGGTCCTGTGACTTAGGAAAAAAAGAAATCTTTGCTCAGTTGTGGACTAAACACTGTGAATGACAGACTATTGTTTTTAATGTCATTGAATCCAAGGAATAATTTAACATGGACTCTAAAGGTTAGCTACCATTCCACAATATCATATTGATTTCAAAATATCATATTGTAAACACTAAAAGCATACAATGTTATCTGTCAATCTTAAAAAATAAATTTTGAAAAAAGAGACACTGAGTAGCATAAGGAAAATGTATCTGCCTGTAAATACCAGCAAAAGCACACACATTTTCTTCAAATGGAGATTAGACAATGAGTTTGAGATTCCCAAAAGGCAGAGCTGATACCTAAACTCATAAAGAGAGATAAGTAATCAGATGAAAGGAAGTGATAACAAGTACACTAGACTCTCATTTGGATATTAAATGTCCCAAAGGAGTCTTTGCCCAATGTTTGATAATTTAAATTCATGATTAAACTTTCTGTCGTGTTCCTGAAAGGCTGATGTTCTTTGTTGAAGGGGATTCATACACTTTGGATAGTAACACTGCTGGGGGTAATGTGATTGAGAAGTAAGGAGGGGGCGCTGGAGCCGGAATTGGGTTCACATCCCACTGACCAGCCATGTGGTGGGAGCATGTTAAGTGCTCTACATCCCAGTCTCTTCACCTGTTAACGGGCTGATCGCAGAGCCCACCTCATTAGGTCATTGTGAATGAGCTAATGACTAAAAGAACCTAGATAGTGCCTGTCGCCCAGTATTTTCTAAAGTATAGAGATGAGGACAGTGGTGATGACACCGCTGATGAGGATGGTGGGAGGAAGGCCATGATGAAGAAGAAGATTGTGATGAGAAAGATATTATTATGACAGTGATGTTTCCAAAATGTCAGAGGCCAAATTGACATTCTTATCGAAAGGGCCACCTCCCCTCCAGGTTAAAAGGCTACTCTTTTCCTTTAAAGTGACATATGAATCTGCTCAAGCACTTCAAAATACATGGTTAGGACCCTAGAGTTCTAGGGGAGAAGCAATTCTGCAGGAGAGGTGGCAGAATCTGTAAAATGCATCACTATGAGATCAGGCCTCGGGACAAAAGCGAGAGAGACCAAGAGAAACCTGCTGGGGAGAGGAGAGCTCCTAATGAGGACTGGCTCAGATGCAGTGGCCTCTAGGATATGGAAGAGGTAGGAAAACAGGATGCCCTAGAAACAGAGAGGAAAGATGGGGCTTATGATCTTGAAGTTGAAACAAATTTTAGAGATGAAAATCAAGGTTTAGTCATTCCAAAATAGAAATGGTGATCATTTGGAGTTGAGGATGTCCAGAAAGCTCTCTAAGGAGATGTTGTCCTAAGTAAATTTTTTCATATCTTAGGACATTTCGAAGTTGATAAGAATACATGGTTTTTGGGAATATATGAGGTTTTTAAATTCTATCTTACATGACTTTCCCTCTCCGGAGAGATGTATCCTTTTATCTGTTTTTGAAATCTATATAAAAGAGGAGTTATGATTGATCACAAATAATAGAGACTAGAAATAACACTGTTGAACAAAATAGAGGTAGTTTCTCTCACTTAAAAGTTTGGAAGTGAAGGCTGGGAGTGGTGGCTCGTGTCTGTAATCCCAACACTTTGGGTGGCGGAAGTGGGAGGATTGCTTGAGCCCAGGAGTTCAAGACCAGTCTGGGAAACATGGTGAAACTCTGTCGCTACAAAAAAAAATACAAAAATTATCCAGGCATGTAGTCCCAGCTACCTGGGAGGCTGCGGTAGGAGGATCATTTGAGCCTGGAAGGTCAAGACAGCAGTGAGTCATGATCACACCACTGCACTCCAGCCTGGGTGACAGAATGAGACCCAGTTTCAAAAAAAAAAAAAAAGTTTGCAGGTAGACAGACCCAGGCCAGTTTGGTAATGACATGATATCAATTTCCCAGGTTCCCCTTAGCTTTCTGCTCCGCCGCCCTCACGGCTGCCTTGTGGTACAATAGGGTCACTGCAGCACCAGGTATAACAGCCAGTAACAGGAAGTAAGAAGCAGGGAATGAGAAGAACAAAGGAGAACCGGCCACCTGAGTAAATGTCACTTGAAAACTTCCCCAGAAGACTAAGTGACTTCTGCTTGCATCTCTGTAGCCTCCCTTACCTGTAAGGGAGGCTGAGAAATAACTACAGTTGTCTTCAGTTGGTATGTTGCATTTATAGTGTTTGTTTAAGGAAGGAGATACTTTAAAGGTTACTTTTAAAAGTAAATTCTTATTGCAAAGTAAGCTCATCCAGGCACGGTGGCTCACACCTGTAATCCCAGCACTCCGGGAGGCCGAGGTGGGTGGATCCCCTGAGGTCAGGAGTTCGAGACCAACCTGACCAATATGGTGAAACCCTGTCTCTACTAAAAATACAGAAAGATTAGCTGGGCATGGTGGCACATGCCTGTAATCCTAGCTACTTGGGAGGCTTAGGCAGGAGAATTGCTTGAACCAGGGAGTCAGAGGTTGCAGTGAGCTGAGATCACACCAGTGCACTCCAGCCTGGTGACAGAGCAAGACTCGGTCTCAAAAAAAAAAGAAAAACATGTAAGCTCAATTCTTTAGTCCTCTCGTGTTCATTTACAATGACTATACACTTGCTGAGAAGCAACAGCCACATCTCTCCTATCCTCTGTTGTATCCCGGCAGGCACTCAATAACAGAGCATTTGCTGAACGCTTCCTGAAGATAATTTTAACTTCAGAACAGCTTCACTGCATACGATGAACGAAGATTGTACTTAAAATTGCCGCTGATACATGAAATCAATTTTCAGTCATTGATGTTCATGCAAATTTAGGTTGGAAACGCTAGTTTTTCTCTGTGGAGAGTTTTCTATAAGTTTTCCTAATAGCTTGTACGTATGACTTCAACTAACTGTTAGTTTTGAACTTCTTACATAAGGTATTTTGAAATGATCTGAGAAAATCTAGTTAAACTCTTCAAATACAGACTTTGAAATATACATGAAAACTTCAGCAGCCCCATTTGTGGCTTTTTCATTCTTGTCTCTTAGGTTATTTTATTAAAAAAAAGATTTCTGATTTGTAGCTAGAACATGGTTGATGCCCAACAAATACTGATTGAATAAGTCATATTTTCACATAAATCTCAGGTCATGGGGATTAATAAACTCGCTATTAATTAAAGAATGTGTTTGCAAGTGATTATAAAATTTAAAAAAAACAGAAAATTTCAAATTTCATTTTCCAGTTCTACCTTAAAATGGCAATTGGTCATTTAGATTTAATAATTTAGGACTTTTTGGCAATTCAATGAGTTCTTTCTAAGGTAAATGTTTTGGTGTTTAAGCTATAACATTATCATACCTATAATAAAAACGACATAAAACTTATAAGATCCTGTCCTCCAGCTGGAAAATGAGAGATGGGCAAATGCTCCAGTTTTCACAAAGGGACAAAGGTAAATGGTAGGAGTTAGGAGCTGTCAAGCTGCAAGTGAGCCATAGGCAGAAATTCACATCAGGTTATCAAATGAATGCTGGAGTCCAGGCTCCAATTTCTAAAAGTCAGTGTGGAGTCCTGAAGAATACATGGTGCCTCAAGTATCTTCTTTTCCTGTGGGGTATTAGCATTTTTTGTTTTTTGAGACAGGTTCTCATTCTGTCACCCAGGCTGGAGTGCAGTAGCACAATCATAGTTTCGGCTCACTGCAACCTCAAGCTCCTGGGCTCAGTCAGTCCTCCTGCCTCAGCCTCCTGAGTAGCTGGGACTTCAGGCATACACCACCATGTCTGGCTAATTTTTGTATTTTTTTTTTTTTTTTTTTGGTATTTTTGTAGAGGCGAGGTTCTGCCATGTTCCTCGGGCTGGTCTTGAACTATTGGGCCCAAGCAATCCACCCACCTAAGCTTCCCAAAGTGCTGGGATTAAAGGCATGAGCCACTGTGCCCAGCCAGTATTCGCATTTTTAATTAAAATATTGTGTTAATTAACTGCCTAATACAACCTCTAATAGTTTTTCTCTTCCATGTCTGGCTGCAAACTCTATGGTCACTTCTTCATATAACAATTACATAAGATCATTGTCTATAGAAATATAAGAACAAAAGGTATAGGCTTTCTTCTAGCAGGGTTGATAGAAATTTTCTCTGTGTCATCAAGAGTTTAGAAACTTTTTTTTTGTTTTTGCTTTCACAACACATTTTATTATTGGAAAACTTGTGCACATTTTGAGGAATATCATCAAATTTAAGGACGTTTCTGTCATATATATGAGCTATGCCAAGCTTGTTCAACTTGCGGCCTGTGAGCTGGCAGCATGCAGCTGAGGATGGCTTTGAATGCGGCCCAACACAAATTCGTAAACTTTCTTAAGACATTATGAGATTTTTTTTTTAGCTCATCAGCTATCATATTAGTGTATTTTATATGTGGCCCAAGACAATTCTTCTTCCAGTATGGCCCAGGGAAGCCAAAAGATTGGGCAACCCAGAACTATGCAATTTCCAGTCTTCTTGTGTAAAAACTAATCTTTAAATCAATGACACATATTAGCTAAGTTGTCATCCACATCCTCGTATGAGGCATATTATGAGTTTTATGTTATCTTTATTGGAGTGAGCATGGAAGATCAAATCGGCAAGAATTTAAATCTTTTTCCAATGTGTTTATTATGATTCATTCTTCTTCATTAGTGGCTTTATTAAACAATCAAGAAGCTATTTTATTTCTTGTGTTAGAAATTTACCTTTTCCTCTTAATAAATTATTTGAGGCAGAATGATGTCAGGATACCTGTTTATTTCATTTTTTAACTTTATCACTTTTGATTATAGGCCATTCAAGTTTTTTACTAACAGCTTTATTGAGATATAACTCACATGCCATAAAATTCACACTTTTAAAATGTACAATTCATTGGTTTTCATTATATTCACAGAGTTGTCGAATTATCATTACTGTCTAATTTTAGAACATTTTCATCGTCCCAAAAAGAAACCCGAACCCATGAGCAGTTACTCCCCATTGCCCATTCCCCCACGCTGGCCACCACTGATCTACTGTCAGCCTCTATGGATTAGTTTATTCTGGACATTTCATATGAATGGAATCATACAATACGTGGTCCTTTGTGACTGGCTTCTTTCACTTAGCATTATGTCTTCATGGTCTGCCCATGTTTTAGTGTGTCTTAGTACTTCATTTCTTTGTGTGGCTGAATAATACTCCATTCCATGGTTATACCACATTTTATGCATTCATCCACTGAGGGACATTTAGGCAGTTTCAGTTTTTGGCTATTGTGAGTAACGCTGCTGTGAACATTCATGTAAAAGTCATTAAGTCTTTATCTGCGTTTTCTCTCACATCCTAAACAGCTAGAATAAAAAAAAAAAGTACCCATAATATCACTCCAAATTAGTAATCTGTAATTCCTCAGTTGTTTTATTGAAACATTTCAAAATGCGTTTCTAAATTGCAGTTAATATGACTTATTCAAGACTTATCAACTTCTTTTTGTCATGTAACTTCCATATGAAAAAAGTACACAAATCCTGAGTGATTTAATTCTCAACAGATCAAACACAAAACCCAAATCAAGACACAGAATATGATCAGCAACTCAAAAGCTTCCTAGGGTTCCTGCTAGTCCCACCACCTGCTCGGTAAAACAGCTCCTCTCCTGACGTCTTTCACTATAAACTAATTTTTTTCCTATTTTTACCTTATTTATATAAATAATCATAGTGTGGACCCTTGGGACTAACTTTTGTGAGACTTATCTATGTTGTTGCACATAGCCGTAATCTATTCATGTTCGTTACCATGCAAATATATTTCAGTTTACTCCTTCATCCTACTACATGTGGGCATTTGGGTTATTTCCAGTTTGGGGATAATTTAGGTAATAGTGGAATAAGTATTCTTGAATGTGTCTTTTGGTGCATATTTGAAGCTTATATGTGTTTCTGTTTGGGGTATATCTACAGGTGAAATTGCTAATTCAACTTCGGTTGATTCCACCAGAGTAGTTAACTCCAGTTTACAGTGGAACACTCACTGAGAATCTTGACTGCTATATATTTTCCCCAACATTTGGTTTTATCAGTTTTTTGGTTTGTTATTATTTTTAGCCTTTCCAATGTGTATGTAGTGACATTTCCCTGAGGCTTTAATTTGTATTTCTCTGGTGGCTGATGAAGTTGACCATCTTCCATCCACTGGCTGTTGGGATTCTACTTTTGGGTAATACCTTTTCAAGTCTTTCAACCATTTTTTAAGTTGGGTTATTAGTCTTTCTCTTATCGACGTGTTTATCTTTATTCTGGATGTGAGTCCTTTGAGTTATATACATGTTGCAATTTTTTTTTTACACTCTGGCTTTCCTCTTCTCTCTCTGAATGAAGGTAGAGTCCCAATTTTAATGAATTCCAATGTTGGTTGATGGTTAATGTCATCTGTGCTCTATTTTTGCCTACCCCAAAGGTTTAATTTCATTGATGGATATGAAACTATGTATATTTCAATTTGCCAATTTGTGTTTTTCCAGGAATTTGTCCATTTCATTTTTTTTCTCTATTTTTCTTGGTTGGTCCTGCCATGGAGTCATTCTATCCACTTTATTAATCTTTTCAAAGAAACTACTTTTTGTTTTGTGGATTTTTCTCTATTGGGTGTTTCTTTGTTTTTTTCCTTCTATCTCTTTGGGTATCTTTCACCATTTATTTTTCAAACCCCTCCCTAGAAATGATACTTTAATCATTGATTTTCAATCTTTCTTTTTTTCTAATGTATGGATTTAAGACTATATAAATTTTCCCTTAAGCATGACTATAGTTGCATTACATAATATGTGCTATGATGTATTTTCATTATCATTCAGATCAAAAATATTTTTGAATTTTCTTGGGTCCCTTTTGTGACTTGTGGTTTTCTAGAAGTATATTGCTAAATGTGACATATTTGGGAGTGTTTTTTATTCTTTTCCATTAATTTCTATCTTAATTCTACAGTGGTTAGAAAGCATCCACTATATGATTACAGTCCTTTGACATTTGCTGAGACTTGCTTTACAAGCTCACATGTAATCAATTTTGATAGATGGCCCATGAATGCTTTAAAATAATGTTAATTCTGTAGTTGTTTAGTATCGTGATCTATATACATCAGTTAGGCCAAGGTTTACAATTTTGTTGTTCAAACCTTCTATATATGTTTTATTAATC
Source organism: Homo sapiens (assembly GCF_000001405.40). Classification (NCBI taxonomy): domain Eukaryota; kingdom Metazoa; phylum Chordata; class Mammalia; order Primates; family Hominidae; genus Homo; species Homo sapiens. The sequence goes on from NC_000016.10 coordinate 83,612,079, forward strand.
TGCTTATTGTATCAGTTACTGAAAGAGTGATATGATATCTATAATTACAGATCTATCTATTTCTCCTGTTGGTACTATTAAATTTTTAAAAACTTAATTTGAGGCTGTCTTATTAGATGTATACAAATTTAAAATTGTTATATCTTCCTAATGCATTGACTCTTTACCATCATGAAATGTACCTCTCTATCTCTGCAAATGCTTTCTGCTTTAACATTTATCTCATCTCGTATTAGAATAATTATCTTACCTTTCTTTTGGTCAGTGTCATCATGGTATATTTCTTTCTGTCATTTTTTTCTTTCTGACTTTCTGTAATCTTATATTTAGTCTGTGTCTCTTTTAAGTGGTGTATGTATGGGCTTTGATTTTTTAAAATCAATTCCAATAATGTTATTGTTACTGGAATTATTTTGCCCATTTACATTTAATGCAAGTACAACATATTCGGGTTTCAATCTACCAGTCTAAGTATTTGTTTTCTATTTGTTGCTCCTTTTTGATAAATTTCTTTTCCTCTTATCTCTTATCTTTTTCACATTTACTTGGGTTTTTTTATAATTTCATATTCAGCTCTAATAACTTATTAGTTATACTTCATTTTCATATTCTTGTAGTGGGTTCTGAGAAATTGCAATATATATTCTCAACTTTTGGACTCTAACATCAAGTAGAATTTTTAGGACTTACTGGATAATCCAAGGACTTTAGAAAATTTGAGCTCCTTTTATCATCCTCCTACCTTCTGAGATATTGTTGTTATGTTTTAATTCTGTATCAGTTTATGTTTTTCTACTTATTTACCCTTTGTATTATTATTTATTTATCCCTGTTTTTGTGCTTCCACATGGAAGAATTTTCCCCTCTGATTAAAAAATTCCTTTTATTTTAAAAATACTGCAAGTCTGCTGGTAATAAGTTCTCTCATATATTATCTAAAAAATGTCTTTTTTGCCAGAATTTTTGAAGAATATTTTCACTGGAGGTAAAATCTTGGTTGCCAGTTATTTTCTTAGAGAACTTCAAAGATAACATTTCATTGTCTTCTGACATCTATCATGTTTGTCAAAAGGTCAGCTGTCAGTGTTACTTTTATTTCCATTGAAAGAAACGTGTCTCTTTTCTCTGGCTGCTTTCAAAAACATTCTTTGTCTTTACTTTTCAGCAGCTTAACTGTGACATGCTGAACTGTGGTTTAATTCGTATTAATTATACTTGTTCCTTAAATATCTCAATTCATAAACCCATCTCTTCAAATATTTCTTCTGACTCATTTTATCTTCACTGGGACCCTAATTTTATATATGAATGTGTTTGTGTTTGTATGCACACATACATATACAAACATACATATACACACACACATAAATATATATATAGACTTTCTATGCTTCTGTTGAGCTATTTTTAAGCTCACCAATCCTCTCTTCTGTCTAATCTACTATACCCATTTATTGATTTAATTACACTCAGGCCAGGCACGGTGGCTCACGCCTGTAATACCAGCACTTTGGGAGACCGGTGGGCAGATCACTTGAGGTCAGGAGTTCAACACCAGCCTGGCCAACATGGTGAAACCCTGTCTCTACTAAATAAATACAAAAATTAGTCAGGCGTGGTGGCGCCCACCTGTAGTCTCAGCTGCCTTGGAGGCTGAGGCACGAGAATCACTTGAACCCCAGAGTTGGAGGTTGCATTGAGCTGAGATCATGCCACCGCACTCCAGCCTCCATGACAGAATGAGAGTCTGCCTCAAAAAAAATTTTTTTTAATTAATAAATAATAATTACACTCATATTTTAAATTATGTAATTTCAAATTCTTTTTTGAATAAAATTATCAGCTGAAATTCTACATTTTACCTATTTTCATGAATATTTTAGTCAAATTATTTACAATTCAATGTCTGCTAACTCCAGCATCCATTAATAGATACTTCTGAGTCTATTTCTATTATCAGTCCTTTTCTCCTGGTTTTTGGTCATTGGTTATAGTCGCCTGGCATACCTAGGAATTTTTTAATTTAATTTTGGACAACATATATGAAAATGTTTAGAGATTAGTAGAGGCTCTGGCTGATGATTCCCCCAGAGAGGATTCCCTTTTGCTTTCTGTAAACAGATAAGAGTAGGACAGGATGACTTTAAGTCAGTCTGAGATGGAGTTGGTTTGTGGTGGGACTCAGGCTTTTTCAAGGGTGGGTCTACTTCCCAGTGTTCCCTTCTCCTCGGATGCAGCTTTCCTGGGGTCCTAACTGAAAGTCTGGTATGTTTCCAGGGCTCCTCCACTTTGGCCGACCTTGCATTTCACTTCTCAGTCCCTTGTCTCTGCTGAAAGCTCTCCTTGGCCCTCTGGCCTCTTAGACAGCACCTTCTGCTCAGATGCTTAGCCTGCTCTTCCTCTGCCCTCACAATCTGGGAAATGCCTTCAAGGGTAAAAGTTCTATGGAATATTGGCCTCGCTTCAGTGAATTTTCCTTCTCTCCAGGATCCTGGACTCTCAAGTATTGGCTGCCTTACCAGCTCTTCGGCACTTTCAAATAAGTGGGGGGTTTTATATTAAATCCATATCCTGGTTGTTCTAGATTTGAGGGTTGGTCAGGAAGAAGCTTTCCCCAATCATCATAAAGAGAGAAAAAATCTGGATTAGCTTTTTAATCTGGAGTATCAGGAAAATATCAGTAGACATGGTGCGGATATAATTCCTGTGGCAGAAAGCATAATATTTTCATTTAAAATGTGGAGAAATATAATTAAATGGCTTCACAGTACCCACTCCATCTCATACCATTTGCTTCAAAATCAACTTATTTCAGTAAAAGTTTAAAATGTTTGAAGTGTCTCCTACTTGATGATATCGATAAGCAAGAAGGGAACTCTAAATCCAAGAAAGCTAAACTTTTCTTTCTGATTCTTCACTTGATTTGACATGAATATCTACAGTTCCCTTAACTCTTTGGGATCTTTTCCTCTGTTTTTGATAGTTTGGTGACTCCAGCTATGAAGTTAGAAGACACACCTTTGTGCTTCCACCCTTTGCCAGAAGTCTAATTGAAGTAAATATATTTATCCAGTCCTCCAGGATTCCGTGCAATATATTTGAGTGCTTCAAAGAAAAGCCTCCTACTTGGATAAGCGTTTACTTCCTTTAGGAGAAGAGCTCTTTAACATCAGATGCACTTGTGTCTAAACCCCGACCACGTAATTACACATTCTGCTTGCTCCAAAGAGATTAATCCAGAAAGCCAACCACATATTTCTTAGAAGATGGAACACATTTCAATTATCTGACTCAAGTGACTTTTCTGGAGGGTGGAGTCCAAGACATTTTAAGTACCAGATAAATCTTTGAAGCCGATTAAATGTTTTTCCAAATAGTCTAGACTCCCTCTTCCTATGAGGCTTTTTATAGCTATTATAGTGATATATGTGAGGCTTTTTTTTCCTGATACTGTAAAATCACATATCTGACAGTTTTCAGTGTGGCTGAGGTTTTAAATCAACCCAACTATATGCTACTGGGATCTCTATCTCATATTTTGTACAGAATGGTGGGGAATATCAATATTTAAAGAAATGGTATTTTTGGAGAGAAGAGAACAGTGTGATTTCAGTGCATGGGTACTAGCAGTTTCCAACTCTGTAAACAGTGCCATCACTCATGATTACATCATTTCCTGTTCTTTCTTGTCCTGGCCAACACTTTGTCCAAGGACTCTAAGAGATCATCTACTGCAAATTGCATTCCCAACTTCCCATCACATAATCGAAGAGAGGTTTGCTGCAAAACCGCCAACACCTTCATTTCACATTTATCTTCACTTGAAAGGGGTGAGTTCATCACTTTTTTCTCCTGCACCAAGACCATAGGAAGACACGAAATCATCAACTAAATCTTCCAGCGTTCAAATATCGGAGGCCCTGGAAACAGCAGGTATGCCGCTGAATGTTTTTGAATAAAAGAGAGTGAAGGGAAACGTTTGTACAAATATAAGCAACGATCTACAAATAGAAGCCATCATCCAAGCAGTACAGTTCCAACTAAGGAAAAGGGTGGTATGTGCATTCCTGGATTTAATTGTTCATACACACAAGGATGAGCTGTCTTGCGTTGTTGGAAATGCCCACGCTGATTATAAACTCTGTGTGGAATGTCAAAACATCTGGATTTTTAAGTGAAAAAATATATAATCTACCATGTGGCTGTTTCTTCAAGTCACTCCTAAAGGTAGACAAGGCAGCCAGATGATTTATTGCATTAATCACTCTTTCATAATTATATTCGTGATGTGTTGATCCCCATCATCCCTGTGTGAACCTCTATGCGAATTCCGTGCCTTTGCTAAACCTCTGGTTATGCTCAAGGGTCAGTGGCAACTCAGTGACAATAAAAGCAATTTTTCACTATAGCTGGCAGAGTCTTACCACCGAGCCACTCCATAGCACAGTGGCCTCTGAAGACTTCATCCACCTCCTTCTATTCAAAGATAATATCCTCATACTAAGAGCAACAACCACAAAGCCATAAAACATCTACTTTTTTAACTCTAAGAATATGACATGACTACACCTCCATAATGCAGTGTGCAGAATGAGAACACAGGAGTTCAGAAATAGAAAGCCAAGAGCAGCATAAATGGAGCCTGTTGGAAGATGAAACGTCCAGGTCCACACTGCACCTGGAAGCCATTTTGTACTGAACAATTTTAGAAGTAAGATCATGGGTCTGATGCATACATGGTTTCAAACACTGTCCACCTGGCTACAGCCTGCCTTCGTCTTAGGCCACACGGGAGCTCTGTTTACCCCTACGTGCCAAGCTTTGGCATGTCTTTGTGCCACTACACACTCTGTTCCCTTCTTCCCGGAATGCCTTTTCCTTCCTTTGTGCCTGAAAAATTCCAATTTATCCTTCACCACCCAACTTATAAATCCCCCAGGCACTTTGTTACTTCCTCTTCCTTGTCCCAAAACATGTTAGCCCCCTTCCTAGCCTAGAGTTACCACATTGCCTTTCGCTTGTGGACTCACAACCCCTCTCCCTAATCCGCTTGGAATGCTTTGCTCTTTAAGCCCATCTCCTTTTCATCTCCGCCTCTAGGGCCAAGCACAGGGGCAACATCAAGTGTTTAATTAGAGATGAGTTTATTATTCATGCAGCAAATACTTATTACAGAACTGTGTTTTGGCTTCTGATGTACTATTAACTATCCTTTCATTCACTATTATATACAATGTTACCTGTATACCATTATATGCTGCGTATAAGTAATACTCTATTATGTATGCTATTCTATTCTAATATGCACATACCCTAATATGCACATATTCTAGTCTAATATATAAATCTATTGTAATATGCACATATCCTAATAAGCACATTTTCTATTCTAATATATAATATCTATTGTAATAAGCACATATCCTAATATGCACATATTCTAATATATAATATCTATTCTTTTCTCATATGAACATATCTCAATATGCACATATTCAATTCTAATATATATCTATTCTAATATGTACATATCTTAATATGCACATATTCTAATATATATTTCTAATATGCACATATCCTAATTTGCACATAATATCTATTGTAATATGCACAAATCTTAATATCACATATTCTATTCTAATATATAATATCTATTCTAATATGCACATATCCTAATATGCATATATCTATTCTATTCTAATATGCACATATCTTAATATGCATGTATTCTGTTCTAATATATAATATTTATTCTATTCTAATATGCACATGTCCTAATACGTACATATTCTGTTCTAATAATATATGACATAAAATATTAAATATGCAATATTCAACTTCTGGTGTGCTATATAATTATTTAATTGCTTATTGCCACTCTCACTAAATTAGAATGTAAGCTCCTCAAGGAAAGAAACTATCTGTTTTGTCATCTGCTGTGGTCCCGCACCCAGCCTGCCGTGTAGTGCATGATCAAATAACTGATGAATGAATGAATAAATGGTCGATGCTTGACAACAAAGACAATCAGAATCTCTGAGTCATGTTGTTGCAAAGCACTTGCGGCCAGGCATGGTGGCTCATGCCTGTAATACCAGCATTTTGGGAGGCCGAGGTGGGCTGATCGCCTAAGCTCAGGAGTTCAAGACCAGCCTGGGCAACATAGTGAAACCTTGTCTCTACTAAAATACAAAAAATTAGCCAGGCATGGTGGCATGTGCCTGTAGTCCCAGCTACTTAGGGGGCTGAGGCAGGAGAATTGCTTGAACCCAGGGGTTGGAGGTTGCAGTGAGCCAAGATTGTGCCACTGAGCTTTAGCCTGGAGAACAGAGAGAGACTCCAAAAAAAAAAAAAAAGAAAAAGAAAAGCACTAGGAAGGCATCTCATTCAATACATAGTTTTATAGATGAGGGGTCCTGCTCAAGGTAGAAAACAGATCCCAGACCAACCTCACTGTGGCACAAAATGCTGCTGCCGATGAGAAACCCAGGCTCCAGCCCTGCACTAACATAGCAAGTCACAGGATCATCCCCAAGATTTATCATTGCACTGTAGTCTGCCAAGAGCCGAGACAGTTGGAGTTAAATTCCATCTCAGAAGTGAATAAATGAATCTACATAAACTGCAGAGATCCCTGAATCTACTTCCCTATCGGTCAAGTAAAAAGAAAAAAAATCAAGAAAACTCAATGTTAATAAATAATACATAAAGGAATCGTTAGAGTGGAGACAGGTTCAACTTATCCTGTGAGTTAAAAAAAAAAATGAAAGCAAGAAAATATTCCACAGTTCCAGTGTGCTGAGCTCATTCTTGTGAGATTAAACAAAATAATTCAGGATTAATATATTCATTTCTTTGCAAACTACTATCTATTTCAGTTACAGACTGAGTATCAGTTTTTCCAGTGTTGGCACTTTATTTTTGCTGTTGACCGGCTCAGATCTGAAAGACAGGATTTTATGAGAAGCGTCACCTTCAGCCTGCTTTGCCTGTGTGTGCCTGCGTTTGTGTATCACACGTGATAACGTTATGCTGTCGCTTTCCAAAGTACATTCATTCATTCATTCATCCACCTGCTTGCCCATCAGACATGTATGTGCGCTATGCCTCCTCTTTTCCAGGCTCTGTGATAAGCTAGAGCGCAGGGCAGTGAGTGAAGTGAACAGGGTCCCTGACCTCACGAAGCATGGCTGGGGACAACCAGCCAACCAGCACATCGATCCTGAATGACCCCTCATGATGAGATGGAAGAGGGTAAAGTCATAACAGAGGGGGACTGCGAGGGCACTTGGCATGGAGCTCAGGGAGGGCTTCTCAGAGGAGGTGACTGTATTCATTTCCTGGGCTGCCATAACAAGGTATTACCAGCCATGTGGCTTCAACAACAGATGTTTATTACCTCACAGCTCTGGAGGCAGAAGTCCAAGAGCAAGGCACTGGCAGGGTTGGTTCCTTTGGAGGCTGGGAGAGAGAATTGGTTTGATGCCTGTCCCCACACTTCTGGTGGCCGCCGGCAACCTTTGTGCTCCTGGGCTTGTGCATGAGCACGAGCATCCCCCCAGTTCCTGCCTCCATCTACACCTGGCTTCTCCCCGTGCCCATGCCTGTGTCCACATTTCCTCTTTGCAGAAGGACACCAGTCATATTTGACTAGGGCCTACCATAGTAGCCTCGCTGTAACTTGATTCTCTCTGTCAAGGTCCTCTTTCCAAATAAGGTTACAGTCTGAGGTCCTGAGGGTTCAGATTTCAGTGTATCCTTAGGGGGAGACACAATTCAAAGTCTAGCAGTGACACAGAAGTGGAGGATGCAGATGGAAGCGTCCGTGGGAAGACCCCGGCCTGGGAAGGGCATGTCTGGCAGGAGGAACTGAAAGCCACCCAGGGTGACCAGAGCAACATGAAAGAGTCAGGGAGGGTGTGAGGCTGGAGAGGGCGGGAGGGGCCAGATCTCACCCACAAGACGAGGAGGCTGGATTTATTCCAAGTGCATGGGGAAGACATTGGCAGATGTTAAAAGAGATAGGGAGGGGGGCCGGGCTCAGTGGCTCACGCCTGTAATCCCAGCACTTTCAGAGGCCAAGGTGGGTGGATCACGAGGTCAAGAGATGGAGACCGGCCTGGCCAACATGGTGAAACCCCGTCTCTACTGAAAATACAAAAATTAGCCGGGCGTGGTGGCATGTGCATGTAGCCCCAGCTACTTGGGAGGCTGAGGCAGGAGAATTGTTTGAACCCAGGAGGCGGAGGTTGCAATGAGCCGAGATCGCACCACTGCACTACAACCTGTCGACAGAGCGAGACTCCGTCTCAAAAAAAAAAAAAAAAAAAAAGATATAGGGAGGAACATTCCAAGACTCAGAGCCCCCATGCTGCTTAGGAATACTGTTAGTCCACAAGAGTGAGTCAATGGCTAGGAGATTGCTGGGGATGCCAACAGCATGAGACCCAACACCTATGTCCTTCACCCAAGTGGGAATAACGCCAACCACAGGCAGCCAACATGAGTAGACGTTTATGTAGTAAGTTTCAAGCTTAGGAAGCCCTTCCACACGCCACATGCTCTCTCTCACCTAATACTTGCACCGTCCAGCAAAGAGGGTCTTGTTGTCCCTCCACGTAGATGAGGAAACTGAGGTTAAGTGGCACCGATTCCTTCCCTGAGGTCACTGGGAGCTACATGGTAAGAGTCTGGCCTCTGCATCTGCTTTTCCCTTGCAAACTCAAAGAGACGTCTCTCCTTCAAGTTGCAAGTGTCCTATCAAGAACGGCAATTGTGTCGTGAGTTTCTGTGAAAAGCAAGACTGGTCATTCCATCACTTCTGTCTGTCCAACATGCCCCAGACTTGCTCTTTTGGGGCCCCATGCTGTTAAGTAAACATCCCCCAGCCAGTGTGAATATCTGAAAGCACCTGCTTTGTACGCAGCAGGGTCAGAGACCTTTATATGCACGCCCTCGAGCCCTCCTCCTGCCAGCACTGAGACAGGTACCATGATCGTAATACCCCTTTCGTGGGTATGGAGATGAAGGCTCCGACAGCTGAAGAACTTACCCAGGCTCCAGACCCCAACTCTCAACCCTCTGCTAAGCTGCTTCTGTCCCGTGAAAGGATTAGCAATTTACCAGTCCAGTGCCAGTAGAGCCCACTATTCAGGCATTTCTGCCGGATTCAGTGGCAGCCATTATATGACTCTCCAGTGGTCTAGCCCTTGGGGTCAGCTCTGTAGGATTCCTTGCCAGGGCTATTCCTCGGGGAATACCTATCCTGTTTTTCTTGTTACACTTGTGCACCAAGGGTTTGCTGAAGCAGCCCAGGTCTATTACCACCGTTTTCCACTCTGCTTGAACTTGCAAACTTCAACTTACTGCTGGCCCTCTTGCTCTCACCTCACCTGCCTTTTTTTTTTTTTTTTTTTTTTTTTTTTTGAGATGGAGTTTCACTCTGTCACCCAGGCTGGAGTGCAGTGGCATGATCTCGGCTCACCGCAAACTCCTCCTCTTAGGTTCAAGCGATTCTCCTGCCTCAGCCTCCTGAGTAGCTGGAATTACAGGCATGTGCCACCATACCCGGCTAATTTTTGTATTTTTAGTAGAGACGAGGTTTCACCATGTTGGCCAGGCTGGTCTGGAGCTCTTAACCTGAAGTGATCCACCCGCCTCGGCCTCCCAAAGTGCCGGTATTACAGGTGTGAGCCACCGCACGCAGCCACCTCACCTGCCTTTCTGTTCAAATCAGGACAATGTTTTGTGCAAGGCCTGGATATAACTACAGCACACAAAAGATTTCTCTCCTGGGTTCATTAGGATAAGTTCAAGTTACCCTCTGTCCCTCCGTCATTTCTTCTCATTATAAAAGGGTTGGAGGGCTTCTTTCAATAGCCAGTGAAGTTGATTAGCAACCTTGTATCTTTATTTTGATAGGTCCAATGGGAAAATATACTAATCATTTCTTATGAGCAAAGAATAGATAAAAAAATTCATCCATATAAATAACTTTTCGAAAGCTAATTATTATCAAGTGCTTATCTGTGTGAGGCACTGTTCGAGATGCTTTGGGAACTGTAGCTCATTTAATTCTCACAACAGCCCTATGACGTAGGTACTCTTATTGTGCCCATTTCACAGATGAGGAAACTGAGGCACAGAGAGGTTTAGGACGATACCTGAGACTTCAGCGTGGTGGGGCAGGAATGTGAGGTGTGAGTCAGAGCACCTGGTTCCAGAGGCAGCTTTCAAACACAGCACTGCACTCCCCTGAGCTTCTACACACTCTTCCGGCCCCATGGGATTCCGAAATGAGAGAAATCAGGCCCCCAAAAGACCAGCCTTCATCAGGAGACTCGGACGAGAAAGTCAAAAAACCTATGTTGAACACAGCACCATTCTTGCAGCAGTATTAACTTTTCCACACTTCAGTATATTCATGTGCGTATCTACTTTAAAATCTTCCTGCATCACCATCAATAGCTTATAATTGATACTCCAATAATTAGATATCATAATTGAAATCCAGGTTTTACTCACTGGAGAATTTGGGCAAAGTCCTGCAAAGCAAGAGAAACTTTAGTTCATTAATGAGGCTCATTTTTACATTAGCCCGCTCTCGCTACATAACAATTTTTAAATCTTTTTACATTTATGATAGTCGTTACTGCAGTTTCAGAATCATTAGTGAGATAATGTGCTTCTTCAAGTTCACCAGTCTCTGTGAATTTGATATACTTGTTCTGAGTTAGCAGGGTTGCAGCGGCCTCAGCTTTTTGGTTCATGCAGTCACCGCATGCCTACCAAACACAGGCTGCGGGCTGAAGGCTGGAGATTGAAATAAGGCAGCAAATTCTTGCTTTCATGAGGCTTAGCAGGGAGGACAGGTATAAAAATAGTACAAGGGTGAATCTTACAAATAAATTCAGAGTGCTTTGGGAACATGACCTAAGGGAAATGGACCCGAAGTCTGGGAAGGTCAGCTCATGAAGTGACATCTTGTCCTTTAAGACTTGGCTCTGCTAGGTAGAGTAAGAAGGGGTGGTACAAGGTTAGCACAATCCAGGAAGAGCAAACATTGTGTGCAGATGCCCTGAGGCATACAAGAGCCCGGTTGAGGGGCTGAGAGGTGGGGCCAGGGCTGGGTGGGAGAGGTGGCACACACCCAGGGACTCAGTCCCCTATTACAGACTCCAGGAAGCCATGCATTTCCCTCGAGTTCCCCCAAATCACTCCCCAGTCACGATTAACGGGCTCTCTTTTCTTTCACTTGGGCCCTTTCAGCGCCTTGTTTCTCCCTGGATCTCAGCATCCTTCCCAGCATGCACTATCGGCTTTATTGCAATCGGTTTCTGCGTCTTCTGGGCAGCCCCTCTTCTGGGGCTCCTTGAGGGCAGACAGAGCTTCACTCATCATGGTCGTCCCCTTCGGCCTCGGAGCGGTGTGCACAGAGGGAGCACAAAGAATGTCCGTTGCATTAAATCAAATCTAACAAACAGCACTTTTTCCCGGCAGCTCTACAAATAGGAACAGGTGTCTTTGCTAATCGCCCCTGAATGCACGGTTCAATTCAGGGCTGTAAATCCATATATCAGAGCCAGAACCAGTTAGCTGTCTGGTCTATAATAACCACGCACTGGCCTCTCACATCATGGGCACTGGACCCTGTGGCTGAAAAGAAAGTCTCAACAAACCCAAACAAACTGAATTGTCCACTTGTACCAGCCTCACACAGGAATGGTCAAAATACCTCTTTTCCTTCAGCTCTGGGAAATTGAAAAGACAAATCAGTTAGCGGAAGCCTAAGACTAGAGGCTCACCCTTCGACAAGGAAATTCACTTGTATTTTCTCCGGAGTCAAGGATCCCCTGTTTGCACTCATTTCGTTGTTAGGAACAGAAATCCACTTTCAACCAGCAGAAACGAATTTCCTGGAAGGCATTGGTACTCATCACTGGGGGAGGTTCCGGGGCTTTCCAGCTTCAGGTGCAGCTGCGTCTAAGCCCTCAGACAATGTGGACGGGATGCTCCTTGTCTGCAGCTCCAGCTGTCAGCTCTGCCTGTCTCTCTATGTTGGCTTTATTCTCTGCTAGGCTCTCTCCTTGTGGCAAGAAAGGTGACTTCTGACAGCCCTGATGCCTTATACACAAAGGCAGGAACACCCACATCCTCTCTCCCAGATCCAAATGCTACTCTCATAGAAAGACTTTTGGTCTCTCTGGGTCACAGTACCCCCTCAGACCGGGCATTGATTCCCAGGAAATGATGAGATAACGCCCCCACCCCTGCCCCAGGTCAGCAGTCCCCAGCCTTTTTGGCACCAGGGACCGGTTTCGTAGAACACAATTTTTTCACAGATGGCAGGGGTGGTGGGGGATGGTTTCGGGATGACACTGTTCCACCTTAGATCATCAGGCATCAGTTAGATTCTCTTAAGAAACGTGCAGCCTGGATCCCTCTCATTCCCAGTTCACAATAAGGTTTCCGTTCCTATGAGAATCTAATGCCACCACTGATCTGACAGGAGGCGGTGCTCAGGCGGTCATGCTCACTCACAGGATGCTCACCTCCTGCTGTGCTGCCTGGTTCCTAATAGGCCATGGATCAGTACAGGTCCGCAGCCCCAGGGGTTGGGGACCCTTGCCCTAGATCACCTGCCCACCTCTGGGAAACAAGATGGGGAGAAAATGAGGCCTGTGGTTGACTGCACCAACGTGACCTCAAGGAGCAGGTTGTGGTGGTTCCCTGAAGAAAGCAATGCCCCCAGATCAAAGCTACATTTCCCATCTACTCCAGATCCTATTCAAACAGAACCAGTTCCCTTGAGCCTGGCCATGATTTGCATGTGAAAAGCTGGTGTGTTGCAGCCAGTCTGCACCAGCTTTGGGAGAGCTGATTGCCGCATGTCTTGCCGGTTCTGCATGTGTGCGGTGATATCGAGTACATAGCTTGAAATTGGCCATGGGGGGAATATTTAAGCACAAAAATGGACACAAGCTACAAATCAGGGCTTTTCCCCCTGAATTGCCATTAAACATTTACCAGCACAATACTGTGGGTTAGTTATGGTGTTTGCCCACCTAAAGAAACTCTGTGTGTGTGTGTGCTCATGTGTGTGTGTGTGCTCATGTGTGTGTGTGCATGTGTGTGTGCACACGTGTGTCTATGTGTGTGTGTGTGTAATTTAAGCCAAAATGACGGACCCTGTGTTATCTTTGCAGATCCGTGGTCTCAGGCCATGCTTAATTCTTCCACGCTGGTTTATTGGTTCCTGTGTTCCAAAGCTCCGCATGTACCCTGTTTAAAGGACGGTCCACTTCCACCCTATACAGTTGGAGGGTCACCCATTCATTTGATTTCTTCAGGTCCATTTTCTTCATCCTCCTTCCACATGCTACTGACCATCGCTAACAGGACTGCGTGCTGAGAGCCGAGCCTGTTACCTGCTTTCCCCATGACAGGGCTGTCTGCTTCCTCTCCCTGTCCCAAGATTTGTTCTTTACCTCTCAGAACTGCAGAAAACAAGTTATTTTCTCTTGGCATTTGTGCCGCTCTTTTTCCTCCCTCTTTTGGCTTCGAAAAAGTGGTGGGTCTCATGCACTTGTAATTAGCTGGAGCACATCTGACCCATCGTCCCCTGAGGGAGGGCAGCTTGGTGGTCCCTAGCTCAAGAAGGGGCAGCCCCCACCCCCTGAAATTAGGGAGGGGAGGTCTACAGCTTTTTCCAGGAGGTACCTCAGCCCAAAGTCTGTGAATCCACAAAAGCAAGGTCGGCCTACCCTTTTACGTAAGCCACGCGGTAGCCAGAGACAAATGCAAGCAATAGTGTGATGTGAGATAGGGCAGAAACACTGCACCCCAAAGTCAGGTGTATTGGGGTCTTTCCCTGGGAGTCCGATGCAGCAAGCAACACTGTCACAGGTAAAACGTGAGGAAACAAGCTTGCTTCTTTTTTTTTTTTTTTTCAAAGCAGGGTCTCACTCTGTTGCCCAGGCTGGAGTGCAGTGGAACAATCACAGTTCACTGCAGCCTCCACCTCCAAGGCTCCAATGGTCCTCCTATGTCAGCCTCCTGCGTAGCTGGGGCTACACAAGTTTGCTTCTTATTCCTGAGCTTTTTAAATTTCTTCAGCTGATTTTGCCGTACCGCGTGTGCCGGTTTCATCTTCCTCCTCGTTGTAATTGTTTCATGACCGGAGTCAATGCTAGAGGCCCCGAGGAATGCAGGAAAGCACCAGCCATCAGGACGTGTTGATGAGACACACACTGTCTGGGACCTTCTGTGAATAACATGATTGGCGTTGTCACCGGGATAACTGCAGGAGAGATGTGAAAGTGCTTAGGATGTAGTTGGCGCTCAGGTCATTCTGCAGGCGTTAATGAAGCACGTGCTATGAGCCAGGGTCTTTGCTGGGGACCTAAAGATGAGTAGGTCAGTGGACAATATTTGAATGCAAGTCACAAATGTGTGGTTTCCAAACCTGGACTGGGTGGGGCTGACAGGGATTTCTTCCATTTTTTCTGTTTATCTCTGAATGGTTCCTTTAGCTGCTGACTTGGCAACTGAACTCAACGTTGTCCTCTGCCCCCAAGGCTCTCTTTTGTCCATTCTCTCTTTCTCGGAGGATGACTTTGCCTCCTACTTCCAATTCAAAATAAATCCTGCTGGAAGAAGCAACGGAGCCATGACCAAAAGCAGACTTTGGGTCGAGACTGCCGAGTCTCTACTTTTACTGAATTTAGTCCTGAATCCCACACAGACTCCCTGTACCCGCTCTCCCTAGGACGCCTCGGAATGGTCCTCCGTGATGCCGCTGCGCCTGTGCTGTCTGGACCACCTTCTGCCTTGGTGTTCTGACAACATCCTAGAGCATCTCACCTCTCTCGGCTCTTTCCCAGTTCTCATGCTCCCTGATGGTCCTTAAAAAGATTCCTATTCAGCCAGGCGTTGTGGCTCATGCCTGTAATCATAGCATTTTGGGAGGCCAAGGCCGATGGATTACCTAAGCTCAGGAGTTCAAGACCAGCCTCGGCAATATGAGGAAACCCCATCTCCACTAAAATACAAAAAAAAAAAAATGAGCTGAGTGTGGCAGCCTGCACCTGTAGTCTCAGCTACTGGAGGGGCTGAGGCAGGAGAATTGCTTGAACCCAGGAGGCAGAGGTTGCAGTGAGCCGAGATTGTGCGCCTGCACTCCAGCCTGGGCAACAGAGTGAGACTCCGTCTCCGGGGAAGAAAAAAAAAGATTCCTATTCATGGACCTAATACCCCACTTCTAGGAGTGGAGTGGGATAAACTAGACAGAGATGAACATACATACAGCGAAGCAGAATTCCTGAGAGGCCTCTGATCTGAATAGTGCCAACTCCAGGCATTAGCTACAAAAGACCTTAATTGCAAAACTTTCTGGGGACTTTTATCTTTCCTCATCTGGAGTATCCACACCATTGTCCTGCCTGCGAGGAATTTGGATAGTTTATTTTGTTTTTCATTTTGTTTTGTTTTTTAGACAGGGTCTCACTCTGTCACCCAGGCTGGAGTGCAGTGGTGCAATCTCAACTCACTGCAGTCTCGGCCTCTCAGGCTCAACCAATCCTCTCACCTCAGCCCCCCAAGTAGCTGGGGTTATAGGTACACGCCACTGTTACCGGAAAGAGGTCCCAATCCAGACCCCAAGAGAGGGTTCTTGGATCTTACACAAGAAAGAATTCGAGGCAAGTCCGTAAAGTGAAAGCAAGTTTTTTGGGAAAATCAATGAATACAAGTATGGCTACACCATAGACAGAGCAGCCCCAAGGGCCAAAGGACTATTTCTTGACTGTGTGTTAAACAAGGAGCAGATTATTCAAGACTTTTCCAGGAAATGGATGGGCAATTCCCAGGGCTTTTTAGACCGTATAGGGTAACTTCCTGACGTTACCATGGCATTTGTAAACTGTCATAGCGCTGGTGGGAGTGTAGCAGTGAGGACGACTGGAGGTCACTCTCATCGCCATCTTGGTTTTGGTGTTTTTCCGGCTTCTTTACTGCAACCTATTTTATCAGCAAGGTCTTCATGACCTGTATCCTGTGCCAACCTCCCATCTTATCCTGTTTATGCCTAACCGCCTGGGAACGCAGCCCAGTAAGTCTCAGCCTTATTTCAGTCAGCCCCTGTTCAAGATGGTGTTGATCTGGTTCAAACGCCTCTGACACTACCATGCCAGGCTAATTTTGCATATTTTTTGGAGAAGCAGGGTTTCCCCTTGTTGCCCAGGCTGGTCTCAAACTCCTGAGCTCAAGTGGTCTGCCCACCTCAGCCTCCTAAAATGCTGGGATTACAGATGTGAGCCCCGGGGCTCTGCCTGGATAGTTTATTTTTTATGTTTGTCACATCGCTCTTCTCTGTCTCCACTGATAAGTCACATTCCAGACCCTTTTATCCATGTGATTTCTTGAGATATCAAGATTCCTACAGACCTGGGAGGAAGTGTCGTACATCTTTGGGCAAAAGCTGACCTGAGACAATAGGCAATTGCCCTTGATGCTAAGACTAACCACAAGCTCTTCCCAGTCTGTAGTTTTTATTTGCACATTTGCAGGCTGGAGTGTGTCCTCTCTATCTAGTCGGTATTTCAATAGGAGGCGAAGATCTCTGTGAGGCAATCTGGGGTTTTTCTAGCTGGGCCCGTGTTATTCATGGCCAGCCAGCTCTCCTGGTTTGTTTATACCTTTTTCCCACCTGAAACCTTGATGGTTGATTTGTGAAATAAAACCAAAATTGCTCAATCTGTCTAAAAGCTTTCTGTGGGTTTTAAACTTACCTATTTTTTAAAAGAAATTTTAATAATGCTTCTGGCTTTTAGAATCAGCAGGAAACCTACAATCAGGATTGTTGTATTTGCACCAATATCAAACATAAGGAGCATAAGTAATAAGGAACCCAGTGCCCTTTGTTGAATACGTAAATTTTCATGGTAACTGGTAATTGCTGGCCTATAAAAGCTCTCTTCCTTATGTTCCTGCTACTGAGTAAAAATGATTTTTGTATTTGTAACAGACTAGATTCATTTCAAATGGAAATATTAATCTGTAATTGTTCTTATACGAGAAACACCAAGTTCAAGGCAAAAATAACAAAGCCAGTTAAGCATATGTTTCATACCTGCACAATTTACCTAAATAGAGATTGCCCAAAGAAGTTTTGCTGGCTTCTGAAAACTTTCTCA
Source organism: Homo sapiens (assembly GCF_000001405.40). NCBI lineage: Eukaryota > Metazoa > Chordata > Mammalia > Primates > Hominidae > Homo > Homo sapiens. Next base: position 83,629,271 of record NC_000016.10, read on the forward strand.
TAAGATTTTAAAAATATATTTTATGGTCAAGAGGTTGTAGCATCCTCCCAGGACTAATTCATATCTAGCCAAGAAAAATTACATTTTCCCATTTACATTCCAAAGTCTGAACTGTTATTTTATAAATGAATTTTCCCTCCAATTCAGAAAGCACTGGCTACATTACAAATTTTAATGCTACTATTATAGGATCATAATTTTAAAAACCCAGGGTTCTCCAAGGGCTTCAGCAGCATGCCATCTCTCCACTTTATTAAAATGAATGAACAGATGTACAATTTATTTCTGCCAAGCCATCATCTAAATTCATAAGCTATTTCTCATGTGTCTGAAATCCACGTTGGTTTCCCATTTTCTTTGCCTTAGAAAAAAAATTACACTCCCTCATTTATCACTCTGGGGACATAAACGAGAAGTCTACTCTCCACTTCATTCACTTTGGACTAATATCCTCGACACAATTTAAATCCCATCTCTTCAAGACTATTCAATGAGAGCAAGGCAGTGGAACACCCAGCATCCAATTGGAAAACTCCTTGGCCATCAATGTAGAAGATTGACAAGCTCAGTCACATGAGCTTACACCTTGGCAGATGCAGGGGAAGAGAGCTTACAACAGCGTTGAATCCATTCAGGTAGATGGGACAGTCTAGAACCATCACACTTAAAAGTCAACGTCAGTAACAGAAATGTATTTTAGCTGCCGTATTTCATAGAGCCCTGATACCACCCTTACTTCCCACATGACCTGTCATCTGACAGCAGGCTGGCAGACAGGCATTTAACAGATTCATCTCGGGTTGGCAAACATCTAGCCTAGCTTTGAAAACCCACGTGTTGATCTCAGACCTGCCTTTACATCCCTGCACCACCATTTTCTGATGGTGTGAGATCAGGCATAGTTTTTAACCTCTCTGAGATCTGGGTTATTTTTCAGTATGATGGAGATAAGTGGACCTGCTTTGTAATAAAGGTTAAATAAAGTGCAACATTTTGATGCTATGAACCTAAAAGTATCTGGGACAGGTCTCAGTCAATTTAGAACGTTTATTTTGCCAAGGTTAAGGACATACCCATAACGCAGCCTCAGGAGGTCCTGATGACACGTGCCCGAGGTGCTCAGGGTATAACCTGGTTTTATGCATTTTAGGGACACATGAGATATCAGTCAATGTGTGTAAGATGTATATTGGTTCAGTCTGGAGAGTGGGCGATCAGGGAGCTTACAGGTCATAAGTAGGTAACAGACAAATGGTTGCATTCTTTTGAGTCCTTGATCAAAGACGGCGGTAGAGGAATAGTCACTTATGTCTTAGTCTAGCTCAGTGAATCTGCATTTTTACGTAAACAATCAGACTGAGGAAGCAATTAGATATGCATTTGTCTCAGGTGAGCAGAGGGATGACTTTGAGTTCTGTCTGTCCTTTGACCTGCACCTGTGAAGATGAGCGATCAGTTTACGTTGCCCAGGTGAAATTCAACAGAAGTTTTTAGAGTAAAGATCTTGAGGCCCACAAGGAATTTCCTTGCAGGCAAATTGTGAGGGAGATATTTTCTATATTTGTAGCTATCTTATTAAAAATAAAATGGGAGCAGGTTTGCCTCCCATAGGTCCCAGCTAGACTTTTCCCTTTAGCTTAGTAATTGGGGGTCCCAAGATTTATTTTCCTTTCACAATGCCAAGGTCAATAATATATGGCAAGCACAGTGCCTGACATGTGGTTCAGTAAGGGGGCCATTGTGATGAAGATGGCATCCCGGAGATACATCTCTGCCGCAGAACAGCTGGGCTAAAAGAGCTCTCCTCTTCCTCAGTTCTGCATTTGCTGGCATGGTTCTAGTGAATGTAAGAAAGGCATTTTGCAGCCAGCAGATGCAGTCAACGAGCGCAAGTTGTAAAGGCTGCAGAATGAAGCCCTCAGGTTATCTGGCAGAATTCTGCTCCTGGAAGAATTCTATTTATGAGATGCTGCTGGAATTGAGCAATAAAACTTGCCGGAGTCTCTAGTTTCACATGGAAAACTGCCCTGTGTCCATAAATGCTTCTTGGGTTTGGGGCTTTAATCAGATTTTGAGTGTTTGGTTTGTTGTTGTTTGTTCTTTCGGTGGCCCTGTTGCTTGGAGAAGAAACATCATGTTAACTTCATTTGCTTGAACTCTGTGACCATCCTGTGATTTCAAACACAGCTTGTCTTTTTCTCATGTAATGTTTTTGGGAGGGGAAGGTGGGTTCTCCTGATCTCGGGAAGATCCACAGCAAAATGATGGAGTTCTTTCATTTAGCAGAGTTACAGCTTGAGGTGGACAGTGTCAAAATGGCAAGCTCCCCAAAGAGGAAAGGAAAGAGGGATGTCACTCCAGGATGCGCCAACGAGATGCTCCTTAGGAACCACGGAAGTGACACTTGTCAGCATCCACACAACAAAATGTTGATGAGGGGAGCCAGCCTTGGTGACTCCTAGCAGCTCCCGGCAGCAGTCTGTCTGCCTGTGTTGTCAACAGTCCCTGAATTAAATCAGTCACTGCTGCCGCCAATGAACTTGTAGGTTGTTGTGGGATAAGGGGCCCTAGGCAGTTTCTTCATCTCTGCTTGACCAAACCACGCATCAAGGTCATGGATCCCAGGTGCCCCTGAAGACATTCAAGAAGTCTCGTTCGCCAGCTGAGCAAAGTCATGAGACAAACTGTCCATATGACAAGCCTGCTTTTAGGCTTTGACATTCCAGCAAGGAAGCAGGTGCTGCTGACAGAAATGTGGTAGTTTGAGAGAACAGGATTTTAAAGAAGAACGAACCCAATTATTTGGATCCACAGAGTCTTAGAAGATAGAATGCAGGGAGGAGGCAAGCAGGGAGGAAAGAGAAGGAGCTTTTATGTTTCCTCATTGTTACTCCATCACACTGTCAGTTTGACTAGAAGGGCTGTTTTTATTTCCCTGAATCCCAGTTCTGTTTCTGAGTTCTTATTCACAGGGCAGGATGGGCTGACACTGTAGAGACGTGTCCTACAGTGAAATTAGAGATGACTCCTAATTTCAGTCACATCTCCATCAGTCAGCCCCTCTTAGGTATTGCACAAGTTCCTTAGATGCTTTGGGCCTCAGTGTCCTCACTTACAGAATAGGGATTTTGGTAATGAAGGCCAGCAGCTCCGTGCATGACAAGGTGCTGAATGCTTTCTGTTTATTATCACGCCGAATCCTTATGATTTCTTTGTGAGGTGCATTCTACTAGACCCTCCAGTTCTCAGATCAGGAAGCTGAGGGTTAGAGAGCTAAGGTAATGCACCCAGGTTACAGCAGGTTATCCTCAAGTGCCCCACGGAGTAGTGACATTTTGTCACCATTGATGCTATATTACTGATAATGATCAATAGATAGGTTACTGGAAAGGGGTCCAGATCCAGATCCCAAGAGAGTGTTCTTGGATCTCATGCAAGAAAGAATTCAGGGCGAGTCCATAGAGTAAAGTGAAAGCAAGTTTATTAAGAAAGTAAAGGAATAAAAGAATGGCTGCTCTATAGGCAGAGCAACAGCATGAGCTGCTAGTTGGCCATTTTTATGGTTATCTCTTGATTATATGCTAAACAAAAGGTGGATTATTCTTGGGTTTTCCGGGAAAGGGGTGGGCAGTTCCCAGAACTGAGAGTTTCTCCCCCTTTTAGACCATATAGGTAACTTCCTGATGTTACCATGGCATTTGTAAACTGTCATGGCACTGGTGGGAGTGTCTTTTGACATGCTAATGTATTATAATTAGCATATAATGAGCAGTGAAAATGACCAGAGGTCACTCTTGTTGCCGTCTTGGTTTTGGTAGGTTTTGGCCAGCTTCTTTACTGCAACCTGTTTTATCAGCAAGGTCTTCCTGATCTAAATCTTGTGCTGACCTCCTATCTCATCCTGTGATTAAGAATGCCTCAACCTCCTGACAATGCAACCCAGTAGGTCTCAGCCTTATTTTACCCAGCTCCTATTCAAGATGGAGTTGCTCTGGTTCAAAGCCTCTGACAGATACTGCATCCATGAGGTGAATAAAGGTGGCACCGGTGTTCATTTTATTGGCTAAGAACCCCGAAATTGTCACATTGCGTGCAGTGGTTCCGGAGGTTTGACCTCACCGTAGAAGAGCACATCTGAAGTTAGTTTTGAACATATTGACATCAGTGTTTTGAAACTCCTCACCGCTTTCTAACAGTCTTTCCAGTTAGCTGAGTCAGCACAAAAGGCCTTAGCCAGGTCTGAAAGGAGTTTGTTTTCATGTTGCAGGGAGTGTTTTCTAATAAGGGTTTTTTTCTCCATTGAAAACATCTCTTACTTTGCGTCTATCATTATGATCTTACTCGGAGAGAAAATGGTATCTTCCTGGGCTGATTGCTCATTGGTGGAGGCTTGGCTTCCAGGAAGACGCACACTGGCTTTCCGTAGCACTTTCTCTCGTTTTTGTTTCCAAAATCACTATTTATTGCCCTTCAAAACAGGTTGCGTTTGAATTAGGGTTCTGGGCCTGTACAGTCTGTGGGAGCCCAAGTGCAAAGTAGATTCCATCATAAACAAGGTATCCCCCCTCCAAATTAACAGTAAAATAGGCCATGTGATCCCAGAATGCATCATTTCAGGCTTATAAAGAAAAGCAACTTAGTTTCCTTATTTTTCCATTTTTCCATGATCACAGGCTCACAGAAGTTGCAAAAATAGTGCCAGAAGCACCTTGAACCCTTCTCTCAGCTTCCTCCGTAGTAACATCGCCTATAACTGTAGTGCAACAATACCAAGAGCAGGAAGTTCATGTGGGCACAATACTATTAACCAGACCTCACGAAGTCTCCACCCATTTTTGTGTGTTTTCTGTGTGTGTGTGTGTGTATGTGTGTGTGTGTGTGTGTGTGTGTGGTCCTACGCATTTGATCACACGTACAGATTTGTGTGACCACCACCACCATCATGATACAGGACAGCTGCATGGTCACAGAAGGGCTACCTGTCTTGCTACTCCTTATTAGTTGTATTAACCTTCCCCTTACTCTTGGGCTTCTCCCCTGGCAATTATTAACCTGTTCTCCACCTGTAGTTTTGTCACTTCAAGGATGGTACATAATGGAATCATACAATATGTAACTCTTTGATATTAACTCTTTTTTTTTTTTTTTGAGACGGAGTCTTTCCCAGCCACCCAGGCTGGAGTGCAGTGGCACAATCTCGGCTCATTGCGACCTCCGCCTCCCAGGTTTAAGCCATTCTCCTGCCTCAGCCTCCTGAATAGCTGGGACTACAGATGCCTGCCACCATGCCCAGCTAATTTTTGTATTTTTAGTAGAGACAGGGTTTCACCATGTTGGCCAGGTTGGTCTTGAACTCCTGACCTCAGGTGATCCACCTGCCTCGGCCTCCCAAAGTGCTGGGATTACAGGTGTGAGCTACCACACCTGGCTGAGATGAGCTCTTTTCACTAAGCATGATGCCCCTGAGATTCATCCAAGTACTCACATCAGCCGATAGCTGGTTCCTTTTGATTGCTGAGTGATATTCCATGGTATGGTATGCCAGAGTTCGTTGAACCATTCACCCACTGAAGGACATTTGACTTTGTTGCTAGATTGAAGCTACTGCAGTTAGAGCCACCCTGAATATTTGTGTAAGGCTTTTGTGTGAACATACATTTCCATTTTTCTGGGTACCAGCTGCTGGATCATATATTAAGTGCATGTTAGTTTTATAAGAAACTGCCTGTTTTCCAGAGTGGCTAAACCATTTTCATCCTTATCAGCAATAGAGGAGAAATCCAGTTCTTCCACATTCTCACCAGCATTTGGTGTTATCACTCTTTTTCATTATAACCATTCTGTTCAGCATATAGTAATAGCTGCTCTCTGGTTTGGTGTATAGCAATATGATGTTAATTTGCATCTCCCTAATAACTAATGATATGAAACATCTTTGCATGTGCTTATTTGCCGTCAGTGTTCTCTTTGGTGAAATGTCTAACTATGTCTTTTGCCTATTTTTTGTTTCGTTTTGTTTTACAGGCCATTTTCAGGACTTTAACTTTTGCCCATTTTCTTTCTTTTTTTTTTTTTTTTTTTTTTTTTTTTTGAGACAGAGTCTCACTCTGTTGCCCAGGCTGGAGTCCAGGGGTGTGACCTCGGCTCACCACAACCTCCGCTTCCTGGGGTCAAGTGATTCTCCTGCCTCAGCCTCCCGAGTAGCTAGGATTGCAGGCACATGCCACCATGCCCAGCTAATTTTTGTATTTTTAGTAGAGATGCGGTTTCACCATGCTGGCCAGGCTGGTCTCGAACTCCTGACCTCGTGATCTGCCTGCCTCGGCATCCCAAAGTGCTGGGATTACAGGTGTGAGCCACCACGCCCGGCCCCATTTTCTAACAGAATCTTTTAATGTTTGAGTGTTGAGAGTCTTTTATGTAGTCTATATGCACATCCTTTGTCGGAGATGTGGCTTGCAAATATTTATCTCAATCTGTGGCTTGTCTGTTCGTTATCTTAATAGAATCTTTCACAGAACAAAAGTTTTTAATTTCATGCAAGTCCAATTTATACTTTTTTCTTCTATAGATTGTGCTTTTGGTGTCAACTCTAGGAATTCTTTGCCTAGCCCTAGGTGTTAAAGATTTTATCCTCTGTTTTCTTCTACAAATTTTTATAGTTGTATTTTTACATCTAAGTCCATGATCCTTTCGGAACTGATTTTTTTATGTAAAGTGTAAGGTTTAGGTTGAGTTCATTTATCTGCCAGTGGACACACAGTTGCTCCAGTAGCCTTTTAGAAATAGCTATCCTTCTTCCATTGAATTGCTATTGTCCCCTTGATTAAAAAAAAAAAAAATCATGTGGGTGCAGGTGTATTTGTGCAGGTCTATTCCGTGTCCTCCGTTCTGTCCCATTGATCTATGTCTCTGTCTCACCAGTACTGTACTGTCTTATTACCGGAGCTGTAGAGTAAGGCTTCACATCAAGTAGAATGAGTCCTCTGCTTTATTCTTCTTTTTCAAAAGTATTTCAGAAAACATTTTTTTTCCTTTTTCGACTTTTACTTTAGATTGCAGGAATACATGTGCAGGTTTGTTACGAAGGTATATTACATGATGCTAGGGTTTGGAGCATGATGAACCCTAGCACCCAAATTGGTAGTTTTTCAACCTTTGCTCCTTCCCTCCCCACTTTTGGAGCCCCCAGTATCTATTGTTGCCATGTTTATGTCCATTTGCACCCAATGTTTAACTCTCACTTCGGACTGAGAACCTGCAGTGTTTAGTTTTCTGCTTCTGTTCATTAAGACAAAAGCCTCCAGCTCCATTCATGGTGCTGCAAAGGACATGATTTCATTATTTTCTATGGTTACATAGTATTCCACGGTGTTTTCTAACCCACCATTGATGGGCACCTGGGTTTGTTGCATGTCTTTGCTGTTGTGTATAGTGCTGCAATGGATATATGGGTGCATGTGTCTTTTCAGTAGAGTGACCTATTTTCCTTTGAGTATCTACTCAGTGATGGGATTGCTGGGCCAAATGGTGCTTCAACTCTTAGGTCTTTGAGAAATGTCCAGACTGCTCTCCGCAATGGCTGAACTAATCTACATTCCCACCAGCAGCATATATGTGTTCCCTTTTCTCCTAGTTCTACCAACATCTGTAATTTTTTGACTTTTGAACAAAAGCCATTCCAACTGGTGTGAGATGGTAACTCATTATGGTTTTGATTTGCATTTCTCTGCTGATTAGTGATGATGAGCATTTTTTCATTTGTGAATTGGCCATTCATATGTCTTCTCTTGAGACATGTCTGTTCATGTCCTTTGCCCTCTTTTTAATGGTTATTTGTAGAAAACCATTTTAAATACAGTTTGAACTCAACAGCTTTTTATCCCCTCTAAAATTATTTTTCTGATTAAAACATAACTCATTTCCATTGTAAACAACATTAAAATATCAAAAACGTCTAATAGAAAAATTTAACAGATCTCGGGAGGAGCCAAGATGGCCGAATAGGAACAGCTCCGGTCTACAGCTCCCAGCGTGAGCGCTCCCAGCGTGAGCTACGCAGAAGACGGTGATTTCTGCATTTCCATCTGAGGTACCGGGTTCATCTCACTAGGGAGTGCCAGACAGTGGGCGCAGGCCAGTGTGTGTGCGCACCGTGCGCGAGCCGAAGCAGGGCGAGGCATTGCCTCACCTGGGAAGCGCAAGGGGTCAGGGAGTTCCCTTTCCGAGTCAAAGAAAGGGGTGACGGATGCACCTGGAAAATCGGGTCACTCCCACCCGAATATTGCGCTTTTCAGACCGGCTTAAGAAACGGCGCACCACGAGACTATATCCCACACCTGGCTCGGAGGGTCCTACGCCCACGGAATCTCGCTGATTGCTAGCACAGCAGTCTGAGATCAAACTGCAAGGCGGCAACGAGGCTGGGGGAGGGGCGCCCGCCATTGCCCAGGCTTGCTTAGGTAAACAAAGCAGCCGGGAAGCTCGAACTGGGTGGAGCCCACCACAGCTCAAGGAGGCCTGCCTGCCTCTGTAGGCTCCACCTCTGGGGGCAGGGCACAGACAAACAAAAAGACAGCAGTAACCTCTGCAGACTTAAGTGTCCCTGTCTGACAGCTTTGAAGAGAGCAGTGGTTCTCCCAGCACGCAGCTGGAGATCTGAGAACGGGCAGACTGCCTCCTCAAGTGGGTCCCTGACTCCTGACCCCCGAGCAGCCTAACTGGGAGGCACCCCCCAGCAGGGGCACACTGATACCTCACACGGCAGGGTATTCCAACAGACCTGCAGCTGAGGGTCCTGTCTGTTAGAAGGAAAACTAACAACCAGAAAGGACATCTACACCGAAAACCCATCTGTACATCACCATCATCAAAGACCAAAAGTAGATAAAACCACAAAGATGGGGAAAAAACAGAACAGAAAAACTGGAAACTCTAAAACGCAGAGCGCCTCTCCTCCTCCAAAGGAACGCAGTTCCTCACCAGCAACAGAACAAAGCTGGTTGGAGAATGATTTTGACGAGCTGAGAGAAGAAGGCTTCAGACGATCAAATTACTCTGAGCTACGGGAGGACATTCAAACCAAAGGCAAAGAAGTTGAAAACTTTGAAAAAAATTTAGAAGAATGTATAACTAGAATAACCAATACAGAGAAGTGCTTAAAGGAGCTGATGGAGCTGAAAACCAAGGCTCGAGAACTACGTGAAGAATGCAGAAGCCTCAGGAGCCGATGCGATCAACTGGAAGAAAGGGTATCAGCAATGGAAGATGAAATGAATGAAATGAAGCGAGAAGGGAAGTTTAGAGAAAAAAGAATAAAAAGAAATGAGCAAAGCCTCCAAGAAATATGGGACTATGTGAAAAGACCAAATCTACGTCTGATTGGTGTACCTGAAAGTGATGTGGAGAATGGAACCAAGTTGGAAAACACTCTGCAGGATATTATCCAGGAGAACTTCCCCAATCTAGCAAGGCAGGCCAACGTTCAGATTCAGGAAATACAGAGAACGCCACAAAGATACTCCTCGAGAAGAGCAACTCCAAGACACATAATTGTCAGATTCACCAAAGTTGAAATGAAGGAAAAAATGTTAAGGGCAGCCAGAGAGAAAGGTCGGGTTACCCTCAAAGGAAAGCCCATCAGACTAACAGCGGATCTCTCGGCAGAAACCCTACAAGCCAGAAGAGAGTGGGGGCCAATATTCAACATTCTTAAAGAAAAGAATTTTCAACCCAGAATTTCATATCCAGCCAAACTAAGCTTCATAAGTGAAGGAGAAATAAAATACTTTATAGACAAGCAAATGTTGAGAGATTTTGTCACCACCAGGCCTGCCCTAAAAGAGCTCCTGAAGGAAGCGCTAAACATGGAAAGGAACAACCGGTACCAGCCGCTGCAAAATCATGCCAAAATGTAAAGACCATCGAGACTAGGAAGAAACTGCATCAACTAATGAGCAAAATCACCAGCTAACATCATAATGACAGGATCAAATTCACACATAACAATATTAACTTTAAATATAAATGGACTAAATTCTGCAATTAAAAGACACAGACTGGCAAGTTGGATAAAGAGTCAAGACCCATCAGTGTGCTGTATTCAGGAAACCCATCTCACGTGCAGAGACACACATAGGCTCAAAATAAAAGGATGGAGGAAGATCTACCAAGCAAATGGAAAACAAAAAAAGGCAGGGGTTGCAATCCTAGTCTCTGATAAAACAGACTTTAAACCAACAAAGATCAAAAGAGACAAAGAAGGCCATTACATAATGGTAAAGGGATCAATTCAACAAGAGGAGCTAACTATCCTAAATATTTATGCACCCAATACAGGAGCACCCAGATTCATAAAGCAAGTCCTCAGTGACCTACAAAGAGACTTAGACTCCCACACATTAATAATGGGAGACTTTAACACCCCACTGTCAACATTAGACAGATCAACGAGACAGAAAGTCAACAAGGATACCCAGGAATTGAACTCAGCTCTGCACCAAGCAGACCTAATAGACATCTACAGAACTCTCCACCCCAAATCAACAGAATATACATTTTTTTCAGCACCACACCACACCTATTCCAAAATTGACCACATAGTTGGAAGTAAAGCTCTCCTCAGCAAATGTAAAAGAACAGAAATTATAACAAACTATCTCTCAGACCACAGTGCAATCAAACTAGAACTCAGGATTAAGAATCTCACTCAAAGCCGCTCAACTACATGGAAACTGAACAACCTGCTCCTGAATGACTACTGGGTACATAACGAAATGAAGGCAGAAATAAAGATGTTCTTTGAAACCAACGAGAACAAAGACACCACATACCAGAATCTCTGGGACGCATTCAAAGCAGTGTGTAGAGGGAAATTTATAGCACTAAATGCCTACAAGAGAAAGCAGGAAAGATCCAAAATTGACACCCTAACATCACAATTAAAAGAACTAGAAAAGCAAGAGCAAACACATTCAAAAGCTAGCAGAAAGCAAGAAATAACTAAAATCAGAGCAGAACTGAAGGAAATAGAGACACAAAAAACCCTTCAAAAAATCAATGAATCCAGGAGCTGGTTTTTTGAAAGGATCAACAAAATTGATAGACCGCTAGCAAGACTAATAAAGAAAAAAAGAGAGAAGAATCAAATAGACACAATAAAAAATGATAAAGGGGATATCACCACCGATCCCACAGAAATACAAACTACCATCAGAGAATACTACAAACACCTCTACGCAAATAAACTAGAAAATCTAGAAGAAATGGATAAATTCCTCGACACATACACTCTCCCAAGACTAAACCAGGAAGAAGTTGAATCTCTGAATCGACCAATAACAGGCTCTGAAATTGTGGCAATAATCAATAGTTTACCAACCAAAAAGAGTCCAGGACCAGATGGATTCACAGCCGAATTCTACCAGAGGTACAAGGAGGAACTGGTACCATTCCTTCTGAAACTATTCCAATCAATAGAAAAAGAGGGAATCCTCCCTAACTCATTTTATGAGGCCAGCATCATTCTGATACCAAAGCCGGGCAGAGACACAACCAAAAAAGAGAATTTTAGACCAATATCCTTGATGAACATTGATGCAAAAATCCTCAATAAAATACTGGCAAACCGAATCCAGCAGCACATCAAAAAGCTTATCCACCATGATCAAGTGGGCTTCATCCCTGGGATGCAAGGCTGGTTCAATATACGCAAATCAATAAATGTAATCCAGCATATAAACAGAGCCAAAGACAAAAACCACATGATTATCTCAATAGATGCAGAAAAAGCCTTTGACAAAATTCAACAACCCTTCATGCTAAAAACTCTCAATAAATTAGGTATTGATGGGACGTATTTCAAAATAATAAGAGCTATCTATGACAAACCCACAGCCAATATCATACTGAATGGGCAAAAACTGGAAGCATTCCCTTTGAAAACTGGCACAAGACAGGGATGCCCTCTCTCACCGCTCCTATTCAACATAGTGTTGGAAGTTCTGGCCAGGGCAATCAGGCAGGAGAAGGAAATAAAGGGTATTCAATTAGGAAAAGAGGAAGTCAAATTGTCCCTGTTTGCAGACGACATGATTGTTTATCTAGAAAACCCCATCGTCTCAGCCCAAAATCTCCTTAAGCTGATAAGCAACTTCAGCAAAGTCTCAGGATACAAAATCAATGTACAAAAATCACAAGCATTCTTATACACCAACAACAGACAAACAGAGAGCCAAATCATGGGTGAACTCCCATTCACAATTGCTTCAAAGAGAATAAAATACCTAGGAATCCAACTTACAAGGGATGTGAAGGACCTCTTCAAGGAGAACTACAAACCACTGCTCAAGGAAATAAAAGAGGAGACAAACAAATGGAAGAACATTCCATGCTCATGGGTAGGAAGAATCAATATCGTGAAAATGGCCATACTGCCCAAGGTAATTTACAGATTCAATGCCATCCCCATCAAGCTACCAATGACTTTCTTCACAGAATTGGAAAAAACTACTTTAAAGTTCATATGGAACCAAAAAAGAGCCCGCATTGCCAAGTCAATCCTAAGCCAAAAGAACAAAGCTGGAGGCATCACACTACCTGACTTCAAACTATACTACAAGGCTACAGTAACCAAAACAGCATGGTACTGGTACCAAAACAGAGATATAGATCAATGGAACAGAACAGAGCCCTCAGAAATAATGCCGCATATCTACAACTATCTGATCTTTGACAAACCTGAGAAAAACAAGCAATGGGGAAAGGATTCCCTATTTAATAAATGGTGCTGGGAAAACTGGCTAGCCATATGTAGAAAGCTGAAACTGGATCCCTTCCTTACACCTTATACAAAAATCAATTCAAGATGGATTAAAGATTTAAACGTTAGACCTAAAACCATAAAAACCCTAGAAGAAAACCTAGGCATTACCATTCAGGACATAGGCGTGGGCAAGGACTTCATGTCCAAAACACCAAAAGCAATGGCAACAAAAGACAAAATTGACAAATGGGATCTAATTAAACTAAAGAGCTTCTGCACAGCAAAAGAAACTACCATCAGAGTGAACAGGCAACCTACAACATGGGAGAAAATTTTTGCAACCTACTCATCTGACAAAGGGCTAATATCCAGAATCTACAATGAACTCAAACAAATTTACAAGAAAAAAACAAACAACCCCATCAAAAAGTGGGCGAAGGACATGAACAGACACTTCTCAAAAGAAGACATTTATGCAGCCAAAAAACACATGAAGAAATGCTCATCATCACTGGCCATCAGAGAAATGCAAATCAAAACCACTATGAGATATCATCTCACACCAGTTAGAATGGCAATCATTAAAAAGTCAGGAAACAACAGGTGCCGGAGAGGATGCGGAGAAATAGGAACACTTTTACACTGTTGGTGGGACTGTAAACTACTTCAACCATTGTGGAAGTCAGTGTGGCGATTCCTCAGGGATCTAGAACTAGAAATACCATTTGACCCAGCCATCCCATTACTGGGTATATACCCAAATGAGTATAAATCATGCTGCTATAAAGACACATGCACACGTATGTTTATTGCGGCACTATTCACAATAGCAAAGACTTGGAACCAACCCAAATGTCCAACAATGATAGACTGGATTAAGAAAATGTGGCACATATACACCATGGAATACTATGCAGCCATAAAAAATGATGAGTTCATATCCTTTGTAGGGACATGGATGAAATTGGAAACCATCATTCTCAGTAAACTATCGCAAGAACAAAAAACCAAACACCGCATATTCTCACTCATAGGTGGGAATTGAACAATGAGATCACATGGACACAGGAAGGGGAATATCACACTCTGGGGACTGTGGTGGGGTCGGGGGAGGGGGGAGGGATAGCATTGGGAGATATACCTAATGCTAGATGACACATTAGTGGGTGCAGCGCACCAGCATGGCACATGTATACATATGTAACTAACCTGCACAATGTGCACATGTACCCTATAACTTAGAGTATAATAAAAAAAAAAAAAAAAAAGAAAAAAAAAATTTAACAGATCTCTCCACACACCTGAGAGAGGACTATGTTCTTTCCCTTCGTATATATCAAGTTCTACTTTTTTATTTACAAACGTGTGATCACACTCTCTTCAGTATATTGCCATCTGTCTCACGATTTGTATCTTTTTCCTTGTCTGTAAAAAGGGAGAACTATTAATAATACTCTATTTCTTTAGTCTTTGGTGAGGATCAAATGATAAAACACATGCAGAGAGTTTAACCCAGCACCTGCTACATAGTAATGTCTTTGTTGATGTTATTTTTATTGTTCCCCCTTCAGCTTATGCTACCTGCTTTGGGTGATCTTGGCCTTTCTTGGTGGCAATAAAGGGCAGAGAAACTCCATAATGTTTAGTAATCCAAGTCAGTTTGCAGAAGCAGTCAGGAGAATGGGTTCTTCCATCACTCAGTCCAGGTTTCCTACCAAATAGAATGAATGAGACAGGTAGTACTGCAAATTCATAGTTTACTTACGTTAATCATAATGTCAAACATGTCAACAGCATCCTGGAGAGCCCCCCAAGTTTCCTGTCCACTTGTCCACTGTACAGCCACCTACCCACGCTTTACGTACTACCCAGCTCTTCCTCTAAGTGGGATCCTCCCAGAAAGCCAGAGCTCCGCTCCTAGAGAGCGTTTGAGGAACCTGCATGTGGTTTGTCTTATCTTCAGATCTTTAACATAAGCTGTAACGAGGGCAGCTAGAAGCAGAGCCTATCAGATCAGCCCCCGCCAGCTCCAACTAGTGAAACCCAACAGAGTCCTTGGACCCTGCAGCCTAAGAACATAAAAATTCTGTAATCTCCTTCTCTTTATCTCAGCTCTGCCTTCAGATGTGTCCCTTGAATGGCCCACATTCTCCCAATTTCATTAACTTAGCACATTTTATTTCCACTAAGTAAACCCAAGGTGCTTCCATGGTCCAATATAACGGATTTCCCTTCTGATCCATAATGCCAAACAATATGCTACTTCATTCCCTTTAATGGCTTTGTATTGTGTTCTGTTTTATAGATGTCCCACCATTTGACCAACTTCACATAAATGGACATTTTGATGGTGGTTCCTGGTTTTCCCTTTTATAAACATTACAGCAATAAAAATGCTTGAATGTACATCTTCACGTACATATATGAAAGTCTTTGTAGGATAAACTCCCAAAAGCAAAATGCCTGGCCCAAAAGTATGAGCACTTTACATTGCAGTTTATAGCTCTTTTTCTAATATGATTAAAGTATTTTTAAATTACCTTCACTTTTGTCATCCCTCAGTTACGCTGGTTTCTGTATTGCATAGATTCCTAGCCTGCTCCACTGCAAATGGGCTGCCATACAGAGGATGAGGTTCATGGTCCAGAAACGCATCTGGTACTCAAGCGCAGAGCAGAGGTGGAATTCTAGGCCTGTGAATGGTTCACATCAGCAGTGGGGGTCCCCAGTGAAGTAGGATCCCAAAGGCCACAGCAATTGGACGGATACTAATATCCTTCATGCTTCCACGGGCATGAACTTGAACTTGCAGTGGAAGCCTCTAAGGCACAGCAAGGCAGGAGCAGATATGAAGTATGCTTTGCAGCTGTAGCTCCTCTAGAATCCAGGGGCTAATGATCAGGAGGGAGGTGCTAAATATTCTGGGCTCCTCGCTTGGACTTCAAACCTACAAGCTCCCCACTCTTGAACCTAACCCCATTCCTGAGTTTCCTTCTATGCTCACATCCACTCCCAAATCCTCTAACCACCCTGAGCTACATTATATTAAAAGGGCTACTCCTCATATGTTCACCACAGCACTATTCACAATAGCAAGGTCATGGAACCAACCTAAGTGTACATCAACGATTGACTGGTTAAAGAAAAGGTGGTGTATACACAGGTGAAATACTATGCAGCCATAAAAAAGAATGAAATCCTGTCCTTTGCAGCAACATGGGTGGAGCTGGAGGCTATTATCCTATGTGAATTAACTCAGAAGCAGAAAATCAACTACTGCATGTTCTCACTTGTAAGTGAAGGGTAAGCAATGGGTACACATGAACATAAACGTGGAAACAATAGACAGTGAGGACTCCAAATGCAGGGAGAGAGAGAGATGTTGGGGATGAGGGCTGAAAAACCACCTATCAGGTACAGTGTTTGCTGTTTGGGTAATAGGTGTGCTAGAAGCCCAATCTTCACCAAGAGACAATATACCCATATAACAAACATGCACACATGCCCCCCCCCAATCTAAAATAAAATAATTTTTTTAAAGGTACTCCATCAGAACACCCCCAACCTCCCGCACCCTCAGGTGTGGCATTACAGAAACCTCAGCAGCAAAGCCCCTTCCCCATCCTTCTCCAATCACCAGAGCACTATGCTGACTCCCAGAAAGGCCACATGAGAAGAACTTGCTAGCCCCTGCAGGTGGCCCGTTCTTGGTGGTAGAGCATAAGGGAAGGGGCAGGGAAAACAGGAGGAGAGGAGGCATCATTTCCTGTAAATCTAGCACAGGCTTGGTTTGCTTAGACAGTGGAAATACTAAAAAAGTCAAAAAGATCCTTCATCATACACAAGAAAAAGGGAGACGAAAATTGAGGTGAAAAATCATTCTGCCATTACTTAGAAAACCAATTGTGAATCCTTTCCTGGTTTTAAACCATAGCTACATAAACTGGGGGAAATGTCTGCTGTAGGTTTGCTCCACATCCAGCCTCGCCCCGTTGGGAGAAGCCTTGGAGCTGTATGGGTTGGAGCAGTGTCTGTGTAGAGTACTGATGCTCTCCCACTGGGCCCTAGTGTGGGACCATACGTGAAAGCCACCAGGTAGGGTTGCACATAGACTCTAGACTCAGACCAACCGGGGTCTGAATCCCATCTCTCCACTCCCTAACTCTGCTACCCTAGGCAAGTGCTTGTACTTCTCTGTGCCTCAGTTTCCTCACCTGTAATTTGGAGCTCATGACGGTAACCTACCCCACTGGGTGAGTAGCGTACCCGGGTCATGACATGAAGGATGTATGTAATCGTTAGCTGTGATTATCACCATTCCACTAATAAGCTTTCTGTTGCTGCCGTTCTGCAGGGCTCAACTTTCTTTAGAAAATAGTTGTGTTGGCCGGACCCAGTGGTTCACACCTGTAATCCCAGCACTTTGGGAGGCCGAGGTGGGTGGATCACCTGAGGTCAGGAGTTCAAGACCAGTCTGGCCAAAATGGTGAAACCCCATCTTTACTAAAAATGTAAAACATTAGCTGGGCGTGGTGGCGCATCCCTGTAGTCCCAGCTACTCAGAGGCTGAGGCAGGAGAATTGCTTGAACCCGGGAAGCAGTGAGCTGAGATCACGCGATTGCACTCCAGCCTGGGTGACAAGAGCAAGACTCCGTCTCAAAAAAAAAAAAAAAAAAAAACACACACACACACACACACACACACAGTTGTGTTTGCATCCTGTTATTTGAGTTAGCTCAATTCTACCAAATTCCCATCCTACAGCCTGTTCCAGTAACCGCAGAGCCATGAGACCTGGTCTGATGGCTTCTTCTCTAGCTGCTTGTATCAAAAGAAGGCAACTCCCCCCTTTCCCCTTCACCTGCTAATGAGGCCTGGAACTTGCAGTCCACATCACAGCATCATTTACGTTTTGTCCTTTCCTGGAGGTCTACACCAGGCACCTGGGACTGCAGGCTTTCTCTCTCCCCTGGGTCTTAAATTACAGTAACATCGGCCAGGCGCGGTGGCTCACGCCTGTAATCCCAGCACTTTGGGAGGCCGAGGAGGGCGGATCACGAGGTCAGGAGATCGAGACCATCCTGTATAACACGGTGAAATCCCGTCTCTACTAAAAACACAAAAAATTAGCCAGGCGTGGTGGCAGGCGCCTGTAGTCCCAGCTACTCGGGAGGCTGAGGCAGGAGAATGGCATGAACCCGGGAGGCGGAGCTTGCAGTGAACCGAGATCATGCCACTACTGCACTCCAGCCTGGGTGACAGAGTGAGACTCTGTCTCAAAAAAAAAAAAAAAAAAAATTACACTAGCATCCACTCTTACCCTACCTGTAGGAAGTACCGTGTTGCTCACGGGTGACCCCAGGAGGCTTACCTTTCTGTTTTGTTTGTGAAAGTTTCTCCCCCATTTTGCTTGTGCTTCCATAGCAATGATGCTAGATGTTGGCTCACTTTGGAAACACTCCCTTCCTACAACATAAATGTGTGTATGTGTGTGCATGCATGCGTGTGTGTGTTGAACTGAGTTACTTATGAGCTGGGCTTCTGCAAAACCTGATAATCAAGGGACTCTGTTTCCATTCAGAAATAGCTGTTTTTGACAGAGAAGGAAAATTGACAGATTTTTCCATATTCGGGGATTATCTAGAATATGATTCCCCTCAAATGGCCCATCTTTTTATCCTCAACAATCATAGGATCTGTGACACGTGAAGAATAAGTGTTATCTGGTTGGTGGGTACCAGCAGTGGTGCTGGTAGGACCAAAGGGGAAGAGATTCTGTCCAGGAGTCTCCTTGACTGGTCAGTCCTACCTGGGTCCAGAAAGTTGATAGCCACGATCCCCATTATGATCCCTGTTAAAATCCCCATGCCATGGGGATGTGTTATAAGCACACATGCAAGATGCATTACAAACCTGATCCTAAAGCCCCACAACTGCCTGATAAGGTAACAGCATTATCCCAGTTCTTCGCCTAAGGAAACTGGAGTCTAGTGACCACACCTTTTTTTGGTTCCCTGACTTAGAACCTCTTAAATATTCCCTCAAGGTGTGTTTGAATTTGTTGCTTTGTAAAGGCAACAAAGCAGGAGTTAAGGGAAACCAAAGCCATACCTTGGAAGGACCAAGGTATGGGGTTAATAAAACACGGATGTTTCATCATCCAGGCGTGTAAATTACACATGTCTGGCCGTGTGTTCTCAGAGTCACATGTGTATTTTACATGCAAGAACAAGCCAGTGGGTGGTCTCGAGGCAGAACAACTCCCAGGAGAACTTTCCATATGGACTGTTTTGGAGACTTAAGGGTCACTTTGATTCAACGCAAGTTTGTGTGATGCAGTGATTTTAGAAACTGTAGCAAGAAGGTAAGGCTTCATGGTAGTTAATGCAGAGGCATCACCGTGACTTGCCAGAATCCTTCCTGGGTGGTGTCCATGGTTCCTGCCACCCCTCCTCCCTCCCAGAAGTCCCAGGCTTAGTCTGAATGCTCAGTCTTTCTGCAGCTGCCCAGAGTGGTCAGTGAGTTACACTGGAGGCTTCAACCACTGGGTTTCCATAGACATGGAAATTTCCATTCATGGTTTCTACTGACACCGACCCCCTGGGAATGCTGAAAACACTAGAACACAGCTCTTGATTCGCTCAGATTTTCTTATTTAAGACAAAGAAAATTTCTTGTGCAAAAATCGAGTCAGTATCATTCTATCTTTATTCTCTATTCTCTCTCTCCCTCTCCCCATCTCTGTCTCCTGTCTTTATTTTCTTCCTTATCTATCCCCCTTTTTCTCTTTCCCTCGCTGTTTCTTTCTTCTTCCTTTCTTTGTCTCTTTTCCTAACTTTTTTGCATATGTAGCTGTGTCTTTTCCTGCCTTCTTTTTCTGCACTCTATCCCCAGCTCTCTAGCTTCCCCGCAACACACATACACCACCTACTATGCTATCTGGCAATTCCCACTGGGGAACTGTGGCAAGACATCTTATCACTGGGGAAGGAAATTCAAGCTGAAAGAATTCACCTTTTTACTTAAAATTTCTTAACTCTGTGACTATTCCTGTTTTCTACTTATGAAGTCCAGCCTCCTCGCCCCCCATTCCCCTCAGGTGTGGCAGTGAGGTTAAAGTGGCCACAGGCTGCTGTTGGAGTGAGCCTTCCTGCTCCATGTGGGTTCTATAAAATGTGCCCTTGGCACCTGTTCAATCAGACCCAATGAGGATTTTGGAACAGTATGTTTTCTACTGTAATTACATCTCAACAGTGACCATTTATATTATTCCTTGATTGCAAATAAATTTACAGTGCTTATTTTTGTGCTCCCTACCTTCATTGCATTTTTCAATATATTTAATACACTTTAATCACACAGTGGGAGGTGAGGAAATACGGGCCCCTCTTGTGAAGGGAAAGAGAGGGTGGTTGGGCTCAGAGCTGCTTTTTCTTTGTTACGCATGTTGTGGTTGTTTTCTAATTGGAGAGTCATGAACATGTTTATGGACCTGCAAGGAGAAATAAGTTGATGTGCAGGGAAGGAGGGCAGGAAGGGGTAAGGCACTGAGGAGTACATAGCCGGTGGGAGCCAGGGACTGGAGTTCACTTTGAGCAGCAAGGAAGATAGCCTCCTGCAGCCAGGGGAAGGAGGCAAGAAAGAGGCAAAGGGAGGGGGCCTGTGGGTTTCCAGGTTGGGGATGCTGAACACGGAGGGCACCTGCCTTCTCGCACTCTTCCCCTGTGGGTCAAGCAGCAAGGTCTGCTGCTGAGAGAGGCAGGGGTCTAGAGCCCACTTTGCAGCTTTGCTGAAGCACCCAGCCACCTGAGGACCTGATTCAAAAGGCGGGCCCAGGTTGTACCTTTCTAACCAGCTCACAGCTAAGCTGGTCCAAAGCCCACACTTTGCATAGGGAGGGGAAAATGGATGACATGCCATTTTTTCTTCATTGTCAAGTAAGCTGGAGTCTGAACACGTTCTAATTGGACAAAATGGAAAATGCGGTGTTTTAATTTTCTGAGGCCCATTGAGACAGCCCCAAGGGTGACACAGCTGCCTCCTTTCAAGCCTCTGCTCCTTTGTAGGTTGATGGAACTTGACCCTGGCTGTAAGACCAGAATCAATGTGTTGCACCTGCATCCACTTGGCACCCACAGGTATAAAATGTATTTATTGAAAAGCAGCAGGAAGTACAGAAAGCAGGAAAAAAAATACCTTTCTTCTTTTATAAAAGGGATTATCAGCTGCTAATTCAAAAATTGTAGGGTAATGAAAACTACATCAATAATTTTCATAATAATTATAGTCTTTGGTTTTACCCTTGAATGTTTTTCTGGCAACATCTGATTCAATTACCCCAGAAAATGTTACTATGCTCTTCCAGCATTTTCCTATGATGTTTGAATCTATGACCAAATAAGTGATAACTCTTGTCCTAGGGGAGCTTGTGGGCTGCCGTACACAGGCAACTGTCATGTAGGGAGACCTGACACACACATCTTAGCTGGATTAGTGGTTCTCAACCCCAGAGGGTTTTCCACACCCCGCTGGGACACCCAACAATGTCTGAACACATTTTTTATTGTCACAGCTTGGATGGTGCTACCAGCATCTAGTAGGTAAGAACTAAGGATGCTGCTCAGCATCTCCCAATGCACAGGGCAGCCCCCACCCAATGAACAATTATCCATCCCAGAATGTCATTAGTGGCGAGGTCGAAAGACTCTAAGTGAGATTAGGATTACGATTAGATTACAATTCGAAAAGAAAAAGCAGGGTGGATTCGGTGGCTAATGCCTGTTATCTTAACATTTTAGGCGGCTGAGGCTGGAGGATTGCCTAAGGCCAGGAGTTCAAGACCAGCCTGGGCAACATAGTGAGACCCTGTCTCTATAAAAATTTTAAATATATAAAATATATTTTAAAAATTTAAATATATATATAGTGTGGTGTCACATGCCTGCAGTCCCAGCTACTCTGGGGGCTGAGGCAGAAGGCTCCATTGAGCCCGGGAGGTCAAGGCTGCAGTGAGCCATCATCACGCAAGTGTATTCCAGCCTGGGCAACAAAGCAAGAGCCTGTCTCAAAAAATAATAAAATAAAAATAGTTGATCAGAACACTTCTGGTTATAAGAGACCCCTAGCTCTAAGTAGTTTAGATAACAAGGGGACTTTCTATTGGTAGGAATATTAGGTAGTGAGAGACTAGGGTACTGTAACAAAAAGTTCCCAAAAGAACAACGTGTATTTCTTTGCTCATGAAATTCCTTAAAATGATGTTCAGTGCAACAAACATCGTTTCTTTATGTATTTTATTTATCCATTTTCATTATAACAATGTGCATTTTATTGCTTATGTGCTGGGCATTCATGTAAGCATTTTATAAATTATTTAATCCATCATAATCCTGTAAGGGTAGGTATTATTATTATTAATTATTCCCATTTTGCAGATGAGAAAATGGAGACACGGAGAGGTTAAATGACCTGCCAAAAGTCACAAAGATAACAAGATGCAGCTTCCTGTGGCTTTCAACATGAATCACTTTCCTCATTGGTCTTTTATTTTCCTCTTTTTTTTTTTTTTTTTTTTTTTTTGAGATGGAATCTTGCTCTGTCACCCAGGCTGGAGTGCAGTAGCACAATCTTGGCTCACTACAACCTCTGCCTCCCAGGTTCAAGAAATTCTCCTGCCTCAGCCTCCCAAGTAGCTGGGATTACAGGCGCCCACTACCATGCCTGGCTAATTTTTGTATTTTTAGTAGAGACAGGGTTTCACCATGCTGGCCAGCTGGTCTCAGACTCCTGACCTCAGGTGATCTGCCTGCTTCAGCCTCCCAAAGTGCTGGAATTACAGGCGTGAGCCACCACACCCATCCCATAGGTCTTTTTTAATGTGACAGAGTGCCACTGGAGTGCGTCTCTCCTCACGCAGATTTTCATTATGTTACTCCACCCTGTGATGAGAGCCCAGGAGGGACAGAGAATGCTTTTTAATCCTCCTTATCTCATTGAGCCTGATTCCCAAGGGAACGATTCTCATCCATTTATTCTCCCTCTGGGACTCAGAAACTCCATCAGCCACCTCTGGAAGGAATATGCGACGTGCTCATGGGAATTACAGTCGGGCCCAAGGGGTCTATTTGAAATGGGAATCAGTGGTGCAAACACAGAGAATGGATTTAGAGCAGTTTCTTCTGACTAAGACATTTGGAATTTAAATGCAAATTAGAAGCTGTAAGTCAATTCCGTGTATGAATTTATACAAATCCCTTGTAATGAAAGCAGAAGGTTTCTCTTGTCCTTGTTTGTGCTGTGGTGTTAGCATCACGAGCCTAACCAAGTGTGTCAATCTCCCTACAGCTCTGGAGATTAGACATGTGCTTTCTCCAGTTAGAGACGGCTGTGAGTGCCATGCTGGGGGTGGGATTCTCCATGGGCTGCAGGGGTCTGTGTAGTTTCTCCATTAACTTCAGCAACACCCCATGGAAATTGGGAAGAAGGAGGGTCCTCGTGGTTTAGCCAAAGGTTTTGAAAGAGACAAGGCTCTCATTGTACCCCCTCTTTACTGGCCCCTCATGCCATTCACAAAGCAAGCCCTCATTCTCAAATATTGCCTTTCCTCACTCAGGAGCTGGAGGCTGGGCTCTGGGAAGCTGACAGGCCACGGTCTCTTGTATTTGAAAGGAGCAACCCAAGGGCTACATATGGGTTAACAAATGACTTGAATCCCCAGCGCCTGCAGCCTGGAGTCCCCATATGACCCAGCAGCTCCACTCCTAGGTGTAAACCGAAGAGAATGAAGGCATAAGTCCTCCCAAAACTTGCAGATGTGAACATTCACAGCAGCATTATTCCCCATAGCCACTAAGTGGAAACAGTTCCAGGTCCATCAACTGATAAATGGAGAAACAAAACATGGTCCATCCACATGACGGAATGCTTTCAGCCACACAAAGGACTGAAGTACTGATCCACGCTACAGTGTGGATGAACCGTGAAAACACGATGTTCAGTGAAAAAAGTCAGACAGAAATGGCCATATATTGCGCAATTCCATTTCTATGAAATGTCCAGAACAGGGAGATCTCCGGGGACAGAAAGCCAATTAGTGGTTGCCAGGGGCCGGGAGTGGGTGAAGAATGGGGAGTGGCTGCTCCTGGGGGTGGGGCTTCTGTTCGAGGTGTTAAAAAAATTCTAAAATTGATTGTGGTGGTGGTTGCACAACTCTGTGAATGTACTGGAATCCATTCATATGTACAATTTAAATTGATGAATTTTTTGGTATGTGAATCATAGCGCAATAAAACTGTTAGCAAAGAAAAAACTGCATAGCACCATGTCTAAAGACTATAGGGGATGTCACCCAAAGGGTCACCTTTTTAGGCAGAACTTGAGCTCTTGTTAAGGTTTGAAAAATCACAAGCTGTTTTTTTTTTTTCCTCCATAGCTCAGAAATCAAACCAGATTGAGGAAAATCTTTCTAGGGAAAAAAAACTCACAAAAGCTGAGAAAATTAAAATATATAGAGCTCCTAGAATCAGGAATTGTAGCTTACTTTTAATATCATCAGCACTCTAGCATAGTTCTGGTACTTAGGTGTTGAAGAGTTGACAGGAAACAGAACCCAGGAGGTAAATGAAGAATCAATCTGTTGGGAAGAGGTTTAGAAAGGAAGAAATCACTTAGGAATTCTCTTACCCTGCTTTATTTTTCTTCAAATAATCCAACAAGCTGGGTATTTGATTATTTATGTATCTATGTAGCATCTCACTCCCACATAGGGACAACACTCATGACAGAAGGGGCCTCCTATGGTTTGTCCGCTGCTGTGTCCGGCATTAAGAAAGGCGCTCAGCACGGCGTCATCAGCCATAAATATTTGTGGAATGTACAGACAGGGGATTGAAGGCTTGGATAGGGGAATATGTCCTTGGAGAGTGAAATGAACGAGTGGCTAGGAACACACACATGGGTGGGGGAATTAACATACTGACAGGGAATGAACAAATGGGTGGGGTAATGAATGCACAAATCAGAGACTTAATACATAGTATAGACAGGGATGGGCATGTGGCTAGGGGATGATGGATGGAGGATAAAAGTGTGGATAGAGGATGAATGAATCATTCCAGCAGAGACTTGTAGGCAGCCAGCATGACTGAATTTGTTCCGGTTCTTTCTATCAGGCTGGTGCAAAAGTAATTGCAGTTTTTGCAATTAAAAATGGCAAAAAATTGCAATTACTTTTGCACCAACCTGATACATCTATAAGCATGTCTGGGGGAAGGGTCCCTCCTGCACCCTCACGTGGTGGGGTTTATCTGAACATTAGGGTATAGGCCATAGTTAGGAACAGCCCCTGAATTTAACAGAGAAAGACCCTGAAGCAAGTAAGGCAGGTCAGGAGACCAGGATGGGCAGAGGTCCTGTATAGGACAATGTGCAAGAAAGGACCCAACAAGGCAGCTTTGCAAGATGTCGGGATCAGGGGCCAAGAGGAGAAGAAGCACAAGAGGTCAGACGAAGAATCCTGCAGATTGTTAGCCCCAGGATGAGGAAACAGGCCTGAGAGTCTCATCTGTTTCATCAGAGAGCAATAAAAGAAAATTAAAATATAATAATGCCAGGATGTTCCAAACAGCTCTTTATTGCTACAGAACTACCATGCCTGTACTTTCGTCTCCAGGCAAATATACTCAAAATAGTTTCCTATTGCTCCACTCACCCCATCATTCGTCCCCTTTCTGCATTAGGCCTACGGGTTAATGGATGCTGCCACCTGATCCCTGCATGATTTCCCACCAACCCTATGACTCTGGGTTCTGGAGAGGTGAAAGAGCATCTCCAGGTGGCTCAAAACTGTGGCTCCAGGTACTACTCCTCCAGGCGGGCTGCTCCCTGGGGCACGTGTTCTCAGTCCACCAGTGGGCCATGCCGCATCAGCCCACCTGCTTCCTGGCACATGGGATGCACAGCCCATGACCTTGGACCCAGCAGTAGGCAGCATGCTTTCCAGTTTTGAAGGCAAGGACGGAGGCATACAAGGCACTACTTGAGATCCTGTCTGATTTAGAATTTTGTAGGACGGATTCCTGTTGTTGAACACACTGAGTGATGAGAAACTTGGCAAATCTTGTTGGCAAATCTCTCACCTTGATTCCCTTTGGCATCCTTTGTGTCTGTCTGATCCTTCCAGCCTGGCCTTTGGATAGCAGGTACCCACTTCTTAGGATGTGCCAGACACCACGGTAAGAGTTTGATCTGCACTTGTTCATTTATTCACCAGAATCACCTATGGAGTTAGCAGTGACCCTATCCCCATTTTACAGATAAGGAAGTACCGAGGCTTACAGAGGTGAAGTTGCTTGTGTCAGGGCACCCAGCTG
This sequence comes from Homo sapiens, assembly GCF_000001405.40. Classification (NCBI taxonomy): domain Eukaryota; kingdom Metazoa; phylum Chordata; class Mammalia; order Primates; family Hominidae; genus Homo; species Homo sapiens. The sequence continues at coordinate 83,655,405 of NC_000016.10, forward strand.
TTGAGTGACAAAGCCAGATCCTCTGAGGTGGGGCACTGAGCAGAGGCCCGAATGGCAAGATGGTGCCAGTACATGAAGACAAGAGTCTGTCAGAGAGAACGACACAGGTAGAGTCCTGCAGCTTGAGCAACTGTTTACAAACCCATGGCAGAGCCCATGTGAATGAGGGAGAAAAGGCAGAGATGGGCAGATCCCAGAAGGCCTGGGAACCCATGGAAAAGGCTCTGGATTTTGTAAAGTAGAAGCTGTTGCAGGGCTGCGAAGACAGAGGAATGTCAGCTCCATGAGGGCAGGAATGTGTGTCTTCTTTGTTCAGTGAAGACTCCCAAACACCCAGAATCGAGCCTGGCATGTAGCAGGTGTTCAGTGGCTTCATTGAATCAATGAATCATGTTTAAATTTGTAACAAAATGACTCTGGCTGCTACTATGCAGAGGACAGGTTGTAGAGAGAAAGTGGCAGGGGGGAAAACAGAGGAGGAGTCAAACACCCCTGTAGGAGATAATCAAATTACCTGAGCGGAGCTTCTGATGGCTCCACCAAGGTTGGTAGGGGTGGGACACAGAGAAATAGGCCTATTCAGCACATATTCTGCATGCATGCAACCATTACCACTATCTAAGGCTGGAACTTTTTCATCACCCGAGGGGAAACTTTACACCCATTAAGTGGTCATTCTCCATTCCCACCCCTCACACCCAGCCCCTGGCAACCATAAGTCTGTTTTCTGTCTGTCTGAGTTTGCCTCACAGATATTTCGTAGAAATGGAATCATATAGTTTTTAAGAGTTGTTGCTGATGGACTGGATGTGAGAAATGAGAAAAGAGAGGAATCAAAAGATGACTCCTGCATTTTCAGCCTTCACAACATGAATAAATGGTGGTGCTCTTTGCCAAGAAAAGGGAGAAGGGGGAAAGATGAGATTTGTTTTGGTGGAGTCGGGAGGTGGAAAGGCCTCTGTTTCGATCATGTTAAGTTTGAGGTGCCTGTTAGACACCCAGAAGCAGATGCTGGCTGTGACTTGGCACTTACAATCCTGGATACAGGGCAGAGTCCAGGGTTGGGGGTGTGAGTGTGTGATTCCTCAGTAGAGAGGCAGGGCATGGAAGTTCTCATCCAGGTGCTGACTGATGAAGAGCTGCCATTGCCCAAGCTGGGACCAGAACCCCTGAGCCATGTTAAGAAAAAGTCAACCAGATCCAGGCATTGTTACCCTTGAATGGTAAAGGTGATTTAGTGGAATCTTGATCAAGGCTCCTGAGCCATTTCCTGTGGGAAAGTAGACATCTTTGAATGACTGCACAGAGAATCGTGGTCTTTGCCACTCTCCCCTACAGTTTTGGCAATATCACAGCCAATTTTAGGGCACAAACACAAACCATTCCCAGTTATCCTTTGCCTGTAATAGGAATAAGACAGCATGGTGTAAGGAATTACTTGATTTTAGAAGGCATTTCATCTCTCCAAGTCAATCTTTAGGGATCGACACTGCTGGTGGCTTATGAATTTCAGATGTGGTACATTCTGGGAATGCCAGCTCTTGGGCTCCAGGAAAGGTGATTAAAGGACAGGCTGATGCCAACATTTATGGAGAATAAAACTTGCACTTCAGGTACAGTAAACTCAGGGCACTCAGTTGGGCTTCACTCTTCCATATTCTTAGGAAAGACTAAAGTCACATGAATAAGATCTCAGCCCTGCATATGTAATGGCAAAATGAATGATGTAGGCTCTTCCTTTGAGAAACTAACAGACTGTGGATCCAGCTCATTGTAAAGAAACAGCCATATGAGTGATGTAAAGGGTATTAATCCCTCAATACAGGATCATTTATCTGTAGTACCACTCCATTGCTACATTGTTCCTGAGCCAAGTGTCCTGGCCACCATGTCTCTGGGACAGTGAGTGACATTATGAGGTCAAACAAGGTGTCCCCCATAGACCGTCAAGAAGACAGGCTGCTGCTTTTCAGGGATCTCTACTCTGATCCCCTTGGGATAGCTTCTAGGTTCATGAGTAGGCAGAATCCCACTGAGTTCCTAGTTCCTCTTTGACCCCCAGAGCAGCACTTTAGACATAAAGTTCATCTATGCTCAGGATGACAGCCAACCAGTAGCTCCAAAGTGTTCCTTGACAATCATTTTCTACTTTACTGAACAGCCCACCTTCCTCTGCAGCAGACCGCTTCTTTGCTGGAGAGGCTGTGGGCTGGGGATATGGAGAACAAACTGATGAGTGAGGGATGTGTCTGCAGAATCAGTCAGTGGAAGAGATGACCTCCAGGAGACTGTGATTTCCTTGGCAAAGGTACTGCATTTGCTTGCTTAGCAATATCTGTGAACTCCTTGCCATAGAACAGCAAGAATTCGCAACATTCCCTGCCAGTGGCATCCTTCAGCACTGCCAGCCACATGTCCTCACCAGCAAGGTCCCATGTCCTCACCAGCAGGTCCCATATCCTCACCAGCAAGGTCCCATATCATCACCACCAGGTCCCATATCCTCACCAGCAAGGTCCCATGTCCCCACCACCAGGTCCCATATCCTCACCAGCAAGGTCTCATGTCCTCACCACCAGGTCCCATATCCTCACCAGCAAGGTCCCATATCCTCACCACCAGGTCCCATGTCCTCACCAGCAAGGTCCCATATCCTCACCACCAGGTGCCATGTCCTCACCAGCAAGGTCCCATATCCTCACCACCAGGTGCCATATCCTCACCAGCAAGGTCTCATGTCCTCACCACCAGGTCCCATGTCCTCACCAGCAAGGTCCCATATCCTCACCAGCAAGGTCTCATGTCCTCACCACCAGGTCCCATATCCTCACCAGCAAGGTCCCATGTCCTCACCACCAGGTCCCGTATCCTCACCAGCAAGGTCTCATGTCCTCACCACCAGGTCCCGTATCCTCACCAGCAAGGTCCCATATCCTCACCAGCAAGGTCCCATGTCCTCACCACCAGGTCCCGTATCCTCACCAGCAAGGTCTCATGTCCTCACCACCAGGTCCCGTATCCTCAGCAGCAAGGTCCCATATCCTCACCAGCAAGGTCCCATGTCCTCACCACCAGGTCCCGTATCCTCACCAGCAAGGTCCCATGTCCTCACCACCAGGTCCCGTATCCTCACCAGCAAGGTCCCATATCCTCACCACCAGGTCCCATGTCCTCACCAGCAAGGTCCCATATCCTCACCACCAGGTCCCATGTCCTCACCAGCAAGGTCTCATGTCCTCACCACCAGGTCCCATATCCTCACCAGCAAGGTCCCATATCCTCACCACCAGGTCCCATATCCTCACCAGCAAGGTCTCATGTCCTCACCACCAGGTCCCATGTCCTCACCAGCAAGGTCCCATATCCTCACCAGCAAGGTCTCATGTCCTCACCACCAGGTCCCATATCCTCACCAGCAAGGTCCCATGTCCTCACCACCAGGTCCCGTATCCTCACCAGCAAGGTCTCCTGTCCTCACCACCAGGTCCCGTATCCTCACCAGCAAGGTCCCATATCCTCACCAGCAAGGTCCCATGTCCTCACCACCAGGTCCCGTATCCTCACCAGCAAGGTCCCATGTCCTCACCACCAGGTCCCATGTCCTCACCACCAGGTCCCATATCCTCACCAGCAAGGTTCCATGTCCTCACCACCAGGTCCCATATCCTCACCAGCAAGGTCCCATGTCCTCACCACCAGGTCCCATATCCTCACCACCAGGTCCCATGTCCTCACCAGCAAGGTCCCATGTCCTCACCACCAGGTCCCATATCCTCACCAGGAAGGTCCCATATCCTCACCACCAGGTCCCATATCCTCACCAGCAAGGTCCCATGTCCTCACCACCAGGTCCCATGTCCTCACCAGCAAGGTCTCATGTCCTCACCACCAGGTCCCGTATCCTCACCAGCAAGGTCTCATGTCCTCACCACCAGGTCCCATGTCCTCACCAGCAAGGTCCCATGTCCTCACCACCAGGTCCCATGTCCTCAACACCAGGTCCCATGTCCTCACCAGCAAGGTCCCAACACAAGTTAGAATGTGCCATCAGGTTTCTTTTATCATTTGATCTTAGAACTAAAAGGGACCTCAGTGGTTACCTCAAGCTGTTGTTCTCAGCCCTTGGCTGTTCATTAGAATCACAGGGGGGTGTTTTCAGAAATACGTATGCCTGGGCCCCATCCAAGAACGATCTCTGAAAGCAGGACCCCATATCATTAGTGGGTTTGTTTTAAGGCTTTCAGGTGTTTTAATGTGTAGTCAGGGTTAAGAATGACAGCTTTAGTCTGATACCCTTTTCTCAGATAAGTGAACTGGGACTCAGAGATCTTGCAGAATTTACCAGAAAGGTACCCATGAGTTAGAGCAGCAGTCCACAACCTTTTTTTTTTTTTTTTTTTGAGATGGAGTCTCACTCTGTCGCCCAGGCTGGAGTGCAGTGGCATGATCTTGGCTCACTGCAACCTCCACCTCCCGGGTTCAAGCAATTCTCCTGTCTCAGCCTCCCAAGTAGCGGGGACTACAGGCACCCGCCACCACACCCAGCTAATTTTTGTATTTTTTGTAGAGACGGGATTTCGCCATATTAGTCAGGCTGGCCTCGAACTCCTGACCTCAGGTGATCCTCCTGCCTCGGCCTCCCAAAGTGCTGAGATTACACTCAGAAGCCACCACGCCCAGCCAATCCACAACCTTTTTGGCACCAGGAACTGGTTTTGTGGAAGACAGTTTTTCCACGGACCAGGATTGCGGGGATGGTCTTGGGAGGATTCAAGCACATTACATTTATTGTGTGTTTCATTTCTATTATTATTACATTGTAATATACAATGACATAATTATACAACTACCATAATGTAGAACCAGTGGGATCCCTGAGCTTGTTTTCCTGCAACTAGACGGTTCCATCTGGGGGTGATAGTAGACAATGATAGATCATCAAGTATTAGATTCTCATGAGGAATACACAACCTAGGTCCCTCGTGTGTGCAGTTCACTATAGGGTTTGTGCTCCTATGAGAATCTAATGCCACCACTGATCTGACAGGAGGTGGAGCTCAGGTGGTAATATGAGCAATGGGGAGCAGCCGTAAATACAGATGAAGTTTCACTGGCTCTCCCACAGCTCACCTCCTTCTGTGTGGCCCGGTTACTAACAGGCTACAGACCAGTAGTGGTGGTTGGGAACCACTGAGTTAGAGGCCAACTAGAATTTGCCCCACTTCATTGAATTCCCTACTCCTTTAAATATGCAGAATTGCATAAGCCAAACTCCAGTGTCTTTAGAAAGCAGACTATGTTATTGTTTCTTGAAAAGCCATTCTTCCTCCAGATTCAGATGTTGGTGGTCAAATGAGTATCTCTACAGAAAATCTCTCTGCTTCTCCGAATTAAACTATTTTCAATTATCTTGTCAGATGAACAAATGTGTTTTGCATTTTCTTTCATTTTTTAAAGAGAGAAACTCAAGTGAAGGAGAGCTACTAACGTCCAATGAAATAAAGTATCCAAGCCTGAAATTGAAGAAAAAAAAATGTAGGCATATTTGCTCTTTGGTTTTTATTTTTCTGTCACCATCTAATGTAATATTTATTTAATCATTCCCCTAAGGCAATGATTTTCAAACTCTCTTTAGCAGCAAAACTTTTTTTTTTTTTTCAAACAAAATCCCAGGCAGGAATTCTAATATACAAAACAGATAAAATATAATTAACAGATTCCTCAGGCAGTTTAAATTCTTATTATTTGAAGGAAAATGTTTGATGCCTTGGTAGGACTCCTGTACCATCTCAAACATTCTTGCTGGACTCAGTGGCTCACACCTATAATTGCAGCACTTTGCGGGACCAAGACAGGAGGATCACTTGAGCCCAGGCATTCGAGGCCAGCCTGAGCAGTATAGTGAAACCCTGTCTCTACACAAAATGTAAAAATTAGCTTGGCGTGGTGGCACATACACACCCAGCTACTAGGGATGCTGAGGCACAAGGATCACTTGCACTTAGGAGGTCAAGGCTGCAATGAGACGCAGTCACACCACTGCACTCCAGCCTGGGTGACAGAGCGAGACCCTGTCTCAAAAAAAAAAAAAAAAAATCTTGTTCTCAGGAACACAGTTTAAGAACCACCGTTCCACTGCATCGTTTTCCTGTCAGTCTTCAGTGGCCATGTCTTTTCATTTTGTTTTGTAGGGCAAAGACCTGCTTTGTTATGCAAGCCTCTTCTCCGTGAAAATGCATTTCATTTTTAGTTTTGCATATGTGCAGTTCTGTATTTGGTGTAGACAGGGTCATGTAGAGGAAGAGTACAGTCACTGGAAGGTGGACTGTGCCAGGTGGGCATCTTCCTCAAAAGCCATGGACTCAGCACCTTCTGTGTATCTGCAGCCAACACATGGAAATATCTCATAGGAAATGAATCAGAGAAGTGTGCCCTGAGGGGAAGAGGGAGCAATTCCTGCCAGGGCATGCAGTGAATGTTTCCCTTTCTTGCCCTTTGGTTCATTCCCCAGCACCTGTAGAGCCAGGAGGTTGAGGGATGCTTCATTTTCTCTCTCAGTGGAATGGGACCCACAGACAGCTGCTGCCTAGGAACATCATTTTCCTTTCAACCCAGGATCACCCTGGGTGGGTGGGTCACATGGGGCAGGACATCAGTGAGGGGGACATTAGTATCAGTCCAGGATCAAGAACCACACTACCTGGGATGCCAATGGGTTTTGGAGAGGACTCTTCACTCAGGACGTTTCTTTCTTGTTGAGATGCTATTCCTTATTATTTTTGAACTATTTCCACATTCGAGTTTTGCATTTTCTCACCTGTTTAGTAATGGTGGATGGCTTCAGACATTTAACTGGGAAGACTCTGGATGTTTAGTAGACCTTTCTGTCACTGTCCATTACCATAGCTAGTAGGTACTCTCTCTTTGCATGATGGAGATAACATGCAAATCCTTTTAGCAAAGCATCTGGCACAAAAGAGAAACACAAAATTGTCCGTAGAAGAAATTAATGTTAGTTGGACCAAGAAAGGACTTTGATTATGTTTTCTTAAAAAGAATCTCTGTGTTTTAGACTGAAATCTTTACAGATGCAATGGCATGTCTGGGATTTGCTCCAAACAGTGCAGAATCGGGGCGGGGTGGCTGCGGAGATGAACCACCAGGAGCAGGGAGTTGAGGATCTCTAAAGCCTGAAGACAGGCATGTGGGGGGTATTATCCTATTGTACATGCTTTTATACATGTTTAATATTTTTCATAACAAGATGTGAAAAAGAAAAAATACTTGAGAAAACATCTATGAAACCCAAAGCACCATCAAAGGGACCACTCACCTGATGAGATCAGTAGACATCTTCAGAGTTGTTTTCCCCAGGGCGCCATTATTGCAAGGAATAGAAACCTGCTCAAGGCAGCTGGAGTGAAAATGAGGTTGTTGATGGGAACAGAGGTTCCAACAGACAAGAACACAGGGAACCTCGGAGGATTGAGAGCAGGACTGGGAAACCAGTCAGCGACTGAGAGCACTTCCTATTTGTCTTTTGTCTTTGAGTCCCAGAAAAAAATCTCTTTTGTAAATTTTTCTCTCAATTTCTCCATTCTTTTGCTTCTCCATGCATATTGGATTTCTCTGATAATTTATCCTTATCCAAATGACAAAAAATGGCCACCCCTTGCACAAATGCTGGGAAACCTATATTTCTCTTAGTTCAAATTTATCAAAGAAATAATCCCATTTTTCATGAATCAACTGATGGAGTGGTTACCCCGGAGTCAGGTAATCAGCTCTGGGTCCAATCAGCTATGGCCAAGGAAGCTAGGATCACATGATACAAAATGACTCCCTAGTACCACTGTTTTCAGCAGGGACTGGGGGTAGGTTTAGGTCCCTCAAATGTTTTATGGATTATGCAGGCACCCTGAGCTATATCTACTCAAAACCGCTAAGATTTTCAGGAAAGAAATATTCTAATTTGCCATTTAGAAATTATATAATCTCTGTCATTTGGACTACAGTTGAGTCCACTTTCCTTTTTCTTAGGAGAAATAGAGAAGAACTGGTTACTATTCTCATTGGGAGACTCTCAAACACATGTACGTTGTTTTCTTTCTACCTTGTGTTTTTATTCTTGAGACAAAATAACCCGAAAAGTTAGTGTCTACTTACAGTGCTCTTACTTTATGAAAGATGTGACATTCAGCATTTTGGGGAAGCAGAGACATGACTCCGACTCTTCAGGAGCTCAACAATGGGAGAGGCATGCCCCAGGTTGTCTGTGTTTGAGAGGCAGGGAAGTCTGTGCCAAGTTCTTTCTGTTCATGGTTACTGGAATTCTCACCTCTAGCATCTGATTTCTTTCTTTCCTGTGTGAGCTACCTCCCATGGGCATTAAAAATCAAGTCTCTGACACCACTCCGCATCTTCAAAGAAAACAAATCATTTACAGAATTTTAATCAGATAAAGAGAGGAGAAGGCTGGGCACAGTGGCTCATGCCTGTAATGCCAGCAACTTGGGAGGCCAAGGCAGGAAGATCACTTGAGCCTAAGAGTTTGAGACCAGCCTGGGCAACTTAGTAGGACTCCCATCTCTACAAAAAAAAAAAAAAAATTTAAATTAGCCAGTCATGGTGGTTTAGGCCTGTGGTCCCAGCTAAGGCAGAAGGATCACTTGAGCCTAAGAAGTCAAGGCTGCAGTGAGCCGTGATCATAACACTGCATTCCAGTCTAGGCAACAGAGCAAGATCTGCTTCAAAAAAAAAAGGAGAAGAAAAAGATGCTCACCAATGACTAGGACTATGATGATCTGGTGGGTTCCTGAATATTCTTTCATCTGGCTCCTGTAGTCACTTCAGGGCCTGACTATGCCTTTTCTACTGTGACGTAGCTAGGGAAGGACTTAGTAGGTTCCAATCATCTTGAAGACTTGCCAGTGAACAGACCATAGTTCTTAGGCAAGCAACCACAGGTCCCTTGAGTGGCTCTGTTATTAATCTGTTCTGAGACATCGGGCTTTCTTAAAACATTGAATGAGCTTTATGTAGAACTCTGTACTGTATACTGTTTAAAATTTTTATGTAAATATATATCTTATGTATATTTTATATAATTAGTTTTTATTTTTATATTATATTTCATATTATATATGTGTGTATATATATATATATAGTGCACACAAACATGATGTGGAGGCTGAATGAAAATGTTCTCATACGTTTTCTTCTAAGAACTTTACTGTTTACATTTCACATTTTGTGTATGGTGTGAGGTAGGGGTCAGGATTCATTGTTTTCTGCAGATGGATATCCAATTGATCTAGCACCATTTACTGAAATGACCGTTACCTGGAAATTAAATCATGTCAAAACATAAAAGCATCCATAATTGGCCACAGGTACAGCCTTGGATGTATGACAGTGAAGGAAATGGTTTTAGAAGTGGTAGAAAGCAAATTGTCAGATATGTTGTAGATGTACAGTACCTACAAAGAAAGGGGACACCCAGAGGGAATACTAGCCCTCTCACTTACTGATGTATTTTTGTGCCTAGTGGAGTCTCCAGCATGCAACAGACACAACAAATATTTATTAAAATGAATTGTTGTATCTTTCCGCCATGAGATAAATCCTAATCATAGAAGAAAACCAGATATCTAATGCCGCTTTCCCTTCCAAATGTGGACATGATAGGATTGACATCATTTGCCTCATGTCTGTTGTTGGAGCATAACAAGAATGAGCAAGTGTGTGAGTGCCAGGCATACATAACTGAAAAAAAAAAGCTTCTTCCACACCACTCGAGGAAAATAAAATACATATATACATAACTACATTATATGGCAGACTGTGATAAGAGCAGAAAGAGTCACAGGGGTTTAAACCAAATTCTCCAATTTCTTAGTAAGAATTTCATATGATACAGGGCAAAATCCATCATCATTATCCTTGCTAACAAATACTGACTCCTTGTTATACATATGCCAGGCTATTTGCCAAGCTCCTTAAATGCATTATTTATATCAGTCACAGTTGCTACCCATTAGACTATTGGGAAGAGCCTTCCAATAAGCTGTATCTTTTATGTAAACATAGACTCAAAAATGTTTGCAAGTTATATTTCTGATGGTCTCTCCCCTACCCTTTTATCATCACAAATAGAAATTAGTGAGACCCTATAATTTTTTTAAGCTAAGGGCCAGATGACTACATCCCAGCTTTTCAAGTTCCATATTAGTTCTCTGTGAAACTTTAGGGTTAATGGCTCGTGAACTTAGTCTAGTATTCAGGTCAAACATGCAACTAGTCAAGCATGCAAGCTTGCATATGTGCAGTCCTTTAAACTTGTCCTCTGTCACTTCTTTCCCATCTGTGTCTTTCCAGCCTTCTGATCATTATTTCCATCTTCCATGTTAATCTAAAGGTCAACTTTCTGCTCTTGGAGGAAGAACATGCATTCTTGGTGTATAATAAAATTCAAGTCCCTCTTCCTACTTGTGATTGTCTTTGTGGCTCATCCAGGCAGCCTCATCCTGAATGTCTATGATGTAAGTCAAAGAAAAGAAAATAATCAGTCCTGAATTTGGAGGGAAGAGATCATAAGCCCAGTACATAGTCCCAACAGGCCACAGTGATTGTGTAAAAATACGTTTTATATCTTGTATTTGATTTGCCACACAGTTTAACAGAAAAGTAACTTTATCTATTTTTTCCAATTAAAGGTAGTAATAGTACAATCAATAATTCCTCCTGCTCTAGTGTGGTAAATTAATGTCTTTCTATTGTTTTTAAATCACAAAGTGAGCATTGCTATAGAAATGTAAAATGGTACCATTTCATTTTAATCTATTTAATTTTCCTTTCTTGAATTATATAATGGGGTTAAAACATTGAATAGAATTAATAGAATGAGTATTTAATTAAGGAATAATGAGCTTCTAAATGAATGCTCAAAGAAACTGCTTCATAGTTTATGCAGAAATCAGATAATGGGCTTAACAAATACTATAATAATTGTGTTGAATGTTTTCCATATTTAAAGATTTTTTTTTTCTGTATTCTCTCAGGAGTAGATTTAAACGTAACCCAGTTCCTTGATTAGGCTACACTTTGCTTTCATAGTAAATCCCAAATGCCTTCCCATGGCCCACAGGGCCCTGCATAAGGTGACTCTACCACCTCTGGAGTCTGATGTCATAGAGTTCTCTCTGGCTCTCCCCTTCATTCCAGCCACACCCAGCTTGCCTTTGTTCTGCAAAGCCACCTTTGGCTCTTCCCGCCACCTGGCCTTTGCTCTTCCTCTTTCAGATGCCAGGTATGTTCTCACCCCCTTCACCTCTCTAAGGCCTCCTCTTCTTTCAGTTCTCAGGGAATTTTTCCCTGATGATCCTCTCCAGACTGGATCAGATACCCACCTCCACACATACACACACACACATACACACACACACACAGACTCCCCAAGAACTGTAATTTTATTTCTTGACAATTAACACGTTGTTATACATTTCTTTCCCATCTGTCTCTCCTTTCAGCCTGTAATCTCTCTGAGGAAATATATCATGTCTGTTTTGTTTAGTGGTGTAACCCTGGATGGATGGATGGATGGATGGATGGATGGATGGATGGATGGGTGGATGGATGAATGGAAGGATGGATGGATGATGAATGGAAGGATGGATAGATGGATGATGGATGGATGGATGGATGGATGGATGGATGGATGGATGGATAAATAGATAGATGGATGGCAGGTAAATGCCGTTGTGGACCCATCCAAGGACATATGAGGGCCACAATGCACATCTCTGAGAATTCCTAGCACATCAGCCCCTTTCCATTCTACTTGAATTCATTTGCCCACACACTAAAAAGGTATTCTATACCAGCCCCTTCAGCAGGTGCTGCAGACATAAAACTATCAGTGTCATGGAAGAAGCTGCACAGGTTTGTCTCACTTATACATGGCCTAAATATTAATTTTATTAATTCATTCATCCACCCATCCACCCACCTACCCATCCATCCATCCACCACCCACCCATCCATCCACCCATCCGTCTATCCATCTATCTGTCCACCCATCCATCCATCCGTCCCATCTTCAGACCTGCTCATGTGTTGGGCACTGTGCTGTTTACTAAGGATCAGGGCTGAGTCATCCATTAGGCACCATTATCACAGTGCTAGGACCCTAAAATCGAAAGAAATAAAAAGAACTTTTAGGGTAAAATAAATTTTTAATTCTTTTCTTCACATCACAAAAATAATTTTTTCTGAGACAGGGTCTTGCTCTGTCACCCAGGCTGGAGTGCAGTGGTGTAATCATAGCTCACTGCAGCCTCAAACTCCTACACTCAAGAGATCGTCCCACCTCAGCCTCCTGAGTATGTGGGACGACAGGCACGTGCCACCACACCTGGCTAATTTTTTACATTTTTTTTTAGAGAGATGGGAATCTCACTATGTTGCCCAGGCTCATCTTGAATTCCTGGGCTCAAGTGATCCTCCCACCTCAGCCTCCCAAAGAGCTAGGATTACAGTGTTAGAATACCATGCCCAGCCCCCAAAATAAATTTTTTAAAGCACATTACTCTATTATGATAGGAGGGGTTGATGAAGGCAAAGGTGACTGGGGTCCACCAGCCATGACGCAGCTCTGCTGGAGCACAGGGAAGATCAGTCCATCCCTGGTCTTCTGGAACACTCAGGCAAGTGGCAGAATCAGGTGTCAGTCAACAAGTCAGTCCCTCTTAGTCTTGCTTCTGTATGGCTTTGTCCCTTCACATTCCCTCAGGCCTCACCTCTGCTGCCAGATCCCACTTCCTATACTTAAGATCATTCATTCATTCAACAAATATCTACTGAGTTTCTTCTGTGCACCTAGCACCATGCAAGAGACTGGAGATAAAGCCATGAAGAGACAGGTGCACATAGAGCCTCCAGCCTCCTCAAATCATGATTTCTCACAGTGTTTTCATCTTGGCAATGACACTCATCTGCTTTGACAGAGCAACTTCTCACTTATGCACTGGACATGACAGCGTTTCTACCTGACTGGTGGTTCCCAGCATCCTCTAGCCTTAGCCCATTTCATGCCCACATGATTGATACCTGGTTTTCTAAGGTACAGGTGTCAGAAGAACCACAAGGACGGGTTATGAGCTGACATCCACTTTGATAAGCAGGGGCAGAGAACCAGTCCTTTGGCTCTGGACCGCAGCAAGAGGGTGAAGGAAGGACTGGCCTAAGCCATGGGGATCTAAGGTGGGCAGGAGTGGCAGAGCAAAGATTACTGGAAACCAGGAGACTTAGGTCTGATCTTTGGGTCACTAAACGACTTTGGGCAGCACTCTTCCTTCTTCCTTCCTTCCTTCTCTGTGCAATCATCTTCATCTGTAATATGAAGGGATTAGATCACACATGTGTCACCAAGCCCCCTCCTGACTACATGGCAGGTAGCATTAATTGATCACAGCATTCTTTCCTGCTGAGCCCAGATGTACTGCAGGCCTGTCCACACCAGGCTCAGGCAGCTTCACCCATTCACAAGGGTAGGTCATGTCATTGACACCTGCCTGCCGTCCTTAGACTGGGACTCTATCCTGCTTCTTGCCCCGACTACATATTGGAATTATCTAGGCAGGTGAATAAAATGCTGAGTCCTAGGCTTTACCCCAGAGCCTGGGGAATCTGAATTGATCTGGGGAGTCTGAATCTGAATTGATTCCCTGACTGATGCCTGATTCTGCCACTTGACTGCTTGTCCCAGAAGACCAGAGATGGACTGATCTCCCATGCGCTCCAACCTGGCTAGAGGACCCCGGGCAGTTTCTCTTTCATCAGCCCCTCCAACCATAATAACCATAATAGATTTTCATGCGCTTTAACCCTGGGGAATCCTGAATTGGAATAGGACTCGGGAAGTTTTTCAAAGCCTCTGGGAGATTCTAATGTGCAGACAGGGCTGAGAACCGTTAGTATAGTTTTCTTGCTCAAGAATTCTATGATTTTTGTGAGAAGAGAAGATAGAAGATAGGTAGACATTAAACAAGAATCACACGAATCAGATCAAAATAATTGCACCCTGGAGTTGTTTCTGTGTTACAGCAGCCTCAGTATCCCTTCTCATTCCCACTATTTTCTAGCCTCCATGCATGTTCTAAGAATTTTCCAGCTCTCCTTTTATGGAAGACAACTCGCCCAGGTTTGCCGAGGCGCAATAAACAAATTAGTTGCAGTCCCCGCCCTGTCCCCTGAGAGGCCTCAGGATTAAGGTTTATGATTAATGATTTCCAAGTCAATTAATCAGCCACTGCTTTTGAAACCTCATTTCTCAAATTACTTTTCTTTGAACACAAGGGCTTTTTGATATCACCTTACTGTCTCTAGATTCACTTTCCTACTAATTGAAATTCCAAGATATTTCTTCTTTTTGTCAGCTTATTGGTGTTACTTGTTTATAAAATATTTGCAAACACATTACTATTCACCTGTAGTGTGTCAGAGGTAAGCACCAAAACAATACTTTATGCTTTCGGCTCAAAGGAATGTGCTAATGAAAGCTCATGAAATTCTCTATCTATGAGAAAGTTGATTTTTCATTTATTGATTTATTTTCACCACACCTACTTGAAACAAGAATTTGAGATGTATTACAATAGAAACACAGGTACATCAAGGCTCCAAACAATTCATGTAGATGATTTCTTAGAAAATGGTTTCTAAGATCATATTAAAACTGGATATGGAGTGGGAAGGATGGGATTGGTTTTCTTCATTAGGGAAAATAGCAGTATCTAGCAGAGGATCTGGGGTCAAATCCCAGTCTCTCCACTTACAAGTCTTAACGCTTGACTCATCTGATTATGTTGTTATTTTGGGGAGGCAAGGCTGCGAGAACAAATGCAAACAAAAATGGCTTGAACTCAATGAAAATTTGTTTCTCATTCAATGATAGTTCAGGACAGGTGTTCTTGGCCACCAGGTTGCTCCCCTCCATGTGGTGACTCAGGGACACAAGCTCCTCCTTCCTTGTAGCTCCCTGCTTCCCTGGGGTTTTGTGGTCCTCTGCATTCAGGTAGGCAGAGGGTGAAAAAGCACAGAGAGGAGGCACAGCTGTTCTTTTCACCCTCCCACCACAGAGCAGCACAGCACAGCCATGGTCAGTATCATTGCTGCCCACATTCTGCAGGAGAGAAGTTAGTCTCGTGGCCTCACCTAAGTTCAAGGAAAGCTGAGAAGAAGAGCATAGTATCTTCCAACCGTAATCCTCTTATGTTATTATTTATTTTTAAGTGAGATGATGTGTGTAACATACCCAATGCAAAGCATGTAGTAAATGACTATGTGTTTTCAAAATAGTGACCATTACCATCTGCTTTGTTTGCAGTTTCAAGCCACAGTCGAGGAAGGAGCTGTGGGAGTTATTGTCAATTTGACAGTTGAAGATAAGGATGACCCCACCACAGGTGCATGGAGGGCTGCCTACACCATCATCAACGGAAACCCCGGGCAGAGCTTTGAAATCCACACCAACCCTCAAACCAACGAAGGGATGCTTTCTGTTGTCAAAGTAAGGGTGCTTCCAATTGCCTCTTTCTCCTCATGCGAGCACGGAGGGCCCCATGAGGCAGCTCATAGAATCATTGAGTTTAGAAGGCCACAGATAAATTCCCCCAGTCTCCTCCTTCTGGGAATTAACAAAGGAAAAGGCTCATGGCTTAAGGGTGCACTCGTATCCTCAGCAGCATAAACAAGCAGCCATAAAACAAACCTGTTTTATAGGTTCTAAAATACCCAAACTTATGTGTAACTTTAAGAAAACCAAACTTAAGTGCATTTTTTATTTTGTTTTCATTTTTGTTTTTTGAGACAGTCTCACTCTGTCACCTAGGCTGGGGTGCAGTGGTGTGATCTCAGCTCACTGCAATCTCCGCCTCCTAGGTTCAAGTGATTCTCGTGCCTCAGCCTCCTGAGTAGCTGGGATTACAGCTGCCTGCCACCATGTCCGGCCAGTTTTTGTATTTTTAGTAGAGATGAGGTCTCACCATGTTGCCCAGGCTTGTCTCAAACTCCTGGCCTCAAGTGATCCACCTGCCCTGGCCTCCCAAAATGCTGGAGTTACAAGTGTGAGCCACCATGCCTGGCCCAAACTTAAGTTTTAAATGAAATTCTTTATACATTTGCTAAGGAATTATTAACAGATATGCCAAAATGAGATGTGTGAAGGTGTTTTTAGAGATCTGTGCTCAAAACGTGGGCTACGACATGACTTCTTAATCTTCCTTAGTGAGCTCAATTATTCCTTAAAAACACACACAACATAGTTATTGGTGTGAAACCCTCTGTGACCCTTGCTAACTCACACACTGACCCTCTCTATGGCAACAAGTAGAACAAGGAGGAAATGTAATTATAAATGTAAAACCTCTAGCTCATGCTGGTAATCCAGAAATATTAGTGGGGGTGGTAGCACAGAAGGCTTGCTACAGGTGGCCTTGGTATTCTGGGAGAAGGCATTTCTACACAGTTTCACTCTTTCTGGGAAGTTCTGGGGAGAGTTTCTGCCAGAGACCAGGACCTTCATGGGAACACATTTTCTTTTCTAGTGGATGAAGCCATTTGCCTGAGCAGCAGGGATCAATTGTATTTATAGTGATAGTACCAGTGGGCAGAGCAGGGAAATGGCTGCCCACTCCCTGTGTGCCCTTGGCCAAGACACCCATGTTTTCTGTGCACCAGTTTCCTCATCTGTAAAATGAGAATGTTAATGTAACCTCCCTCTTAGGGTTGTTGTTGTAATCCATTGAGTTGTTATAATGAAGTACTGTAGGCTGGTGGCTTATAAACCACAGACATCCATTTCTCACAGTTCTGGAGCTTAAAAAGTCCAATATCAACCTTCCAGTAGATTCTGTGTCTAGTGAGGACCCACTTTTTGATAGATGTCCATCTTCTTCTCTCTCTATCCTCACATGGTAGATAGAGTGAGGCAGCTCTCTGGATTCTCTTTTTTTTTTTTTTTTTTTTTTTTTTTTTTTTTTGAGACAGAGTCTTGCTCTCTCACCAGGCTGGAGTGCAGTGGCCTGATCTTGGCTCACTGCAACCTCCACCTCCTGGGTTCAAGTGATTCTCCTGCCTCAGTCTCCCGAGTAGCTGGGATTACAGGTGCATGCCACCACACCCAGCTAACTTTTGTATTTTCAATAGAGACGGGGTCTCACCAGGTTGGCCAGGCTGGTCTTGAACTCCTGACTTCAAGTGATCTGCCCGCCTTGGCCTCCCAAAGTGCTGGGATTACAGATATGAGCCACTGCACCCTGCCAAATCCTGTTTTGCTCATATCTATTTTCCTTGAGCTGTAGCAAACACATTTTGGGGAGGCCTGAGCTCCAGGATATGTGATGGAGATGTCTATTTACCCAAGTTTTATCTTCCAAACTTCAGGTCTGGAAAATTGTCTGACAGATTTTATAGACTCAGGACTAGCCACGGAGGACAGCCAGTGGCTATGTCATTCTATGACTTTTACAGCTTCGAAAGTGCAACAGCCATGGACACAGAGGGCCAGTGCCAGGGTTTCCTAATAACTTTGCCATTGCCCAATACATTAGTGCTTTTATGTACTTCGTGCATTACTGCTAGTCCCCATGAATAATATACAGTACTATAATTGCTTATTCATACATAGTACATTCATATATAGGAGTACATTACAAACCTAGTCTACATACACATAAGCACGTATTAACAATCCCTTAATTAACTATCGCACATCTACTGTTGTCAAGTACACAATAAAACCTAATCCATACGAATACTGACCCGTACTAGAAATCCTTAATATTACGTAGTACATACATTCGTTCATCGGACATAGCACATTGCAGTCAAGAAATCTCTTGCCAACATGGATATCCCCTACCAAATTTTGGCCTCTGAATCTACCAATCTCCGAGAAATCATCCCCGCTCAGGAGTACTACCCTCCTCGCTCCAGACCTATAACACTTGGGGGTGACTATTCTGAAACTATACCTGGCATCTGGCTCTTACTTCAGACCCATAACATTAAGATCACCCACATGTTACCCTTAAATTAAGACATCTCGATGGACTAGTGACTACCAGCCTATTAACCAACCTTGGCAACAGAGTGAGACTCTGTCTCAAAATAACAACAACGAAAAAAGAAAAAAAAGAAAAACCAGACTTGCAGGAAGGAGCCATTCTCCTCTCCCTACATTCCTGTGCTGGTCCACAATGCAGTGGCTCTCAAATGCTAGCATATATAAGAATCATCTGCAATGTTAGTTAAAATGCAGATTTCTGGGCTTGCCCCAGACCTGCTGTGTCAGAATATGAGAGAGAGGTGTGCCAGGTGGTTCTGTTGTTCACAGGGCACACCACTTGTCAAGGGGCATGGCCTTAGGGGAAGCAGTTTCCATCAGCTTGTCCGCCCTCCCTGCAAATTCCAGGGGAAGAGGTGCCCACAGAGGCTGATGCTCTTGCTGACTTCAGCTTTGCTAGTGAGTGGACTTTCTTTGCTTTGGAATTGGGATGCAGACTCTCCCTCACCCCACATTGGCTGCCTCCCAGGTCAGTAGGAAGGGCCTTGAGTTCTATCTGTCTCTCAGCACATGTGAGGCAGAGCCCCAGAACACCTTCTAGAAGCCAGCTAGGCCATGCTCTCTGCTGCTGTCCACTGTGCCAGCCACTGGTGCAACCATCAGGGATGCATTCTGTTGCAAGTAACAGAATGTTAGACTAATAGTGGCTTAACTAATGAAGGGAATTTAAGAATTTTTATAACTAGATGAAGGTAGGCCAGTCCAGGATTGGCCAACAGTTCCAGGTGGCAGAGAGCCAGCAGTGGGGTGCCTCAGATGCTTTTGACATTTTCCTCTTGGACATAAAGTAGCTGCCAAAGCCCCAGGCATCATATCTTCCCATGATGCTGCATCCTAATGCAGGAAACAAGGAGGCAGCCAGGCAAATGAGAGAAGGTGCTCTTATGAGACCCTCTCCTCTTATCGGGGCAGAAAACATCCTTTCTAAGGGTCCCCCGGCCAATTTCCCGTGATGTTTCATTGACCAATGACATACGTTCTTCCTTAACTTCAAGGAAAGCTGAGAAAGTCCAAATCTGGCCTTTGGGCCTTTACAGTGCATAAGGCAGAGGGGGGCTGGTGATTGCTGTTGGGCAGTCAAGCACAAGCAGGTCTGCCCTAACCAGTTAGCAATCCAACATACAGAAGAACTATTTGGAGTCTCAGGATGCTGCTGGTTTCCAGCAAGGTCCTGCCACTTAAAAGGACCAAATCCCAGTGGCTCTGACAGATGAGTGTCGGCTTCGTCTTTAAAACCTTCAGATCAGAAGCACCCTTAGCTGCTTTCTAAACCGATTCTAAAACCACCAGAAAGTTATTCTTTCAGCTGAATATAATCAACCCTACATTTTAAGTTTATTTTCTATTCTGTCCTCAAAGAAGGTAGTATCCAGAAAGCATCCGTTATTCCCCAAACCTTTCACAGGCCTAAACATAGCTATTCATTCAGTTCTGGATCCTCCCTCTTCCAGCCAACAAACCCAGGTCCTCCATCCTTCCCATGTGGGTCAACTTTTCCAGGCTTTAAATTTCCCAGGGCAGTGGTTTACACCCTCTCTTGTCACTTGAAAAAATATTAATTGAATTGCCTCTCTGTAGCTTCCATCAGGAGTATTTTCAATTTCCTCCTGTCCCTGACACAGAGGCCCAGCAACAGACAAAGCACATTAGTAAGATTGTGTGCTTTGTGAGATCTTGGAGGGCTTCTTAATCCAATTACAGCACTCCGAGGGGATTAGGAACAGAGACCCATGTGTCAGCAGCTCCAGGTGGTCTGGCCCTGGGCATCATACAGCTGGAGTTAGTAGATCCCACCTTAGGCAAATGGAAATAAACATTAGCATGGCCCTGCTCCCTTCCTAAGGCCAGCCTCACATTGTATGGCTCCCTCCCTCGCTGCTCCCCTCCCTCTGTGGCTTCCTGCATGGCATAGTTCCTCTGAAGCCAGCGTTCCGTTCAGGGAGTGTCAGCCTGGGAACATAGGAGAAACACTGGGGCCGGGGAAATGACTCTTGCAGCTCTTGCTTCCCCACTCTTCTTCCTCACCATCTTAACAGCTTCTTGTTATTGATACCAACACCAGGCCTAGCTCCATGGGAAATATTCAACATTCATCCTGTCCGCTGATCTTTACAACAATCCTCTGTACTAGGATTTTATTGAAGAGACAGCTGAGACTTCAGGGGAGGCAGTGACTTGCTGGTGGTCCCAGAGTTATGATGCATCAGGGCCAGGACTTGACTGCCACCCATCTTTCTATCTAATAAAAAAATAGGGAATTTAAAAGGCAGAAATATCCAAGAATGTTAGATTTTTGCACAATCAAAATAATAGATAATTGTGTTGCACAAGTCTAGTGCTAGAGAAAAGCACAAGAATTACAGTCAATTCATTCATTCATTCATTCATTCATGCAATATTTATTTAGAGCCCACTATGGTCCTGACACTGTGCTAGGTGCTGTGTATTCACTGGTGAAAGAAATGGTCTCTGTCTGCAGCCTCCCAGGCAGCTTATAGTTATAAGAGCAAGAACTTTTGCTGCAAATAATGACATCCCCAGGAAAGAAGGAGAGGAGGAGGGAGGGAGGGAATTGTCTCCTTGGGAAAAAACAACCAGTTGTCCCCAGCCGAGGAAAAGGAGCTGAGCGGCACAAATTGGTTATTTCCAAGCATTTTGACTGTCTCACTTGTCAGCAGATGGCTGGATTCCCCAGAAACCCCACTATCCTCCTGCTTGTGCATACGTCTCCGGCTGTGGAGAATCAGATGTCAGACCAAACTAGGCCAAGATTGTGATTAGTGCTGGTGTGGGGTGGAAATGGCCCTTGGGGGACTGGGGTGCTCTGCATCTCACTGCTGTTCAGAGGGCCCACCCTCAGCGTCGTCATGGCCCAGCAAGCCAAAGGCTCTGTCCCCTCCAGGATCCTAATTGAGATGAATAGCTGTATTTTCCAAGCATGGCAGCTCCCTGGCCCTGGTTTGAGGTTTACTTTACCGAAGTTGCACATTCTGGCATCACTTGGGATGGACAGAGATCCATTATTAGGATCCATAGAAAGAAGGATAGAATGGTGAATTACTGCTGTGTTACAAGGATTGAACCGACACATCACTGTGCAGCCACTCAGCACTAAGAGCTTTGCATCTGTTAACTCTTAAAATCCTATTACTGACCCTGCTGGGAGTTGTTCTAGGTGAAGAGAGGAAGTCCAGTTACAACCAGGAAGCATCTCCAGTGTGTGTATGTGGGCACACACTCTCCCATGTGTGGCGTGCTTAGCACTGAATACATGTCAGCCGTAATTATTATGAAAGTGACTTTATTTGCCTAAAGACACTCTGACCCAACCTGCCAGATTCCATTCCCACCTCGGTGCCAGCTCTTTCCCCAGCATCAACGGTCCTTATCTCTGCTTTCATTTTCCCATGTCCACTGCAACCTCTACAACTGTTGTTGCTTACTTTTAGTTGAGTGTAAATCAAATCTCTTGACTTATTTAGTCTTGTCCTTCTTGCAAGAATACCCATTACGGCATGGGTCTGATGGGTTAGCTGTTTGTTCCAGTAAGCATTAGGAACTTGATAGAAGCAGTATGCCCTCATCTTACCTAAATGTCTCCCCATGCACCGCTGACAGAGACCCACTCTGGGAAATGCTGCACCCACCACATCATGTGCTCTCGTGGTTGGGAAAGAGAGTGACAGACACTCAATTGGCAGCGCCATTGTATTACCAATGTTTATCATGGAGTTTCTTTGACATCCTCTGGTTTAGTCCACACAGTGGCTGGGGGAGGTAGATACTATCAGCCCCCTTTGCAAAATCACCTAGAGTGGTCCTCATCAACGCTGCCCATTGACACTGGGGTAGGACAATCCACCATTGTGTGGGACTGTCCTGGGCATGGCCTTGAGTCTAGTATTGCTGTCCCCCGCCCGGCAAATGGTTGTAGAGCCCTCGAGTCAATTGAAAATGCTCCCATACATTTTCACATGCCCTCAGTTGGGCCAGGGCCCAGCGGCTTAACTCCATGTGGCTCAGACTTTCAAATCCTTTTCCCTACATCATACTCTACTAGAAACCATGCACCCAGGCTATACTTGAAGGGACATAGAGACCCTTTAACTTCATGGCAAGTGAGTGAGAAACATTAAATATAAAACTTTGGTTTTCCTGTTCCATTTGATCCACTGTGATCACAGAGGCAGGGTTATCTTGCTATAAAGCTACTGAGGATTGGGCGTTGGAGTCTCATTTACCAGAGCCCCCGTGGGTGTCGGGGGTACGGAGTTACAGGTTCCAGGCAGGGAGGCTTTAGGCATCACCATTGCCAGGGAGTTGCCTAACGATATCTCAGAGGGAGGCTCACTAAGGTTCAAGTCACTCACTGCCCAGATCACTAAGGTTCAAGTCACTCAGTGTCCGGATCACTAAGGCTCAAGTCATGTGTTGTCATTCATTTCTTAATCAAAAACACAAAAACAAAAAAAAACCAACATCCATACTTAATCTCACATTTTCATGTTTCATATTCTTTATCTTAAAGATAGCCCCCCAGTTACACAGGCTTAGCCTCCAAAGCCCAGCTCCATCCCTGAAGGCCCACTGTTGCTCGTGGAATTTCAGAGGAAGTTGATGCAAACCACCTGCCTTTTGTGGCTGGTGTGCATCCTGAGACCCTTCTGTCTGCTTTCCAGCCATTGGACTATGAAATTTCTGCCTTCCACACCCTGCTGATCAAAGTGGAAAATGAAGACCCACTCGTACCCGACGTCTCCTACGGCCCCAGCTCCACAGCCACCGTCCACATCACTGTCCTGGATGTCAACGAGGGCCCAGTCTTCTACCCAGACCCCATGATGGTGACCAGGCAGGAGGACCTCTCTGTGGGCAGCGTGCTGCTGACAGTGAATGCCACGGACCCCGACTCCCTGCAGCATCAAACCATCAGGTGGGTGAGTGGCTCCGGAACCACAGACGGGAGGTGGGCAGGAATGGCTTTTCCTTTCCAGTCGCAGAAGCTGGTTGTCAGGAGCAGACACCATTAAATTAAACTTGTTAACAATCTCAGCAAGTGGGAGGAAAGCGTCATAGAGAGGAGGTTGTGGCTGACGGCTGCAGAGGGCCAGGCTCTTTGGTGAGGATGCTGCTCCCACCTGATTCCAGCCTGGGAGAAGAGTAGCTTCAGTGCTGTGTTCCCAAATGACCAGCCGGGTCTGCTGGCCCTGAGCACAGTCCTTGAACGGAGAGAGAAGGGAGCCACTCTGGGTGACCTCCTGCATCTCAGAAACTTGCCTACTTTGTCATCAGCACTGCTTTATGACAAAGGTTTTGCTAACTCCGTTTACAGATACAGGTATTGTGGATTCGCAGATTCGTAGAGGTTCGGTACTTGCTCAAGCAGCCCAGCTTGGTGGTAGAGGAATCAGGATGGAAACAGGACACTCTGCAAAGTTCATGCTCCTTCTAGCTGCTCAATGCTCACTGACTCTGAGCTGCCAGAAGGGGAAGGAGCAAAGTCACTTCCTGGTGCTTGGAAATAGACCATTGGGATTGGCGTTCTGCCTGATGAGGGGCAGGCAAAAATTAATAATAATAATGTCTTCAGAAATTTCTGTCTTCATTTCTTAAGCTCTGCCCAGTGCTTAGATAGAAAGCATTTTCGTAATGAGATTTAATTAAATGGTCGCTATCCACCCGTGGTGCATCTAATGCTCACAAATAAAAGATGCCCTCGTTGGTACATGGTTTCACAATAAACTTAAATCAGCGTGCAGATCCAAATGCACGCCTGTCTCTGCAGAAGAAAGTTATTAATGTTCCTCCTCCAAAATCTAATCTTCTTCTCATATGAGGTACAAATAATCAAGTATTGGACACACTTAAAACGAACATGTGTCTGATTTTCCTGATTTGAAACACCTGAAAATGTGCAACAGGGACTGAGTCAACCACTTTACTTTAGAGCAAGCCGGTGGAGAAGAAGCAGAAGTTATTTTCCAACACCAAAAGTGGATTTATTTTTACGGCTAAGCTTTCTGAATGCCAGATGAACTAGACAAGCGTGTGAAATAATACCAAATCCTATAATAATGTGAATCTGAAATAGCCATTCTTTTTTTTCTTGTTGCTATCTGACAATGGAAACATGCAATTTAAACATCAAAGAGAGAGTCTTTCTTAAGTACTTAGATGGGAAAACTCGTAGCTTAACAGACTACAAGGTAGTTGGACAAAGGTAGGATGTCTCCAGGTGAGCTTAAGTGTCATCTTGTATTTCTACAATTGGAGGTGAAAGCAGGGACCCTGGAGGCAATAAAATGAGTTAAATCAGGTTGATGTTTTGGACCCTGTGTCTCTGCCATTGCTGGGACAACTTGGGATGCTGCCAGTCATGAAAGAGCTAATGCAATGGGTAGGGGTGGATGGAGGTGTCTGGGACCCAGGACTAGATGTCCTACTAAGATGGGACAGACAGTGGGAGAGGAAGGTCAGGCTGGGTTGTTTGATTAAGACCAGCTCTGCTGACTTGGGCAAAGAAAGAACGTGCTGGAGGACCCTATGGATACTATATACGATGGAGGAATATCTGAAGAACCCGCTCGAGATAGCACAGGAGCTAGGGCATCCTTCAGGCTCTAGGTCACAGGAACAGACAGACTTGCAGTTCAGGATCTCACAGTGAGAATAAACCAGCTCCAGCTGTTTTCCATTCTAGTGTCACTCGGCCCATGGTCACATTCCCAGGGCAGCTCTGCCTTGCTGGAGCTGGGGTCATGCACCTCCCTGCTCCAGGCACCTTGGCTAGTGATCAACCGGGATGATGTTCCCAGATACACAGCACAGAGGGCCGCTGACTGAGAAGGAGGGATGAACATCCTGTCTGGCAAATGAAGCTTACTGCTGGGAGTATGGAGGCAGCCCATAGGTGCAGTCCCAGCAAACTGAGTTAGGAACAGGATTCCAGCCTGGGGAGGGAGGGGTGCCTGGGAGAGCTGAGACATTAAGGAACATCCAGGCCAAGATTTGAGCCATGGGGAGCAAAGGTCACCTTACTATTAAACAGCACAGGCAGATAAGGGACTTCATCCTACCGCTGTGTGAGAGAAGAAGGAGGTCAGAGAAAGCAACCTAGAAATGACTTGAGGTGGCACCTGTGGGGAGAAGCTGGAACGCAGAAAGTTCTGAGGATCTTCCTGTTTCTCTAGCCAGTGTAATCATCACAGCTTTGGCCTTCCATCACAAATGACTAGTACCCAACTCACAGTGACTTATGCCAAAAGGGGTCCTGCTTACTTGCATAGGTCAGCGCACCTAATGGAAAAGTCCATGGGAACAAAGGCCTCCAGCATGATGGAATTCAGGTGCTCAGAACATATTCCTTCTCTATATCTGGCTCTGCTCTCCCCTGGGTTGTCTCCATCCTCAGCCATATTTGCACATCTGTAGAGGGAAGAGGGAAGAGGCACCAGCAAACACCTCTCCTTGATCCTACCAGAGGAAAGCAACATCTTCCTTCCTAATCAATAGCCCAGCCCAAGGCCCAGGTTGAGTCACAAGCACAACTCTCTGAACCAAGCAGAAGATGAGCAGGACAGATTGTGCCACGAGTCCTGGTGCCTGAGCCTGCCACAGACCCCAGCACCCAGCTGTGAGGGCCTGCAGGGGCGGCTACCCGAGGAAGTGCGGGAGGCTAGTCCCAGAGGATGGGAACAAATGCTGTGTAATCAGGAACCACAGAGAGCCCCTGGCCCAAAGGTGAACCTTGTGAACCCCACAGAAAATAGAGCTGCAGTGTGTCTCTGCAGCTGGTCTAAGAGTTCTAGCATTTACAGATTGGCCTAGCTGAGTGATGGCAGGACCAATCCCTTTCCCAGCCGTGGAGCAAAGTAAATGTGTGTGTGCATGTGCATATGTGTGTGCTGCACACATTTCTCTCTCTGGCCTCACTCCTCAGGCATATTCCTTCCTGCTGGGAGCCACAGCGGCCCACACGTGACTCTTTCTCAGCCTGGCACTGGCTGGACACCCCCTTTCCCCTCCTCCGTTCTTCTCCCCTTCACTCCCTCCTACCCACCTTTCCCTCCTTTCTCTTTCTTCCCCTCCACCCCTCTCCTCTCCTGGAGTAAAGTCGGGATAACATCACCGACAGGTTGAGCTATTGTCATGGGAGCTCTTTGGGAAAAAGAGGCTCATTAATTATTTGCAGCCTTTGATCCTGCACACTGAGAAGTGCTCTCCCTTGGGGCCTGTGTGTGCAGAGGAGGAGTGGGGCTGCAGAGAGGGGCCAGGATGGGAGACACTTTTCTAATCTAATCATCTGCGCTGGGCTACCCCGGCTTCTCAGACAGATGCAACGGCCTTCCAAGTTGTGATGTTACTGCTGTTGTGATGATTCTTCAGGGAGCAGGCACTGGAAGAAGAAACTTAGCTGGAAAAGAACTCTTCCTTCTTCTCCTCCTCCTCCTCCACAAAACAGGAATCAGGTGTCTCCTGATAACATTTTAGTATCTCTAATATCTTTTTCTTCTTCTTCCTTGTGTTGACTGCTGATGTGATACCTCTGTTCTTGTCTTCTTAGTTTAAAAGAATTTAAACAAGAGACACACACCAAAAGAAGTGCAGCATAGAGTAATCTACTGCAACAGAAAAAGAATATGTTGAAAGTTAGGTGCAGAATAGCAGTATCCTCTGAGAGAGATGATTCCGGGCAGGCTGCTCACAACAATGAGGCAGCAAAGACCCACACCAGGGAGGCTCCCTTCTGGGAGTCTTCCATGATTATTCATAAGGAGGTGGGAAGAGGCGTTACTAGGAAGCTGTTCTGGGTGGTCTTCCGGGTGCACATGTGCAGCAGCTGTACAAGGTCGTTCATAAGTCGCATGTCTCTTTAGCATCTAAAATCTCCACCCAGGGCTGTGTTTTTCACAATTATGATGAGCAGAGTCAGTTTGAGGACAGGTAAAATTAAAATGTGCATGTTCTGTAGAGGGGAAAGTCGCCACTGAAGACAGCTTTGCTTGAATGAGCTCACTGACTGTGCGCATCCTGAGATTGACTGTGTTGGCTGTGCGGTCACCACAGTTGCTGCTGTGTCCCGAGAACACGGTCACTTCCTTAACTACCTATCCGGCCTCACTCCTCCTCCTTCCTCTGTCTCTTTGCCTGTCTGTCTCTCTGCTGCTCTGTCTCTTTTTCTCTCCCCACCCCACCATCTCTGTCTTTTCTGACATTCCCTGTGACTCAGCTCCAACAACCCCATCTCATGTCACATTAGTCACCAGGCCCTCGAAACTAAAAGCCCCCATGAGAGACCGGGACCCTGAGATCCTGCAGCAGGGCCTGCCCATCCTAATGGCCACTGTCACCTCCTCCCTGAGGGGGCTCCTTCCATGGTCAACATGGGAAGCCTTCTCCCCAACCCCAACCCCACTGAAACTTAGGAACGCACTTCCAGCTAAGTCCAACTCCTGGGCCACGTCCTGCCTCGCATGAGGAAATGCACTTCTCAGGCACCACTGCTCCTCGGCTGACCGCGGCCAGACACCCTTTCATCTCCCCAGGGAATGCTCAAGTCAGCAAAGGGCGCCTTGATCTCCAAGGAACCTGTGACTACAAAGACAAGGGGTGTCCAAACATCAGAGGGAATCTTCTCACTAAAAAGCCTGGGTTATTAAGACTTGTTAAAAAGCCCTTCACATTGTGTTGTTAGTCAAATCAAAATGAACAGCAGTGGTCTAGTGACAGATGAAATTCTTCTTTTTAATGACTTTTATCTTCTTATCCTTATTATAAAGTTAAGATAGTTTCTGGAAGAAACTTTTGAAAAGACAGGTAAGAATAAGGAAGATAATAAAGTATCTGTCATCATCTCAGACAAGGAAATCCCTTTTCCACAGCTTGGATCTGTCTCCCTCAATCACGTATGTGAGTATTCTGTTTTTCATTACCAAAATTGGCTTGCATTATCCACCCTCAAACCTCACCATTTTTATTTCCCAGTATACGCTGAACAGCTTTCTGTCCCAAGAAATAGCCATTATTTTTCGTCGCTGAATAGTGTGCTATTATTCCATTACAGGGATATACTCATCTGTTTATTTATTCCCTTGTTGTTGACTATTTACATTGTTTACACTTGTTTGCAGTTTTTTAAAACATTAGTGGGTATGCTTATAGTGAAATTGTTTAATGCATCATTAATATCCTGAAGACAAGTCCCTGAAAATACTTTGGTTGAGCAAAAGTATTACTGTGTATTGTTAATGTTTTTTGGCATATACAGAATTCTTTGTTTTTATGTCTAGGCAGTCAAATTTATATTTTCCATCATTTCTAAATTGATGTCACAGTTTAGAAAGTCCTTCTCCTCTCCAAGATCATGTACATCAGGTTCTAAAACAGATCAGGTTCCCACTCTGTCGTCTCCAGGTGAGATGATGATAAGACTTGCTTCCACTTTCAGCGTAGCAACCGTTCCTCCAGGTGCACAAGGTAAAATATCCTGATGATATTCGAGTATCTCTAATGAGGAGAGGACTTATGTAACTGAACTTGTTAGAAAGAGTAACCCAGGCTGGGCACAGTGGCTCACACCTGTAATCCCAATATTTTGGGATGCTGAGGCAGGTGGATCACTTGAGATCAGGAGTTCGAGACCAGCCTGGCCAACATGACGAAACGCCATCTCTACTAAAAATACAAAAATTAGCTGGGCATGGTGGTGTACCCCTGTAATCCCAGGTACTTGGGAGGCTGAGGCAGGAGAATTTCTTGAACCTGTTAAACCTGGGAGGCAGAAGTTACAGTGAGCAGAGATGGTGCAACTGCACTCCAGTGTGAGCAATAAAGCGTGACTCCATCACAAAAAAAAAAAGTAGCCGAAAGATAATTATGCAAAATGGAAGTAACTACATTTGCTAAACCTTCTCCTACAGTGAAATGAAACATGGGAACTAACGCTTCCATCAGATCCCTGATTTGGTTACATTAGGGAGGCAGCCGGCAGCTAAATCCTTCTGAATAGCTGGGAGGACTCACTTCTTTCTCTCTACAATCAAGGGCAACCAAGTAGCAATTCCTATTCCAAACATTTTTCAGACAGAACTCATCTTGCCCAGGATCTATAGTAAACAATTCCACAGCAGAGACTTCTGCCTACACTTTGAATATAGAAGATATGTGTTGAAGAAAAATATTGTTCCTACCCATGTAAAATTTCATATCACTGCTCAACACTTTTTTTTGGAAAGGGTCATTCATCCAGGGAGCCCTGCGAGTATATGTCAAGCATTTTATCTGTGGGGACTAAGTTTGGCTGAACATAACAGGAAAATTCAAAATGACAGTGGCTCAGAGCAGACGGAAGTTGATTTTTTTTTTCTCACATAAAGTAGGTCTAGAGCAGGCATGACAGTTCAGGGACAGTGGCAGCCCCACACGGCCCCACACAGGGTTCTACTTGCTCACTATTTTACCACGTCTAGGCTGGCACCCTCTTCCTCATGGTCTGTTATGGTTGCTAGTGCTCCAACCTTCATATCTGCATTCCAGACAGCAGGATGGGAAATGGAGAAAGAAGAGGGATACTCCCTCTCTTTTAAGGAGACTTTCTGGAAGTCATCCACATTTTTATTTAAATTTTATTGGCCAAAATTGGTCACAGGGCCATACCTAGCTGCAAGGGATTATGGGAAGTATGGTCATTTGACTGGGAAGCAATGTGCATTGTTTTTTAAACCAAGGTTCTTCACTAAGGAAGAAAGGAAGAATGGATAGTGTAAGGTAGATGGCACTTTCTGCCATGAATGCCTTTTTAAATGGAACCTTTCTGCTTAATAAATAACTACAGGGTACATTTTAAAAGGGAAAAATATCCCATGATACTAGATATTTGCATAATCAAAATAATAGATGATGTTGCTAAAGACTAGTGCTAGAGAAGAGCATATGGATTACAGCAATTCATTCATTCATGCCATGGTATTTATGTAGAGCCCACTGTGGGCCTGACGCTGTGCTAGGTGCTGTAAATTCACTGGTGAAAGAAATAGTCTCTGTCTGCAGCCTCCCAGGGAGCTTATCGTCATAAGAGCAAGAACTTTTGCTGCAAATGATGGTGTCCCTATAAAGGAAGAAAGAAAGGGAGAGAGGAAGGGAAGAAGGAATGAAATAAATTGCTTCCTTGGGAACTAAGAACCAATGATCCCAAGTCGAGAAGAAGGAGCAGAGTGGCACAAATTGCTTCTTCCCCTGCACCATGCCCGGCTGACTTTCAGCAGATGGCTGGATTCCGCCAGAAACCCTGCTTTCGTCCTGCCTGTGCACAGGCCTCTGCCTCTAGGGAATAGGGTGCCAGACCAAACTAGGCCAAGATTTTCACAACGCCCTGCAGACATGGGTTTTGAGAATGATGGTAATAATATGGCTACTAGGATGATTAAAATACCTAACATTTTTATGTAGAACTTTACCAAAAGCACTGTTACCAGTCTTCTTGTATTTTCATAACCACCCTGTAAATGAGAACATCTTGTTCTCCCTTTTTACTGATGAGGAGAGAGAACCTCCCTGAGCCGTGGTTAAAGGAGGAAAGCACACAAGCAGGGTTTACAGAGGCTGAGTTAATGTGAATCAGAACGCCGGAGCTTCCTCCGTACCACTGCGCCTACTGCTGATGTTGGCTTAAGGCTTTTTGAACATGTCTT
The DNA here is from genome assembly GCF_000001405.40 of Homo sapiens. Classification (NCBI taxonomy): domain Eukaryota; kingdom Metazoa; phylum Chordata; class Mammalia; order Primates; family Hominidae; genus Homo; species Homo sapiens. The sequence goes on from NC_000016.10 coordinate 83,686,218, forward strand.
AGTGTAACTTCACCAAGCTTCACACTTCCTCAATCCTTGACATCATTGTCCATCTTCCCACGAGACTTTGTGCTCAGGGAGAGTAACAATCATCTTTATCTCCTTCCCTAATGAGCCACCAGAGCTTCCTCAGTACCATTGAGTTAGTTAAGCACTTTAGGCACAGGACTAAGACCTTCAGACTTTCCACGGGCCTACAAAAATGTCAGGGACCTGAATACATAGTCTATTGACTCCAAAATTCAAAAAGAAAGCAGCAAAATTGAAATTAATAAATATCAACTGCCCACGGCATCATGACAACTTTAGCAGGCTAAACCTAATATTTGCAAAAGTGTCTTTACATTTGCAAACTATTTGTAGCTCTCACCTTGCAAGAACGGTGGATAAATTATAAGTGATTATTAGCAGAATATTTCTTATGGCACAGTAATTCCAAAAGCAAAAGTATAAAAATAATTTCAAACATGTGATAGGAAAAAAATGTATTTTTAGTGTGGGTACATTTTAGTACATTTGATACAGTTTGGGGTGAGGCCACCAAAGACAGAGAAAAATTTTTAAGGGCTCAAATGTCTGGAAACAGCCCAATCCCAGCATAAGGACTGGTGCATGACCAGTGCTCAGTAACCAGGTGGAATAGATTAATGGCAGCTGGGTTGGGGGTGACTGCATGCACACATTTTTCTGCATTAAGTAGACATGGGTTGACCGAATGCGGTGGCTCATGCTTTGTAATCCCAGCACTTCGGGAGGCCAAGGTGGGCAGATCATTTGAGGTTAGGAATTCAAGAACAGCCTGACCAACATGGTGAAACCCCATCTGTACTAAAAATACAAAAAAAGTTAGCCAGGCATGGTGGTGCTTGCCTGTAGTCCCAGCTACTAGGGAGGCTGAGGCAGGAGAATCACTTGAACCTGGGAGGTGGAGGTTGCAGTGAGCCAAGATCGTGCCACTGCCCTCCAACCTGGGTGACAGAGTGAGACTTCGTCTAGAAAAAAAAAATGTAGACATAGCTTGCATTAGTCCATTCTCAAATTGCTACACAGAAATGCCTGAGACTGGGTAATTTATAAAGAAAATGATTTAATTGTCTCATGGCTCTGCAGGCTATATAGGAAGCATGGCAGCATCCACTCAGCTTTTGGGGAGGCCTCAGGAAACTTAAAATCGTGGCAGAAGACAAACAGGGAGCCAGCACTTCACATGTCCAGAGTAGCTGGGCCGAGGTGCTACACACTTTTAAACAACCAGATCACGCAAGAACTCACTATCCCGAAGACGCCACCAAGGAGGGATTGCGTTAACTCCCCTGATCCCATCGCCTCCCACCAGGCTCCAACATTGGAGATTATATTTCAGTATGAGATTTGGGTGAGGCCACAAATCCAAACCACATCATAGGTTTTGTTTTCTTTTAATCTTCAAACATTGACTAATGTCTACCAACCATGAAAACATTTACATTTGGCCTTGTTTTAAACCAATCCCAGGAAGGGTAGCCAGTGCTAGCAGGGAGACTTTAGAAGGATGTGCAGGTCTCTCACAGAACTTTCCAAGTCCATGAAAGTTACATTGAAGAGCCATTGCCGTCAGCCAACCCTTCTTCCGAAGCCTTGATCCAAATTGAGCCTATTCTTTGAACACAGAATATCTGAATCAGATCCAAATTAGATACTCATCTCTTTGAAAACTACAACTGCTTTGTCCTGATTTCTTTGGGGCTCTGTCTTTTTTAAGTCGTTTCCTTCCTCCTCATCTTTCTGACCTGGATGCTTTTTAACTTTACAGTAGAATTCATTCATGCATTCAAACTGGTAAAGAATACAACATAGAATAATGATATTTCAGCCCCAAAAGATTTGTTAAAATGCCCAATTTCCATTTTTACTGGTCTTCCCATGATTCATCAAGTCCTTTTCTTTAACACCTTGTTTAATCTAATATTGGAGCTCATTCAAAGGAAATCACAAAAAATGTTGGGAAATTAAGCAAAAACCATCATTGACTGGCGATGGGACATTTTATTCTGTATCTTCTAAGACCTTTGGAAGAAAAAGGCAAAAATCAGCTCTCTTGAAAATGCAAATTTTGTCATCACTGGCATTCTCAGAAACACAGGGGTTCAAAAATATGTAGTAGCCTACCATTTATTGGGAGGAAGGAGGATTTCTAATCCCAAAACCAGGTTTCAAAACCAGATTTAAGAGTTTAAATTGGGGTGACTCCCACCTTTTAAATTTTAATCAGAAGTTAAAGGCCAAATTGTAACATTTCTACCTGGGGAAATTAAGAGAAGGCCTTCATCTTCTAAACTATATTATTAACACTTCATCTTAATTAAATGTGGTTACTGACCTCAATAACAGGATCTGGGATGAGGTCATTTTTTTGGTTCTTGTTTTTAATGAGTTAAGATTTTTTTCTTTTTTAAGTCAACAAACACAGAGTTTGAAATGTAAATGGATTGTTTACAGTGGTGTCTTTGTAATTTTTAATTAAAGCGGTGTTGTTCCATTGTAAGTTTATGGTAGCAATACATTTTATTGCCTATTCTGCTGTGGAATTTTTAATTATTTATGCAAATATATTAGCACAGATGACTCTTGTTTTTAGTGGTCAGATGTTCTGTTATGAAGATGCTGGGGGAAACAAAGCCTCACAAATTAAACTATGGGATTTTTAAAGTTTTAAGGGCTTCACTGGCTAAAAATAGAATCCTGGCTTTTATAATGATCCAGAGACTGAAGATTTTCATTATTCATGTCAATTAAAGGTGCTCAGTTTGGCTAATATGAAACATCTGGCCGTTTGGGTAAATGGATGAAAGGCTATTTTACAAATCGACCACCTTTTTAACATCCATCTACATATGTTGTTATAAATTTGCCATAGGCCAGACTTTCATTATTGAAAACATGGTTTCAAATTGGCTATATTTGAATATAATTATCAGGGTCCTTCTTGTCAGCCTTAGAAATTAATCCTCAGAACCAATATAGAAAATATTGACAAATGTTAATATTGTTCCTTGACCAATATTTTCTAAGCTGTTAAATCTACTTAGCTTTTTTTTTAATAAACCCATTTGAAATAGATAAGGATTGCTATATAAGCTACTAACATAGCACTGATTGAAAAAGCCACACATTTCAGGATTGCAACAGAAGTCAGTTGCATAGGGAAAATAGCTGATTTATTATCTGAGTTTGTCTATCAATCACTAACACCAGTCAGCCAGCAAGCACGAGGAGCTTATCATGGCATTAACCCTAACACGGGTAATGAAACCACAGGCAGTGAGTCATGTAACTAATTCAAGAAATGCATTTCATCATCTGCTCCCAATCTGCTTTCCAAATGAATCTCAAAGCTTGTATTTTCAAGTGATGAGGCTCTAAACTACAGTCCTCCTACAAATGCTTAATTTGGGGATTTCCTCATGCATTCCAATAGCGTTGGCAGGAATCTCACTAGAAGATCCGACCTTATATGGCTGCTTCTAAGTATTCTTGGGTCCCTGAGTGTAGGCTGCACATGTGAAAGGAGGACCTGGGGATTTGGATTAGGGCTATGACCGGAAAACCTCTCTCTCCATTCATTCATCCCACACCTGCAACATACTGGGTGCTTTTCTAGGCATTGGGGGATAAAGTAGCCCCAGAAACAATTAAAAATATCTGTTGGCCGGGAGCAGTGGCTCACACCGGCAATCCCAGCACTTTGGGAGGCCAAGGTGGGTGGATCACCTGAGGTCAGGAATTTGAGACCAGCCTGACCAACATGGTGAAACCCCATCTCTACTAAAAATACAAAATTAGCCGGGCGCCTGTAATCCCAGCTACTTGGGAGGCTGAGGCAGAAGAACCACTTGAACCCGGGAGGCGGAGATGGTGGTGAGCCAAGATCACGCCACTGCACTCCAGCCTAGGCAACAAGAGCAAAAACTCCGTCTCAAAAAAAAGAAAAAGAAATCTGTTATCATCGAAATCATATTCCTGTGGAAGAGAGAAAATGAATGAGAGAATTAATAAATACAATAAGTAGCATAGTAACTGGTGATTAATGCAAAGAAAGGAAGCAGAGAAGGAAGGAGGGGAGCCATCACTCTAGATAGAGGGTCAGCAGAAGCCTCACCAGTGCTGTGATGCTTCAGTGAAGAATTGGAGGAAGTGGAGGTGAGCCACACAGCTATCCCGGGTGGAGAGGTCCAGGTAGAGGAAGCAAGTGGGAAGGCCCCGAGGCAGAGTGTGCAGGATTGTGCCCAGCGCACAGCAAGTTGGGGGATGGTGGGAAATGAGGCCGATGCTCCGGAGAAGATGGGGAAAGTGTTAAGCATGCTAGTGGGATTAGGAAAGGGGGCAATTAAGGGAAAGGGAGACAGAGGCAGAGCAGAGGACTGGAGTGTAGGGTAGCCATAGTAATCCAGGTAAGAGGCCATATGGGTCTGGGCAGGGATGGTTGCAGTGCAGGCAGTGAGAAGCTGCAGACACTGAATTTGTTGTTGTTGTTTTTATTTTTGAGACAGAGTCTGGCTATGTCTTTCTGGCTGGAGTACAGTGCCACGATTTTGGCTCACTGCTACCTCTGCCTCCCAGGTGCCAGTGATTCTCGTGACTCAGCCTCTGGAGTAGCTGGGATTACAGGCATGCACCACCACACCCAGCTAATTTTTGTATTTTTAATAAAGATGGGGCTTCACCATGTTGTCCAGGCTGGTCTGGAACTCCTGGCCTCAAGTGATCCACCTGCCTCGGCCTCCCAAAGTGCTGGGATAACAGGTGTGAACCACTGGGCCAGGCCCTGAATGTTTTGAAGGTACTGGTGACAGGGATTTGCTAACCAACTGTGCCGTGTGTGTGTGTGTGTGTGTGTGTGTGTGTGTGTGTGTGTGTGTGTGTCAGAGAGAGAGAGAGAGGAATAAAGATTGACTCCAAGATTTTTGTCCCAAACAAATGGAAGCACAGAGGGCACATCTCTGAGCTTTGCAAGCTCGCTGGAGAAGTGGCAAAGTAACTTGTGGGAGGAAAGTACAGGAATTCGGTCTTGTTCTTGTTGAGTTTGAGGTAGACAAAGGGAGCACATGAGCTGGGTATCAGGGGGCGTTTGTGCTACAGATAGAAGCCTGGGTGTCATCAACATCCAGATGGAATTTAAATCCTTGAGACTATGATCCCCAAAGAGGGAAGTGAACGTAGGGCTGTGGCCAAGCCCTGGGACACTCTCATATTGGGAGGAGTGGCCCTGCCTGGTGCTGTTTCACATGAGGCACTGCTTCCTGAGAATCCCCTTACAGCCTTGCAAAGAAAAGTACATAGCCAGCCAGGTGCGGTGGCTCACACCCACCTGGCACTTTGGGAGGCCAGGGCAGGTGGGTCACAAGGTCAGGAGTTCAAGACCAGCACAGTTCCGTACAACGGTGCTGTTAACTTGGCAGCCCGACCGCAAATCAGCATATCCTGAGTCTATGCAGGCCCCAGGGTAGAGTGTACATTGTCCCCAGGAGTCGAACGGACCTGGGCCATCCTGCCTCCTTCCATCTCCTGTCTTCTTTCACTAGCATGTCTGATCCACTTCCCTAACACAGCCAGGCTAGGTTGGCCGCTTTCTGCTATAGCTACACCAAATTGCTCAAGGTTACGATATAGTAGCTGGCATTTACTTTGTCCCAGGCACTGTTCCCTGAGCCTTCTGCATTAGATCACCCCTCATTTCACAGCAACCCTGTGGGTCTCTGATTACCCCTTTTATACAGGGGAAGACAATAAGGATTAGGAAGATTCAGGAAATTACCCAAAGAAATTCACACTCAGATTCACACTCAGGAAATGTGACTCAATGACAGCCGTCGTCACCTCTCTGCTCTTCTGCCTCCCAAACCAAACTGAAGCCAGAGAAGCGTGCCCTGTGTGTGCAATTACCAGACCCAATAGCTTGCTCTCTCCAACTTCTGTTTTTCAGAATAAAATTGTTTGTTCCATTTCTGATTTTAGTTGATGGATTTATGACAGCTTTCATTGCTGATAGCCACAGCAAAAATCATTGCTGCCAGATGCCTGTAAGAGCATGGGGAGGGAGTCTGGCCAGATCTCCATGGACTCAAGGTTGCTCCCTGGACTCAAGGTTGCAGGAGGTCCCTAGGGATGCATTCTTCCCGGCTTGCTCTTTCCATAGCACAGAGGCTCTTCCTGCCATCATCTGATGACAGGGATGGCTTTGCCTGCTGGACATCCACCTGTTGCACGGGTTGATGATGCGAAATGTTTTTACAGACTCCGTCTGTCCCGGTTTCTTTCCATTTAACTCTTTCATGCCCACTTCCCTGTGCATTCTATTCCTGTGATTGCCTTAAGGAGAACAAGGATCTGTCATAAACTTCCTTATTTTGCCAAACTTACTATAGGCAAATAGAGACTTTCGGACTTGAAGGATGTGTTTTCCTTATGGAAGCAAAGGAAACTGACCTTGACTCTTTTTATTTCATCCTAGATTCAGGCTGTCTCTAGAAACTACCCCAGAGCAGCTGCATGGGAAATGGCAGACCCCTGGTCTCTTACAGCCTTGCAAAGAAAAGCACATAGCCGGCTGGGCACGGTGGCTTACACCTGTAATCCTAGCACTTTGGGAGGCCGAGGCAGGTGGATCACGAGGTCAGGAGTTCAAGACCAACCTGGCCAATATGGTGAAACCCCGCCTCTACTAAAAAATACAAAAATTAGCCAGGCATGGCGGCATGCACCTGTAATCCCAGCTACTCAGGAGGCTGAGGCAAGAGAATCACTTGAACCTGGGAGGCAGAGGTTGTGGTGAGCTGAGACTGCACCACTACACTCCAGCCTGGGTAACCGAGTGAGACTCCATCTCGAAGAAAAAAAGAAAAGAAAAGTACATAGCCAAGTGGCCACAACTGCCAGACTAGTGCCAGACTTCCTGAGCACAAATCCCCACTTGTCCATCTTCCAGAAGTGTAACCTTGGGCAGATTTTTAATCTCTCTGGGCCTCAGTGTCCCCACCTGAAACATGGGGAGGAATAGTAATATCTAGATTATGGAGTCACTGTGATGGATACAGAATAAAAGAATTCAGGGAAAGTGTTTAGAACACAGTGCACGGTACATAGCATTAAATTAACTGATTCGCATTTTTAGCAAAATGAGCATAATGCGTAGTCATTTACTAAAGGTGTCTCTTTGAGACTGATAGGGGTGTTTTTCTAGAATATTTGGTTTTCATGCCTTGTGGATTAGTTTATTTTTATTTTCCACAAGCCAGCCCCGGGTACCTCACTGCTTAAATCTCATGATAACAGTCTCTTCCTCATTCCTGGTAAAATCCAAGGGAGCAGATAGGAGTTTCTAAATATTAAGTTTTGCCATCTGCTGTTTGCTTGCCTGTAAGCAAGCACTCAGAGATGACAGTGCCAGTGAATGAATGGCGAACTGCTATTAAATGTAGGAGTTGAACAACTGATTTATGAACGTTTGCAGCTTGGCCCTTTGGTGGAGGTAGGCTTGATTTTGCAATTTTTCTAGAGCACACATATAACTAGTCATATTTTCTGCTAGTAAAACTGTTCCTAGTTTGGGCATTGGGATTAAATTTATCAGTATTTTAAGATGCTCTGCAAAGTACCTCACACTATGCAAATAACACCATGAGTTGTAGATACTCTGTCACCCAAACAAGTTTAGGATCTGGTTGAATGTTTGAAGTGAAATGAATCAGAGGAGACTGTTCCTGTGAGCAAAAGAGGACGTGACAATTCAGAACCTCTAATCATACCTAGTCCACTATCTGTCAGGATTCATGGTCACAAGCAACAGAAACCAGCATGGGCTATGTTAGGTGGAATAAAACAAGAACAGACAGGGTTGACATTAGGCATCACAGAATGGATAGAAAACCAGAAGACAGACTGGAAAAAATGAGTAGCCGCCAGATAGAACTCAAGGGGAGGGAAGGAGGGATTAGGGACCACCACAAAGAGAACAGCTGAGTTCTCATGTTAGGCTTCCCATGCAATGAACATGACCTGTGTTCACCCCCACATCACTCATGCAAGAGCATCCAGTTTGCTGGAGTTGTCTCATGTCCCATATCTACTCCTGCTGCAGTGGGAGAGAATGGGAGTGGGTTACTACCTCCCACCAACACTGCACAAAACAGGGTTTTCTCCAAAAGAGGGGTTGGGATGCTATGAGGGATGATAAAGGATGGGGAGCAGTCAGGAATGAGAAACATCCACTCCAAAACCCTTCCACAAGTGTGAGTCTTCCACAGTGCTCGTGATGACCTCCACAGCAGACTTGCTGTTATGACTGTCCCCAGCTGCCCTCTGTGAGGATGGGTGCTTATGAGGTGAGAGGTAAACATTTGCATATTCAGTTCCCACACTAAAGAGTGTCTCTGTCACAAAGCAGGAACAGGTGACATGGGCCAGCAACCAGGTAAATCTCTGCAGGGCATGAAGAGCCAAGAATGCTACAGAACAGGGCTGTGGCTTGCAGAGGGCAGGGTGTGGCTCTGGGCAGACCATCAGGGCAAGAGAAGGCACTCTGCCCCAATACCTCCCTTTGGGCTGGACTAGGGAGAGTCAAGCCAGGCCCTCATCTTGGTCATAAGCTTTAAGGGGATACCGAAAAACTCAATCATCCAGATAGATGTTTTAATGCAGTATTTTAAAAATCAAAACTAATGCAAAAATTAGCCAGGCACGGTGGTTCACGCCTATAATCCCAGCATTTAGGAAGGCTGAGGTGGGCAGATCACTTGAGATCAGGAGTTCGAGACCAGCCCGGCCAACATGATGAAACCCCGTCTCTATTAAAAATACAAAAATTAGCCAGGTGTGGTGGCGCGTGCCCATAGTCCCAGCTATTCAGGAGGCTAAGGCAGGAGAATCGCTTGAATCCGGGAGGTGGAGATTGCAGTGAGCCAAGATCATGCCACTGTACTCCAGCCTGGGCAACAGACTGAGACTCTGTTTCAAAAAAAAATTATTGCAAAAATTCATAATAAGCAAAATACCAGCTTTTTAAGTAAAGCAGGATCATTGTTACTGATTTTTCATTTTGTGTCCAGCTCACATATGACTCAGCATGGCGCTGCTGTGCGCAAGCTCCTTTTCCTCTTTGGGCCCATTTCTTCTTCTGTAAACTTAAATAGGATCGCAAATGCTGTGACTCTGTGGATCCCTGGATCAAGAGTAGAAATGAGTTCAACCTGCGTGGCAGATGCTCTGGGCCAAGCCTGTGCCTACAACCTGGTGGACTAGGCGAAAGCAGGTGCCCTTTCTGCAACAGACAGTTAGCAATGTTGAGTAAACTGTGACCCTTTCACCCATGGAAACCCACAGCTAGGCTCCAAAGAAAAAGAAGATAAATCTCTGAATTTAACAAATAACTAGAATATAAAATAGTTATGTTTAAAATGATTAGGGGAAAAGAATAGGGGCCAGGAAGAAAGGATAAAACATAATGAAATAGAAAAGGCAGATGTGAACAGTAACTAAATAGAAAGTCTAGAAATCTGATAGAGCATTATCTCATTAATACTTCGGACACAACTGTGAGATGGGTGTGATCATCCCTGTTCTATAGATGAGGAAGGGAGGTCGAACCTTTCGTGAGTGAAAGAGACGGAATTCAAATCCAGATATATTTATGCCAAAGAACTTTTTTTTTTTTTTTTGAGACTGGGTCTGTCTGTCACCCAGGATGGCCTGCAGTGGTGCAGTCTCGGCTCCCTACAACCTCTGCCTCCTGGGCTCAAGGGATCCTCCCACCTCAGCCTCCTGAATAGCTGGGATCACAGGCATGCACCACCATGCCCAGCTAATTTTTCTATTTGTTTGTAGAGATGGGGTTTCGCCATGTTGCCCAGGTGGTTCTCAAACTCCTGGGCTCAAGCAATCCACTCGCTTCTGCCTCCCACAGTGCTGGGATTACAGACGTGAGCCACCACAACTGGCCTCAAGGAACTTCTCAACAGGGAAACATTTCTTTCCTTTGTTTTGCAAGAGAAAACACTATTTTTTTAAAAAGTCATGCTCAGTAGAGTGTGCAGGTTCGTTAAACACCTGTGATATCTTTTTATAATTCTGTGTAAGATGGGGTCTTCATGTGCAGCGGGCCCATTTCATCTCTGTTCCCCATTCATTCATGTTCTTTGTGTCTGGGGCTTCTTTTGAAATCTGTAAAGGTGGGAGGACCAGGGAATCCAATAGAGTGAGCACATGAAGAGACGTCCTTCAAGCCCACACTGGATCCACCTGGAACTCCCACCAGGGAGTTCACTGGGAGTGGGGACTTGGCAGCTGCCAGGGAGAATTCTTAGGCAAGTGGTTACTGTTTGATGCTTCACCCTAAAGTTATAAAGATGCAACATTTTACAGCTCAACAAGTAAACATTTCCCAAATACTTAAAACATAGATTACCTAGTCACTGGTAAAACACAGCAACTGGCCTTCATCTCCAAAATATATCTAGAATCTCCGCAGTTCTTGCAACTGCACTACATAAACTTTGTCTAAGCCACCACCATCGTTCACCCAGATGACAATAATTGCCCTAACTTGTCTCCCATTCTTACAAGGCACCATCCACATCGCGGTGATCCTCTTAAACTGAAGCTCAGATCCCGTCTCTCCCCTGATGAAGCCCTTCAGTGCCTCCCATTTCACACTGAAGTAAAACCCAGACCCCCTGCCCTGGCCCAGGAAGCCCCTGGCTGGCCTCGGTGCTGAGCTTCCTCTCCTCTCGCTCCTCTGGCAGTCTCTCCTCCAACCACACGGCCTTTCTTCCTCAAACTTCTTTCCCATTCAGGAACTGTGCAAACATCATTCCCTCTGCCTTGAATTCCAGTCGATCCTTATTATTCACAAATTCCATATTTGTGAGCTCACCCACTCAATAAAATGTATTTGTCACCCCAACATTAATACTCATGGCGCTTTCATGGTTATTCTTGGAGGAGTGCAGAACAGGGAAAAATTTGAGTTCACCTGACGTGCACATTCACAGTTGAGCTCAAACAAGGCCTTCTTTTGCTTTGCCTTCTTATTTCAGCTCTCATAGTACAAATAAGTGCCCTTTTTGTGATCTGTTTAGTGCCGTGATTTTTATTTTTGCACGTTTTGTTCGCAATTTTGCTGTTTGAAATGGCGTTGAGCACAGTGCGGAAGTGCTGTCCAGCGTCTCTGGGCACAGAAGGCTGCGCCATGCCTTACAGAAGAAACAGGTGTTAGGATAACCTTCCTTCAGGCATGAGTTACAGCTCTGCTGACCGTGAGTGCAATGTTAGTGATCAACTGTATACGTTAAGGAAGGTGTGTTTAAGCAGAAGTGCACATAAGATAAGGCCGTGTATTGATGAGTTGACAAAAATGTTGTGACCAGAGGCTTGAGGAAACCTAACCGTGTATTCTTCCCGAGAGCAATGGTTTTTGAGACAGAGTCTCACTCTGTCACCCAGGCTGGAGTGCAGTGGTGCAATCTCGGCTCACTTCAACCTCCACCTCCCACGTTCAAGCAATTCTCCTGCCTCAGCCTCCTGAGTAGCTGGGATTACAGGCATGCGCCACCATGCCTGGCTAATTTTGTGTTTTTAGTAGAGATGGAGTTTCACCATGTTGGCCAGGCTGATCTCAAACTCCTGGCCTCAAGTGGTCTGCCCCGCCTCGGCCTCCCAAATTGCTGGGATTACAGGCGTGAGCCACTGCACCCAGCCTACAGTAGTTTTATAGGACATAGCTATGGTGAGTAACAAAGATCAAGTGTGCTTGCTTGCCTGAACATTCACTACCTGTCTCCCCACACTAAACTGTAAACCCCTTGAGGGCACGGACCATGTTGGTCTTCAAGTGGGCCTGGCAAATAATAGGCACTCAATACATGTTTGTTAGTTAACGAATGAATTGCAAATAAATTATTTCCAAAGACAGTTTTTAACCAGGCTGTACTGTACAGGACTGTAGTGTGTCCTGTTCAGGAGTTAATATTTAATATGTCTTTGCAAAGGATAACAAAGGATTTCCATCAGGGACTGACTTTAATATAAAGAGTGCAAATGAATGCTAATTAAATATCTTCACTTAATTATTATTTGATGCACTTCCTTGGTTTGGGCCTCCCCTTTGGGCTTAAAAAGATACAAGAAACTGCTTCTGTTTCTTTACTTTCTCCCAGTGTCACTGACTAGGCACCGTTGGCTTTGATGAACCTCCCTGAGGCCACCATGGGGAGATGGTGTTGCCTGGTTCCCAGTGCTGAGGCTCTCAAGACACTGCTTTCTTGGAAAGTTGATGCGGCCAGGAGCATCTGTTTTGTGCTTCCTCCTGGGCAGACAGGGGCTGCTCTTGGAAGTCCATTCTGCTTCTTGCTAACTCACACAGGCGGTATGAGGAGGATGCTTAGCCCTAACTGATCTTATGATCTAGCCTGGAACACTGAGAGCTGGGTTTGCTAACAAGCCGGGTCAGTAACCCCAACCTTCTTACTTCAGTCCAGCGTCTTGCCCTGTATTGTCTTCTGTTAGAGCACGGTTGGCAAGTTTCTTCTATAAAGGGCCAGATGATAAACAATATAGGTTTTATGGACCACACAATCTGTGTCTCAGCTACTCAACTCGACCATCGTAATCCAAAAGCTGCCACATCTGTGAATAGGCATGGCTGTGTTCCAATAGAACTGTGTTGACACAGGGAGTCAGAGGGCCAGATTTGGCCCATGGGCCATAGTTTGCCAACCCCCATGGTACACCCCTACCAGCATTATGGTATCTTCATTTGTGTGTGTTCTACTCTGTGCTGCGAGCTCTTTAGGGGAAGGCCTGAATCTCATCCAGTGGTTTCCTCTCAACATCTTGTGTAGTGCCTGCCCCGTGACAAGCCCTCGGCCAATGTTTGCTAAATGCATGACTTATAAGACATGGCCCCCAAAGCACGGGCATTGTGAAACATGCTAACCAGATGAAAGGTGACCTAAGCCCCAGTGGCAGCCCATTCATCATCATTCTGCCTCCTGTTGCCAATATTCAAAATAGCACCAGTTGTTTTTCTGTCAACAAATCAAAATAATATTCCTGCATTTGTTCAACAAACAGCCACTGAGTGTGGGAGCAGCATCCAGATGTCAGCTGGGATCTGCCTGCCTTTGAGAACTAAATAAATATGTGATAAGTTGATAAGTCCTGACTGCATGCCCCGTAGCAGCCCAGAGGCTTCCCAAGATTTCTGCAAATTCCAGAGGATTGGAGAAGGAAGCCTTGACTTTCCAGAGGTCACATCTGGCTTCAAGCTTCCACTTCTGCAAGCTAGTTCCATTTCTTAGCTGTCTCAATCTCCTGCCTGTGCCAGCCTGTGGCATCCCATGTCGCCCTTCTCCCCAGTCCTCCCTTGGCACACATATGCACACACACGTGTATGTGCACACGCACATACACACACACTCACTGTCATCAGAATTGGTTGCATGTGATCTAACTCACTGAGGATGTTTAGAGGCATGGAAAGGGCAGTTACATCACATCACATCAAACAACTTCAACCTGAGACCCTGGAAAGCCCTCGATTTTCCATCCTTCTCAGCATCCCATCCGTCTGTATTTCTCACAAGGCACATCATCCCAGCATGTACCCAGCCTCAGCACATATTGGGACTCTTCTCTCCAATTTCTCCCTCTCCTCTGCACTTTCTCTTTTTAAACAGCTCCATGGAGATGTGATTGACATGCAAAAGTGCACAAGTTGATGAGTTCTGACATATGTGCACTCCCTTGACGCTATCACCGTGATCTAGATCGTGCATGTGTCTAGCATCCTCAGAAACGTCCTGGACTCCTTTGGCATCCTCCTTTCTGCCCCTCCTTTCCTTTACCTCAGCCCCAGGCAACCACTGATCTGCCTTCTGTCATTGTAGATTAGTGTACATTTTGTAGAGCTTCATATAAATTGAATCATAAAGTATGCCCTCTTTTTTGTCTGGCTCCTTCTGCTCAGCACAATTATTGTGGGATTCATCCGTGTTGTCACCTGTGTCACCAGTTACACAGAGACAAAGACCTTCTGCAGAAAGATTCAATTCTATGCAGTCCCCACCTCGAAAGAACTTCAGATTCCCTTTTAACAGACGGAAACATGCCAGAAGACCAAAAGGGCTCTCTGTCTTTAGAAACCCATGGTTGTTAAATAGCCATTTTTCTCCCGATTAAAAATAGCTATTTTTCAGTTGCCTCAGCAGCTGCTTAATAAGCACCTACTATGTGCCAGGCACTGTTGTTAGGGACAGAGTGGGAATCAGGAAAACATGGCCTTCCTCTTGGGGAATGATCAGAGAATGGGCAGGTGAACTGCTAAAAAGTTGCAACAGGTGTACATATATTTCTTTTGTTTACAGGTTTTGGGAATGCAATCCCATATTTCCTTTTTTTACACATTGAAGTACTTTTTTATGAGCAATGCATGCTCGTCACAAAAAAATTAACAAACATGGAGCAGCATAAAGAAGTAAATTAAAAATCACCTTTAATCCCACTGCCCAGATATGGCCACCATTATATTTCATTTTGTTAATTCCACAGGCGAGGAGTAGAGGAATATGTTTTGTTTCATTTTGTGTAATTAAACGGGCCACGGGAACTACTATCAGCTTCCTGGGGAGCTGAGTTGTGTTTATTTTTTTTAAGAGCTACTAATTTTTGATTAACAAGGATGAATGTAATGTTTAAGAGGAATCTATTTACACCCTCTTCCCCTTCTCAATAAAACAACATTCTTCCCCACCAAGTGTGGAGTCGAGACTCTGAGGATGTATGGCCCTGAGCTGGGGGATTCTAGGGACATTTTTCATGTCACTACCTAGACAGTCGTGTGAGTGCTCCAGCAGTGAGGGATCTCGGCTGCAGGTTACATTCCTTGCCGAAGCCAGGGCTGGATGATAATTCACTTTGTCATTACTTAATTCTGTGATGGCTGAAACGACTGAGCCAGAATAAAACTCTCAGTCCCTGAAAAGATGAGAGACTCAGTGTCAGGATGTTTAGGAACAGAAAAAGCAAGAGGGCAGCCGAATGGGGCCATCGGGTGGCTGCATAAAGAAGTCTGATGATGGATGCAGCGCTCCCAATTCATTTCTTTTCTAAATGACATATTTGTATGTTTCCTTCATCATTTCATTCGGTCCACACGTATCCATGCGGTGCACTCTGTGTGCCAGTCATAGAGGCCACATCCGGTCGTAGGCCGTACCCCATGCACAGCTGTCCTCTTGGCACAGTTGACTGAACATGCTTTCGCCGTGTGGGAGACTGAAGCTATATCTGTTTGAGCTACAACTAAAACCCTGGAGTCTCTGCATGCCTTTGCCAACATCTGGTGGTTCCCCAAATGTGTCAGGTTCTTCTCTGCCTCTGTGCTAGGGTTTCTACCCTGACCGCCACCCAACAACCCCTGCGCCCTTATCCTCTCTTCTTCCTCAGGACGTTACTACGATCCAGCCCCACTTCAGCACCACGGTCAGCACCCACCAATTGCCCAGCACTCCTGCTACTGGGTTGCTAGGTATTTCGCACATCAGCCCTTCTCTGTGCCTCTGCCCAGTTTGCTTCCTCTGCCCTCTCTCCCTCCAAATAACAGCTGCCTGGCTAATGTCTGCGTATTTGCTGGCAGCAGAGTAACACTGAGGTTGATGTCCAGCTCTGCCATTGAGGGTTGTGGGACTTTGGGTAAGTTACTTAACCTCTCCAGACCTCATTCTCTCCAGGTGTAAAGGGAGATAATACCTAGAGGATTAAATAGGCTAATCTAGCAAAGCTCTTAGCACAGTGTCTGGAACATAGAAAGAACCCAATACATATTAACTATTATTGTAATCTGTCAAGAATCATCCCAAATATACCTTGTGCTAAGAACCTTTCCTCATCATTTCCTTGGGGTGTAATACAAAAATCTGACGTATTCCAGAGGCTTGGATACCCTCCTTGGTACTCACTTGGCATAGCTTCCATCACACTGTATTTTGTAATTGCTCATGAGTGTGCTAGTTAGGATAAGTAATAATAGCTTCTGTGATAGATAACCCCTCAAATCTCAATGGCTTAACACAAAACTACATTGCTCACTCCTATTACAGTCGAACTGCAGATGGTGGGGTGGGATGGCTCTGCTCCATAACGTTCAGAGATCCTTGGCACCTTCCATTTCATGAGGCTGCCTCTTCAAGGTGTAGCCTCCAGGGTTGCTGTGGAAGGGAAAGAGAGAGCAAGGAGGGTCTTGCAGGGGGTTTGCAGCCAGGCCCAGAAGTGACATTATCACATCTACCAACTTTGCTCTATCCTAATCTAGCTGCATTAGAAACTGAGAAGTTCAGCCCGCCTGTATGTTCAAAAAGAAGATAAAATTATCTCTGACCACAGGAGTGCTTCTCATCTCCCCACCAGGCCATGAGATGCTCAAGGTCGGTGGCCATGTGCCTTGGGTCTCTTATCCAGTGTTAGCTCCCTTCTGCATTCCCTGGTCACCTCCAGAGCTGAGCAGGTGGCACTGTGGGGAGGGGCTTTCCAAGCACAGATGATAGGAGATGCAAAGGTACAGAGGGTCTGGGAGAAAACTGGCCGCTTCAGGGAACCACAAGCCACAGCAACATTTGCTTGGGCTGCACACATATTACTGCATAAAAATAGCTCGTTACCACCTTAGCATAGGATGCATGTGGAGGTGGGGCAGGGATGAGCCAGGGCAGCCCAGGAGAGCAGAGCTTACAGTCCTCTGGGTAGAGGCCAGCATTTCTGATCCTGTCTGCCTCTGCTATGGAGCCTATGTTTCCTTGGTTCCAATGGCAAGGCTAACAAGAGCGTTCCTCCTTGGGTCATGTATCTCTTTGAATAGAGCTGCATCCCTAAGCCAAGGAAACATATTGTATTGAGTAGTGCTTTAAAGAACAGGCAAGGAATGGAAATTGGCATAAACTTTCTAAAAGACACGCTGCAGTATGTATTAACTTTTTTCCAACAGTCACACTCTTCCATACCCGTAATTTCATTCCTAGGAATATATCTCGAAATAATCAGAAATGGTGTCAAAAATGTATACACTCAGGAAACAGATTTATGTGCGGAGTTGTACACTGAAGCCTTATTTATGGTAGCAAAAAGTTAGAAAACAGCCCCAGTGTCCAACAATAGGAGGCTGGATAAATATATTACAGAGTTGCCATATGATGGAATAATATGCAGTGATTAAAATTTTTGAAGCCAGGAGAAATTGTTTCTGATATAAACTGAAGTGACAAAAGTGGGACATCCAAGTTGGTAAACGGTACGATTCCAATTATACAAATCACACGTGGAGAAGACTTTGAATAAAATGTCTAAGGATAGGAGCGGGCTTTCAGGCTCCTGGAATTATTTGGTGATTTTTCATGTTTTCTTCACACTGTCTTGTATTATCAAGTTGTTAATGTTGAACACATACATTACTTTTATAAACAGAAAAGTACTTTTTAAGAAACAAGGGGCAAGGAGACTAAGAAAACCATCCTTTCTTGGCAGACTCCCTCAGAGGTACTATGTTTCTTTTCTACAGTTCTCTCAGGACTCAAATGCTTGCCTAGACCAACATGCCTCTGACTCCATAATAGGCACGAACTCGCAATTACTCCCTGGTACACAACCTTTTCAGCCACCGTAACATCCATTCAACTGCACAAAATATGTCATCTAAAACCTCATCCAGATAACCCTGCACATTGCACTTTTTTATATATGGAGAAATGAAAAAGGCTTTTTGCTTTGTAAGTTCCATAAAGACATTTCTTGGCATCTAGAAAATGACAAGAACCCTTCAACCCAGACTTCACCTCACACCCATCCCTAACTTTGGTTACAGTTCAAAAGTGTTCATGGAAGTTTGAAAAGTGGTTTCCCTTTTCACCTGAAGCTGTGATTTCCAGTGTGGTCTGGAGGAGAAAACTGCCTCGAAGGAAGCTAAGGGATAGAAAGGTGTTTTCAATGTCTTCTCTTAGGTGGGGTTTTCATTCAGTCAGGTTAGGTTGTTAAGGCAAGAGAGATAATGAACAAAAATAACAATCTTACCCTCAAAGATACAATAAAATGCACTCATGTTCTCATTTCGATGCCAGAATATGAACACCGAGATGGTTCTCCAACTCCCATGCACCAAGCCCCTTACAAGCTTAGACTCGGGTCAGGTCCTAGAAAAGAAAGTTTAGGGTGTTTAGGGAAATGTTTGCAGTGTACCCAGTGAGTGGATTTAACCAAATCTGTATCTCAGAGCAGGCACCACTCCCATATCCCACCAGGAAGCCATTGTGAGATATAGTCTGCCCACAGCCCCGCTGCCACAGGCTCCAATGCCAGGGAAAGCTGTGTCTCCCCATCAGTGCAATTCTAAGAATTAAGTACTCCTTCCTTGCCAATTACATGGTCACTATCCTTAGAATTGAATTTAAGCTCTGATAGAAAATTGTTGAAAGCCTTCAGTGCTCATTTTTCACCAAACTGAACTCTATAATGGTACTACAATAGAAAAAAAATTTCCAAAGTTCAATTGGAATTTTTTCCCAGTAACTTAATAATAAGGCTCCAATTTCAGGAAAATAGTTTCAGCATGAGTGAAATCACACTGTTTGTTATGCAGCATCAAAGCTGTCCTCCAACACAGGGCAGAGGCCAGTGCTCCCTGGAGTTGAACTCCAACAATCATTTAAAAACTTTTGTTTCCAATCATTTAGAAACTTGTAGATTTTTCTGGCAACATCCAAGAATAAGTTATCTCACTTAGATGAGTTTTCTGTGAAACTGAAGCTCACCACTTCAAGTGCTATATCTTTCTATATATTGACTTCATTTCTAAAACATAGGTTTCCCCGATTCTTAAATAGAGTATGGGAAAGGAATTTAAGGTCATTTGAGGTAATCATTCTTATAGGTTAATAAGTGAACCAAGACAATGCTTTACCTGATTTTGAGTTTTTTCTGTCTTTTATGCTTTCATACAAAATGTCATGCTCTAATCACTAAACCTGACTCCAGAAATCCACCTGGAAAACAAAGTAGACAACCAAGCTTTTTGAGAATTTTGACTTTTTTAAAAAAAGAAAAAGAAGCCCGGGCCCGGTGGCTCACGCCTGTAATCCTAGCACTTTGGGAGGCTGAGGCGGGCAGATCACGAGGTCAGGAGATGGAGACCATCCTGGCTAACACGGTGAAATCCTGTCTCTACTAAAAATACAAAAAATTAGCCGGGCATGATGGTGGGCGCCTGTAGTCCCAGCTACTCGGGAGGCTGAGGCAGGAGAATGGCGTGAACCCGGGAGGCGGAGCTTGCAGTGAGCCGAGATCACGCCACTGCACTCCAGCGTGGGGGCCAGAGGGAGACTCCGTCTCAAAAGAAAAGAAAAAGAATGATATTAGCAGGAAGAGAGAATTAAGCTTTATTGAGCAACTACTAAGTGCCAGGCATTTTTCTGTGCATTTTATCATTTCATCCTTCAAACAACCCTAAAGCTGACCTTACTGTCAAGCATTCACCATTCATTCTACATCTGACTCTCAGGAGAAGAGGAGGGAATGTTGGGTCAAGTGATCCCCAGGGTTCCTTCAAGCACCAACAATCTCTATGTCTCCCATCCTAACTTAAATTTTATAAAACAAAGGATTTGTTTAGGTGGGAGAGTAGATAAGTCTGCCCTAGGGCTGGTTGCCTCTTTCAGCCCCCATTCATGCATAACAAATCACACACAAACTTAGTGACTGGAAACAACATCGTTTTCGTGTCTCTGTGGTTTTAATGGCTCAGGAATGTGAGCAGGGCACACTGGGAGCAGCCTATCTCTGTGCCTCAATGTCTGAGGCCTTAGCTGGAATCCCCAAGGCCTGGGAGCTGATGTCATCTGAATGCTTATTCAGTTGTTTATCTGGCAATTGTTGATTGCTGTCAGCCAGAACATCTACTTGTGGCCTCTCCACGAGGCCTGGGCTCTCTCACAACATGGCGGCCAGGTTCCAAAGGTGAGCATCCCAAAAGCCAGCTTGCAGTGGTTTCTCTTTCGCCTTTTATGATCCAGCCTCAGAAATCATACAGTGTCACTTCTATTGCACTCATTCATGAAGGCCGTCATAAACGCTAACCCACACTCTAGGGGACAGGAACTAGACTCCACCTGTGAACGAGAGGAGCGTCAGAAATATTAGCATGGCCATTTTTGGAAAATGCTATAGAGCCAAAGTCTGCATGAAGAGAGAACAGATTGGGAATCAGAGGTACCTGAGTTCAGATTCCAGCTTCATTGCTCATTAGCTCTGTGGCATGGGGAAATCAGTGAACCCTTTACTGCTGTGTTATTTGTAAAATGACTGTGATTGCTGACTGATTATGTCAGGCTATACAATCATTTCTTTGGTTGCAAGCCATGGAAACCAAACCTTATGAAGAGAAGAAAACACATATGCAGGCATGTGTGTGCACACACACACAAGACATAGAGAAGCAAAGAAAAATAGGATGAAGCAAGCTTCAGGAATGCCGGAAAAAGCTGCTTCAGCGATCTAGGTTCCTGGGATGAATGGATGATATTTTTAGGCTCTCACGATCAGGACAAATCAGCTCCAAGTATTTTCCATCCTTATGTCTCTCTGAAAACATTGTACGCTCCCAGCATATTAAGTCCTGGGTGGCCTGTCTTGAGTCGGACTCACTTCATCCCTTCACTATAGGAGAGAGAGGCACCATAATGGAAAGTCTCAGCAAGGCTACATGAAGAATGGGGTAAACTCATGGGAAAATGCAGGTGTCCCCACAAAGAAGGAGAAATGGATAAACAGCACATCTACTCTGGACATTTGCAGGACTAAGAAGGATACAAGATGGAAAGCAGAATATGGGTGTACTGTTCCCGCTTCCCAATATGCCATGCATGTTCACGCTCCAGAACTTGACTGTCAGTCACTCTTCCTAAAATATTTCCCTTCCTGCCTCCACCCATCACAATCCTGTTGGTCTTTCTAGGTCAGTTTCAAATACTGCATGGTCCGTAACACTTTCGGTGAGTAGGAAGTAATCTCTTTCTCCTTGAATTCCTCCATTCTATTTTATAACTTTCTTAGGCCATTATTACCTCCTTCTTTGTCTTAGCCATTTCCATTTTGCTTTATCCAAACATTTCCAAACACCAGGCACCTTCATCTCCTGTAACCTATCTGCTCTCTGTGTACTGTCATTCACTGAATGCTTTTAAGTTGACTTTAATTTGACTTGTCTTTCTTTTAACTTAGCAATAATATCTGTGATATGCCAGCTATATTTTTACCATTCACTTTAAAACAAATATTATTGAAATGTTTAAAATAATTGCTGATCCCCTGTTCTACTACTCTTCCCTATTCTGGCTGAGTTCCTATAAGACAGAGATCAGCTCTTAGATTCCCCGTGTATCATATCCCTGACATGCCGCACTGTGCTATTGATCTGGTGGCCGTTCAATAAAAAGTCATTGAGTGAACAAATAGAAAGCGAGAAAGAGGGAAGGAGAAAGAGTGAGATGAAATAATGAAGTTAAAGTGAACTGAGTGGGACTCATCTTTGGTGAGAGACCCTAAAGGCAAAAAAAAAAAAAAAAAAAAAAGAGCTGGGAAAGTTGAATTTTGAGGAGAAGGCAAGAATACTTTATTTTCCTTCTACCCTAATGACACCTTCTCTTTGGACTCATCCTCCTGTGAGTTGGCAAGGGGAATGGGGAGCAGCTTAAGCAGCAGCTGCCACCATGACCATTATTCCCAAGCAACTTGCCCAGGGCACCAGAAGGCATGAGCTCCATGTTTCCCAGCCAAGGCTCTTCCAGCCAGCAGTGCTGATGGGAAGAACAGGCAAGCCAGAGTGCCTTATCAAGTGCAAGACTCACCACCCATAGAGGATCCACCCAAAGCCACCGGGAGAACCAACACATCCCTGCAGACGACAAAAGCGTCCTTTTGCTCATGGCCACATGCCTTGCAGCACAAGCTCCTCTCAAATACTTCCCAGGACCTCACCGTAAGGGACAGTCAACCAGACGTGTGCTTCCACATGTTCTTCAAATGTGTTTTTCATTTGCTTGGGTTCAACCTCATTATAATGGCATTAGCCAGAGGAGGTAGCATGGTGGTTCAGGTTTCTGGAAGTGGGGTTAAGCCAGTCCTTTCACTTTCTTAACTGAAATTCCCCAACGCCCTTGGCTTACTCACCCCTCAGCATGCTTTGTTCTCTTTCTGTCTTTTTCTGTCTAGGTTCTCTATCATGAGTGTCCTCTTCTCTGAATTCATAGCCTTTGTGGCCTCTCTTCCTGCTAACCATGCTAGGCTAAGTAACGCCCACACCGCCTCCACTCCCCAAAGCTGTCCACATCCTAGTCCTTACCTTATACAGTAAAAAGGACTCTGCAGCTATGATTAGATGAAAGGTCTTTAGACGACCTTAGATCATCAGGATACACCCATTTTCACCATAAAAGTCCTTATAAGAAGGAGGCAGGGCCAAGCGCGGTGGCTCATGCCTGTAATTCCAGCACTTTGGGAGGCTGAGGTTGGTGGATCACTTGAGGCCAGGAGTTCAAGACCAGACTGGCCAATGTGGTGAAACCTATCTCTACTAAAAATACAAAAATTAGCTGAGTGTGGTGGCATACACCTGTAGTTTCTGCTACTCAGGAGGCTGAGGCAGGAAAATGGTTTGAACTCAGGAGGCGGAGGTTGTGATGAGCCAAGATCATGCCACTGCCCTCTAGTCTGGGCAACAGAGCGAGACCCTGTCTCAAAAAATTAAATTAAAAAATAAAAATTAAATTAAAAAATTAAAATGGAGGCAGGAGGGTCAGAGTCAGAGAAGGAGATGCAATCACAAAAGCAAGTCATTGGAGCCACATAAGGAAGAATCCAGAGGTCAAGGAATGCAGGCATCTCTAGATTCTGGAAAGAGCAAAGAAACAAATTCTGCCCTGAAGATTCTAAAAGGAACACAGCCCTGCCAACATCTTAATTTTAGACTCTGACTTGTGGGACTATAAGAATAAATCTGAGTTGTTTTAATCCACTAGGTCTGTGGTCTTTTGCATAGCAGACACAGGAACCTGAGATATTAACCTTCATCTACTTTCTCTTCCAATCTATGAGGGTTCCCCCAGCGGACTCCCTCTATAATCAGTACGGTCCATTCAGCATTCATCCATGCACACCCCAAGTTTTCCACTCTAGGGGTGCCGTGTGTGCACCATTTGAGAAACACGGCCTCTGCACAGGAATTGCATCATAATCATCCTTGCATCCACCATGTTGCCCACATGGGCTTTATACATAGCAAACACCCTGTAAACATGTATTTAATTGCATAGAAAGCCAGTATTCCATTGCCATCCACAGTGAGCCTCTTAAAATACATTCTTCATCAGACCCATTTATATTTGTCCAGAGCTAGTCATGCATGATGGTAGGAGAATGAAATGAATAATTTTATTTTTGCCATCAGGAAGTAAACATTTTATTCATAGACTTTGTCATCCTGTGTAATAGGGTCTGAGTATTCACTCTGCATTTTAGAACATCAGACATATGGAAAATCTATTTGATGTGTAGTTCTCAGTTCCTGACCTTATGTCTTTCTCAGTTCATTATTTCCACCTCTCTCTAGTCATTGGATTTGTAGAAAGAACAGAGATATTTAAGAAACATTATTCATTCCTTCAGAGTCTTGGATTTCTCCAAATAGTCCAAAAAATGGCCTATTTTTAGATGATTGAATTATACTAGAAAGGTGGTGATCTTGCCCCCAGATGACATTTGTCAGTGTCTAGAACATTTCAGGGGGTGCGAGGGGAATGCCACTGGCATCTAGGGGGCAGAGGCCCGGGTTGCTGGTAAAGTTCTCACAATGCACTGGACAGCCTCTCTGCAACAAGAATTATCCAACCCCAGATGTCAGGGGGGACAATTGAAGTTGCCGCTTCTCCACTCTCCCCAATTAGAAGTATCTGCTTAGGTGGAGAAATCCTGGGCTGGAACAACAGGCTGCAACTTGGCCAAATGACCTCTGATTAAAAGCAAGAGAGCTGGCTTAAAACCTGTTCAAGGCCATTTCGAAAAACCTGGAGGCTTTCCCTGACTGCAAGCTTGGTCTTGGGCAAAAGTGCCTTATGACTGCTAGAAAAGCTAAGAGCATCTCAAAGTTCAAGTGCTGGCATGGAACTTGGGCTATAGCATTGCATGCTGGCCTTCTGCATTCCTCTTGGTGCCTCTTTTTAAGAGGGATGTTGGCAAATTCAGGTGTGTTCAAGGGAGGCAACCTGGAAAAAAAAAAAAAGAGTGTTGCGGGGAGCTGAAGAAGGAGGACTCTGGAAGCACAGAAACCCAGATTCCTCCAGCCCTGTTACTGCCACTTAGCAGCCATAAGACCTCGAGAAATTGACTCACCATCTCTAAACCAGAGTTTCCTTGTCTTGGGAATTAACAGGAAGATTGTAATGAGTTAAAGTTCATGTGTGAAGCGCTTAGCACCGTGACTGCCACCTCTAAGCACTCAATAAACAGGGCTGTTTATGCTTGTTATTCGGAACGGGAGAGGGCTGCAACTCGGGCACCTGAGGCACAATGGGAAGTGCTGGAGCTGGAAAAGGAATGAGTGATGGACAGACTCGATCATCGTTGTGTAGCATTTGAAGGAGGCTGTCTCTGGTGGGCTGAACTACGATGAATGTTAGCAAAATTCTACAGGCATACTGGGACTCAACCTGGGGAAGCCCCGCAGGCTGCTCAGCATGGATCAGTGATCCTCATTCTGGCCACCAGCAGAGGTGCCTTGCTACACGCCACCACCTTGGGGCAGGTGCCACTGGACAGTAGCCTGCGTGGACAACTAAAGCTGTCCCTTCTCCACTCTCCCCAGTTAGAAGTATCTGTGACTTCAGATGCAGGGAGATTTTGAAGCTATCCCATTAGAAAGTCAATAGTCTGCCTACCTCATTCTTTAGCAAGGATGCCCCATAATTAATCAAGTGGGCTGAAGGAATAAAAGCCTCCTGTGCTCATTGCATTCTGTGAGCAAACAATAGCGGGAAACAAATGCCAGACGGGCTGTGGTAGGCATAACAGATGACATAGTAGGAATTGGTTTATCTTGGCATCTTGGGGGGCTTTATCTTAGTGTAATCAGTCAATTAGCAAACTTTCCTAATGGCTGAGAGGCACACTGGCTAGCATGTGTGTGGTTGTTTGTTTGTTTGGTGTTTTGGGGTTTTTTATTTTTTGGTTTTTTTGTTTTTTGTTTTTTGTTTTGAGAAAGGTCTTACTCTCTTACCCATACTGGAGTATAGTGGCGCAATCTTGACTCACCACAACCTCTGCCTTCCAGGCTCAAGCGATTCTCGTGCCTCAGCTTCCCAAGTAGCTGGGATTACGTGTGCATACCACTACCACCTGGCTAATTTTTGTATTTTTAGTAGAGACGGGATTTCACCATGTTGGCCAGGCTGGTCTCGAACTCCTGACCTTAAATGATCCACCGCCTTGGCCTCCCAAAGCACTGGGATTACAGGCGTGAGCCACCACACCCAGCTGGCCAGCATGTTTTTAGGTGCTTAGTAGACATTGCATTCTTTCTCCAGGGTTGCCATAACAAAGTACCATAGACTGAGCAGCTTAAGTAGCAGAAATTTAATTTCTTACAATTCTGTAGGTTAGAAGTCTGAGATCAAGGTGTTGGCAGAGTTGGTTCCTTCTGAGGCCTCTCTTCTTGGCTTGTAGATGGCTGTCTTCTCCCTGTGTCCTCACAGAGTCTTCCCTCTCTGTCTGTCTGTGCCCTAATCTCTTCTCATGAGGACACCAGTCATATCTGACTAGGGCCCACTATAGTGATCTCCTTTTAACTTACCTGTTTAAGACAATCATACTGTGAGGTGCTGGAGATTAGGACATCCACATATATATTTGGGGAAACACAATTCAGACCAGAACAGGCACCACTAAAATTTGGCAGCACCTTTTAAAAGGGCCTTGAATGGAAAGGAGAGAACCTGTGGTTTACAATAGCCGCCAGAGCACTGGGGGCTCTTGCGATCTCATGAGACCAAACTCCAGGTCTAGGCACACCTGGTTTGGGACAGGCCTGCTTTAGCATTGAAAACAGGATCTTTGCCCAACAGGAAGGTTGGAGAATGAGGCATGCATCTAAGAAAAAAATGCAAGCAAAATAAAAATTCCCACATATTGCCTTAATTGTCTTTACAGAAGGAAATATCCCAGGGCAAGAATCATCAGGGCATGCTCTGCGCCCTGCATTTGATTTCATGTTTTCAGGAGCACCCCTCAAGGTCTGGAGAAGCACAGGTGCTGTACCTGTACAAGCCAGCAAGGCAAAGAGGCCTGGTTGCAAGATGTGAGGCAACATTTTATATTTTACTTATGTTATTCAATTTGTCTACACATCTATCCTTTTCTGGAAAAAGACCATATTGCCACTTGAGTTTCAGTATTACAGACATTGTTTTCCTCTAAGTGACTAGACTCTCTGTTTAGCTCGCCACACAACATCATATCTGCCATGTGCTGTCACACACTAATAAAAGCATAGAGGAGTATGTAAAACAGCATTGCTTCTCTAAAAATTCAGCCCTATTAAGTTTGTTGGTACATCACCTGGATTTTTATTAAAGTAGTAAAAATGTTCCGCAAAGTGACTTTGAAGTAACAGTACGATTCTGAGCCACGTTAAAGAAATGTTAAGGTGGAGAGCTCTGTTGCTTTCAAATACTAGTATAATTCTGGCCAAATATCCCTGTTTAAAATGATCTGAGCACTTTAGGCCTTTTACTAATGTATGGATTATAGTTCAAGCCAGTAGCTAGGGAGCTGTGTGTTTGAGCCTCCATCTCTACCACCTAGCAGCAAACAGATCAACCTGGGAAAGGAGCAGCTGCCTGCACTTCATTCACTGAGGATTCTTCCAACCCTCTCTCCGTCTAACGGGCTGGGGTCCTTCATGGACGCATTGATAGATGACAGTGTGCCAATCCAGCACACACCAGAAATGGTTACTCCACCAGGGAGCTCACCTCATCTTCTGCCATTGGCCTCCCACCCCACATTTTTCCAATGAGGTTCTTTGAGTCCGACTTATTTTTGACAAAGCCACACTGGTTTGTAATGAGCATTGCATTCTTTTATACAGAGTTGGGGAGGGAGGGAGATTTTGAAGGGGGAAAACACGAACCAAGTAGGTAGATATTTGCATCTCTCAACTTTTCTCGTCACCAAAAAAAAAAAAAATTTCCTCTTCAAATTTGTAGGTAAAAAGACGTGTTTCTTTAACTTTACCTCTCACAAATGGTATGTTCATCTATCGGCTGGGACTCTTTTAGTTAAAAAGGAAACCTAACTCAAACCAGAATGGGGGTGGGGAAAGTGAATTGATGTATCTCACATAACTGGGAGATCCAAGGGTGGATGTGGTTTTAACCAGAACTCGATCTGAGGGTTTGTGGGAAATATTCAAATTAGAACAGTTAAGAGCAGACACCAGCCAATCAAAACAGTCCATGCCAGTGACGTCAGCCCTGCATGTGCCGTCAGGGTGGGGCTATCAGGAATCTCTCTCCCTCTTGACTGCCTTCCTCATTGTCAACATTACTCTCAAAGAGGCTTTGGTCAGGTTTCAAAAGGCCAGCAGTAGCTCTGGGTCTACAGCTCCCCAGCTCTGCACCCCAGAGAAATGCCTGTCCAGTATTCTCCAAAATTCCTGGGCTCATGCTCACTTGTCCAGAGTAGATCTCTAGCCCACCCTATACCCATCGCTGGCCACTGGCCCCATCCAAAACTCTGGGGCAGTGAGTGGAGGGGGGGCTGCCCTACGCCAAATCAGGTGGTCTTACAGGAAGAAGTGAAAATAGATGCCGCAGAAGCCACAACAATCCCATCCACTGCAAATCACACGATAGTAAATGGCACTTTAGACCCCTTCTATAGTTTCCAGAAATGTAGAGAGGATCACGTTGCTTTAGTGTCTTGCCCCAAGTGCTATTAATATCCCTGTCCCTAAAAGATTGATTTTTATTATCGGTAGAAATACTTAATAGAAATGAAATCTACGCTCTCGGTCATAGATAGCTGGCATAAAAATTAAACAAAACACTGTGAAGCATACTTCTGAAGTGACCGCATACCTAGCTATGCTGCCCCAGTGAGCTCAAGTGTGTTTTCATTAGGGCATTTGGTAAGCCTGGGGGAAACTGTTTCTGCCCCACAAAGGAATGTTCTGCAAACATTCAGTAACTAACCATGTGATGCTTTCTACCTCTGTAACTAAAGCTAAAGACTTTTACCTATTGACTTGGATTCTCAGCTATCAGTAGGAGGGACAGTTTCAAAACATTGTCTATAGAGACTGTAACATATGACTATCACAAGACAGACTCAGGAACTGTTGAATATTCATGAGTTAAATGGGCAAAATGTTTGACATCCTGGCATCTTTGGATGTGTTTGTTTTACATTTAGTAGCTTTTCTATAGAAGACAGAAATGGGAAATGCCTTCTTAATCTGCTTGAAGGAGAGGGTTCTGATGATACTCATCTATCTTCGATGAGAATGGGTCTTTATCTTTAATTCCTAATTAACGGTTTTGCCAACTACCTTTATCTATTTCCCTTGTGATTTTAAGAGAAAGGAAAAGTCTTGAGTGTGTTGCCTCTGCCCATCTGTTTCTTTACATCATTTGCGAGCTCAGGTACTTGTTATTTGCTGAGCAAGGACTTTCCAGCTAGGATTGGATAAAGCAGTAGCTAGGTTCGAGAGTAAGAGTTTTATTGCTATCATTTAGAGTATTTCTTCATTCGTTCATGCATGCCTTTGCTCATAAATACCCCCACCTTATTCCACAAAAGATATGAAATGGAGCTTTATTGCTATGAGTTCATGCTGGCATAAATATTAAGCTCTGTGTAATAATCACTTGGGCTATTCCCGTACATAGTGCAGAGTTACTTATGGCCAACGCAAAGTCTATTTTCCCATCAGAGGTTAACGTTCCCATTTACTTGATCAGGGTTTGGATAATGCTTCATTCACAGCTGTTTTTCGCTTGCAAGAATCCATCTACTTTATCCTCACTGACCTTACCCTGGCAGGTGGTGCCAGGATTTCCTCAGGCAGTTGTTTGTTTTAGCATTTTCGAGTATTTATACTGGCTGCGGTAAGGGAGCCAGGATCCTGGGGCTTGTAAGTACCAGGTCTTGGTAAGTCTCCTTCCTGGCAGCAGCAGCAGCGTTAGTAAAATGCATTTTCCAATACTATCCTGTGTCTTAAATGGTATTTTTATCCATTAGAGTTGAGTGCAAGCAATAGAAATTAACTCTGAAGAACGAATGCAAAAACAGTGTCTTTGAGGGCTGTGTGTCGCTGACAGGCAGGCGGGTCCCTCAGGGGAGCCCTGGTGGACAGTCTGATGCTCGGTGCCAACTGTCAGCCCAGGCCAGGAGTCAGAGTTGGGAGAGATTGTGATGCCTTGGCTTGGGTCAGGGCCCACTTCCTAGCTCGGGGATGGTCAACCTTGACAACAGCGTGTGACAAGGGTGGAGTCATAGCAATTAGGGTGTTTTTACCAAAGTGAAGGAAGACGAAATGCCTTCCTGGGTGGGGAAAAAAACAACAGATGTCCACTACCCTCCCCTTTTGCAGTAATTTTCTCTCCATATTTGATGACTATTCTATCAGATATTGTTAAAATCTTTCCCCAGTATATGCAATTTACCTTTAATGTCATCTTCTTGGTACAGTCTTCCATTTTGCTGAGTTCATTTTGTTTTCCATAAAGCTAGGAAAACTTAGACTTGCCCACTTTTTTGTTTTAATAGACTTTGTTTTTTAGAGCAGTTGCAGGTTCACAGCAAAATTGAGCAGAAGGTACAGGGAGTTCTCACATGCTTCCTGCCCCCACACATGCACAGCCTCCCCCATAATCAATATCCCCCACCAAACTGGGACATTCGTTACAACTAATGAACCTACCTTGACACGTCATGATCACCAGAGGCCATAGTGCAAATTAGGGTTCCCTTTTGGTGTTGGAAATCCCGTGGGTTTGGGCAAATGTATAACAGCATGCATCCACCATTGTAATACCATGCAGAGTAGTTTCAGAACTCTAAATATCCCGTGTGCTCCACCCGTACATCCCTCCTTCCCGCCAACCCTTGCCAGTCATTAATCCCCACTCTGCTGTACCTCTTACTGGCTTTTTTTATGTCTTGAGTCACAGTCTTGCTCTGTCACCCAGGCTGGAGTGCAGTGGTGCAGTCTCAGCTCACTGCAACCTCCACCTCCTGGACTCAAGCAATCCTCCTGCCTCAGCCTCCAGAGTAGCTGGGACTACAGGCACGTGCCACCACACCCGGTTAATTTTTGTATTTTTAGTAGAGATGGGGTTTCACTATGTTGGCCGGGCTGGTCTCAAATCCCTGACCTCATGATCCGCCCTCCTCAGCCTTCCAAAGTGCTGGGATTATAGGCATGAGCCACCGCACCCGCCCTGGCCTCTTTAATGATTGTTTACTTGGGTAGGTAAAGTCTTCCAGTCCTTTTCATTCTCTCTAAAATCAGAAACTCTTTGGAAATATCTGAATTTTCAGATCAACATCATTGCCTGTAAAACTCTTTAAGACCCTCTTTGAAATGGGGTAACAGCCATTAAAAAAATGAGAAGGCCAGACTCAGGCTGGACATGGTGGCTCATACCTGTAATCCCAGCACTTTGGGAGGCCGAAGCAGGTGGATTAGTTGAGGTCAGGAGTTCAAGACCCGTCTGGCCAACATGTCTGGCCAACATGGTGAAGCCCCGTCTCTACTAAAAATACAAAAATTAGCCAGGGGTAGTGGTGCACACCTGTAGTCCCAGCTACTTGGGAGGCTGAGGCAGGAGAATTGCTTGAACCCAGGAGACGGAGGTTGTAGTGAGCCAAGATTGCACCACTACCCTCCAGCCTGGATGACAGAGCGAGATACTATCTCCAAAAAAAAAAGAAAAGAAAGTGAGGCAAATGAAGACTTGTAGTGATTGCTTTACTATAATCCCCTAATCTCCCCTGACTTCTTCCCCACTTTTTGTATATATTTTCCATCTTCTCCCATTGGGTTCAGTCTGAACTGAATCTGTCTGAACTGCCTGGTTCACCGCACGTGAAAGTCCCTGTCTCCACTTTCTTCTGTCTCAGGAAACAGGCTCAGGGCAGCTGAGAAACAGGCCCAGGCCATCCTGCTGAAGGACGACACCATCAGGAAGAAACAGGTAGTGACATGAAATGGGCACCTACTATGAGCCAAGGGCTGACTCTTGGTGTCTATTTCTTCATTTAATGATCACGGGGACGCTGTGAGCTCCTTTCACCTCTCACTGCCTCAATTTCCTTACCTGTAAGTGGCGACGATAATTCCTTCCTCCAGGACTATTGTGAGAGTTTGAGAGCTAGTTTGGAGAAAAAGTAGGCCAATTAACCAGCTCCCCTGCATGCAAAGCTTGTTATTTCTCTGTGACAGAGGCAGCTCTTTAAAATCTTACCGTGCACGTTCTGCAGGACACCTTTCCCTGGATTTTTCTTTCACGCAAACCCCATTCAGTTCCTACTGTGCTCTGCTTGCCTCTCCTGTTGTTGAGAGGCTCAGGAAAAACAACTGGAACTAATTCACCACTCTGGCTTGATGAAGTCACTTCCTGCTGCTCTGGGCATTGGCCTCTGGAACAATCAACCGCTGTCTGGTGGGAATTCTATTAACATGACTGTGACTGTCTTACTTTGGACAGTCTTACTTTGGATTGCCCCCGAAGCAGATGCTGAGACAAGGGTTAGGGTGAAAATAGTTTAGTTGGCAGAAAATCCCATAAAATACCAGCGGGAGAGCAGGAAGTGGGACAGGAGAGGAACACAGCCCACACACTCTGCATTGTCCATCCAGCCACCACTATGCGTACAGGAGCTGAATCCCAGAGGAACACACTCCTGGGCTTATTCCATCCAAGTAATATCGTAGGCTGGGGGAGGTCCCCAAACGCCAGTGAGTCCTTGACCCCAGTCATTGTCCAGGCTCTTGACTGTGAGAAGAAATTCAAGAATGAGTCAGAAAATAGTGAAAGTATGGTTTATTGCAAAGCAAAAAGTATACACTCAAGAAAGGTGAGTGTGAGCGTTTTCAAGAGTGAAGGAATCGCTCTCAAGGGGGATTGGGGTTGCTACCTCTATGGATTTCTTTAACCAAGCAGTGGAATGTTCATGAAGATTCCTGGAAAAAGGTGGAGATTTCTCATAACTGAGGTGTCACCCATTTTTGCACCAAATATGGGTGTTCCTGGAACCATCGAGGTGCCGGTGGGTGTGTGATATAGTATGTTAACGAGCATATATTGAGGTCCTAGGGAAAACCTAAGTGAAATCCACCACCACGATGGGTCCAGTTGGTCTTAGCCAGCTTGGCCCACACTCTTGTTTTTTCAGGGTCTTATCAGCCCCTAGCTTCTGCAGCTATTTCAACATTTTCCTTTTGCTAATCATGTGAAACTACTGCCTGGAATTTTCTATTCTTCTATGACCACCCTGTATTCTTCTTGTCTCATGGGGAGCAAGGGAGCTGAGGTATAAGTACCCCAGTCATTGGGTGAGGGTTGCTCCTGAGAGAGGTGCTGATTCTCATCGCATTCAGCCTGCTGCATAGATGAGCAAAGGCCTTTGGCTGCTGGTGCAAGTTCTCTGGCAAAGGAATGCAGGTGCTGACAGGTGCATTTGGCCTGATATGCACTGTAGGGGGATGGCTTCCAGGGCACCCTCAATGCCTCTTAAAATCATTCTCTCCTTAAAACCAGCCCATTCATCTCTTGGGGGCTTCTGCCTCTCTTTCAGACAAATTATTGCAGAGAGTCCAGTAGCCAAGTAGAATTGCATTGAGCAGGCACATTTGACAATGACATTTGATTCCAGAACTTGTCAAGCTTTGTTCTCAGAATATGACCAGATCCTAATAATGTCTGTCCACTGTTGAGGGACCACTGCGTACCAGACCCTATGTGGGATCTGTGAAGTCTATTACCTCATTCAGTCATCCCAGCAACCCTGTGAGGGATCCCCCACTGTCTCCAATTTCTGCACTAGGAGAGGGCGACATGGGGAGGTTACGCCACACTCCACGTCACTCACCCACGGCCCTCTCAGTAAACGGTGGACACAGGATCCGTAGCCTGAATGTCTGTGTCATGGTCAAGCTCCAGGTCTTTTCCAGCGCCACATTTTCCAGCACAACAACTAGATTAGTAAGTGTTCGCTTATGAGGATGTACTAGGAGCGTAGCTACCGAGCGCTTCCTGCATACCACGTGCAGTTATACACACCTCACATGTAAGAATTTAAACCCCCACGGTGACGCTAGGAGGTATGCACGGTTACTTCCATTATAAGGTGAGGAGGCTGTGGCATACCATGTTCTGTGCCATGTCCTCAGATACCATTATACCAGATGCCATTCCTTAAGCCCCTGAGTACCAATCCCACTCCCTCTCCATCACACACAGCCACTATGGAATACACTCACATCAGCGTCAGTTGGCCCCACTCACTGTGGGGCAGAATTTCCCTGGTCTGATGCCTGGCATCTGCCCAGAAGGCACTGCAGCATAGGGGACAGTGGGGTCAGACTCCACTGTAGGAATCTACATCTCCCTGCACACACTGTGAGGCCTTGCAAGGGCTACTGCACATCAGCGAGCCTCCATTTTCCTCATATTCAAGATGGAATCAAGCTTGTCTTCCTGGCGGGTTGGTGAAGATGGCACTAAATGAGAAGGGAACAGGGTAGGCACCAAATGGTTGCTGCTGCCGAATTTGGGACCGGGGTGCTGGTGGTCATCTGAGTGCCAGCTCTGCCTGACCTTGATCCAGTACATACGTACACACACACACACACGTTCACACACTTGTGCATGTACACATGTGTACATCATGCACATACATGTCCACACATTCACACACCACTCCCACATCTGCACCCACATGCAAGTACTCATACATGCACTCATGCACACACATGCACACACATTCACACATGTGCACTCACACATGCACACACTCTCCAGTAAGCTTTTTGGAGTTCATCAATATTACACCCAAGTCAGCATTTATTGAGCACCTACTGCATACCAGCATTATGCCAAGCACAAGAGATTAGGGGAAGTTGGGCGTAATGGCTCACGTTCATAATCCTGCTCTTTGGGAGGCTGAGGCAGGAAGATTCCTTGAGCGTAGGAGTTCGAGGACAGCCTGGGCAACATAGTGAGACCCCGTCTCTGTCTTTAAAAAAAAAAGACACAAGGGGAGCCCAGAAATGAAACAGCCAATGTATCATTTCAGGCAGACCATCTCGTTTTCACAGGAAGCAGCAAAGACAGGGTGCCAGACACCTTTGCCACGCTCCACTGGCTTCCATACTCTGAGAAAAGAGGGAATCCGACTCATGAGAGCCAGAAATGAAATTGATGCAATCCCAAACCCAGGGCCAGTCCATCCTGGAAGGTAAGCCCCATGGGGCCTTGTGACTGCCTCTTCTTTCAAGCAAGGTCCTGTCATAATTTTCTCCCTGGCACAACCTTTATGGAGTGGGTTATAACTGTGCCTGAAATGGACTGGCCTCTGGCAGAGCATTCCTCGGTGTGGGAGCCATCAGGCCCTCAGGAACGAGTCTTCCTGCCACCAGGAGGTTTCATGTATGCACCTGTATCATCAGTAGTGTGGTGTTTCTGTATCGTCAGAACTCAGCACACCATTTCTGGCCAGCATGGTTGTTTGATGTAGACTGAGAAGTGGGTTCAGTAATGAGCACCTGGCACACTCAAACTCTGCTAGGGTTGGGTGGCCACACTCCTTTGAGGCTTGACCAATGTCACCTGAAGGTCACCACCAGTAGCCATCCAGAACAGTTTAATTGGGGGTTGGCAGTCCATCTGCAGTGACACACTGCCTGTGTCCTCCAAAACTCAGTGGATTGGAGAATTGAGTCACGATGAATCTTGTAACCCATACCCAGAGCCCTGAAGAACGCAGGTTGTTTGCACGCCCAGCCACAAAGAAGTTGCCTTCTCTTGATCTTTGAAGCAATTAAATGTCATTTAGAGAGGAGAGGTTTGCTGTTTAAAAATATTTTTTAAAACAGCTTGAGTTTATTCTTGTAAGGCTGCCATTGGGTCTGAGACCCCAGAGGAGCAGTGCGCTGCCTTGCAGTTACTCCGCAGTGGGCAAGACAGGCATGTTTTGCTCTGGGAAGAGTTGCTGAACACCTGTCTGAGCAAGGGACTCTTTGTGGCTGTCTGGTCGTTATGTACACCACTTGGTCCTACCTCCAAGTAGCTTGTGGTCTCCTGGGAGCTGTAAGAAATCCAAACCAGCAAACAACATAGTTTTTGTTTCCAGTGTTAACCACCTGGCGAATGGTCCAGATAGGAATGCTGTAGAAGCTCCAGGGAGGAAGAGACTCCAGGGGCTCAAGTGGTTTAGCAGGGCTAGCAGGACTAGCAGGACAAGACAGAGTTTGAATGAGATCGTTGCATCTAAGTGGAATAAGGAGAAGCTGATAATGCAAGAAGGTCAACCATCTCACACACATCTAGGGACCGTGGGGAAACCCATTTTGCTAGAGTAGAGAGATTGGATGAGGAAGTACAGGCTGCACCCTGGAGCCAAGCTAAGTAAACTGGACTTCATTCTGAACTGGGAGTGGAGGGGTCCATGTGCAAAAGAGCACTGTGGGAGGATCCAGGGGACACTGGAGCCCTGGAGCTTGTTAGGAAGCAAGCTACTCATTCCCAGGGAAGAAAGAGGAGGACTCAGAGTGGGGAGGAGTGTGCCACATGAAAGGTGCCCACAGTATTCAAATCCCAACTTCGCTGCCTGCTAATTATGTGAACCGATGCTGGCTACACAATCTCTCTGAGCCTTGCTATTCTCATCCCTGAAATGGCAATAGTAATCCCAGCCTCAAACAATGATAGTTAAGATTATATGAAATATCATGCATGTAGTGCCAGCTACATATGTACAGTGTCCAACCCCACAAAGGGGATCCCTGTTATTCGTAGGGAGATGGTGTAGCAGTGTTGCCCTAGAGCCAATTCATAGCAGTTTGCAGGGGCCAGTTGTTACCATCTCTTTGTAGCTGTGCATTCAGTGACATCGTGGGAGTAACTCGAAACTGGCCACATTGGAAATACTTCTATCATGGAATTAGACAAACACTATTAATTCAAGCTTTCCCCACCTCCAGAGAATCAGATGTTAAACATTTGCCAGTGTTCCTCTGGCAAAGAAAAGGAAAATAGCCAGAGGTAAGTGAAATCAAATGAGAGAAGTCTAACCTTGCAAAACTGAGCCAACTGCACTGATGTATCCTGTTGTCTGTCCCACACCCTCGCAAGGCTTTTGGTCTTTGTCCAGCAGAGTCACCACGTCTTATTCAGGTTACAGTGCTGAGCTATTTGGAAACCAGGCTGGGGGGGTGGATTTCAATGTCATCTTACTAAAAAAGTTCACTAATGAAAAGTGTATTGCTAAGACAGCAGCTTCATATTTCTCCCAGTCTTTATCAGCAGCCATGGATTGAATCGTTGACTTGATTTTACTACACTGAGGTCCCACTGAGGAAGGCCAAGTTCCTAAATCATGCACCTGACAGGTGCCATATTTCTGAGCACAGAGCTGAGCTGTGACCTTCTAGTTTCACAGTAACTAGAGCTGGGTGACATGCTTAATAAAGGGAGTACATGGTGCATTTTTAAAATATGGAATGAAGGTGGAATCATGCAGACATGTCAGTCTGAAACTGGTTACCAGAAGCAAGGTGATCAATCTTCCTGCCTGTCTTAGGATGCTGATGTGAGAAGCACGATGACTTTCACTTGGCAGAAGGATTTGGAAGTATCTGGGCTTGATAAGCTACCTCATGCCAAGGACCATGCTCTGTATACGACTTCATCTTTTCACCCACCCTATGAGTGAGGTTTTAGTGTCTCCATTTCACATATAGAGAAGTAAAAGCTTGGAAGGTTAGCACCTCTCTCCATGTCCCACAGATACTAAAGGGCTGAGCCAAGATTTGAGTGTGCTTTTGTCTGATTCGCCTCTGCTTGGCCCTCTGTCTCCAAGCTGCTGCTTAGCTGGAGGCTCCTCAGTGACATCAGCTCACTGTGGCTCCCTCTGCCTGGAATGTTCTCCCTTGCCCAGGCCTTCATGTGACTGTCTCCTTTTCACTTCAGTCTCACTATCATCTCCTTTGCAAGGCTTTCCCTGATCACCTTCGCTAAAGAAGCCCTCCTCAACTCTGCCCACCTGTCACTGGTCACTCCCTGTACTGTTGCCCAATGGGACGGCTTTCAGAGCACATACCACTCTCTGAAGTTATCGTATTGTGTGTTAACTATTTTTATGATCTCCCTTCCTCTTGTAGAACAGAAGCTCCATGAGAACAGGAATTTCATGCCTTGTTCTCTTTCATATATGCAGAGTAAAGAAGAATGTCTGACATATAATAGCTACACAATAAATATTGAAAGAATGAGGGGATGGGTGGACAGATGCATAGATCCATGGAAGAATGGATGGATGGATGGATGGATGGATAGATGGATGGATACATGAATTGATGGATGCATGGATAGACACATGGATGAGTGATGAATGCCTGGGTGGGTGATGAATGCATGGATGAATGTGGAATGCATGGATGGATGATGAATGCATGGGTGGGTGATGAACGCATGGGTGAGTGGTGAATGCGTGGGTGAGTGATGAATGCATGGGTGAGTGTGGAAAGCATGGGTGGGTGATGAATGTATGGGTGAGTGATGAATGCATGGGTGGGTGATGAATGCATGGGTGGGTGATGAATACATGGGTGAGTGATAAATGCATGGGTGGGTGATGAATGCATGGGTGGGTGATGAATGCATGGATGAATGTGGAATGCATGGGTGGATGATGAATGCATGGGTGGGTGATTAATGCATGGGTAGGTGATGAATGCATGGGTGAGTGATGAATGAATGGATGAGTGTGGAATGCATGGCTGAGTGATGAATGCATGGGTGGGGGATGAATGCATGGGTGGGTGATGAATGCATGGGTGAGTGATGAATGCATAGGTGAGTGAGGAATGCATGGGTGGATGATGAATGCATGGGTGGATGATGAATGCATGGATGAGTGTGGAATGCATGGGTGAGTGATAAATGCATGAGTCGGTGGATGAATGCATGGATGAATGATGAATGCATGAATGGATGGATACATGGATGGATGAAGTTGTACAAGCTCAAACCAGCTCAGATTGGAGGAAGCGTCTTACTTGAAGCCCCCTGTGACTATGTTGGGGCTTGTCTCCTACCATCTCACTGAAGGAGCCTATCTCCTAAGCTCTCTCCTAGACACCTGTATCCTTACTTTCCCCTCCCTTCCCAGCCTGAGCAGTGTCAGCGTCAGGAGCAAGATGATTGATGAAGTGTCAGCAGGGACACAACCAGCTGGGTGAGCAGGGGCTATATTGTAACCTGCAGCCAGGAGCTGCTCCCTTGAGATGGCCTTTGGGTACAACTCTATATGGCTTCCCAGCCTTTCTTCCAGCTGCAGGATCATCCTACCCCTGGGACTCCCTTATTGGTGTCCTCATTAGGCCAATCAATGCAAATTAAGCCCTGATTCACAGATAGTGGGGATATACAGTCACCACGACACATATGGCCTCTGTCATCCAGTTTCACTCAGTCTAGAGAAAGAAAGAGATGAATAAACAGACCCTTTTAGTATAAAAGCTATGATGAAAGTGACATTTGAGGTGAAAACACTACAATATAACAGCAGCAGAGAGAAAGGCACATCAGTCAAAGTCAAGGAAGGAAGGGACAGCTGGGCTCAGACTTGCAGGTAGACCAGGGCAAGGATGTTCAGGCAGAGGAAATGGGATAAACAAAGGCATGGTGGCCAAGAGAGCTAGATCCGTTCACTCAACACACAGGCAGGACTGCAACGGGTCTTGTGTATCCTGTGGATCTAATCTATCCTTAGGCGTCAGTCTGGGAAACATGAGTTCCGTCTTCTCCACTAATCTGGGAAGGAGGGTCAAGTGGTACCTCTGTCTCCACCTCCTCCAGGCCTACACAGTTTGTGACTGACATACTGAGCACCAGGTCTGCATCACCCACCTTATCACATGTGGGCACAGGATCTCTGCCGGGGGCAAGCGGTATGATGTGTCCTGGTCACGGTCTGGCTGGTGATTTGGTTACATCCAGACACGGAAGTCGACCTAGAATAACCTAAGACAAAGGCAGTCGTTTCTCTGGCTGACATTGTCAGAACGTTAAACAACCAAAAACAGCAACAAAGTGATGGGCCAAGCAGGCAAGTTTGGGAACAGCTTTAATGACTAATTTCTAATGAGAGTTTCAAAACACTAATTTTCCAGAACAGAGAATCAAGTTGTGCTCATTTATAACCCGTCATCTGCAATGAGACAGAGGATATTTCTTTCTGTGTTGTCAGTTAACTTTCTGAGCTGGACAGAATACAAACTAGAAGAGGTGGGCCGTAAATCAGCTCCTTTGGAACTGATAAATGGATATTGTACAAATCCTGCATTTGCATTGGCTCTGAGGACATAAATCAATTCTCATGATCTTACTTTGGAAAAAAATTTCCCTTTGAAGTCAGACTGAGCGATTTATGTAGCATTCTTTCCTGACTTTATTTTTCTCAGCTTTTTAATGATTGTCTTTTCACTTTCTGCACTTACACAACATTGTAAAGTGTTGCATTTTCATGTAGAGAAAACTGGACCTTGGTCTGAATCTTCCCACAAGGGATAATTTTATAACTTTTTTGCTCAGCCATTGAATAACAATTGCTTTTGGAAAGATTGTCATAATGTATCAGTTAGAAGGCACCTTAGAGACCATCATTTCACATGACCTCTGTTTTTTAGATGGGGAAACTGAGGCCCAAGAGTGACAGTCATGTGCTGCAGGTCACAGGCCAAGTTTGTGACAAGACCGGGGTGTCTGTTCGGGTTTTGGAGAAACAAGGACCCTAGATAGGGTCCATTCATTCATTCATTTATTTATTTATTTGTTCATTCTCCAGACAAATCGTTATCTTGGCCCCTTCTGCTGCAGCCATTGCCACTAAGAAGGCAGGCCCTGCAGGGGAGACTCTGCACGTCTTTTGTTTGTTGAGTATTTGCTAAACGGGCAAAAAATGGAAGAAAAATCAAAACATCACTGTTGGCTGGGCACGGTGGCTCACGCCTGTAATCCCGGCCCTTTGGGAGGCCGAGGCGGGCAGATCACGAGGTGAGGAGATCAAGACCATCCTGGCTAACACGGTGAAACCCCGTCTCTACTAAAAATACAAAAAAAAATTAGCCGAGCGTGGAGGCGGGCCCCTGTAGTCCCAGCTACTCGCGAGGCTGAGGCAGGGGAATGGCGTGAACCCGGGAGGCGGAGCTTGTAGTGAGCGGAGATGGCGCCACTGCGCTCCAGCCTGGGGCGACAGAGCAAGACTCTGTCTCAAAAAAAAAAAAAAATCACCGTCCTTTTTTGGCGTTCTGTCAGTCAAGAGTATTCTGAAGACTATCGAGGGAGGAGTGTTTGGTTTGTGCCTTGTTTTGTTCTGTTTTAGCAGCCCTGGAAATCATGGATACCTCCCTTCCTTGAAGTTATCTTTCCCATGTATAACAGCTGTATTGATTTATGAGATATAATTCACATACCGTACAATTCACCCATTTAAAATATACAATTCAATGGTTTTTAGTGTAGTCACAGAGTTGTGCAACCATCACCGCCCTCGATTTTAGAACATTTTCAGCACCCTAAAGAGAAGCCCCATCCCCCTTAACCGTTAACGTGCTTCCTTCTCCCCACTGCTCTAGTGACCACTAACCAGCTTCCTGTCTCTGTGGGTTTGCCTAGTACGGACATTTCATCGGAATGAAATCAGCTAACATGTGATATCCTTAATGGTTTTGTAGCAGAAAGACATCTACGTGGGAAGGGACGCTGCTGAGTGTTTAGAGAACAGACACATTCATCATTTTATTGTATTTTCTCAACTTTAGAACAGTTTTCAAACATGTGGAAACGTTGGAAGAATTTTATAGCAAGCACCCTTTGCCCCATCACCGAGATTCTCCCAGCACATCTTCTTCTGCTTGCTTTATTTAGTGCACACCTATCCACCTGTTCCAGAGATCACCACTGCGGCAGTGGGTTCTCAAAGGAGAACCTTCCAACCTTCCCGCATTGAGAAAGAAAAATATCAGTTTTACTAAATGAAATATCAACATTGGAGATTTTATAAGCCGAGAATGTTAGTACATCAACATTAGAAGCCCTAAAAAATAAAATTGCATTC
This sequence comes from Homo sapiens, assembly GCF_000001405.40. Lineage (NCBI taxonomy): Eukaryota > Metazoa > Chordata > Mammalia > Primates > Hominidae > Homo > Homo sapiens. The sequence continues at coordinate 83,727,684 of NC_000016.10, forward strand.
AAAGGCCAAAAAAGTCTTAGGCTTGCTAGCTCTCCAGGAAAGGCCTGTGTGTTCAGGACAGGAGGACTAAGGACCAAACAGGTTTGGGAATGACAGATCCCTTGACGGAACTGGCTGACAACTTTGCTCACCAGTCACAGCAGGGCAGCCCAGGGAGTGAACAGGGGCGTTGGCGGGGAGGGCAGCCATTCCCGCCCGCTGCTAATGGGCTCGCTTCTCAAAGGAGCTTTTGGGATTCAAGGGTTTAAGTATCAAGTTTGACTGATGGATTTGGAGGGAAGAATTGAAAACTGCCTGAGGGAAGGCGCTTTGCTTTTTCTTTTGTGAGGCAAAAGCTTTTGAAAACTGTGACTGTACAAAGAGCCACAGCTCCTCTGAGGAGTCTGTTATGCGGCAACACATACTCAGATGTGGACAGCAGTGAGCACGCTGCCTGGAAAGGGGGAACAGCACCGCGGGCAGGCTTCAGAGCCACACACCACGTCTCTGTCTCAGAGTCTATCCTCGACCACAGGGTTTAAGTCTTTGATGTGCACACTGGGCCCTGGAGAGAAGGTGCCTGTTCTCACGGGCTGACCCCACAAGCCTGTGAGCCGTAAGCGGTGTGATTCGCTAACAGTTGAATGGCACTGGCTATGTGTGTATGTGTATGTGTGTGCGTGTGTGTGTGTGTGTGTGTTGTGAAGATACATTTAGTTTGAGTCCCTATGAAACGAGGAGAAAAGGTCTTGACAAACAACAGTTCAATAGCTCCTGCCAATATGTGCAATGCAATTCTTTTTAGTGAGTGAATTAGGCTTGATAAGAACTACATTAAAGCTTCTGTTGGAAGAGGAATTCAAAATGCTCATCTTTGTAATTTACCCACTCAGTCACCAGTGTTTACCAAGTGCCAATGGAAGCCTGGAGAGAAGAGAAAGCAAAGATAAATAAGCGTGTCTCTCGGCCTTCAAAGCACTGTGCCCAGCAGGAAGGAAAGCACACAATTACGACATGCCGTTTTTATTGTATATATGTTTATATATTAGGTTGGGCCATGTGAAATTGCTGATGTGACGGGTTTTGACGAGAGAAATGGCAACTGTGTGGTTCAACCTAATATTTAGATAGTATTGTCTTAGCTCAGGCTGCCATAACCAAATACCACAGACTGGGCAGCTTGAATACAGACATGTATTACTCACAGTTCTGGAGGCTGGAAGTCCAAGATCATGGTTCTAGCTGGTTCAGTCTCTGGGGAGGGCTCTCTTTCTGGCTTGCAGACAGCCACCTTCTTGCTGTGTCCTCATGTAGCCTCATTTCCTTGGGGCATGTACCTGGAGGGTGGGGATTAGGGAGCATACAGGGTCTCCTTTTATAAGGATCCTCATCCTATCAGATCAGAGCTCCATCCTCATGACCTCATGTAACCTTAACTTCCTAAGGAGAGGCCCACCTCCAAGTACTGCCACAATGGGGGTTAGAGTTCTATCAACATCCGAATTTGGGGGGAACAGCAACAAATGTTCAGTTCACAAGTATAAAATGGATATATTATTTATGTGCATATACATCATATACTGTTACATATCATAGATAAGACATGCATATTATACATATGTGTATGTATATATAGTAAATATACCATCTATAGTAATAAGGTTTCACAAAGAAGAGAAAATGGAAATGTAGAGATATAAAGGAAATCATCTTTGTATTACTAGTCTTTTTATTGCCAAAAAAATTTTATTTGCAAAACAAATATAGGCTCATGGTAAAAATTTTAGCAACTGAGATAGGCAAAACTAAGAAAGATGTAAATCCCACTAGCCAGATACCACTACTCCTAAGACCCAGGTCAGACAGCGAGGCATCACTGTTAAGAGCATGGGCGCTATGGTTGGACAACTCTATCACTTACTAGCTGTGTGTCCTGGACCCAGCTACTTAGTCCCTCACCACCTCTGTTTCTTCATCTATATAATGGGTCAGTAATCCCACCCACATGAAGTTATTGTTAGACTTAAATAAGCTGACCCATGTAAAGTGCTTGGAAATTCCCTGGCACAAAGCAAGTGCTCAATAAATATTATCTGTGACTCTATTATTATCATCATCATGATCATAATTATTACCGCAACTGCCACTAGCATTCCCTTCCAAGGTATTTTCTCAGCCAGCAGCAGCAAATCTGTTTGGGATTGTATGTCAAGCCCTGTGAAAAAGAAGGGTTTGGCACACAGGGCTTCATACAAAGAGGGGTTTTGAAGCTGACCTGGCCATTGCCAAGTCATTACCGTGCTTGTGAGAAGGGGGCAGCGAGCCTGCCACATGTTTGCATGTGGACCCTCACGGTGCTATACACATACCTACCTACTATAAAGATTTACTTCGTATGTGTTGTCATCTTGTCATGCTGTGTTCATCATGGCTTTTAATGTCTACGTAGCATTCCATTATCACTTTTGATCAACAGTTCCCTGATTGATTTTTTATTTTTCTATAGTAAACATTGAAGGAGAAAATATAATTGTCGCTAAATATTTCAGCCAAATAAGTCTGAGCTATGCATTATTCTAAGGCCCTCTCTCAGATCTTCACAATGCAAATCTGAGTATTAAAGGCTCTGAGAATTCTTGCGCAAAGGGGGACCTCATTTGATGTTATTAACCTGGCATTCCCCAGTTTTGGAATGTGCTCCCTATAGCTATTTCTTTAAGCTAAATAATTAGAGGAAGAATTTCTGGGTCAAAGAATATGTACAGTTCCAAGAGATTTTCATTTGTTTCCCTCTAGAATGTTGTTTTAGGAACTGACAAACTTGGAGATACCTCCTTCTGGGCTAAACTGTGACTTTTTAAAATCACAATTCGATGAAAAGTTCAACACACTAAAATATACGGTGGTATTCTTTTAAAAAATTCATACAATTGAACTGGGTACAAAGGATCACCTGGGTTTTTTGTTTGTTTGTTTTTGTTTTGTTTTCGTTTTTTGGTTTGTGGTTTTTTTGAGCTTTTAGATTCAGGGGGTCCATGGGCAGGTTTATTACCTGGGTCTATTGCGTGTTGCTGAAGTTTGGGGTATGAGTGATCCCATCACCCAGACAGTGTGCATAGTACCCGATAGTTTTCAACCCTTACACCCCTTCCATGCTCCCCCTTCTAGTAGTCCCCAATGTCTATTGCTCCCATCTTTGTGTCTGTGTGTACTCAATGTTTAGCTCCCACTTAGAACTGAGAACATGCAGTATTTGGTTTTCTGTCCCTGTGCTAATTCGCTTAGGTTAATGGCCTCCAGCTGCATCCATGTTGCTGCAAAGAACACAATTTCATCCTTTTTCACAGCTGCATAGTATTCCATGGTATACACGCACTGCATTTTCTTTATCCATTCCACCATTGATGAGCACCTGGATTGGTTCCTTGTGCTTGCCATTGTGCATTGTGCTGTGATAAACATACAAGTGCATGTGTCTTTTTGGCAAAACAATTTATCTTCTTTTGGATAAACACCCAGTAGTAGGATTGCTGAGTCAAATGGTAGTTCTGTTCTAAGTTCTTTGAGAAATCTCCAAACTGCTTTGGACAGGGGCTGAACTGATTTACATTCGCACCAACAGTGTATAAGAGTTCCCTTTTCTCTGTAACCTGGGCAGCATCTGTCATTTTTTGACTTTTTAATAATAGCTATTCTGACTGGTGTGAGATGGTATCTCATTGTGGTTTTGATTTGCATTTCTCTGAGGATTAGTGACGTGGAGCATTTCTTCATATGTTTGTTGACCGCACGTATGTGTTCTTTTGCAAAGTGTCTGTTCATGTCTTTGACCATTTTGTAATGGGGTAGTTGTTTGCTTGTTGAGTTGTTAAAGTTACTTATAGATTCTGGATATTAGACCTTTGTTGGAAGCATAATTTGTGAATATTTCTTTCCATTCTATAGGTTGTCTGTTTATTCTGTTGATAGTTTCTTTGCCAATTTTTGTTTTTGGTGCAATTGCTTTTGGGGACTTTGTCATAAATTCTTTGCCAAGGTCAATGTGCAGAATGCTATTTCCTAGGTTTTTTCCAGCTGGATTCTTTTCTCGTCTTCTGGCAAGTCAGTTTAGAAGAGGTTGATTTATTCAGAAAGTATCCATTTTCTTTTTCTAGACTTCAGACAGGAAAATGTAAAATGAGCAAAATTCTCGTGTATAAACTAGCTCAAAGGTTTGTGGAAGATTTAAATGCTGCATGACAGGTAGCAGGTAGTCGATAAATGCCAGTTGTGAATATTGCTTTTCAGATTAAATAACAAGGCTGAAAGTAAATGTTTTGGACAGGCTAGCTATTCTTCATACATCCAACCTAAAGGTAATCATCCTGGTTTATTTATTTATTCAAAAAATATTGAAAAATTCACACTGTGAGCCGGGTCCTAACTAGCCCTGAGGATAGCAGTGAACAAGACAGTGTGGAGTTTCCATTCTAGTGGGAAGACCGGCAATGAACAAGCCAATGAATGTCTGATCACACAACCGGTGTGATTACAGCTTACAGCTCTTTCCCATGGGAGAGTCAACAGCTTAATGGGATGGAGAGTAACTGGAGAAGGCCACCTTAGATGGGCTGGTTAGGAGGGAGATGATGTGTGATCTGAAGAGTGATAATGAACCAGCCAAGGGGAGAGGTGAGGGGGAGAAACCAACAGCTAATGCAAAGGCTGGGACGATGGGAGAGCCTGGCTAGCTTTGGACTGGGGAACAGGGTGAGTTGATGGTGGGAGGTGAGCAGTGATCAGTCCCCAAAGCCACAAAGGTTTTGAAGCCTGAAAGGGACATGACGTACATTTTTTAAATCTCACTCTCCTGTTCTGTGAGCAACAGAATAGAGGACCCGGAAACTGTAGTAGGGTTCTGTTTCTACACTAGTGCTAATGTAGAACCTCCTACATCCAGAAAGATGATAGCAGAGCTGAGCCACATTCTTCCTGGCAACTGATGTTCCCACACGTAGAAACAGCTGGCATCCTCATACAGAGGGAGGCTTGCAGGCCCAGGATACATCTCATCCCCCTTGCTAATCTCAGTACTTGACACCCCTGACCTCACCAGGGGCACCAAACCCAACTGCTTCCTGCAGGGATTCAGCTGCACTTGTCATCACAGAGCCTTGAAATCCCTGGGGATATCAACTCCTTGGAATTCCAGGCTGCTCTTCCACTTGCTTCTGACACATTGACTTTTCTGCCCATTCACTCACCCATCTTTAACCAAGGCCTGTATGGCCAGACATGAGGCCACTCACTGCCTACATGAAGAGGGAAAGACAAAGTGTATCCCTGGGAGCTCGCTACCTTGTGTGAAAATTACAACATCAGATAGTAAATGCCTTGGTGAAGATACGCATCCCAAGGGCAGGAAGCTCCCCACCTTGATCACTGCAAACTCCCCAGTCCCTAACAGAATACTGGGAAGATAGAAGGTGGTCAAAGCGTATGTATGGAATGAACACTGGAAATCAGTACACAGGGCTGGGAATGTGTGATTCTGAGCACTCAGTGATGGAAATAACCCTCCAGCTCCTTCACAGAACAGCCAGCAGCATCACCTGTTTTGGTGATGGTGCCTCCGGATGATGATCCGTGAGCGCACACTGGACTCGTGCTCCTGGGTGAGCTCTCTCCTTGTGAAACCCAGATGCTTCTGTCTCCCAGGGACCCTGCAGCCCTCCCGGTAACCTGGCCTCCATCACGAATGCAGTCTCTATAGACGGTTGTCTATTAGGATGCCACTGGAGAGGGAGGTCCCGTCATCACCTAAGCTAAGCACAGCTGCCTCTAAGTACCTCCTTGCTTGGCAGCCGGCCAGACCACATTCACTGAGCTTCAAGTCATAATGCGAGGCTCAGCCATCTATCTCACTGTGGTCCCCGCTGCAGCTGGCTTCATTTATTGACTTCTTGAAAGTGGCAATATCCATGCTCAGCTTGGTCTGAGCTGGACTCAGAGACCCAGGTGCCAGAGCAAAGGCCATGGTGTGTCGGTTAATCACCCAATAAAAATAAACTCTGAGAACAAATACAGAGGGGTGATTAACTTTCCCATTCTGGTCTTCTGACATCCCAGTTTGCTCTCCCAGTGAGCGTGTTTCTTTGAGATAAACCACCCTGGGAAACTGATCACCTGTCCAGACACCACCATGCCTTGGCGTAAGTGGACAAAAGTGGAACGTGACCTGCAAGCAGCGCAGCCTGAGACTTAGGCAGAGAGCCCCCTGCCCCAGGTTCCATGCTGCTGAGGGCCTTATCAGAAACTCTGAAGCAGAGCACCAGACTATTTTATTCTGCTTTTTGCTCTTGTAATAAAGTGTTATTAGTGTTTAGTCACCAGATTAAACCCCAAAGCCTTACCTCCCCTCCTGTGACCATCCATGTACTCCAAATCATGAACCAAAAAACAGGGACCACCAACAGCCCTTACCAAAAGAAGACTGGAAGCACAAAAAAGCAACTTACCATGAATCAATTTAAAGTGAAGACCAAAGTGTGACTCAAAACTGAAAAAATATATGTATTTGGTTAAGATGTAATTGTTACCGAAGCACCAGGGGTTTGGTCTGGGTCCTGCTGTTCACTGCACAGAAAGCCAATCACTGAGACAAGACAAAAGCCAGGGAAGAAGGCTTTAATCGGGTGCTGCTGCAGCCAAGGAAATGGGAGGTCAGTCTCAAATCCATCTCTGAAATGAGGGGTTGATGCACCAGAGAGGAAATGTAACCGTGTTTGGGAAAACATGGATGAAATTGGAAATCATCATTCTCAGTAAACTATCGCAAGGACAAAAAACCAAACACCGCATGTTCTCACTCATAGATGGGAATTGAACAATGAGAACACATGGACACAGGAAGGGGAACATCACACTCTGGGGACTGTTGTGGGGTGGGGGAAGGGGGGAGGGATAGCATTAGGAGATATACCTAATGCTAAATGACGAGTTAATGGGTGCAGCACACCAGCATGGCACATGTATACATATGTAACTAACCTGCACATTGTGCACATGTACCTTAAAACTTAAAGTATAATAATAATAATAATAATAATAATAAAAACAGGGATTAAAGCGGGGCAAGGAAGAGAAGTTGGTCAGTAGGAAGCAGGTGGTCCTTTAGGCAATCCTGATGGATGAGGGGTCTGGCTCCTCATTATCCAGAGGCAGTGGTCTGGTAAGTTTCAGCTCCTTGATTTTATCTGGGAGACCTGATGGTTGGCTTCTTGAGAAAGGAACTCAGATAAGACAATTGTAACTTTCTCAAGTTTTAAAGTCTGGAAGGAACAATTTCTGTGGTTATTCAAAAAAAAAAAAACATAAGCGTCAGTTCTGTGGGACAATTTGATCACTTTATTTTGGAGAAAAAAATGATGAATAGAAGTTTGTTTATAAGTTTAACCCCAATAATAGGCTAGTCTCACAGTGAACACAGATGAACCAAGAATTGCTTTGCTTTTGACATAATTTTTACAACATCCCACGGCAGTACATGCCAAACTTCACCTTGTGCTCAGCTTATGCCCTGCATTTATAAAGAGATTGTCTTTCCTAACCATTCGAGGGCTTTGTCCATTTCCCAAAGGACCTCTCCCCAGTCCTTTGCCAGTCAAATCACTCTTTCGAAGCAGTTGTAAATCCACTGTCCTTTCTCTTCTTCAATCATTGATTCCCTTCTCTCCATTGCGTTTTCACTTGTCATGGATTTACTTATGATTCCTTTTTTTCTTCTTGTATTGCTTTACTTGTAATTAGCAAATAATAATTGTATATATTTATGAGGCATAATGTGATGGTTTGGTCTTTGTATACATAGAAACTTTGATCAACATCTCCCCCTTCTTCAGCCCTCTCCCTGCTGCCATGAATTTGACTCTTTTAGATTCCACAGATACATGAAATAATAAAGTATGTGTCTTTCTGGGCTTGGCTTATTTCACTTAGCGTAATTCTTATACTCTGAGTATCCTCGTAGAACCCTACATCTTTTGTGAGATTGACAGTCATACTTTGTGCTGGACTGGTGCATCTTTGGGATGGTTTTGTCACTGGGCGATAACTCATGAGGTCTGCTGACCAGGTAGATACCAGGAGTAAGCAGGATATTTGGCTGCAAGAGAGAATTATAGGCCTGGTCGGGAGTTCATTCAGGATGTTGTAAATGGAATACTGGGGTGATGAGCAGTCCTTGTGGGTCTTGTTCATATTTGTATATATTCAGGCCTAGGAATGCAGGGAAAAAAGGGATAAAACACACTGAATGAAAAGAGTGTGAACAAATGGATGAAGAGCCTCACACCAAGTAAAGCTTACGTTGCTACCAACTGGTACCAAACTCCAAGTCGTCCTGTTCTTTTCCAAGCGCCATTTCTGCTGCTTAGAAAAAGCCACCCAATCTGGATACATGGATGTAGCAAATTTAACCTTAGACCTAGATTACCTATAGGATCAGACTTGATCAGTCATTAATAATGATAATGAAAATTAATCATGAAAGCTATCTTGTGGTTGCACCTTAAAGCATCTGTGTAATGCTTTTACCCATACTAAGAGTGTTCAATCCCTGTTTTCACCTAGGATTGATAAGTGTATTTCTGGATTTCAGAAATCGGATAGCTTCTGAAGTCTCAGCCTGTTAATATGGTAACTAAATATGTTAAGGTCCTAGTCTCTCAATGTTTAATTACTGTTTAATTTTTTATTTCCTAATTTACTCAATGTGTATGATATTGTTAAATTTGTGGCTTTATACCCTGAATCTCTTTGTCTGTATTTCTCTGTATTGCTTGGCAGTCAATTTGGTCAAAAGCAACAACGAAATGACCCTTACGAAGTGTCAAATGTCCCTTTATATGAGATATAAATGTCTTTGCAAAGACACTTATAAAGTTGTGAAGACGTTGTTTCCTTACTCTAATAGCTGCTGTATTCACGTAGGTTTCAAAAATGGGGTGGGGGAGGGCAGTGGCAGTGAGCGCCTAGCGGAAACTATGTCAATCACCCCTGGAAATAAATCTGCAAAATGGACTAGCAAGCCCTGACTAGGAAGAGCCCGGCCACAGCAAAATCTTATTGCAGGCACAAAAAGGTCCTATTGCAGCAGTTGGGAGACCTTTGGTAAATTCTAACAAAGAATTAATGGCCTCGAACAAGACGCCCGGTATGACCTTTGCCAGAAGAAACTAGGAGCAGACTTGCTTGCCTGGAACAGGTGGTGAGGAGGTTTTCAGAGAAGATGTGTGCAGTCCCTGGCAAGTAGCTGGTGCCCAGGAAATGTCAGTTCCATTGTTTGCCAGGGAAGGCTCGGTGCACGTGGGGCTCACACACAAAGGAAGAGGTTAGAGAGTCCGCAGAAAAGGGTGGGAGCTCAAAACAGTGGTTCTTAGGCGTTTGTCTGCAGGCACGCTGGTAATTCATGCTGACCATGCCCACAATCAGTGGCACCTAGCTGTGGCCCCACCCCTTTCCTGCCCACTATTGAAAGTGACTACATGGCAAAGAGCGCCTATTTCCTAGACTAAATCATTCTCAGACTTAAGTTATTAGTGAGCGCTGTTAGACTCAAGTTCCTTGATATCTACATCACAACTGAGTAGTTTATCTCAGTGGTAAGTCTCGAAGTTTGACTTCGAAGTTACTAAGAGCCTTCCAATAAAAGAACAGTTTAAGCCAATATTGTTTCACCATTGATAGTGATGAAGATATTAAATTCACACACATGTGCTGTGTGATTTTAAACCTTTCTCAAATGTGTATGATTTTTATAAGCAGAAATATAATTTTAAGAAAGCTTTATATCTATGTAATAGGGTTCTTTTTTTTTTGGGAAATATTGCCATCCTGTAAATTCCAGTCCTATGTTCCTGAGTTATTCCCCACTAAGGAAAGCCCAGCTGTGGGACATAGACCTGGTTTCCACCTCAGAGTTTAAATCATTATTCTCAGAATGGTGGTTCTCAAACTTTGGTGAATCAGAGCCACCTGGAAAACATGTTAAAAATGGAAAGGTCCCATCATATCATCAACAGCCCTGATCATTCTGATACACACCCAAATTGGAGAACCAGTGGCACAAACAAATGCCCAACCCTCGTGGGCTATTCACAAGGCAAACAAAAATCAAGCTATGCTTGGGAGGCAGAGATCCACATTGGAACCACACTTCTGCTGCTGGAAAGCTGCATGACTCAGGCAAGCTCCTAGACCACTCTGAGTCTTTGTTTTCTCATGTGTAAAATAAGGTGGTAATATCTACCTCCCAGGTTGATGAGGCAATGGCAGACAGTAATGTATATGAATACATACATCGTACGCCACCTCCTCAGTGATCAATGAATGTGCGCTTCCAGTTGTAGACACAACAGCAGAAAGTTAATGCTGAAAAATAGGAAAACACTCACAATGCATGATTTACGATGTGAGGGAGCCTGCTGGCATGGCCCTTGTCACGAGAGTAATTAAATAACCATTTGTGTAATTACTAATTTATATCCTGTCTCCCTGCTGGAGTGTAAGTTCCAAAAACTGGAGGGAATACACTGCTGTCTTCCCAACACCAAGCGCGGTGCCTGGCATGAAACAGACACCCAGCAAATGTTTATTCCAAATGAGCGAGTGAACAGTACGTCACATTAAAAACGTGTGTGTTTATGTATACATCGATACATAGGCTGGAAGCCTCTAGGCAAAAATGTTAATAGTGCTTATCTCTGGAAGTGGATTAGGGTGATTTTAATTTTTTTCTTTTTTCTCCTCCGTATTGTCTGAATTTTCTGCAATTAACACAGAGGACCAAACTAGCATTTCCTTGGGTAAATGCGAGTGGAGTTGGAGCCACCCCCTACCACTGTGCCTACAAGAGCATGTTTTCTTGTGATTCCAGCTTCCTTGGGGGTTTCAATATGTAGTCTCTAGAATTAAAAGGGTTTTGGGCCAGGTGTGGTGGCTCAAGCCTGTAATCCCAGCACTTTGGGAGGCCAAGGCAGGTGGATCACAAGGTCAGGAGTCTGAGACCAGCCTGGCCAACATAGTGAAACCCCATCACTACTAAACATACAAAAATTAGCCGGGCATGGTTGCACATGCCTGTAATCTCAGCTACTTGGGAGCCTAAGGCAGGAGAATCGCTTGAACCCAGGAGGCGGAGGTTGCGGTGAGCCCAGATTGCACCACTGCACTCCAGCCTTGGCAACAAAGGGAGACTCCGTCTGAAAACAAAAAGGGGGGGTTTAGGAGAAATAGGAATTTAGTGATTTCTAAAGATAAGTAGAATTTGTTCTTATTCACCATTTCCTTGTCCTGATCATGGACTATGCAAAAAAGAGCTCACACAACAGGCCTGAGACTGCTGTTCCTAGAAAGACCTGCCTACAAGGTTGGCCTCAGCTGGTATGTAGAATCTTGGATGTGGGGAGGGCTCCCACTCTCTTAGCTGATAAGAGTGACTCACTGCACCTAAACTGCTTGCGCGAACAAATGTGGTTTATGCTGAATATCTGTTTTCCCCCTGGGAGTCAAGAATTTTGCTAATGCCATGTGGAGGGTGTCTACGTGACCAGCCCCCCAAAAAAAACCCTGAATGTTGAGTCTTCGGTGAGCTTCCCTGATGGAGAACATTTCACATATGTTGTCACAACTTGCTCCTGGAATTAAGCACGTCCGGTGTGACCCCACTGGGAGCAGACTCCTGCAAGCTGGTACCTGGTTTCCCCAGGATGTTGCCCCATGTGCCTTTTTTCTGTGCTGTTTTCCCTGCGTATTTTCCCTGTGATAAGTTTTAACCATTGAATATGACAATATGCTGTGTTCTGTGGGCCTTCCTGGCAAATCACTGAACCTGGGAGTGGTCTTCGGGACCCCCAGCACACAAACCCACCTAACTAAGCCCCCTTTGACAGCATGTATCAGATCCAAGGCAACTAAAGGGATGGGAATGTCTGGAGCAGCATAGAAGTGGGAGTTTGGCTGGGACAAGAGAGACAGGTGGCTCTTTTGAGAGACCTGCCTATGGGGGAGGGATGAATGAGCACTTTAGAATTCTGGGTCACCCAGCACATGGGTCAACCAATGCATGTTAAAGAAGGTTTCTACTCTCATTCATTCCCTCATGCATGCATTCAACAACTGAGTACCTACCCACTCAGTGTGTGCGGGCCACTCTTCTAGATTCTATGTATGAAGGGTTAAGTAAGATAGATGAGGTCACTGCCCCTTGGAGCTCACATTCTAAGTTGTAGAGCTGGCCAGGGAAGGAGGCAGACTTCAGAGAGACCATCCAGAGTGGCTTCTCTAGGGAACACAGAGGCCTTGGTGTTGGAGCTGAGATCCTACAAAGCACAAGACACACATGAGAAAATCTAAGACTTATCCGATGAGGCAAGTAGAAATGTGTTGAGACCAGAAATAATTTACTAATTTCAAGGAATGAAAGGAAGGCCAGCGAGTCTGTAACTTAGGGAGGCTGAGGAAAGAGGTAGAAAATGCAGGTAGAAAGTCAGGCAGGTCCAGATGGATCCTCTAGGACCTTAGAGACCATGGTTAAGAGTTTGGATTTTATTCTATACCCCATGGGAAGTCATTGGTGGGTTTTAAGCCGGGGATTCACACTCTGTGATTTAACACTGGCTGCTCTTTGGAGAATGGACTGTAGCAAGCAGAAGAGAAGCAAAGAATCAGGTGCATTGCAGTGGTCTACACAAAAGACGATCCCTAGTCGTCTTACCACCTGCCTCCTACAATAACCAAAGAAAGTGGACCCACACCACAGCTACCTCGGTCCACTGCATGTGTGGAAGGTGATGATTCTCTTGGGCATGATATATATTACTTGTTGTCATGGTAGGGATCAGAATGTCTGTAAAAAGCAAAGTTTTGGTCCATGTGCCATCAGAAGATGCCAGCTGCCATATGCCAGTCAGAATTGTCATGTGCTAGAGCCTCATGCAGATGTCCACAGGATTTCACCAGGAGCTCTGGGATGCCTGGGAAGGGGATCCAGGGAAGGGACTGGAGATGTCAAGAGCTCCTGCCCTGTTCTCAGCTGTTATGGAGTCACAGAAGGTCATACCTACATGAAAGGCAAGGCAAGAAGTATCCCATCCTCCCAACCCCAAGAGGCCCTGCCCAGGCCACTCACTGGACAACTCTTCTTGTCCACATCTGCTGGTTGTGGCACCCCATCCCTGGGAAATTTGCTAATTTCAAGGAATTAAAGAAAGGCCAGTGAGTCTGTAACTTCGGAAGGCTGAGGAAAGAGATAGAAAATGCAGGTAGAAAGTCAGGCAGGTCCAGATGGATCCTCTAGGGCCCTAGAGACCATGGCAGTCCTTTCTGTTTACTGAGACTGCTTTCTTTGGCTCTGGTTTCCTGGGACAGGAAGAGAACAGTACCCTGGACTGTGATGGGCTGTGACTGTCTAACTAATCTAGGATTCTGGAATTCACTAGCCATTCAATTTTATCCATACATTTTGTCAGAAGATTTGAAATATGCCCTTTACTTTACACTCAGGGCCATAGCTACATGAGCTATTTTAAGATAGTGTATTTCCTTCAATTGGGAGTTCTGTCTCTTTCTGGTTCTGCTTTTAATAATAAATACGGGGTCCAGTGGACTGAAATTAAATAGGGTGTGAAGAATTCCCCTACTGTTTCCCTTCTTTCCTACAGTTTTACAGGGTTGTTTGTATCCTTCAGCAGGAATATAAAAATACCCTGTATCTCCTCTCCTTTCGTAGTTTTTATTTTCTACGTTTCTCATAGTCTTTCCTATCCTACTATATATATGTGTGTGTGTATATATATATATGTGTGTGTGTGTGTATATATATGTGTGTATATATATGCCATATATAGAGATAGATCCATCTTCCATCTATTACTATATCTATAATCTCCCTATATATAAATTTGATACGTATATAATCTGTGCCATGTCTAGTGCTCTGCTATATTGCATTGATCCATTTGGCTATTGTGCACTAATTGCCCAATATTACTTTATGACATTTTTAAGTCTAAACTGAAAGGAAAGCTATGCTCAGTCATGTAATGTTGGCAACCATGCTGCGCAAACATGGGTCCCCTACATCAGGGGTCCCCAACCCCTGGGCCACGGACGGCCCCAACCCCTGGGCCACAACATCAGATTGTTATTGGAGCACAAATCCTATTGTGAACTGCACACACAAGGGATCTAGGCGGCACACTCCTTATGAGAATCTAATGCCTGAACTGAGGAGGAACAGTTTCATCTCCAAGCCATCCCCCACCTGTTCATGGAAAAATTGTCTTCCACGAAACCAGTCCATGGTGCCAAAGAGGTTGGGGACTGCTGCCCTACCTCACAGAAAGCGAGTGACCCCAAGAAGCCTGCAGAAGGGACTTGTCAAACCTTTGATCTCTTTCACCTTCCCACCAATACTTGAGCCCCTGAGGGCAGAGGCTGGCAGCCCTTGGCTCTGGAAGTCCTTCCAGGTCAACAGCTGGCCCTGGCCACTTGCCTGGAAGCTTTCTTCCCTGCTCTGAGGGGGCCCTGCTGAGAGTGAGCCCGCCTTCCAGGGTGGCGCAGGCCCCAGTAACCCCCACTGCGCTGCCTGCGACTCGAATTCTGTTAATCAGTTTGCCTTGCGTCTCCCAACACCGACACCCAGAAGAGGCCGAGGCTTGGCAAGCACTCAGAGCAGCTTCTGTGAAGCTACATTACAGGCTGAAATGAGCTCAGCTTTTAATTTGATTTTTTTTTTCCTGTAACAAGCAAAGTTCACATTACAGATAAATTGCCCGGAAATTCCAATTTAATAAGGCGTATGCATTTTTCAGGCCTAGAAGCATTGAAAACATCTTGCACGCTAGTATTTTTACACTGAAAGGTTTATTAAAAAGACAGCTTTGAAAATGTCAGAAATTTACATAGCGCGCCTGGCCGATTGGTCAAAAAGCCTGATTGGACAAAAGCGCACGGAAGCCAGGAAGCGGGAGAGCAGGCTGTTCCGTGGTCTTGAGCTGTTCTCCCTCCACATCGGGAACGATGGCTCCACCGTTCATTGTCTCCACCCAGCTCTTAGTTCATGTTACATGGGTGCTCAGCAAATGAGTGTCCGTCTGTCCTCCTCTGTCTGCAGGTGTGTTTCTGAGTAGGAGCAGCAAGCTGTCCTTCCAGGGCATCTGTGGGGCAGGCATACCTCCTTGAGGTCTCCCATGGGAGGAGGCACCAAACAAAATAAGCAAACTGGCCAGGTGCGGTGGCTCATGCCTGTAATCCCAGCACTTTGGGAGGCCAAAGCAGGTGGATCGCTTGAGGTCAGGAGTTCGAGACCAGCCTGGCCAACTTGGTGAAACCCCGCTCTACTAAAAATAGAAAATTTAGCCAGGCATGGTGGCAGGTGCCTATAATTCCAGATATTTGGGAGGCTGAGGCAGGAGAATTATTTGAACCCAGGAGGCAGAGGTTGCAGTGGGCTGAGATCGCTGCCACTGCACTCCAGCCTGGGCGACAGAGCAAGACTCCGTCTCAAAAAATAAAATAAAATAAGCAAACAGAGGGGAGCAGAAAGAGTCCTGTGAAAACTCAGTTAAATAGCACAGCTCTGGATACTTGATTATTTTTTTAAGGAGGAAAAAGAGTGAGACATTGTCCTGTAAAATCACCCAAACCCTGGCTTTCCCTGGAAATGTGGCGCAGGCAGGCCTAACCGTGCTGAGTATTGTTTCTGAGGACTGCCTCCGAGTTCATGTCTCTAAGCATTTTATTGAATACAACTGCTTCTTTGACAAGAAACAAGCAAACATGCTAATTGTACAACAAAATTATGGCATCATGGGACAAAAAAGGAATGACAGAGGGAGCATCAAAGAGCATTGCTTGTACGCCAAACATGAAAGCCAAATTTATTTAATTCAGTTTTTATTTATCTTCTAAACTGAGTTGAGTAATCAGGCAATAGAATGCGGTTCATTTAAAACTTTCATTATTTCAAATATGTTGAACCACTACCAATCACTCCTGGATCAACAGGAAACTTGCTACCTGATGAGTTGCCTTTTTTCTTTTTTCTTTTTTTTTTTTTTTTTTTCTTTGCTTTTTCCATCCCCATGATTGTTCCAACAGAAGGAGAAAAGATGTAATAAACCTTTACCGGGCACCGTCTGCGTCCAGGCACTCTACTCGGCCCTGGGGGTGCAGAGCACACCACCCCAGCCTTAGGCATGAAAAACACTGTGTACCGAGAAGCCCAGCCCCTGGAATCCAGCATGCTGGTGCTACATTCCAGCTCTGTCTCTTATTAACTGGGCCGCTTTTGACAAGTTGCTAAGCCTCTCTGATTCTTGGTTACCTCAACCTTAAAACAAGGATGATACCCACTTCATCAGGTTGTCATGAGTCACAAAAATAAATGTAGTGATGCTCTTAAAGGGTTTAGCACCAAGCTGGGCCCAAGGAAGCATTCTGTGTGTCTATTGACCAACTTTTACCTATCCTGACACCAAGGAGCTTAGAGTTTAGTGGAGATGGCAGAGCCGTCAGGGCCCGTGTTAGGCTCCCAAAGGCATTTTTACCAGTGCATGTGCCTCGCACAGACCTAGTGAGGTGATTAATTCTACTGGGAAAGTCACACTGGATGAACGAGAGGAGACGTATGAGTGGGGTCTTGAAACAGTAAAAATTTGCCAGGTGGAAGCATAAATGACTCTTTAAATGAAAGCCTGGTGTTTTTAAAGCAGTTCATTCTCATGAGTAATTCATCGCTTCTGTTTTCACAAAATAGTGAAAGGATCATTGCAGCAGCAAGGGCATGTGGAAGCCCTGCGTTCGCCTCATCCGTTCTCCCCATCTGTCCCCTGTCACAGTTGCAGCATCAAAACATTGTTCCCCTAGGCTCTGCTGAGTCGGATGTTTCTGAAACATTCCAGGGGACCGTGTGAGTCACATCAGGGAGGACACACAGGGCCATGACCCCAGTGAGCCATTAACACACCCATAGCCTGACTCTGCAACGGCTCCCCCGAGGGCGCCCCGCACAAGACCAAGCCCTTTGTGTCAGCTTCAGTTTGCCCTCACAGCTACCCCAGAACACCACTGGGACTGTCCCCGAGTCACAGAGGAGGAAGTAGAAACACAGAGAAGTAGCTTGCCAGGCTCACTGTTAGAACCCAGGTCCTTTCCTCTCCAGAGTCCATGACTCTAACACTCATGTGATGCTGGCAATGTGAACGGCTGGGGGGAAGCAGCAGAGGGTGACAGCAGGCCTTGGCACCAGAGATCCAGCCTGCGAATCCCAACCATGCCCCATATTAGCCAATGATCTTGGCAAAGTTCACATATCTCTAGGCCTCTCAGTTCCTCATCTGTAAAAGGGGAGGAATAATATTATCAACCTCCCAGGGCTGGTGTGAGGGCTGAAGGCATAGATGCTGGAAGCTCCTGGAGCGGTGTCCAGCCGGCGCAATGTAAGGCTCGATGCTGCTGCAGCTGTGTTACTATTAATATTAAAGGGAGGCTGCACCCCGAGGCTGTTTTAGGAAAGAACAGGCCAGACGCCTTCCAGGAAGCATCAGCAGGAGCCTCTCCTGGCGTCCTTCTGCAGTTTGGGGGTCTGGTACATCCACTTTGCAGGACAAAAACTTGATTTGATTCTCAGGTCAGTTCACATGACCCCAACACAAAAAGGATTGATACCAACCCAGACCGCCTCTGTGTGAATTAAATTTACAACAGCGCTGTATCAGAGCATCTGTCAATGCTGACTGGAAGCCCAAAGACCTCCAGATGATTGGTTCTGAGACTCCAGGAGAGGCTGGGAACACTCGGAGGGGCTCTGGATGGTGGCCAGGCGAGGGTGGTAGGTGAATTGCTGTCTGTCCTGGGTCGCCATGAGGCTTGTGGTGACTGCATAGATGCCCATTCCCTTTGTCAGCCAGCAATTTCTTATTCCCTGGCTCCCCTTCTCAACAACCCAAGTTGACCATCCCTTCTTCAGTGACCACAGCCTCCCCCAGGTAACAATCCCATTGCAGCCCCCAAGATGACCTTTAAGTCATGGACAAGGGCAGTTCTTCTTCTCCTTGGCCACACAGGAGGCATCCCTCTGGCTTCCACCTACATCTGAATAATCCCACCCACCACACTTCGATTCAACTTAACTCTATCCTCAGAGGCCACCTTTTCTCAGAATTCGTATCTTCTTCGAAGTAAGATCCTTCAGGTGAAACATACCTGCTGACCACCCACCCTGAGTCACTAAGTTAGCTGGGAAGCAGCAGTTTTGAGTGTGGGTTCAGGGTCGCAGCTCCAAGGTCAGACCACCTGGGCCCACGTCCTGACTCTACGATTTGCGTAGCTGTTGGTTTGTGCCTCAGAGTCCTCATCTGTAAGTGGGGATATTATACCTACTATAATAAATTAGTAATGCCACGGTAACAAAGTATTGCAAACATGGAGGCTAGAAATTTATTCTCCCACAGTTCTGGAGGACAGAAGTCCAAAATCAGTCTAACTGAGTCAAAACCAAGACGTTGGCAGGGCCACGTTCCATCTAGAGGTCTAGGGGAGGGTCCTTCCTGCCACTCCCCACTTCTGGTGGCTGCAGCATTCCTTGGTTTGTGGCCACATCACTCCAATCTCTGCCTCCACGGTCGTGTGGTCTTCTCCTTTTCTGTGTCTCAAATCTCCTCTGCCTCCCCCTGAGGACACTTCTGATTGCATTTAGCAAACCACAAACAACCCCAAGATAACTCAAAATAATCTCATCTCAAAGACCTTAACTCAGCTCTGCAAAGTCTTTGCTCTATGAAGTAACATTCCCAAGTTCCAGGATTAGGAGGTAGATATCTTTTTCCCGTGAAGACTCGGGGTTAACTTGCTCCAAGCCCTTCAGTTGGAGATTTTCAATCCTGTTGGTTAAATCAGGTTTTAAACATCCTTAGACCCAAATCTGGCCATACAAGGCAGAGAAAATCAACTTCATGCATCTTTACCAGTGTAAAGATTCCCATGTCACTTCATGGGGATGTACTTCAAAGATGGGTAGGAAATGGCAGCAAAGTGCCAACAGCATCTTTCTGGCTTAGGTCTGCAAGTGGCACATTATCCAAGCCACCCAATTCAAAGAAAGCTGAGTCATGCCCAGTTGAGTCTCCCTGATAGATAAGACTATTATTTCTTACTCTATGCATCTATATTGTTTAAATCTCAAAAGAGCAACCTCAAAACAAGTAACATTTTAAAATCTTGGATGGTTTCCCATTATCCAAAGTCAAAACCCCTTAAAACAGTAGTTCAGGTTCTCTATAATATTGTCTAATCTGTTTCTCAAAACTCATTAACTTTTAGTTCCCTTAAAGAAACTGTTTCAAACACAACCCTCTACTTTCTAGTCCCTAAATATCTGTATATTCAACAAATATTTAGTGTCGCATATGGGCTAAGCAGTGTTCAAGCAGCTGGTGTCACAGCAGTGAACAAATTTCTTGCCCTCGCGTAACCTACATCCTAATGAGTGTTTCTGTTCCATCTGTAATAGTTTGGCTGTGTCCTCACCCAAGTCTCATCTTGAATTCCCACATATTATGGGAGGGACCCTGTGGGAGGTAATCGAATCATAGGGGCGGGTCTTTCCCATGCTGTTCTCGTGATAGTGAATAAGTCCCATGAGATATGATGGTTTTATAAAGGGAAACCCATTTTGCTTGGTTTCACTCTCTCGTCTGCCACCACGTAAGACATGCCTTTCACCTTCCGCCATGATTGCGAGGCCTCCTTAGCCACATGGAACTGTGAGTCTATTAAAACTCTTTCTTTTGTAAATCACTCAGTCTTGAGTATGTCTTTATCAACAGTGTGAAGATGGACTAATACAATTTGTTAACTCATATTCTCTCTTCCTGGTTTGTCTGTCCTCTCACTCTCTGATGACATCCTATCTATTCCTCCTGTCTTGGTTTGGATGCTGCATTCTCTGTGAGGTGCCCAATATTGCCCTGGATCAGAGGTAGTGAGTTCTTCCTCCAAGCATTGATGTGCCCTGCTTGTACCTTCACAACAGCACTTCTCCCACTAGTCCACATACGAGATACATCTGAGGTGTGAAAGAAACAAGACTGGACGTGGACTCAGGATTTGGGCTGTGAATTCTGCTTTGCTTCTGTGAGAGCTTGGCAGATGGCAAGAACATCTTCCTCCTGGGAGTGTCAAGAGGAATAAAGGAGGCACACATGCAAAGTGCTTAACACAAAGCAGACCCAGAGTCAGTGGCCTCTTGACTTTGTGAATGAGCAACTGTAACAGAAATGATGGTTTTGGATTTTTGTTACCTAGGATCCAGCACCTAGCCTAGGAGCTCATGCCCTGCACTCTGTAAATGTTTCTTGAATCTACTTTGAATGCAGAGTCTGACATTGTGGGGATTTTTTTCAGGTATTCTGTTTACAAGGACCCAGCAGGTTGGCTGAATATTAACCCCATCAATGGGACTGTTGACACCACAGCTGTGCTGGACCGTGAGTCCCCATTTGTCGACAACAGCGTGTACACTGCTCTCTTCCTGGCAATTGACAGTGGTGAGTACTTGACAAAGACCATCAAGGGTATACTTTTCTGCTACAAATATACTTTTACATTTTTAAATTTCTTCTGATACACCCAGGGGTGTTCTTGGGAAGAATGTAAGTGTGTGGGAACAGCAAAGTAAATGTTTAAATATACACATGTTGAGTTCAGTAATATCTCCAAGTCCCAGAATCCTCAGATCTTTTTGGAAAGTGAATAATGTCTGGTGAGAGGTCAGAGCAATGAACTCACCCTGTCCCATCTTGGGCAGGCGTGGAGGTTAGAAAGCCACGCTGATGTGCTTTGTCTTGGTGTCATGCTCTCATTTGCAAAGAGGCTCTTGGACTTAATACAAGTTGAAAGTAAGTCCCAGAGGACATCACTGACCCTGACCATTGAATTGTTCTTGTAGCTTTTATCCTATTATGACACGCTGCCAAGGAAAGGCATCAGGTACCCTCAGTTAGTGGCTGCACAACCACAAAGCAATTGCTGTTCGTTCAAAAGATGGTAATGCACTATCCATATGCCAGCCCCTGATTAGATGCTGGGGGCGCAGCAGTAAACAAAAAGAAAGCTGTCCTCATGGAGCTGACGTGCAGAAAGGAGGCAAAGTTCAAAGTGCCACGATTGTTCTCTGCTCCTTTGAGATCAGACTGTAGGGCACAAGGGCAGAAGGAGGGCAACCTCTTAGGAGAGTGCATGGTAATCTATGCAAGATGGTGGCCTGGACCAGAGACTAGGAGGGGATGAGAAAAAGAGAGTTCCTATATACTTTGAATGCAGAGCTGACAGGATTTGCCGTTAACTGAGATGAGGGGATTCCAGTTGGTTTGGGGACATGTTAAGCTGCAATGTGTATTGTGTCAATCACACAAGAAGTTTTGTTCTCCCTATTATTCCTAAAAGCCAGCTGTTTATGGCTAAAGATTCAGTTTTGAGTCCTTCCATATCAAGATGAATATTTATAGGTGCCCATTGTTATACTCAACAAGGGTGAACTAAGAGTTCTCAGTCCTGGTCCTCGTATGCCGGCTACTCACACAAACCATTAGGAGACAAGTCTAAGAAGTGAGCAATCCATGTGACACACAATAAGTAGAGAGTGCTTCAAAATAAAGGTGAGCCTTGGGGTTAGCCTTGAAAGACGGGTAGGATTCGGATGAGTGGCATTACCCAGAAATCCAAGGCAGAGGAATCAAAACTAGAAGGGGGCACAGCACAGGAGGTAAGAAAAGGAAAAAATAACTGTTGTGTCTGCTATAAGTGCGTATGTAGGAATCTATTTGGATGTATGTGGAAAAGTCACATCTTCAAAGCCAGATGATTCATTTGATAGAACAGGGAACCAGGAGACCCTGAAACTTCTTGAGGAGGAAACTGACACGATGAAATATCAGGTAGACAATGTTCAGCAACTGAGAGCTGGACCAGATCTTGTGCTTGGTCCTGGAGACTCATGGATGAATAATACATGGTCCTTGTGTTCAGAGGGCTCATGAATTATTTGGAAGGTTAGTCAAGTACACAGAAGATCACAGTAGAGTGTCCTAACTGTTCTGATGGAGCTAAGCCCAGAGAAGCCCCTGTCCAGCCTGGGGGGTAGTCATGGAGAGCTGCCTGAGAGAGGGGACATCTCACCTGCGTGATGAAGGATATGTGGATTAAAGGTAGGGCATGCTAGTTCTGGTGTTGAGTTAGTTGGCAGCTTCTGATTGGTTAGCCTTAAGTTTCGTTTTTCTTTAACATAGTCATTTATAAGAAATAGCTCATGTTGGCTGGGCACGGTGGCTCATGCCTGTAGTCCCAGAACGTTGGGAGGCTGAGGTGGGTGGATTACAAGGCCAGGAGTTTGAGACCAGCCTGGCCAATATGGTGAAACCCCATCTCTACTAAAGATACAAAAATGAGCTGGGCATGGTGGCACACACATGTAGTCCCAGGTACTCAGGAGGCTGAGGCAGGAGAATCTCTTGAACCTAGGAGGCAGAGGTTGCAGTGAGCCGAGATTATGCCACTGCACTCCAGCCGGGGTGACAGAGTGAGACTCCATCTCAAAAAAAAAGAAAGAAATAGCTCACGTTCAGTTTTGCTTATGTTTGCAAATCAAGCAAGGTTAAGGTGACTTATGACACCTAACTGGCTTTTTCTGCCCAGTGGTTCTTCAGGCCTAATTTCCATTTTAATTTACTTTAACAATTGATATGACTGAACTGTGTCCTCTCAATGTTGACGTATTGGAGTCCTAATCCCTGGTTCCATAGCATGTACCTTATTTGGAAGCAGGCTTGTTGCGGATGTGGTTAGTTAAGGTGAGGTCATGCTGGAGTAAGGTGGGCCCTGATCCAATATGATTGATGTCTTCCTCAAAGGGGGAATTTGAAGACAGGCATGCACACAGGGAGAACACCACATAAAATGAAGGCAGAGATCAGGGTGATGCTTCTGCAAGTCAAGGAGTTCCAAAGATTCCCTGTAAACTTCCAGCAGCTGGGGGAGAGGCTGGGAGGAGAGCCTTCCTCACATCCCTCAGCAGGAACCAAACCTGCAGATGCTTCAGTCTTGGACTTCAGGCCTCCAGAACTGTAAGACAATAGATTTCTGTCGTGTAAGCCACTCCTTTGTGGCACTTTGTTATGGCAACTCTAGCAAAGTAATGCAAGATTTAATGGAGTCATTACCTATAAAGCATTTGGAACAGTACCTTGCTTGTAGCAAGTGCTTAACTTAACTATTTAAAAAAAAAAAAAAACAGGTAAAGCATTCTAGTAGAATAAAGATGTGAGAAGTTGGGAAGTTGGTCAGCATTAGTGGAAGCTAGCATGGCAGGTTCTTTGTGTGCAAAGATAAGGGCAGAGAAGCGTGTGGATACCGGACTGTTCTAAGGTTGGAACTGGGTCTTGTGCTGAATGCCCAGCACCTACCATGGTGCCTGACTTAGAGCAGGCACTCACATGCCTGTAGAATAAGTCATGAAATCAATCGTGAAATGCTCCACATGCTATGCCATGGACTTTGGCCTTGAAAATGTCACTCACTTGCCTCCAGAATAAACATTGTGTTTTACAAAGATACACAGGCACAGTGGCTCATGCCTGCAATGTCAGCACTTTGGGAGGCTGAGGTGGGCAGATCGCTTGAGGTCAGGAGTTCAAGACCAGCCTGGCCAACATGGCAAAACCCCATCTCTACTAAAAAAAAAATATACCTCCCCTCCACAAAAAAGAAAGATACATCCTATAGCAGCATAGAAAATGGACGCGGTGATGGCAAGATGTGAGGAGGGAGGCATTAGGCAGCTGCCGCAGAAATACAGGTAAGAGAAAAGAGAGGACCAAGCCAAGGTAGTGAAGTTAGTTGGGGAAAAGTCAGCCTGCAGTGGGTAAATGTGTTAGAAACCATAGCAGGTATCTTAGTTGATGGGGTCAGAGTCTGCGCAAGCATAACATAAACGGACCAGAGGGGAAGAACCTAGATAACATCTGAAAGGAAGAAACAAATCTTTGTCAAGAGCTTATACTGAACATGAGCTAGAGAAATGCAATATTCAGGTTTCTGGTCCAGAAATCAGGAATGACTATTTCATCAACGTAAACAGGGAGTGAGTTTCAGAGGACTGGTCCTTCTTGTTTTCGGAGGGTGGGTGTTGAGATTACGTCCCAGAAGAAGCTGGCAAGATAGAAATGGAATAAGGAGAGATTTTGATTAGGGAGTTGCCCATGCAGAAGAGATGCGACTTATCAGAACAGAAAAGCTTTCCAAAAGGAAGAGGTCTGGACAGAGTACTGAGTACAGAATCAGGGATGAAAATAAGCCAAGATTGTTTAAAATTCTGTGTAAAATGAAAAGTATCCATTACTGATCAGCTAAAGTAACAATGGCAGGGTTCTGTAGTATGTAGAAGTATCTGTATCTGTGGAGAAATTTCTCAGCAAAGAATGTCAAGAAGCATGGATGAAATATAGCGTAGCATGGCTGGCATTTCTTTGTGAAATTTTTTGTGCAATTATAAATCCAAAGAAACTAGAAATGCGGTATACTTGAATTGTTACCAGAAGCGAGAGCCTTCTTTACATGTATGCAGTAATCAGTTAAGTGACACTGTGTGCGTATATACCGTGTCCCGAATATTAAGAAGAACAAAACCAAAATTTGCAGATTAAGAAACAGACACCAAATTTAGTTGGCTTTCTAAAAGTCGTATCATTAGGATAGCATTTTTCTACCTTTAGTTTCTTGCATTTTTAACAGTCTTTAAAATTTCTGTGTGGAAGCAGCAATCTGGTCTAAACTTCCGCCATACCACTTACTAGCTATCTGATTTTGAAGAAATAATTTACAATGTAGTCAGGACCTAATGATACCTTACAGCTGTTTCTCATCTTTGAGACTCATTGAGTCTCATCTATGTTTTCTCAACATTCAGCATACACCTGTATGAACTGTCTGGCTGTGTAACTGTGAAAGCTTCTCACAGACTGTGAGTCTCATTTTCTACATATACAAAATGAAGAAGATAATTCCTACTTATAACGTTGTGAGAAATGAGTGAAGTGCTGTACCCTCTAGATTCTCCATCAAAAGCCATATTAAATGTTCACTACATGTTAATCCCACCCAGGTGGGGGTTTCAGAAAGGAAAGAATAGAGCCAGGAATGATCCTTCCATGACCCAAGAAATATACAGCTTGAAATCCACTTGTTGTCTAACTCTGTTAACGCTAATATCAGACACGGAAATTTAAAATCTGGTACCACAGATGTTTCCAGAGAGCTAAAATGTCCCCAAAGGTGTAATGGTAAATAGAAACCAGGTTGGCATTAACATACAAAACCATCGTTAGGAATAATAATCTCGAACAAGACCCAAAGGACTTACAGCAAAAAGAACATAAATTAAAAAGCCCTTATAAATCAGAGCAACTTTTATTTAAAAGCTCCTTTTTGCCTCACCAAAAACTTACCTCTAGTATTATGTTTAACCCGGAAAAGCCAACACTATCTATTAGATCAAAGTTAGTAGGCCAAGCAAGGTGGCTTACACCTGTAATCCTAGCACTTTGGGAGGCTGAGGTTGGCAGATTGCCTGAACCTAGGAGTTCAAAACCATCCTGGGCAACATGGCAAAACTCCATCCCGAAAAAGAATACAAAAATTAGTCATGCACAGTGGCACATGACTTGTAGTCCCAGCTACTCAGGAGGCTGAGGAAGGAGGATCACCTGAACCCAGGTAGGTCAAGGCTGCAGTGAGCCAAGATCACACCGCTGCACTCTAGCCTGGGCAGCAGAATGAGACCCCGTCTCAAAAAAAAAGTAAATAGTGCTAACTGATCTCTCAACTTTATCCAAAGTGAGCATTTGTTTTTATTAGTTTTATAGAAATTTAATTTATTTGATGGAAGGAGAGAATAAGGATTTTTGGCATATAACACTAGGAAAGCTGAACCAAAATAAATTGATTTCTCCAAACAAAGAGTAACTCAGGAATTTATGCCAAAACATGTTGATAAAATATATGGCTTCGGGAACTTCCATGTAGGATACAGTACGGAAGTGTCCCCACTGTGAAACTAGAAAAATCTAGTTAAATTATAAAAATCAGATAATATAAAAAAATCTTAATTGTAAAGGAATCAGGGAGCTGCAGAAGCATTGACAACTAGATAAACTAAAATACCAAAGAGGGAAAAGTCATTTCAAAAAGAAAACCTTTTTTTTTCTCTGGGTGCATTTTCTGATTCTAGGTGAGAGTCAGGCTTGGCCCATGCAGAGAGCCTAGGATGGAGGGAAAGAAATTAGAAACGAGTGTCAGAATCACAGGGAGCTTTTGTGACAAACTGGAAACTTGAGGGGCTGCTTTTCCTCTGTGGACAAATGCCCTAAAGGACAGAGTGAAATCTCCTTGGGTCTCACAGAAAACAGAGACCTACCAAAGGAAGCAAGCTCTCCTCAAATACATAGCCATTCTCTCATTTAAGATATTTGCCAGATTTTGAAGGTACAAGGAGTTAAAGGATGGGGTGTGGGATGGCTGGAGAGTTAAGATGGTAACCACTGAAGGGAAGAATTGGATTTCCTGGAGCCTTTCAGACTAAGATACTCCAGACTTTCAATCAAAATCCCAGTAGGGCCATGCCCAGCAACAGGAGTAAGCCAGAAGTTGACTCAGTCTTGTTCAACTTGCAATGCGGCCTGACCCTTTTCAAGCCCTTACTAAGTTGATGAAGCAAGGCTCCATCTGATACAGTTTGGCTCTGTGTCCCCACCCAAATCTCATCTTGAATTGTACTCCCATAATTCCCATGTGCTGTGGGAGGGACCCAGTGGGAGATAATTGAATCATGGGGGCAGTTTCCCCCATACTGTTCTCATGGTAGTGAATAAGTCTCATGAGATCTGATGGTTTTATCAGGGGTTTCCACTTTTGCGTCTTCCTCATTCTCTCTTTGCCTGCTGCCATCCCTGTAAGATGGGACTTGCTCCTCCTTGCCTTCCACCATGATTGTGAGGTTTCCCCAGCCATGTGAAACTGTACATTCAATTAAACCTCTTTCTTTTTTAAATTGCCCAGTCTCTGGTATGTCTTTATCAGCAGCATGAAAATGGACTAATACATCATCCTATCTGACTAATACAGGAGAGGGAAAAACTCATAGCACCATATGTCATCTGGAGCCTCTCCAATCTTTTTTTTAATAATGCCCAATTTACAGTTTTATAAAAATTACTTGACCTGTAAAGAAGCAAGAATGTGTAAGTGATGAACAAGAGAAAAATCAGACTACAGAGGATCCAGATATTTGAATTAGCACACAAGAACATTAAAATAAACATGATTAGTATGTTCAAGGAGACAGAATAAAAGATAGATTCAAGCAGAGAGAATTACACAAGAGATCTGAAATCTTTAAGAAGGAATCAGATAGATATTCCAGAACTGAAATACATATTATCATATTAAAAACTCAGTAAGTAGACTTAACAGCAGAACACAGGATTTTTAACCTGGAATATGAATCTATAGCAAACACCACAAGGGAAGCACAGTGAGGATAAAGAACGGGAAAAAATCTGCCAAAAGACTAGTGTGTGGAATTGGAGTTACAGAAGGATAGGAGAGTGCTAATGGAGCAGAAAAAAAAATTTGAAGATGTAATGTCCAGGAATTTTCCAAAACTGATGAAAGACATTCTCCCTATTAAATCAAAAAGTTTAGCAAACCACAAGCTGGATAAATTTGAAGAAAAACACACCTCAAACACTGAAATCAAACTGATGAAAAACAATATCAAAGAGAAAATGTTAAAAATAGCCTGAGAATAAAAGAGGCATTTACCTGCAAATGAGCTACAATATGACTTATGGCTGACTTCTAGATAGAAATAATGGAATGTGGAAGGCAATGGAATAACATTTCTCTGAGCACTTTAAAGATGCCTACCAACCTAGAATTCTTTA
The DNA here is from genome assembly GCF_000001405.40 of Homo sapiens. Taxonomy (NCBI): domain Eukaryota; kingdom Metazoa; phylum Chordata; class Mammalia; order Primates; family Hominidae; genus Homo; species Homo sapiens. The sequence goes on from NC_000016.10 coordinate 83,755,700, forward strand.
GTTCTCAAATTTTTCCCTTCAAAATCAAGGTGAATTAAAGACTTTTGGGGCAAAAAAAAAAAAAATGGAATTGTATTGCAAGCAGGTTTATGCCTTTTACTGAAGAGAATATTTCAGGCAGAGGGAAAATGATGCCAGAGAGGCATAGAAACACAAGAAACATAAATAAAAATAGAAAGTTAAATATGTATAAAGTAAAAAAGTAAATGAAGTAAAATTGTAAGGACATAAGGAGTTAAAAATATTTATAGAACTAAAATGCATGACAGCAGTAACAGAAAAAGTGAGAGGCTATAAACATAGTTAAAACAGTTTCTGCAGCATTGGAGATGTAGTTAAAGCAATACTTTGTATTAGACTCTAATAAGTCAAGTATCTATATTGTATAACCCTTAGGGTAATCACTAAAAGAATATAAAAGAAAGTAAAACTAACAAATTAATAGAAGGAAATAGGTTTGACTAATCCAAAATAAGAAAGGAGGGGGAACAACATTAAAAAGATGGCCAAATAGAACAACAAGGTGATACAGTAAGTATATACCTAATTATACCACAGTAAAATGCAAAATGTAAACAGATTAAATATTTCAAGTAATATTATCAGACTATTTTTAAAAATCAGCAAACTGGATGCTACATACAATAGACACACTTTAAATAAAAGAACAAAGAATGGAAATAAAAGAAAAATATACCTTGATAGTACAGTCTCTCCTAAAAACACATGAAAGTATTTTTTAAAACAAGCTTGTCCAACCCACAGCCTGTGGGCCATATGTGGCCCAGAATGGCTTTGAATGCGGCCCAACACAAATTTTTAAACTTTCTTTAAACAACATTATGAAATTTTTTGGCGCTTTTTTTATAGCTCTTCAGCTACTGTTAGTGTTAGTGTATTGTATGTGTGGCCCAAGACAATTCTTCTTCCAATGTGGCCCAGGGAAGCCAAAAGATTGGACACCCCTGTTTAAAACAAGAAACATGACAAGAGGTAAAGAGGCCATTTCATAATGATGAAGGGAGGTATCAAAAAGAAGGACATCACAGTCCTAAATCTGTATGTACTGGACAGCACAGATTCCAAATATACAGAGCAGAGAAAACTAAAAAGAGAAGTAGACAAATCTACAATCATTGTGGGAGTCTTAAAACATCTCTCATATCAGCTTCAAGAAAAAACAACAAGGAGTAAAGCTGTAAAAGATTTGAACAAAATAATTAACAAATTTCATCAACTAACATATATAGAACTCTGAACTCAACAACTGAGTTCATTCTTTTCAAATTCCCAAGGAAAATTACCTAAATTGTTTGCATGCAGAGCATATAGAAAAGTCTAACAAACGTTTTTAACTGCAATTATTTCTAGTATATCCTCCAATCACAATGGAATTAAACTAAGCATTAGTAGCAAAATATAACCAGAAACACCCTAACTGACTGAACATAAAACAGTACACTTCCAAATAACTCATAATCAAAAACAAAAATAGAAATATGAAATGTCAAAACTTGTGGGATGCACTAAACCAGTGCTCAGAGGAAAATTCTAGAAAATAGGAAACAAATATACAAGACAAAATCAACAAATCCAGGCTGGGCACGGTGGCTCACTCCTGTAATCCCAGAATTTTGGGAGGCTGAGGCGGGTGAATCACCTGAGGTCAGGAGATCGAGACCAGCCTGGCCAACATGGCAAAACCCTGTCTCTACCAAACGTACAAAGATTAGCTGGATACAGTGGCATGTGCCTGTAATCTCAGTTACTTGGGAGCCTGAGGCAGGACAATCGCTTGAACCCAGGAGGCGGAGGTTGCAGTGAACCAAGATCGCACCACTGCATCCCAGCCTGGGTGACAGAGCGAGACTCTGTCTCTAAAAAATTTTTAAAAATTGAAAATCAACAAATCCAAAAGTTTGTCCTATAAAAAGATTGAATAAAATTGTAAACTCATATCGAAACTGTTGGGCAAAAAAAGAAAAAAACACAAATTACCAACACTGGGAATAAAAAAGGGAAAATGACTATAGCCATCAAAAAGATACAAAGATATTATGAACGGCATTATGCAATATATTTGACAATTTGGACATAATGGACAAGTTTCCCCAAAATTAAAACTTATCAAAAATAACCTAAAAAGAGGCTGGGCATGGTAGCTAATGCCTGTAATCCCAGCACTTTGGAGGCCGAGGCAGGAAGATCACTTGAGGCCAGGAATTTGAGACCAGCCTGGCCAACATGACAAAGCCCCTTCTCTGCTAAAAAATACAAAAATTAGCTGGGTATGGTGGTGCACGCCTGTAATCCCAGCTGCACTCTGTCCCAAAAAAAAAGAAAGAAAAAGAAAAGAAGAAAATCTTAACTAGCCCAGTGCTTATGGAAAAAAAAAAAATGTTCTTGAAAACCAAAAAGAAAACTACAGATCCAGATGGCTTTGCTACATGTTTCCAAATATTTAAGAAAGAAAAACAATTTTATACAAACCCTTCCAGAAACAGAAATAGAAGAAATACTTAATCCCTCTTTTTATGAGACAAGGTTTTTCCAAAACCTGACAAGATCTTACAAGAAATTAAAATTGCAGACCGATCTCACTCATGAGCATAAATTTTTAAATTCTTAACAAAAATATTAATGAATCCCACAAAAATGATATGATCATCTCAAGAGTTGCATTTGAAAAAAATTCATGTTGATTTCTGATTTTTTTAAAATAATGTTTAGCAAACTAGGAAACTTTTTTAGTCTAGTTTTAAAAAAAAAATAACAGAAGGAGCTGCTGCTACAGCAAACATCTTCCTCAATGGTGAAATAGTAAAAACTTTTTTTGTGACCTCAGTCCCAGCCAGAGCGAGAAGGCAAACAAAAGAAATACTAGGCTTAGGAATTAAAAGTAAGAAATCTCTTTATTCATAAATGATATGCCTAAAATAATCTAAAAGAATTTTCAGAGAATCTATTACTGATTTTAGTAAAGGTCATCAGGTATAAGATCAGTATACACAATTAATTGTTTTATATACCCCAGCAGTAAGCAAATGGAAAATAAAATTCTAAAAGATACTGTTTGCAATATCATCAGAAACACCAAATAGCAAGGTATAAATTTAAAGAAAGATATGCAAGTCCTCTACAATGAAAACTACAAATGACTGCCTAAGATAATTTTTGTCTCCCTATTTAAGCCCACATTAACGGAGAGATATACCATGTTCATGGATTGGAAGGCTCAATGGTATTGAAATGACAATTCTTTTCAAACCGACCTGAGGGATTCAATGCAATACCATGCAAAGTCCCAATCCCAGCATGGGGATCGGGGCAGAAATTGATACACTGATTATAAAATTTATATGGAAATACAAGGAGTGAAAAATGGCCAAGGCAATCTTGAAGAATAAGTTGTAGAACTTACACTACCGTACATATATCCAGACGTATTAGAAAACCATAGTAATTGAAACCATGGTATTTGCACAAAGATGGGAACAAGCTGACCAATGCAATAGAATAGAGAATTCAGGAAGAATTCCACACATACCCAGTTTCTGATTCTAACAAGGAAAACACAACACAGCAGTGCAGGTGAGAAAGCATGGTCTTTCAATAAATAAGGCCAAGTTGATTGAATAAACATATTTTTTAAAATGCATCCTGACCCCCTCTTAAACCATATACAATAATTAATTCTAGATATATTACAGATCAAAATATAGAAGGAAAAAATGCATATTTTAGAGAAAAACATATGAGAACATATATGTCCTTTGTGTAAGCAAAGCTTTTCGTAATTAGGATACAAAAGTACTAACCACAAAAGAAAAAAAAAAGATAGATTACATTGAAATTAAGAGCTTTGATTCTTCAAATGACACAGTTAAGAAAGTAAAAAGTAACCTACAGAGTAGAAGATATTTATAATACAAAGAAATGCTGCAGGCCTGGTACAGTGGCTCATGCCCTATAATCCCAGCACCTTGGGAAGCCAAGGTGGGCAGATCACTTGAGCCAAGGAGTTTGAGACCAGTGTGAGTAATAAAGCAAGACCTTATCTTTACAAAAAATAAAAAAAATTATCCAAGTGGTGTGGCACACACCTGTGGTCCCAGCTACACAGGAGGCTGAGGCAGGACGATCACTTGAGCCCAGGAGTTCAAGGCTGCAGTGAGCCATGATCACACCACTGCACTCCAGCATGGAGGACAGAGTGAGATCCTGTCTCAAAACCAATAAAAAAAAAAAAAAAAAGAAAGAAATCCTATAATCTGTAAGCAAAAGACACAACCCAAAGAAGAATAGATAAGAGACTTAAACAAATACTTCACAGCAGAAAATACACAAATCCTAACAAATGTATGAAAAGATGCTCAACTTAATTAAATAAAGATATATACATTAAATTATACAAATATAAATTAAAACACAAATTAATCAAGGAAATACAATGAAGTGCAGTACAGCAGCATACCTATAAAATGGCTGAAATGAAAAGATGAAAAATACCCAGTGCTGGCAATGGTGTGAAATAATTGGAACTCTCCTACACAGCTGGTAGAAGTGTAAATTGGGTACAGCCACGTTGGAAACATAGTATCAACTAAAGCTGAACATACATATGCCCTATGTTCCAGGAATTACATGCCTAGGTATTATCTATCCAACAGAAATGTGTTCCCCAAAACACGAGTGCCAGAATATCCACTATTCATAAGAGCCCAAAGTTGGAAATTATCCAGATGCCCAGCAAAAGTTGAATAATAAATTGTGATACATTCACAAAATGGCATCTGTACAATAATAATGAGTGAATGAACTGCAACTATTCACAACATCATGGGTGAATCTCACAAACATAGTGTGCAGCAAAAGAAGGCTGAAACAAGAACACACATGCTAAATGACTGCATTTATATAAAGCTCAAACCCAGGCGAAATTAATCCTAGCCAGCAGATCACCTTGTGGATGGGTTTCTTGATCTGGTAGTACTAGACTACATGGGTGTGTTCAGATTGTGAAAATTCTTCAAACTGTGTGTTTGATACATGAAGATTTCTATGTTTCAATAAGAACCTAACAAAAAATGCATGGCTGCAGAGAGAGAGCACGTAGCTAGTCCTGTAACCATTCACATATTCTCAAGTACCTTCTGAGCATTTAGACAGACTCTCAGCATCTTGTTCCAAGGAAGGGCAATCCCTGTTTGCTGATGGGCCAATTTTGCCAGGAAAGGTGAGTGATAAGAGTTCTACATAAGGAACAAAGCAAAGCAAATCATGTTCCCTGCAGTCCCTACCATGCTTTGCAACGGGCAGAAGTGACACCATCGTTAACTTGCTACACACAGCTCAACATACTCAGTTTATAACAATTTTAAGATGGTAGCAAACGATAACTTTCCTTTAAATACCCCTTAGAGGATACAAACTGTCAGATCAGAATGGAGTGATGTCAAAAGAGCAGGACTGAAAACCTGATCTGAGGTTAACAGAAATAAAGAGCCCTTTGGACCTATTTGCTTGGGGCCCCAGAGCTAGTCTAGATAATTTCTAGAATCGTGCTTCATAATAATTTTGATAATGCCTAGGTTGCAGATGACTTGAGGAGGAAAAGACACGTTGTAACCAACAGAATATTCAAGGTACTTTCTTTAAACTTAAAAGAAAATCCTTGGCTAGATTACATTTCACTGAGTTTAGTTGAGCAAAGAACAATTGGTGAATTGGGCAACCTCTCAAGCCAAAGTAAGCTGAGAGAGACTCCAGCGCAGGCATGTAGTGGAAGAAGATTTATGGACAGAAAAAGGAAAATGATGTACAGAAAATGGAAATGAGGCACAAAAGCAGCTGGATTGGTTACACTCGGCATTTGCCTTATTTGAACGCTATTTGAACAGTTGGCCCTTTGATTGGCTCAAACTCCGAGACTGGCACGAGAGTAGGTGACAGTCTGTTTACACCTCCATTCAGATTATAGTTCACTATGTACAGGGAAACCTTTAGGCGGAACTTAGCATATTTAAGAAGGCAGCTTTAGGCTAACTTGATTTTACAAACTGTTATCAGTAATTTTAATGCACTATAACCAGCAAAGTGGCTCACGCTTGTAATCCCAGCACTTTGGGAGGCTGAGGCAGGTGGGTCACTTAAGGTCAGTAGTTCGATACCAGCCAGGCCAACATGGTGAAACCCCTTCTCTACTAAAAATACAAAAATTAGCCAGGCGTGGTTGTGCATGCCTGTAGTCCCAGCTACTCAGGAGGCTGAGGCAGGAGAATCGCTTGACCCTGGGAGGCAGAGGTTGCAGTGAGCTAACGCCACTGCACTCCAGCCTGGGTGACAGAGCGAGACCCCACCTAAAAAATAAAATAAAAATAAAATAAGTAATTTTAATGAGCTGTAAATTACCTAAGAACATTGTTTCAATAAAACAGAAATGCTTTTGTTTTGCTACATCAAAACTGGCTGTGGCCAAATGACTTGATGAGTAAAGCCTTTAATCCTATAGATTAATAAGTTGTGACCTTTAATGCTGGCATTTTATCTTTAGAGATGAATATCGTCATTTGCCTTATATGGTCCAGATTTTCTGAAAGGTCAAAATAGTGCCTTCAGAGTACAGGCACTCTTTTATGGAAGACTTCAATGAACACAGAATTGCTGCCCTCTCTTAAGAAAGGATAAAATAAAAAAAACTGTTAAGGAAAAACCCAAGCGGTAGAGAGAACATTCGGGAATGCAATAAAATGGAATCCCTTTGGGGATGTGCTGGCAGTGGAGCAAGGCAGTAGCAATTAGCACTGGCCAAATCCCAGTGTCAATACCACTCCTGCCTACAGGTAATCACCAGAAAGGTCAAATGTTAGTCGCCCTGTCTTATGTGGGCTGAAAACTGTCACAGGCGATTTCTCGTAAGGGTTCTGGAATCCCACTGGGGACGGCCACAGGCAGGAAAGGCATCGTTGGCCGCTGCTTCTTGGCTCACTCACTCCACGCTCACTGCTCAGAATTCTCTGAGACTGGTCTTCCTGCCTCCTTCTTACTGGTAACCTAATCTTTCCCCCTCCTCTTGCTTGAAAATTGTGTAGGGTTCATTGTTCCATGATTGTTATTGAATGGGGCTCTTATGCTCTCACAGAAGACCTAAATGATGACTGCAAACAATGAAGACAAATATTTTGCTCCAGGAAGCCCAAATGCCCTCTCACACTCTGCCAAGTTTAAAGAAAGACGAAAACAAAAGGTGTCCCTGTTAGTTCCCCCTAAGGCTCAGGGCATATGAAATAGTTTGAACCTGGCAGCCCAAACCATCTCTACGGGGCCCGTATTAAGTCTTTATATGATTATCAAACGCGTCATATTCCCCATCTATTTCCATTTAAAAGAACGGGGGAGTGATGGCTTTTAAAACAAGCCAAATTACCACTAAATTCAGCAGCATGTTTTCATGACTTAGCAACTTATATAAAGTATGTTTGAGCCTGCCAGTGAAAAATGTGATGTGGGTTGCCAAGAAGACACACAGATATAGAACCAGGCATAACAGCTGTAAAATTAAAATGGAATAGACTAAGATAATGATTTTTCATAGGCTAAGATATATCATGTCCCAGCCTGTCTTCTCCTTCAGTCCTCTGTAAGATAGATGTTCCAATAATGCCAGCTGATTCAAAATTGAAATATTGTTCAAAATATGCTTAGATTGATTTTTTTTAAAAATTGTTATTCAGCCCCAGAGTGAAATGACTACTGAACTACTGAATTTATAGCCCCCAAACTGAGGGTGGGAGGGGCTCTGAACTGAACTTCAGAAAGATACCTCAGCCTGTGGTCTTTCTCTTTTCATAGCTCAACCAAGCTCTAGACTGCAGGGGGGATATAGTAAGATTATTTAGATTGATTCTACTTAAAAGATGCTAGTTTGGATAAAATGAAGCCATTAGTTATGATGGCAACCCAATCAAGCCAGTTTAACACCCCTTATCTCAGCTGTGATATTAATTGAGGAGGAAAAATAAATTGATGACCCAGCCATCATTCCGCCTTACTTCAAGCACTCGCAAAATATCAGTCATGTTGAAAATACTACCTACAGTTTGTCACTGACAAAATGGCCCAATAAAAGAACTCTTAAGATCTGGTAATAGTGAGGTGTGATCAGAGCCATTGGAGGGGCAGCACACTGGGTCCACTGAGATAATGGAGCCTAGTGCCATCTACACCTCAGGATGAGTTCAGCTCCGCATCTTAGCTGTGCAATGATAGCCGAGAGACTTACACTCTCTCAGCCTCAATTTCCCCACCTGCAGAATGAAGATAATGCCATCTGCCTGCTGGGTTGTTAGAGGGTTGGAAATCATGAATGCACAATTCCCAGTACTCCTAAGCATATAAGAAATGCTTAAGTGAACTGACTTGAACTGAGTCATGGACTGATCTTCTAAGCATGTCATTACAGAATCATGAGTGCTGAGGCAAACTATGAAAAGGCACTTATGACCACCGTGGTGGTGATCTGAGCATTTTTCTAGGGAATGGATGGGCCATGGACCCCCCCACTTGGACAAGGATGCTAAATCCAATTAGCCAGAAAAGGTGTCCTTGGACGTTGGCATCAATTCATGGAGCTTGTCTCTGGCTGAATGGGCAGGTGGAAGCCTGACAGCAGGACATTTCTACATTGATCAGGCAAATCAACTATCTTAAACAGAACATTTTCATTCATTTTTTATGCAAAAGAAACTGATTTTGACATTAAAATACTGTCAGTGATGCCCATCTCAACCAGTTCATCCTGCCAAAGTGTCTTTTAGCTGGTCCCCCACTGGAGTCCCCCTTCCCCAGCTTTATATTGGCATTGCCATCTACCCAGTCCTCAAGCAAGACCCCTTCCTCTGTGAGGCTCCCACCCCCTCAGCCTGCTCAGCCTCCTGAAGTCAGCCCTTTACTCTTGCATCCTGCCTGCCTTCCCTGAGGCCCTTGCCACGGCTGCTCAGCCTCCTGAAGTCAGCCCTTTACTCTTGCATCCTGCCTGCCTTCCCTGAGGCCCTTGCCACGGCTGCTCAGCCTCCTGAAGTCAGCCCTTTACTCTTGCATCCTGCCTGCCTTCCCTGAAGCCCTCGCAATGGCCTCCATGACAGTCCTGGCCTCCTCACTCAAGTCCATTCCTGCCTGTGCGTCTGCATCCTCTGCTTTGTATCAAAGCCATTCTCCTGCTTTAAAGTCTTTGAACTTCTCACAAAATAGCCACACCACTTCGTCCCCCTACAACAACCTTCATCCTCTCTACAAGGTATTCTCATTTCTAGCACACTCAAATGCCATCTCTTCATGAAGCCTTCTGATCTATCCCCAGGCAGTTAATTATCCCAAGCCACAAGTATTTTATTATCACCTCTCTTCCTGTGCTTGTAACACCATCCCACATCTGCTTACATATCTGTTCCTGCCATAGCATTAGCGTTTCAAGAGCAGGCACCTGTACCATTGACATTAGCACATTTCCATCCAGGCAGAGGGTAGAGTCCCAGTAAATGGTTATTGACTGAATGAATAAAATGAAACTGTCATGTTTAAACATGGCCTCAAAATTAATTATTTCCCTTTTTTTCTTTTATCTAAAGTCAGTGGAATGGAAAAAAAAACCAAAAAGTTGAATTTTTGTACAACAGTTTAGTTTTACATTATTGTCTCTTCTAAAATAATTTTTCAGCCCAAATTATGTGGATAATTGCTTCAGTTCTACATCAAGTATAGTATACACGGAAACCTGGCGTTATATTATTGCAAACTTATTTTCCACCAGACTTTTTGTTGGCTTACTATTAACATTTTTCTATATATATATATATACACACACACAAAGAGAGAGAGAGAGAGAGAGATTTCTGAGATGAAATTGGCAAGATCTCTATTAGCAAAGCAATAAAACTGATCTTAAGTTTAAAAACAATGAGATTCTCAGCTTATAGAGCTGATTTGTAAAATACTGGTGCTGAAAAACCATATTAAAGAGAACACAAAGTATAAAATAAAACAAAGGATAACCTTAGAAGACTCCTGGTTCACTTACAGCTTTCTTTTTTTTTTTCTATTTTTATCTTAAACAGGAGGTACACGTGCAGGTTTGTTACCTGGCTCACTCTCAGTTTTAAAGCAAAGGTGAAGGTACATTTAGAGTCCTGTTCAGATGACATAAGAGGCCTGGCATGTATTTGCTCACAGCTGCTTATTGAAGGTTCAACAGATGCACAGCTACCTAGAGGGAATTTGGGGCCATAGATTGTACCGCTCTTGTGTCCATGCTCAAGATTGCTCATTAGCTCACATCTAAATTGTGGCTCCTCTCAGATGGGCCCATCTTCCTGATTATCCTCCCAGAATGTGGGCCTCAGGCTTCCTTGGGACACTAGCCAAGGTCCCTCTCTATGTCCCTGGTATGGGCACCCTGTTCTGAGTCCCAGCTCTGCAGACCTCTGCCCCACCACACACTGTTTTCTCCCCAAGGGTTAGATTAGGAAGGATTTGAATTTAGACAGAGCCACTACTCTCAAAATAGAAGCAAACTTATGGAAATACAAACATATATGATTACATTTACAGGAAGAGCCATACATATTTGTTTTTTAAATCAAATTATAGGTTGGCACAAAAATAATTGTAGTTTTTGCCATTGCAAGTAATGGCAAAAAACCACAATTACTTGTGCATCAACCTAAGAATTCAAACATATGCTGAGCACTTATTATATGGGCTTCCTGTTTTCCCTGTTCTCTGTCTTCCTACATTTCATTGTTCACACAGACAACCTCACTTTGCACACTGTTTCCAAATAAAACCACTTGTACTCATAACTTCCAAGGTAAGACATATGCTGCATGCCTCTGGGCCTACCTCTGGGAAGATTTGGGACAAGTGGCTGGAAAAGTCTACTACTTTCTAAGACTTCTCAGAGCTAACTTCTGAAAGTTTGTGTTGAGATCCTAACATTCTGTGCCTATGAAACCAACCCATCTGATATGGTTTGGCTGTGTCCCCACCCAGAATCTCTTCTTAATTGTAATCCCCACATGTCAAGGGCAGGACCAGGTGGAGGTAACTGAATCATGGGGGCAGTTTCCTTCATGCTGTTCTCATGGTAATGAGTGAGTCTCACAAGAACTGACTGTTTTATAAGCATCTGGCATTCCCCTGCTTGCACTCACTCTGTGCTGCCACCCTGTGAAGAAGATGCCTGCTTCTCCTTGTCTTCTGCCATGATTGTAAGTTTCCTGAGGCCTCCCCAGCAACTCGGAACGGTGAGTCAATTAAACCCCTTTCCCTTATAAATTACCCAGTCTCGGGCAATTCTTTATAGCAGCATGAGAATGGACTCATATACCATCTCACTGTGGCAAGACCAGGGATCCTATTCTTCTAATGGGACCCTCTTGGGAGAGGCATTTGGAGTCTTGTCTTACTGGTCTAGAAATTTTGTAACATGTATATCTAGTCCTTTGTGTTCCGATGTGGATAGCAGCTGATGAGGTTTGGCTGTGTCCCCACCCAAATCTCACCTTGAGTGGTAATAATCCCCAAGTGTCGAGGGTGGGGCCATCTAGAGTAATGGAATCATGGGGGCAGTTTTCCCCGTACTGTTCTTATGGTAGCGAATAAGTCTCAAGAGATCTGATAGTTATATAAACGGGAGTTCTCCTGCATGAGCTCCCTTGCTTGCTGCCATGTAAGTTGTGACTTTGCTTCTCATTCTCCTTCTGAATGATTATGTGGAACTGTGAGTCAATTAAACCTCTTTCCTTTACAAATTAGCCAGTCTTGGGTATATCTTTATTAGCAGTATGAGGATAGACTAATACAGAAACATTATTCGTAATAGACAAAAAGTGGAAACAACTCCAATGTCCATCAGCTGGTGAGTAGATAAACAACATGGTCTATCCATACAATGGATTATTATTCAGCCATAAAAAAGAATGAAGTATTAATACACACTGCAACATGTACAACCCTCAAAAACATTATGCTAAGTGAAAGAATCCAGACCCAAAAAACTACCTACTATATGACTCCATTTATATTAAATCTTCAAAATAGGCGAATCTGTAGAGACAGAAAATTGATCAGTAGTTGCCAGGGGCTGGGAGTGGGCATGAAGAGTTAGTACAAATTGGCCCAAGGTTTATTTTTGGGGGTGATGAAATGTTCTAAAAGTAGGTAGTGGTGATGGTCGCACAACTCTGTAAATGTACTAAAAATTAATAGTCGCAAAAATAAAGAGTAAGAAAAAAGTAAAGTAGAATTAGAAAAAAATATTTTTAATCCCTGCATAATTCTGAGTTTAACATGTTCATGGTTATTGTAAAGAAAATTAAAAATAGATAAATGTATTATTTTAATGTTAATTACCTAGGGAAATAATCACCACTTACATTTTTATATATGTCTTTCTAATTTTTCTCTAATCATATGTAGATTTTTAAATTAGGATCACACTATGTTTTTAGTTATGTCTATTAATGACAAGATATAAAGCACTTATATATATAGCTACTGAACAACAGAACCTGTGAAAAAAAAATCTCAGTGTTTTTTAGCTAAGTGGAAATCCTGTTTGGTCAAGGTTTTTCATGAAATAAAATCCCTGAAATTTAAATAGACAAAAAAACACACACACAAATTGTAATCGCAATAGGTTTGTTAACCAATGCACACAGCAAATCAATATGCCATGACACCAGGTTGCAGCAGAGAAACAGGTTTAATCATAGTGTTAATGGAAAGGGGTCATGATCCAGACCCCAAGAGAGGGTTCTTGGATCTCATGCAAGAAAGAATTCAGGGCTAGTCCACAGAGTAAAGTGAAAGCAAGTTTATTAGGAAAGTAAAGGAATAAAAGAATGGCTACGACATCGAGCAGCCCCAAGGGCTGCTGGTTGCCCATGTTTATAGTTTTTTCTTGATGATATGCTAAACAAAGGGTGAATTATTCATGTCTCCCCTTTTTAGACCATATAGGGTAACTTCCTGATGTTGCCATGGCATTTGTAAACTGTCATGGTGCTGGTTGGAGTGTAGCAATGAGGATGACCAGAGGTCACTCTCATCGCCATCTTGGTCTTGGTGGGTTTTAGCCGTCTTCTTTATTGCAACCTGTTTTATCAGCAAGGTCTTTATAACCTATATCTTGTGCTGACCTCCTATCTCATCCTGTGACTTAGAATGCCTTAACCGTCTGGGAATGCAGCCCAGTAGGTCTCATCCTCATTTTACCCAGCTCCTATTCAAGATGGAGTTGCTCTGGTTCAAACACCTTGACCACAGGGTCACAGAACGAGAAGATGGGAGGGAACCTCAAAGCCATTTCCCCAAGGAAGTTGAGGCTTGGGTTTTTGAGGGCTTTGGAGTGGGCAGAAGTGTGGAGATCAAGAGTACAGGGTGAAGTCATAGGAAGGGGAGAGGAAGCAGCTGTGTTCTCATGCTGATCCTGTTCCCCTGTGGGAGACTTCCAACTGGTGGCTGGAATTCTGGGGAGGTGTGTCTGAAAAACATCTTAAGTGTCTATAGGAACAATGGGGATGCAAATCAATTCTTAAACAGTCTTCTGGCCTTAATGTCAGAGATCCTATCTAGGGGAACGGTGGGGAAGCAAATGTCAGGATCTAGTGCTACTGTAACTGAGGAACTGGTTAGCCACTCACTGCAGCAGAGTCCAATTAACAAGATCCAGGCCTGGTACAAGAAAAGTGAATTTATTTTTGAAGCTAGCTTGGAAAGACACAAAGTGTCCTGCTTTAAGTGTGCTGCTTCATCTTTGGAGCAAAAAGCAGACATGTTTATAAGGTTAAAGGGGAAGTGAGCAAGGGCAGGAAGTCCCCCTGCTAGCCTGGTGTCTTATCTACCAAACAGCTGAGTTGGCATACAGTTGAGTTGGTGCCTTCCTGGGCAGAAATAAGTTGTAAAAGTGGCCAAGTGGGCGTGTTTTCACCATGTCCTCCTGAGGCCACCCCAGAAGTGGGAGTTCCGTGGAGATGTGCTTTGATCTGCAAATTGACTGTCAATTCTGGAGAAGAGATCACTGGGGCACGTAGATGACCTTGCCTTGTAGGGAATGTGTGGTGAGGGGGAGGTGAGAGGTTATTTTGCATTTCAAAAAGGGCTAGGTAGGAAGCAGGCTGAAAGGGGAAAGGAGAAGAGAAGAGAAAAAAGTAATTAAACCACCTCAGAAAAATCAGGGTACTTGGTTACGGTACATGACCTACTGCAACAAGGAACTGGGCCAGGGTGCAGCCTGATTAACGCTGAATTATAACTGTATTTGTACCCAGAACCTGGCATGCAATTCCCGTCAACCCTGTGGGGATGGTTTCAAAACCTGACCCTGTTTCTCATTGCATCCACACCCACAGCGTCAAAGCAATGCCAGGAGAACCACGCGTGGCTCATGTTTCTTGGAGGAGTCCTGGTTCAGTTCTACAGGCTTCCCACACAAAGCAATATACTGTTGGCCATGTAGGTAAGAAAAGCACAGGAAACTGTTTTTTACCCTTTCTACCAGTGTTTAGTACCAACCACAAGCACCAAAATACTCAAACTTCGAGCTCTGTGGCTCTGGCTCTTATGGACGGGGAAGTGCTTTACAATTGCCAGGCATTCCATTCACTTTATAGAATAGCCAGAAAGCTCCAGGGATGGGGATGCCCTGCCAGGGGGCCACAGCTCTTAAACAGGTGACATGCTTGTGACTGGAAAGAGGTCCCGATCCAGACTCCAAGAGAGAGTTCTTAGATCTCACGCAAGAAAGAATTCAGTGCGAGTCCATTAAGTGAAAGCAAGTATATTAGGAATGTAAAGGAATAAAAGAATGGCTACTCCCCGTAGACAGAGCAGCCCCAAAGGCTGCTGGTTGCCCATTTTTGAGGTTATTTATTGATGATATGCTAAACAAGGGGTGGATTATTCATGCCTCCCCTTTTTAGATCATAGAGAGTAACCTCCTGATGTTGCCATGGCATTTGTAAACTGTCATGGTGCTGGTGGGAGTGCAGTAGTGAGGACCACGAGAGGTCACCCTTGTCACCATGTTGATTTTGGTGGGTTTTGGCCAGCTTCTGTACTGCAACCTGTTTTATCAGAAAGGTCTTTATGTCCTGTATCTTATGCTGACCTCCTATCTCATCCTGTGACTTAGAATGCCTTAACCACCTGGGAAGGCAGCCCAGTAGATCTCTGCCTCATTTTACCCAGCACCTATTCAAGATGGAGTTGCTCTGATTTCAATGCCTCTGACACACTAATGTTAGAGCACCTTGGACATTTTCCTTAATCTGAGTGTCTAGTTTTCTTTTCTAGAAAATGAGAAAAAACTAGAATGTAGACCCCCATGTGCTCAAAGCAACAGCCTGCCTGGTTTGCTTGGACTTTTCCTAGACTGTATGATAACAGGTGCTCGATTCCTCTACGTAAATCTTCACCTTTTATTAATCATATTACCCTGCTTCTCTTAGAAAACGCACAGTTCTGCCCTCCCTACACCAAGATCACAAAAGGCTAAGTGTAAGTCATGAGCCAACCAGACCAAGAGTAACCCAGGCAGGCCAGGTGGCCAACTTGGCCATCTCATAGGCAGTTATCACTGCTCAACTTGAAGAAATACAAGGTTAATTATTGGAGTTTGAAATCCAGCAGTGGAATCCATGTGGTCCTATCGTGGTCATATAATGTGCTGAGGCTCTTACAAGTTGTCAGTGCTGAGTGGGAACGACAAAGCCAGAAACAAGGGCAAGCAGAGGTTGAATGCCAGGAAGACCGTGGCAGGGTGCCAAGTCCATGAAGCAAAAGCACCGCCATGGTCTAAAAGGCATAGTCCTCTAGAGCAACAGAGCCAGTAACTCAGATCCAAAGGAAAGAAAATGATAACCCTTTCCCCCTCAAGACTTGCCATTGTATGGCAGCAGGAGGGCTGCTTGCAAAATAAATAACCCACCAACATTTGTAGGTTGGAGATCTCTCAGTCAAGAGTGACAGGCTGTCACTGAAAATGGGTCGGAAGGAAAACTGTCATTCCTACTAAGCAATTTTAAATAGGCTTTGTTTCCAGATATCTGTGCCTACAAGTCCTCATTTCCTCATTTGGAAATGGGATTTGATATGGTTGTATTAGGAGGTAAAATTAAAAATATCTCCTTACATCCCATTCACACTGCTGCATGATGGAATTGCCAACCTTGTAACCAAAACACATGTCTTTCTAATAAGAAGTCAATGACACAAGAGAAAAGAGATTCCTGCAGCTAAGGTTTGCTCCTGGTATTTTCCCCATGATATCACCCAACACAATGTACACTCTGTGGGTGGAGAAGGATGGGGGGTGACTTTTTAGCTTGTATACTTATTTGAGAACCTTAAATGAGATGCCTATTAAACTATCCATGTATACAAATAGACTCAATATTAAGAAAAGAAGTAGTATAAGACTGAAAGACATGCTTAAGAGAAAGGAGGGAGCCATACTTCAGGAATGGAGAAATGAAGAAAAATCTATACTGGCTAAAGTCAGGTTAGCTAGGAGGGAACATATGAGGAAGGCCCAAGTCTTATGCTGCTAGAAGCCAGGGCAGAGGCAGTAGGCTGGAAAGGACCAGTGGTCATCTTGGAAATATGTGCTCCACTTGAAGCCATTTGGATAAAAAATAAGAATTCTTAGAACACTGGACATCCCAGAAACACGATAAATTAGCAGACCAAATGCCAGTCTGCAACTGCTGGTTAAAAAGAAAAATCCAATTACTTATAACACTGAATATAGGTCAGCAGAAACTCCCGGCATCAAAGAAACTCTGACCATAAAGACTTAGTGTATATTTTTACAAAACACTTCACAGGGCCTTGTGGATCAATCATGGATTCAATTTTGTTCTACAAATTAAAATCAAGCCATGTTTAAAGCAATCTCATTAAGTCGCTTGCCAACGGGTGCACACAGTACCACACTCCTGGTGTGACATGACCATTCTTATCATTCATTTTTGGAACCCTCCTTTCATGGATACACCACCCCTCACCTCACTTCCCTGCTTCTGCCTTACCTGTGCTTTCCCTGTGGCTTACCTGGATTATCACAACCAGATCCCCTGCAGTTTTCAGCCTTGCCAACATCTGAACATGTCAAAGAAAAATGGGCAGGACAGAGTTTGAAAGGCAAAGCCTTTATTCAAGGCTACAATAAGGGAGAGAGATTGAACTAACTCTGCTGAAACAAACAATGGGACGATTTTTAAGAGCTGGGATGAGCTAATGGAAAAGTACTGGAAGATGTTTGTGGGGAGGTTGGTCCATGTGATTAGGCATCTGTGTTTGCTAATGGGTGTTTACTGGAGTTAGGCTCCAACCCTTCCACAGAGACTGAGAGACAGAGACACTATTCCTTTCCATGATTACATTTCAAAGAGATGTCAGGTCCTTGAGAAAAGTGGTCCTGGGTTGCAAAACTAGCAACAGGTTGGAAGATTTACATCTCACAGGGACAGAGAAAGAATTTACAATTGCAAGTTTCTAAAGTAAATGCTTCAAGAAAAGAGAAGTCAAGGCCTATATTAGTCCATTCTCATACTACTGTATAGCTACTACTCGATACTGGGTAATTTATAAAGGAAAGAGGTTTAATTGGCTCATAGTTCCACATGGCTGGGGAGGCCTCAGGAAACTTACAATCATGGTGGAAGGCAAATGGGAAGCAAGGACCTTCTTCACATGGTGTCAGGAGAGAGAAGTGCTAGCAGGTTAAATGCCAGACACTTATAAAACCATCCGATCTCATGAGAACTCACTCACTATCAAGAGAACAGCATGGGGGAAACCACCCCCATGATCCAATCATCTCCCTCCCTCAATATGTGGGGATTACAATTGGAGATGAGATTTGGGTGGAGACACAAAGCCAAACCATATCAGGGCTCTAGAGTCTGAAAGAAGCCCATCTAAAGTGTAGTCCAGCACAGGGGAAGGTTATGGCCCTCTTGGTCAAGCCTATCTATCCTTAGGAGGTAAGGAAGTTCTTCTAGCCTTGCCTCAAACCCAGGGTGAGCATTAGTATATGGTGATTCTCCTGGTGGCTGAGCCACAGGCTCCAACACTGTTCCCCAGTCATGAGGCTCTAAACCACTACCCCACAGAGGCCCATTTCTATAATAAGGTCCTGCTCCCAAGCTTCCTCCTTTCTCTCCATCCTTATCCCTCCCCCTTCCCTGCCTGGCATGGTCTTGTAGCTGGAAGACGAGGCCTCAGCTCTGGGGTCTCATTTCTGCTTCACAAACCTCCATCAGCACAGACTGTCCCCATGTGGAGCCCAGCCCCCTGCTGTTATCTCTGAAAAAGATCTACTCAACTCTATAATCATTTTCGGCTACTGAGCTATTCGTCCTACAGAAATAGTAAATGCTATTTTACTGTGCATGGCCGGTGATACCAGCAAGCCTAGGACATTGGTCCCAGCGCCTATCCTGCCTATTGTCCTACTACAGGGACAACTATGACTATGCTAGCTGGAAATGATGATTCCTTGGGTACCCAGCCTGACTATGACACAGGCTGTCATAGTCATTTCCAGCAAGCAAAATAGGAACAGGAAGCTAAGAATCTCAAATACATTTAGAATGACCTAGTCAAATGCCATTTCTTTTTTTTTTTCTTTGAGACAGAGTCTTGCTCTGCTGCCCAGGCTGGAGTGCAGTGGTGCAGTCTCAGCTCACTGCAACCTCTGCCTCTTGGGTTCAAGCGATTCTCCTGCCTCAGCCTCCAGAGTAGCTGGGATTACAGGCACGTGCCATCATGCCCAGCTAATTTTTTGTATTTTTAGTAGAGACAGGGTTTCGCCATGTTGGCCAGGCCAGTGTCAAACTCCTGACCTCAAGTGATCTGCCCACTTCAGCCTCCCAGAGTGCTAGGATTATAGACCTGAGCCACCACACCCGGCCTACCATTTATTTGTGAAAAAAAAATAAAAAATTCCACTTACATGGGTTCCCCAGAGTCGTCAGATTCATAGAGACAAGGAGTGGAATGGTGGCTGCCAGGGGCCAGGGGAAGGGGAATGGGGACTTGGTGTTTAATGGGTCAGAGTTTCAGTTTTGCATGGTGAGAAAGTTCTGGAGATGAATGGTGGTGATGTTCCCACAACAATTTGAATGTACTTAACACCACTGAACTGTACACTTCAAAGTGGTTAAAAATTGTCAATTTTATGTTATGTATATTTCACCACAATGAAAAGAACAGCTCATAAGAAGGAAGCTGTAAATAGTAATAATAATAACCTGGAATTATGGTTTAGGGATTATAGCTTGCTTTCATGGTTAAAATGAGAGCCTGTAAGACTCAAGCTATGTAATAAAAATTCTGGTGGAGAAAGTATAGGTTAATGCTTGCTCTAGAGAAGGAGGCCTGACACTCACGGTGTCCATTTGAGCCTGTCCTAAATCTCTCTGGACCTCAGCCTCACCATACCTACAATGAATTGGCCTCAGATCTTCTGCTCTGATCTTGCACCAAGCCTGGGCTTGCAATCTGCGTGTCTGTGGACTCTTCAGGTATATTTCTGAATGCAGGTGCGTTTCTCTGGAGGCAGGGGCCATGACCTTCAGCAGATTCCCAATTGGAAACTCACCTCCCAACCACGTTGAAGACCTGAAAGCTGGAATGGTTCATCTGTCAGCAGTCCTTACAGCTCCTAACATTATAAAGACAGAAGCCCCTACAAACTCAGCCAGACCCCCACATGTTTAGAAGTTAGACTTCTCTGATCCTTAAAATGGCTACCATGAGAACATGGCCCCTGGGCTCCCTCCAGAAGGGAGCTGCAAAGAGGGAGTCCCATTCTAGCTCCATTTCTGGGTGTTTTGCTCAAATTGACCTGTTTTCCCTATTGAAAGAGAAAATTCCGGCCAGGAGTGGTGGCTTATGAGCCAAGATCGTGCCACACTGCACTGCAGCCTGGGAGACAGAGCGAGACGCTCTGTCTCAAAAATAAAAAAAAAGAAAAAAGAAAGAAGTAAAAGAAAAGAAAGAGAAAATTCATAAAGGAGGGACCCCGTCTTCACTGTGCCTTGGTTTTGATTCTTGGTTATGAGTGGTTCCATGGTGGTGGAGGCTGCTGATGGAAAGAGGAACAGAGGGGTGAGGGATTTTTGCTGAAAATCTAGAGAATACTTAGAAGCCCCTATATTTCCTGGGCCCCAGAAATGATTGGAGCCAAATGGGCTTGTGAGGAATTTTGAAATTTTGAATTTCACCTGAATTTTGGATGTGATTTTTCTCTATCCCGTGCATAGAAACTGAGAGAGGCTCTTTCCCTCAGGATTTTGTGAATCTTGTCTTTAACTCATCGCCCAAAGTAACAAACTCATCTTACTAACTTCAGAAAAAGACATCACCAGCCTGGCCTGGGAATAACACATAGGAAATTGAAGACAGTAGTATACTTAAGTTCACAAAAGGCCAATTCTTATGGCCGTATTTCAAATGCTCATAACGCCTTCTCATCCATTCTACCAAATGACTTGTCTTCATAATATATTCAGAGTGAAAAAACATAATGGATTCTTCCGAGATATTCAATTAGTTCAATAAAAAGAGAAAAATAATTTTTCAGTAAAGAAATTTAACTAAATGACTAAAACTGACAGTGAAAAACCAACTTCAAAGTAATTATGCATTTCTTTTGAGTTTGCGCTCTAACGAAAGTTGATGATATGCCACCATTAGAAATAGCCATCCTTCAAATGATCAATTGCATTTGTGTTGCTATTTTAGCAGACATTTATTTGAATGTTTACTCTGTAGCTGTCTTTGGGTGTTGATATATTTAAATTTCCACCAGCCCCGCTAAAGAGTATCGGCTCGCACTTCTTCATGACTCACTGCTCAGCTTCCTTTAAGCTGGTTTTTTCCCCGTTAACAGAAACCTCTTCCAAAAGTGTCACCAGTAACATTCTCCTTACAAAATCCGGTTACTTCTCTTCACTTCTTATCCTCGTAGGGGTCATGACACATTTAATTATGGGTCATTGACTCCTCTTCCAATTCTCTCCTGCAAAACTAGCATCTGCTCTTTAAACTTTGGGGTCTCTCAGGATTCCGTATTCCACCCCTCTGGCATTCTGAACTTTCACCCTGGGTAACCACTTTGTTAGAGAAGTTTCAAAGCCATCTATGTGTTGATGACTTCCCAACCCCTAACTCAGCCTGGGCACTTCCGCCAAGCTGCACAGGTGCATTGAATTCAAGGGGTCGTTAGCACAATCAAGACTGAACCGCTGGTCTTCCCACTTCCCACTGCACTCTGCTCTTCGGGCAGCCTCATCTGAGTGCTTGATCACCAAGAAAAGACACTGCTTTCCTGCTCGAGCTGCACACATCATGCCTCTCTTCATCCATGGCTGGTCCGCCTGCCTGCAGGGTCTCACATTTCCTATCAATCCAATCGTGTGCTTTCTGAAGATAAGTCAGATCAGATTGTTCCTGGATCACTGCCTTTCCGGAAAGCCTCTGGTGGCCTCGTGCACTCTGTAGAATTGGTACAGGTCCCTTGTGATGCTACTCAAGGCCCTCCAGGAGCCCATGCCATCCTCAGTGCCCTCAGCTCTGGAGGAGCAGCTCCACCACGGCACCCCATGACTTTGCATGTAGAGCCACATGGGGAGGGTATGACCTGCAGCTGCGCTGAGTCTTGGCAGAACACCCTGCGGTCCCCCAGCCAGTTTCTCATTGCCTTCCGGGTTCTGTGAGGTGCGGGGGCTTTCTGCCTGCCCCTCTCAGGACACAGCTGCTGCTGTAAAACTGCTGAGAAGCAGCTTGGAGTTGGCTCTACTGCAACATCCCTTCTTTCTGTTGCAGTTGTCCATTCCCTTTTATTCTGCCATGACCTGCGCCAAGGCCATCATGCCCACGCCTGCTTCTACTGTCTAAGTAATAAGCTGTCTGCATCTAAAGAGGTCTCCTTGCTTCTTTGCTAGGACTTGCCTGCGTCCTGTATGCCAACTTCAAATACTCACTACCCTTCTAACCCCCGTGTAACCTGATAGCCTAACTGCAAACTTAATATGCGTTTCAAAACATAAATATAGTACAAGAGAAAATAAAATTATACTTGGAAATCTGGCTAAGTGAAAATAAGGATTAGAAAAATAAAAGAAAGCCATAGGTTAGATTAGTACTGTATAGTATTAGTTTATTAAACTGATAAGAACAGATCTGTACTTCATCTTAGCCAAGAGGCCAAGAAACGATTGTACTACTGTATAAAATTATGGTGCTGTAATTTTAGAGGTGCTTCAAATTATTTTGGGAATAAGGCAAATCTGTATACTTAAAATGTGTGACCTATGAATTTGGCTCTAACCTTTCTTGCAGAAAATTAGAAACTACTAACAAATGGTTTGTCCCAAGAGCAAACCTCTAATGCACAAATGATTAAAGATGAACTCAGAGAAAAATGAAGGCAAGCTGAGTTTTATTAACATTGTTTAATGTTTAAGTGAAATACATTATTAGGGCTGGGCACAATGGCTCATGCCTGTAATCCCAACACATTGGGAGGCCGAGGCAGGTGGATCACTTGAAGTCAGGCGTTTGAGACCAGACTGACCAACGTGGTGAAATCCCATCTCTACTAAAAATACAAAAATTAGCTGGACATTGTGTTGCACACCTGTAATCCCAGCTACTTGGGTGGCTGAGGCATGAGAATCACTTGAACCGAGGAGGCAGAGGTTGCAGTAAGCCGAGACCACACCACTGCACTCCAGCCTGGGTGACAGAGTGAGACTCACCAAAAAAAAAAAAGAAAGAAAGACATTATTAGATTGGTGATTATGAGGGCCATTATCTTAAAATAGTATTTCCTAAAATGAAAAACATTTCAGGAAGTAGCTGAAATATCAGGAAAAAAACAAGGCTTTAAAAATAAGGTCCAAAGATTATATGATGATTGCTTCTATGCCCCTGTAGCCAGCTAGTGATCTCATTTCTCATCACTAACCCAGCTTTCTAAATCTGTCCTGTCCAGCAGGGTCAGCCATCCCAGCCCCCAGTGGCACCATCAGCCATCTGAGACTCTTTTTCACCCCCAGAAGAAAATGTCTTGGATTTAATCTTTCCCTCTTTAGTCAACTCCTCAGTTAGAGTAGAGCTACAGCAGTGAAACCATGGCCATCTCTCACGGAGACTCCGTCCTCCCCCTGCCACCAACATGTGTGAATACCTGGCTACTTATGTAAAAGATTTAATTTGATAAGTGAGGAAAAGTCATATTTATCTCCATTCTTTGAATAGATTTCAGTGTGTGAGAATGACTTTTTAGTGTGTGTCAGAAGCTTAGTATTCTAAGGGTAAAGTATTAAGCCTAAAGAACTTCAATCAGAAGTCTTAAGGCCGGATGCGGTGGCTCATGCCTGTATTCCCAGCACTTTGGGAGGCCTAGGCAGGCGGATCACGAGGTCAGGAGTTTGAGACCAGCCTGGCCAACATAGCGAAACCCCATCTGTACTAAAACTACAAAAAAATTAGCCGGGCATGATGGCAGGTGCCTGTAGTCCCAGCTACTCGGGAGGCTGAGGCAGGGGAATCGCTTGAACCCGGGAGGCGGAGGTTGCAGTGAGTCGAGATTGCGCCATTGCACTCCAGCCCGGGCGACAGCGCGAGACTCCATCTCAAAAAAAAAAAAAAAAAAAAAAAAAAAAAAAAGTCTTATATATGATAAAGGGCTTTGTAAACCACTAAACTTTATACCAAAAAAATCTATTATTGTTAGTCTTGTTTGCAACTATTAATAACAACTGAGAAATGGGCTGGGCATGGTGGCTCACGCCTGTGATCACAACACTTTTGGTGTCTGAGGCAGGATGATTGCTTGACGCCAGGAGTTTGAAATCAGCCTGGGTAACATAGTGAGACACCGTCTCTACAAAAAATACAAAAATTATCCTCTTAGATGTAAATGCTAAAAAAATAAAGTTAGCCAGGTGTGGTGGCGTGCACCTGTGGTCCCAGCTACTTGGGATACTGAGGTGGTAGGATTGCTTGAGCCCAGGAGGTTGTGGCTGCAGTGAGCCATGATCGCACCACTGCATTCCAGTCTGGGCGATAGAGTGAGACCCTGTCTCAAAAAATAAAATAACTGCAAAATATACTAAGTTTACAATGCAAAAAGTGCTATGGTAAATTGCTCTCGCATATACCAGTTGCATACCAACATCTTCCCTTTTTCCCACAGGCAACCCTCCCGCTACGGGCACTGGGACTTTGCTGATAACCCTGGAGGACGTGAATGACAATGCCCCGTTCATTTACCCCACAGTAGCTGAAGTCTGTGATGATGCCAAAAACCTCAGTGTAGTCATTTTGGGAGCATCAGATAAGGATCTTCACCCGAATACAGATCCTTTCAAATTTGAAATCCACAAACAAGCTGTTCCTGATAAAGTCTGGAAGATCTCCAAGATCAACAGTAAGTCTGGCTAAAGCATTTCTGCCTATTCTTCCAGCTTTCAGTTTATTTTCTCTTTCCCAAAATGCTGTTTCTCTACTGTTCTCTCAAGTATTCTCATTTG
This sequence comes from Homo sapiens, assembly GCF_000001405.40. Classification (NCBI taxonomy): domain Eukaryota; kingdom Metazoa; phylum Chordata; class Mammalia; order Primates; family Hominidae; genus Homo; species Homo sapiens. The sequence goes on from NC_000016.10 coordinate 83,780,305, forward strand.
GTTCATTTTAAGTTATTGGCATATTATAAATACTGAGAATTTTCCCACCAACAAACAAATGCAATTTATAAAAATATTGAATATCTGTTTCAAACACAGACATTTTCTCTTCTGCTTCCTCTCTGATATTTTCTATACTGTACACCCTGTGTTGTATATCCTAACCTGTCTGCTACATACACTATTTAGTATAACTCCAATATTCTATCTTTAAAATTTTCATATATTTAGGGGGCACAACTGCAGGTTTTTACATACATACATTGCATAGTGGTGAAATCTAGGCTTTTACTATCCCCATCACCCAATAGTGAACTTTCTCTTAACTAATCTGTAGTTTCTGCCATCCCAGAGTTCCCAGCCACAAGACTGTGATTCTTTGTTCTTCCTCTTTCTCTTCCTTTTTTCTTTTAATTAAACTCCACAGATTCTTTGTTTGTAACTAGCTTACAAAGAATATTGGCCAACCTGCCCAGTCTCAGACCTTGAAAAGATAGGAGTCTCTGCTTCTCCCCAGCTATCTCTTGGCTCAGCTGTCTTTCCAGTCTCAGAGACAGAGAACTGTGTTAACATTAACTTTCACCAGCGCATTGGAGAGGCTTTTCGTGGTGTACCTGCTGTCATAAAAGACTAAAGGAAAGAGAAGTGCTAGGATAAGAATCTTTATAGTCTTCAACCTCCAACCTTCCATAGTACGCTGCAGACCTCCTCAGACTTGACTTGGTTTAATGATGACCTTGGGTTTTTTTTCAAATCCTTGGCCACCATTGACTTTGATGTCTTCTTCCATGCATCTTCTTTCTCCTTTATAAAACTTGCAAGCAATGTCTCCTCCCACAAGTCCTTCCACATAGGCAGGTGGAATTCAAAACTTAACCCAACTTCTATCACTTGCCTTATTAAGACTGAAACACCAACATATTAATATGGAGTATCCCTATATCCACAATCTCACCCACTTTCTTCCCCAAATGTAAACTAACTACCAAGTTCACCTTGTCTTCCAATAAAGTAAAAGAAAAAAGAAAAAGAAAGACATTAGACACTATGTCTTCAATAATATACTTATCCTGCTGTTGACCCCGTCAGGGTTCCCACTTCTTATGTCAGTGGTAGAACTTTTGAGGGAGACAGAGAATTACGCATTTCATTAGGTTTTGCAAATGTATTGTACAATTGTGCATAACATTTTCTATTTAAAAATCTCATATCTATTGTTATAGCCCTATCTCATATCTCATTTTTTTAGTGCCTTTTGCTTGTTATTGATTCTATTTGCCTGTTTGTCTATTTTATTGCTTTTTAAATAATGAATTCTGTTATACTGATTATTTTTAATTAAAACAGACCTTCTCTTGTTTGAGGGGTTAGTGTTTTATTTGCTAGTTTTTATGGCTATAGCCTATTTGAATAATCATCTCCAGTTCTTTCCAATTGGAACTTTCTCATTCAAGAGTTTCTTTTTTGGGGGCGTGCAGAGGGGGGTGAGCATCAGGATAAATAGCCAGTGCATGTGGGGCTTAATACCTAGGTGATGGGATGATTTGTGCAGCAAATCACCATGGCACATGTTTACCTATGTAACAAACCTGCACATCCTGCTCATGTACCCCGGAACTTCAATTAAAAAAAAAAAGAAGAAAAAAAAAAAGATTGTATCCTCTACTAAAGGAAGATGGGAAAATGCTGTTTGATTTAATCTGCCATCTCACTAGGTGAGCATCACATTAGTCATTGCTGCTCCTGTCACCTTCTGGTAATGATCATGCTTCATGTATTTTTATTTCCCTGTCATTACTCTCTTGTTTTTTCTCCTGGTTTTACCTAATAGATAAATGCCTTCTAAATGATTTTGTTGTCTCACAGTTTTTTTTTCTGAATATTTAGCCCTGTTTATTCCCAGAAAGGGGCACTTAAAAATACATATGACCCTAATCATGTGAGTGACTTTATCTCAAGGCTAAAGAATAGGCCAGCTGGTGCAGCCACTGCCAAGTGTCACCCAGGGGCCTGGGTGATGGTGGCTATTGCCACCGCACATGACATCAGGGAAGTGGAGGGGAAGCTTAAAGATCCAGTCTCTATGTTGCGGGTTCCCACCCAAATGTAGAGCTGTGGACAGAGGATTGATCAAAAAAAACAAAAACAAGGCTGGACTCAGTGGCTCACACCTGTAATCCCAGCATTTTGGGAGGCCGAGGCAGGCAGATCACCTGAGGTCAGGAGTTTGAGACCAGCATGGCCAATATGGTGAAACCCCATCAGTACTAAATATACAAAAATTAGCTGGGCATGGTAGTGTGTGCCTGTAATCCCAGCTACTCGGGAGGCTAAGGCAGGAGAATCATTTGAACCCAGGATGCGGAGGTTGCAATGAGCCAAGATTGCACCACTGCACTCCAGGCTGGGCAACAGAGTGAGACCCTGTCTCGAAAAAAAAAAAAAAAAAACTAAAGACAAAAAATGTAGGCTATAGAACCCATCTCCATGATAACACATTAGGGTCCTGCCCACATTGAGAGCAGGTGGATTTTCACCTTAGCTTTCTAGATGTGGAACGCAGTCTTTGTCAAGATGGCTTTTTCGTGTAATAAATTTGCAGGGAGGAGTTCTTGGTAATCAATCATCTTCATGAAAGGAGCTCTCCTTGAAACTGATTATAATCGCGCCGAGGCACAGAACTCTGGTGATGGAAACACTCTGTCTCTGTGTTGTTCATTACAGGAGCCAGCAGCCATGTGTGGCTTCTGGGCACTTGGAATGTGGCAGGTGCCACTGAGGATCTGAACTGGTATTTTCACTTGATGTTAATGAATTTAAATGTAAGCATTCGCACAATTATAAATGAAAATGCAATGCCTGTTTGGTGTGACTTTCATCACCAAAACCTCACTCTTTTATTGGAAAAAGTCTCATCCACTCTCACCAGAACCCTCCTTGCCTTTACAGATACACACGCCCTGGTAAGCCTTCTTCAAAATCTGAACAAAGCAAACTACAACCTGCCCATCATGGTGACAGATTCAGGGAAACCACCCATGACGAATATCACAGATCTCAGGGTACAAGTGTGCTCCTGCAGGAATTCCAAAGTGGACTGCAACGCGGCAGGGGCCCTGCGCTTCAGCCTGCCCTCAGTCCTGCTCCTCAGCCTCTTCAGCTTAGCTTGTAAGTTGACCTAACTCCAGTGCATGCACAAACAGGAAATTGTAACTTCACTGGGTTCGTGAAGCCAGCATTTTCCCATATACCTTTCCAAGAAGATGTTTCCCAGAAGAATCATTCATCTTTAGTGTATGTCTGTATGATAGAACATGTTATATGTAAAAGTGCTCCCACTGATGTTTAAAGGCATCTTAACAATCCCTGCCAGCCAGTCTGAGGGATTGTGCAAAGGTGTTCATTGCTAGCCTGCAAACTAGGTGGTAAGCAAAACTTCCTACAGCTGCCACTCAACTTGAGCTAATGAAAATGCGCCCAGATTAGTTAACTAGTCTATCAGAGGCCTGTTTCTCTCTACATTATGCAGAATAATCTTTTGCAAGGTTAAAACAGATATTATGAGACTTTCTGAGAATAGTCGTGAGAATTTATGGATGGAGGGTGGGCTGCAGGGAAAATGATAAATGCATAATTTACACTGTTTTTTCACTGGCTAGTAATAATGACTATAATATCATGAAACATTGTTTTTAACAAATGAATTATTATGCCAAGTAGTATAGATGTGAGGATAAAATTAATAAATACATGTCTCAGATATTCCTTATTTATGAAATACTAGTCCAATGTTAACTTTAGCCGTTATTCATATATAACTGTTACCATCCAAAAGCCTTTTGGGCCTTGCAATTTACCTTTTGAGAACGTATCGGTGTAATTGTGAATTAGGAAGTTGGGAAATTGACAGAAAAAGAAAACAGAAGGTTTTTTATCCTACTGACAGTGGTGAGCTGCCAGGAAATCACATAGTACAACATTGGACATTCACGTATATAAAGCTCTGTGCAAGACCAGAGTCCTGTGAGTAGAAGGAAAAATGAAGGGCCAGGCACGGTGGCTCACACCTATAATCCCACCACTTTGGGAGGTCGAGGTGGGTGGATCATCTGAGATCAGGAGTTCAAGACCAGTCTGGCCAACATGGTGAAACCTTGTGTCTACTAAAAATACAAAAATTAGCCAGCCATGGTGGCACATGCCTGTAGTCCCAGCTACTCGGGAGGCTGAGGCAGCAGAATCACTTGAACCCGGGAGGCGGAGGTTGCAGTGAGCCAAGATCATGCCATTGATCTCCAACCTGGGTGACAGAGCAAGGCTCTGTCTCAAAAAAAAAAAAAAAAAGGAAACAAGAAGCCATTATAGCATTTCACTGGCCCTTCAGACTGGGCATTTCTGAAAGCGAACATATCATCTTCCCCTCCTGACCTGCCCCTCTGCCTGACTTGTCTCTGATGACTGTACCACCACCATCATCATCACCATCATCTCCATGTCTCCTTCCTGGTCTTCCCACTGCAAAGCCCAACAGAGTCTAAGGGTCCAACACTTTCCATCCATCCCTGCCTCCACCCTCCTGTCTCAGGTACTAATGTCACTTAACCTCGATTATCTCACTGGCTTTCTAACTTTATCTTCTGCAAAGAGAGAGAGAAAATAGAAATCAAGAGGCCACCCCTCGGAGGCTTCTCCTGAGTCTTTTCTGTAAAGCAGAGACAATTTCAGATGAAGGGTTAGAGATGGGAGTGGGGACTGAGAAGAAATTAGGAAACCTTGTCAAAGCACAGATAATTCGGCTGTACAGCAATTGGGCTAAACGTTGAGCAGGGGTGGTCCAGAGGAGTTTGTATACTGTCTTAGTCCATTCGGGCTACTATAACAAAATACCATAAACTGGGTGGCTTATAAATAACAGAGATGTATTGCTCATGGTTCTGGAGGCTGAGAAGTCCAAGAATAAGATGCTGGCAGATTCATTGTCTAGTGAAAGCCCACATTCTGGTTCACATATGGCGCCTTCTCCCTGCATTTTCACATGATGGGAGAGGCAAGGCAGCTCTCTGGGGCATCTCATCCCATCCCATCCATGAGGACACTGACTTCCTGACCCACTAATTTCCCAAAGGCCCACCCTCGTAGTACCATCACCTTGGGGATCAGGTTTCAGCATATAAACTTTGGAGGGGCACAAACTTCAGAGCATAGCAGATACCATGAATTTATAGCAACACATTATGCTTGTTTGCCCCCTTGCTTTGCTGACAGATATCCTAGACCTAGATTTCTAGAGTGTAGGAATGTTCCCTTCGTGAGGGTATGCTGTCTGGGGCCTGGTTTGCTGAGTCATCACTAGCAACCTGCAAGTCACTCTTGCATAGTATCAGCTGGGGAGATGGTGGTGGATCTCAAGTCTGGCTGCACAACAGAAGCACCTGGGGAACTTTTAAAAGTAGCTACCCATACCTGAGCCCTACCCTATGGCTGGAAGGGCAGCTTAGACATTTGTCCATTTTAAAGCCTCACCAGGTGGTCCGAAGACACTGGGAAATCAGGACCGTCCTGGTGAGTGACTCCAACGTTTAGGTACAGGCTCCTGGACATTCTAACAGTGTCCTCCAATCTTGTCCCCACCCTAAAGACGTGCTGGTTCCTTCGGTTCACAACTCAATAGGAAACAGGTGGAGGAGAGTAAAGTTAAGAATACAAGTGTGAAGATGTTTGCTACCGATGGTGCCAGAAAACCTGGCACCATCCCTCCTCCAGAGAGGAGGGTACGGTGAGATGACAGAACACATCCAGTATGAGAATTTCTATAGCACCAACTTTCCAGAAAGTGTTTCAGAAGCTTACAGAATTAAAATGTGAACCAGACAGGAAGTTAAACTTGACAAGGAAGAGAAACCAACTAGGAAGAGTTGGGGATGGAGTTAACTGACACTAAATTTGGCCTGAGCTTCTCATTGGCTTGCCGTACACAATTGCCACTGTGTGATAAGAGCAACGTGTTAATTGCAGTGGTAGTTCCTAAATGCTGCTGCACGTCAGAACCACTTAGGAAACATTTTCAAACTACGAATTCCTGAGCTCAGTGCCCTAGAAACTTTCATTTGTGCTCTAGATTACGACTTGAGCTTGAGGAATAGGGCGTTGGGGAATGGTAATGAATGGACGCATGGACAGACAGATGGATAAATGAAAGGAAACATATTTCTCCCTCTTTTCTTTTGTTCTTTTTTTCTTCTTTCCTTTGTCTTTCTTTTCTTTTTTTCCTTTATTTGTTTACTTATTTATTTATTTTTTTGAGACAGAGTCTCACTCTGTCGCCCAGGCTGAAGTACAGTGGCGTCATCTCAGCTTACTGCAACCTCCGTCTCCCGGGTTCAAGTGATTCTCCTGCCTCAGCCTCCCAGGTAGCTAGGATTACAGGCATGCACCACCATGCCCGGCTAATTTTTGTATTTTTAGTAGAGACGAGGTTTCACCATGTTGTCCAGGCTGGTCTCAAACCCCTGACCTCAGGTAATCTGCCTGCCTCGGCCTCCCAAAGTGCTAGGATTACAGGTGTGAGCCACCACACCCAGCTCCTTCCTTTCTCTTTCTTCAGAAAGTAAAATATTACAGGCAAAGGTAAAATTGCCTATGTTTCTCTGCCCAATTTTATTTTCTGTTCTCTCTCCTCAGAAACAATAGCTACCATGAATTAGCTATTCATGTGTGTGTCCAGATGTTTTATCCTTTTACTACACACAAACTGACACATACACTCACTCACACACATTCACACATGACACATACAGTTCTATTTTGTGCAGTTTGTAAAACCTCCTGTAATTCATATTATATTGGGCATACCATTCTGCGACTTACTTTTCTTCCTACCTGTGTTACATTCACAAGGTCCATCCACGTTGCTCTAATTCAGCGTTCAGCAAACTTTTTCTGTAAAGGGCCAGGTGGCTTTGTGGGCCATATTAGTCTCTGTCACATATTCATCTTTATTGTTTGTTTGTTTGTTTGTTTCTGTCTTTTGTACCACCCTTTAAAAACGTGAAAACCCTTCTTTGCCTGGGAGCTATCCAAACACGGACTTGAGGTTAGAGTCAGCCCACAGCGTTCCTTGGCTGAACCCCGCTCTGCTCCATTTACTCCTCCTGCTGGAGGATCCTGTCATTTGAATACGGTGCAGTGGATTCCCTTATCAGCAGACACATTCGAATCATTTACTATGACCAACGCTACTACAGTAAGAGATCTACGTTTTCCACCAGCTTCTGGAGTGAGCGCCAGACAGACCACAAGCCCAGCACTGCCCAAAGACCAGCACTTAGAAGCCACTGCTCTACAAGCAATGCTTGCAGCTAGGTGCGGTGGCTCACCCCTGTAATCCCAGCACTTTGGGAGGCCAAGGCAGGCAGATCACTTGAGGTCAGGAGTTCAAGACCAGCCTGGCCAACATGGCCAAACCCCGTCTCCACTAAAAATACAAAAATTAGCCAGGCGTGGTGGCAAGCACCTATAATCCCAGCTACTCGGGAGGCTGAGGCAGGAGAATCGCTTGAACCTGCCAGGCAGAGGTTGCAGTGAGCCGAGATCACACCACTGCACTCCAGCCTAAGCGACAGAGCAAAAAACAACACCTGCAGAGATCCAGGAGCAACTGGAACTCAAGAATAACAGAGTTTGGATAAATCGGAGAGCAGTACTTCCTATGTGATTGCAAAGAGATAAAAATTCTATGTGTGTGTAGTGGGAATGCATATACACACGTACATGTATGTTTGTGTGCACGCACGTGTGTGTACCCAGAAAGTAGACAATTAAGGGGGTTACATCACACATTGCCCTCTGTAAATCCAATTTCTGAACATCAAAGCCTCACTCCGTGACATCTCTTTGAAGAACAAAGGCACTGCAGGACCCTGCTCACGGTTCAGCTACTCGGGACTGGAAATGAGTGTTTTAAATGGAGACCAGAGCCGCTGTGCACCTGCTTGTTAAAATACAGATTTCCAGGCCCATCCAACCTATGGCATCAACATCCCAGGTGACAGGGGCCTCTAGCTCAAAGCCCAGTGTTTGGTTATTTTTATACAATATTTTTATAATAATACACATTCTGCTACCAACACTCCCCATATATTAAGTATTAGTAAACATTGAATTTTTTTTTTTAGATTAAAAAAAAAAGACTTGGCAGTATTTTTTTCTTACCAACAAGGGATTTTCTTGTGGTCCTCACTTTGAGACTCCTGATCTACAGATGACAATCATCAGCAGGTTGCCAAGGATTTCCCACTTCTCATCTCTCAACTGAGCTCTTGGGTCAAGTTAATCTAAGGCAGAATTGCCTGATAATCCCTAAAGAATTGCTTCACAGTTGGTATCATTGATAAAAGACAGGCACAGGTACACTAGCTGTGAAATACCAAATGTGCTTTATGTGCTCGTCTAAGGGGAGCCATCCCATCTAGCATCTGATGATTGTATCTCACTGTAAGTAGGGGCACCTGTGTGTAAAGTCGAAATTATTCCCACAGTGAAACTCTGGATCTCCTTGTGTAGCTGGAAAGTATTCAGTTGACACTCCAATGGTTTGCTGTACAAAGACAGTAGTTTCAGCCCCCAAAAAACAGTTAAAAACAGGTGTTACCACTTACCTTCAAAAACACACTTGGTCTGGTCATGTGTAAAAGGCATAAGATTTTCTAATATTGTTCATTTAAATGTTAGAGATGCCTGCCAAATGTCATGATTTACGTTTTATTATATACCTAGTCCAAGACATTCTTCCTAACCAAAAAGGGATGGACATAATAAGACATGTAAGAATCTGGGTCAGAGGTAGCAGGAACAGGTAACCACCAGTGCCCAACCACTCAAATGCATAAAAGCAGACATCAAAGTGGCCGACCCACGTGTGCTACCATTTATATGACATTGAGAAGAGGCTGCACAGAAGTGAGCTTAAACCCTTAAGCAAGGATTGGAGAAGGAGGAGGGTGATTTCAAAAAACACTGAAATTAGTAGCTTTCTTTTTTTTTGTTTGTCTGTTTTGTTTTAAGACTGAGTCTTGCTCTGTCACCCAGGCTGGAGTGCAAGGGCGCGATTTTGGCTCACTGCAACTTCTGCCTCCCAGGTTCAAGTGATTCTCCTGCCTCAGCCTCTGAAGTAGCTGGGATTACAGGCACCTGCCACCACGCCCAGCTAATTTTTTTGTATTTTTAGTAGAGACAGGGTTTCGCCATGTTGGCCAGGCTGGTCTGAAACTCCTGACCTCAAGTGATCCACCCACCTCAGCCTCCCGAAGTGCTGGGATTACAGGCGTGAGCCACCACGCCAGGCCTGAAATTAGCTATTAAAGTACATAACTTCCTAACTCAGCCATAGTCCTTACAAGAATTTTGGGAGCAAGGAAATCAGCTGGTAGAATCTCTTTGATGTTTCTTTAAAGCAGGGTCAGCAAACTCTAAGACACAGACCAAATCTGGTCTACTGCCCATTTTTGTAAATAAAGTTTTATTGGAACACAGCCGCGCCTATCATTTCCATATCGCCTGTGCCCGTTCTCTGCTGCAGTGGCAGAGCTCAGTAGCTGCCACCGAGACCAGCTGGCCCAAGAAGCCGAAAATATTAACTCTCTGGCCCTTCCCACTTCAAAGCATCATTCATAAAACTTCAGTGTGATGTAGGAGAAGATAATCACGTCACATTCATGGCAAGAAAAAATACTCAGATCCAAGTAGACTGGCAGCAACCAAACATGCTGATGTGTGGGGCTGTTTTCTGTATTTTCTTCAGTGGTCTGGCAGTTGTCCCATTTTCTAGATGAGAAAACTGATCCTCAGAAAGGTCTCCAGGTGAGTAATCAGCGAGGCCAGCATTCACCATTGACTGCCTCCCTTACAGAAAAGGATAATAACAACATTTCAGTTTAGTATGACCTGATCCTGTAGGTGGCTTTACTGCAACTGAGAGTTGAACTGAAGGATCTGCATTTCTTTCTTTGACATCTGAAAATAAAGGAAATAAAACTACTGATATTGAAAGTAATAAAAAATGAAAATGAAATGATTTTTACTGTCAGTTTTTTTTGTTTTGTTTTGTTTTGTTTTTTCACAGAGTCTTGCTGTGTCACCCAGGCTGGAGTGCAGTGGCATGGTCTCTGCTCACCGCAAGCTCCACCTCCCGGATTCACGCCATTCTCCTGCCTCAGCCTCCCGAGTGGCTGAGACTACAAGCGCCCGCCACCATGCCTGGCTAATGTTGTTTTTGTATTTTTAGTAGACATGGGGTTTCACCGTGTTAGCCTGGATGGTCTCGATCTCCCGACCTCGTGATCCGCCCGCCTCGGCCTCCCAAAGTGCTGGGATTACAGGCGTGAGCCACCATGCCTGGCCCGGTTGTTGTAGTATAAAGTGCATGTCAGTGGCATGAAGTGGATGTGTAATTCTTCCCCTAGCACCCTCCCAGTGAGGCAAGCCGGCATTGCCATTAAGCTGTTTCTGTGGTTTTTCTAGCACGACTTTTATGGTATGGCAAGTCTCAAAAAAAGAACTTGTCGGGAAACCATTTCTGACCATTGCTTTCTGCTTAATTAACCAGTATTAGCAAGAATGTAAAAGGACAGATCAGGTGAACTATCTTAACAAATACCAAAAGTAAATGTCTCTATATGGAGGGTAAGATGTAGACAAACTCAGACACAATAAAGAAATTTAAAGAGGGGAGTGGGCAGGGCACAGTGGCTCATGCCTGTAATCCCAGCACTTTGGGAGACTGAGGTGGGTGGATTGGATAAGGCTGGGAGTTTGAGACCAGCCTAGGCAAGATAGTGAGACCCCCATCTCTGAAAAAAAGAAAAAAAAGCCCCACCCCATGTCAGCTAAAAATTAACATTAAATAAAATGTGGACCAGGCACGGTGGCTCACGTCTGTAATCCCAACACTTTCGGAAGCCTAGGTGGGCCGATCACCTGAGGTCAGGATTTCGAGACTAGCCTGACCAACATGGTGAAACTCATCTCTACTAAAGCTATAAAAATTACCTGGGCACGGTGGCACACACCTGTAATCCCAGCTACTCAGGAGGCTGAGGCAGGAGAATCGAGTGAGCTTGGGAGGCAGAGGGTGCAATAAGCTGAGATCATGCCACTGTACTCCAGCCTGTAGGACAGAGTGAGAATCCATCTCAAAAAAATAAAAATAAAAATAAAATATGCATGCCTGGCTGGGTGGGGTGGCTCATACCTGTAATCCCAGCACTTTGGGAGGCCGAGGTGGGCGGATCACAAGGTCAGGAGTTCAAGATCAGCCTGACCAACGTGGTGAAACCCCATCTCTACTAAAAATACAAAAATTAGCTGGGTGTGGTGGCACACGCCTATAATCCCAGCTACTCAGGAGGCTGAGGCAGGAGAATCGCTTGAACCCAGGAGTTGGAGGTTGCAGTGAGCCAAGACTGCGCCATTGCACTCCAGCCTGGGCAACAGAGCAAGACTTTGTCTCCAAAAAAAAAAAAAAAAAAAAGCCAAGATGAGCAAAAGATAGCCAGTAAACACTTTTAAAATTTTATTTTTCAACGTATTGTTTGCATAAAACAAAATGCATCCGTTGCAAGTGTACAGTTTGATGCATTTTGGTAAGTGTACAGAATTTTATACCACGCCCTAGTCAAAATACAGTTTCCTTTGCTATTGATCCCCTTTCCGCAATCCAGGCTCTCATTGATCTGCTTTCTCTAATAATGGCTTTGTCTTTTCTAGAATGTCTTAAAGTGTACCAGTATTTTGTTCCTTTCTATTGCGAAACGTATTATGGACAGACACGGCCTGCAAAGGCATTAAACCCAGGTAGAGTGGGCTGTCTTCGGCCTGCAGACGGCCGCGGTCATGCTTTGCAGAGGAGCTGTGGCCCCTTAAAGTGACATGACATTATGGACAATGACAGTTGATCCTTGGGGGCTTTCCATGCACCTTGCGCATGCAAGCTAAGGGCTTTACATAAATTAAATAAATTTCCTCAAGTAACCATCTCAATAGCCCTGGGACGAGTCACTTATGTTATCATCTAAATTGACTTAAAACAGGAATTTGAGACTCTAATTTGAAAACAAGAGATTGGAGCCTATTTAGTGGATTTTATGCAGCCAAAGATGTTTCTTGTTGTTGTTGTTGTTCTTGCTTTTAACTAATTTGCCTCCCAGGAGACAGTTGAAATGTCTAGAGACATTTTGATTATTATGCCTGGCAGGACGCCACTAGTGGCATCTAGTGGATGGAGGGTAAGGGTGCTGCTAAGCGTCCTCCCATACACAGGACAGCACCCCCCACAAAGAATTATCCAACCCCAAATGTCAGTAGTGCTGAGGCTGAGAAACCCCACTCTGCTCTCTAACCAAAATTAGACACAGAAAGTGGAGACATTCTACCACCCTGACAACATCAATGGCTTTTGCCCATTTAAAACAAGAAAGAGGAATATGTATCCAACCCAAAACAACATCTTAACATTCTTTCTAATAGGCTTTTGCAAAAATAGTTCATATTTTATAACTGTCTTGCAGCATGGGGTATAAGTGTAATCATTGTAAAAATGAAACCTAATCATTGTAAAAATGAAACCTAATCATGGTAAAAATGAAAAGAGTGCCTCAAAACATCTGAAGTTCTTAGCAGAGGGCAGCCTGTCTTCAGTGGGCACTTTTGGATGGAGGCAGGACTAGGGTATCAGTAGGAGTGAGAACAAAGGTCAGAAAAATGAGTACACAGCACATGTATACTGATTAATTTCTTTCTTTTTTCCTTCTTTTGATGGAGCAAGACTGTAACAGAAGCCTGAGAGTGAGGAAGGGCTTTGCCAACTATTACTGTAGACACAGTAGTTTACTCAATTTTATGAACTCTTAGTCCTGGGCTGGAATTCACGCCTCTGCTGGAATTGCACAGACAAAACGTGCTTGCGAGGAGTAAGGTGGCAACAAAAGAAAAATGCAGGCAAAAACACGCCTCATTTTGAAACCGGATCTGAGCATCCTAGAGCCAGAGCCTCTCCCAGCCAACATTGCTGAGTTGAGCAGAGTGACAGACTCCACACTGGAGCCAGCCCCGCAGCTGGCCATAAGGAGGAGCCACGAGCAGGTGCTGGGAAGACAGGCTCTTGAACGCACACTATGCTGATGTCTCTTTCTGTGAAGTTTTCTACATGAGTGACGTTCTCAAAGTCTGCAACACAGTCTGCCATGAGATGCCTTTTTTCCTCTGGGAACACAATGCTACTTTCGTGATTGGCTGAGTAATGGCCCCCAAAGATGTACTCTTCATCCTAATCCCTGGAACCTGTAAACATGTTACCTTATATGGCAAAAGAGACTTCGGGCAGGCACCTGTCATCCCAGATACTCAGGAGGCTGAGGCAAAAGAATCGCTCAAACCTGGGAGGCGGAGGTTGCAGGGAGCCAAGATTGTGCCAATGCACTCCAGCCTGAGCAACAAAGTGAGACTCTGTCTCTAAAAAAAAAAAAAAAAAATTTCTCAGATGTGACTCAGTGAAGGATTTTGAGATGGGGAGAGTATCTTGGATTAGCCAGGTGAGCCTGATATAATCACAGAGTCCTTATAAGAGGGACAAAGGAAGAGTCGATTAGAAACAGACCATGTGATGACAGAAACAGAGGGAGGTCAGAGGTGAAAAAGAGAAGATGCTGCAGTGCTGCCTCTGAAGATGAAGGAAGGGGCCATGAGCCAAGGGATGCAGGCAACCCTTAGAGGCCAGGAAAGGCAAGGGAACGGATGCTTTCCTAGAGCCTCCAGAAGGAGCACAGCCTGGTCAACACTGATTTGAGCCCCATAAGACTGAGCTCAGTCTTCTGACTTCCAGAACTGTAAGAGAATAGATTCGTGTTGTTTGCACTTTATGGCCATTTGTTACAGGAGCAACAGGAAATTAACATACCATGTTTGGGCCAGGTGCAGTGGCTCACAGGTGAGCCTATAACCCCCAGCACTTTGGGAGGCCAAGATGGGAGGATCGCTTGAGGCCAGGAGTTCAAGAACAGCCTGGACAACATGGCGAAACTCCATCTCTATAAAAAATGCAAAAATTAGCCAGGCATGGCGGTGCATGCCTGTAGTCCCAGCTCCTCCGGAGACTAAGGTGGGAGGATCGCTTGAGCCCAGGAGGCAGGGGTTGCAGTGAGCCAAGATTGTACCACTACACTCCAGCTGGGGCAACAGAATGAGACCCTGTCTCAAAATAAAAACATATCATGTTTGAAGAACCACCAATAGGTATCTTGCTCTGTGACTTGTGATCCTTAAGTCAACATATATATATATATATAGTCACAGGAAGTCGATACATATATGGGATAATCACCAATCTCTAAGATACATAGCATGCTCATAAAATAGCCAAGCTCTGTGCTGAGAGACAAAGACATAAGGCTCATTGGTAACGGTGGTAATAGCAGCTCTCGGTCTGAGCGATGTTTGGCATCTGAAGTCACCATTAGCATTTTCAGAGAAGTCCAGCTTTTTACCATATAACCATTCATTCTGTCTTCCAATGTGATCCTTAAGGAAAAAAAAAATTCCCCCATAGTCGTGTGATGTTTAAAATGTGTTTATTATACCTTGCCTGTCATTTTTCTGGCTTTTAGCTAAAATGTTTTGAATTGAGTGGTGATATTCCCGACTTAACTCTGAACCCTCTCTATTCAGGTCTGTGAGAACTCCTGACGTCTGAAGCTTGACTCCCAAGTTTCCATAGCAACAGGAAAAAAAAAAATCTATCCAAATCTGAAGATTGCGGTTTACAGCTATCGAACTTCACAACTAGGCCTCAATTGTTCCGGTTTTTTATTTTCTTTACAATTTCACTTAGTCTGTACTTCATCATTTTGACAGCATCTTCCTCCCTCCTTTAATTAATGGAATCTTCTGAATTTTCCCTGAATGTTTAAAGATCATGACATATGACTTGATCTTCTGGGAGCAGGAACAATGACTACTTTTTCTGGTGTGTTAACATGTCGCTAGCCAGTGCTCCAGGCACCCAGCTTTGTCTGTGGGTTAGTATTGGTGTATGTATGAGTATCTGTATGTATATATACACGGTATTTATAGAGAGAGACTATCCTGGAGAAGCCTCGTTTTGATGCCATTCTTCCTTGCAAGGTTAAGCAAGGTGGGTGGAAACTAAGACACCTGAACCCTCCAGGGCCTCCCGCATCAAGGTCAGCATGAGGACAGACCACAGAGCTGTCACTTTTGCTCCGAAGCTACTTCTCCACTGTCCCGTTCAGTCTGAATGCTGCCACAACCAGCCAGGCAGGTCCACAGAGAGGGAGAGCAGAGAAAGAAGTCCTTTCTCTTTATTGAGTTCGAGGACTACAACCAATTTACACTGCCATCTGATGCCGTGATCCTGAGCCAAGGAGGTGAGGAGCAGAGCAGGCAATTTCACCACCAAATGCCAAGAAAAGGGCTGACATTTTCTTTCATGGGCACCAACCTGCATTTGTATGTGTCCCGAATCCACAGTCGTACTGATTCTAATGGGGACACAGATCATGGTAGAGAATCTCTCCCTCCTCAGTAAATGTACAACTGCACCTGTCATCATGGAGGTCATACATGCATACAAAGAGGTGTACAGGTACCATCTTGTATACACATATATACCCACATGTACAGACATACATTTATGCACATTCACGCTGTTTGTTTCATATATACAGGCATAAAATAGAGTAAATACAGGTAGTTTTAAAAGTACCCTTTTGTGTGAATTGACTACCGTTGTTTGCAAACCCGAAAATAAAAGACGTTCATTATGTATGAAAAGTAACTGATTTGTATTCTGTGAGCATGTAAAAGCGGAAAGTTAGTGCTTGTTCTAAGATTACCTTCTTGTTGATAAACCATAAATGAATCATCAAAGCTCACACCAAATTTTTCTATCAAATAAAACTAGTGACAGCTTGTGGCTTTTTATTAGAGCTCGCCACGAACTAGGGTAAGGTGAGTGTCTTAGCATATTTTAATGCAGTTGCTTACTAAAGGTTTTAACCGCACATGCACACACACACGCTTTCTTATGCAATCTATGTTTGCACTTGTGCTTTCAGTTAGCCTTCTGTAGGAAGTAGAAGTCATATGTTGTCTTTGTTGTAGTGAAATTATACAGATAGAGTTCCATATATTGTATTTGTTTCAATGGTAAATCCTTTTGGAACATATAGAATGCAGAGATTTTTTTTTCCATTAAAATAAATGGGTATTGGTGGTTAAAACTGCTGGACAGTAACTGTTCTCTGATTTCTATCTTGTGTCCAATGTCACTGATGTTGGGTCTTGTCTTAGTGCAAGTTCACATTTTTGACAGACCATTTGGGGTCCGTCGTACATCTCTGGTTGGTGAGTGAGTCTATGAAGACAGAAGTACCAGTTCTCAGCATGGGCCATGGACTCATCTTGTCCACCTCATGATATGATCTGAGGGTGTCATAATCAGCTATAAAGGTAATTGCATACTCAAAGATGAGACGGACCATTCTCAGTTGATGACCACATTAAGCATAGTCATGGCCATCTGTCAACAGTCCCAAGACCTGGGGATTTTTCTCTGGAACAAATCCTGTTGCTGGATCAGGAGATGCCACACCTTGAACTTGATAGGGTCATTCTCCACGAGCACATGCCCCCGACTCAGGGACAGGGGAATCTAAGCCTGTGCATTCACACTCCACAAGATTTCCTCTACTGGCTTTACAGGGCACTGTCACGCGTCTCCCGGGCGCACCTTGCTCCCCTCTTCCTGCAAGGCAGGGGGAGAACGTTCATCCTTGAACAAACAAAGAGCATCCTCAGCCAGTCAGGCGGCTGGTAGCCGGACACATATGCTAACTGGCAATCAGGAAGTCACCCTCCAATGTAAACTTCAGCCACATGCAGGGAGAAACACAGCAGCTGAGTGGCCATTCACTCAAGGAAACAAATACAGCATGACTCCTTTTCTCTCAAGCTGGTAGGCTCTCCTGCACTTTGTGAACCGAACCAGAAGATTAACTTCGCTGAAAATTCAGAAAAATAGGAGTAAAGTGCACACTTCATTAATAAATAGAATATGCCTCAACTTTCCCTTATTTAAACATATTCTCTGTCCCCACAGTTCTAATCAGGACAGAGATACTTCTGTCATGTTGTTCCTCCTAATAGTTTCCAGAAAAAAAGGAAAATAAACCAATTCTTATAGGCCAAAGTGGTAGCATTTCCTGAATCATAAGATGTTTTGTTCATTTGCTGGAATATATTACATTGTTTACTGAAAACCATAGTAGAATCAAAATGTTATTTCATTATTACCTATGCATTTTATCTGAGTCCAACTTATTAAAAAACGAAGTCAAGTAAGGACCAGAAATTGCTTTTCCCAATTACTGAGCACAGGTCTGAGGGTTTTATTTCCACTGAGCAAATAGTCACACCTTCACTTCTTTTTATTAATACTCAACCAACTTAGTTGATTAAAAATCACATTTTCTCCCTCATTTTACATACGATAAATTAATTATTTTGGATAATTTGTTTTAATAAGAATATGCACACATTTTCTAATTTCAATAAAAGTCACCTTCAATACCGCCAGTTCTCTCCAAATGAGCATCATTCCAGGCAGATATACCTGCTGTGCCTCTTGGCCGACACCAGCAAATCTAAGCATTATAACGAAATAAATCCAGCCAGATTTCATGGTAGGTATCAAATAAGACTTTGGCTCTTAAAGAACATCGTTAGAAATTTTGATAGCTCATTCCAGAGTTTCAGAATGTCATTTAAAACAGTCTGATAAATGGAACAACCATCTACCATCACACTCATAGAGTAGCTCAAATTGCATTTTACCCAAATAAATACACTGGGTCTTAATCTTAAGATGTGACAACTAAAAAATTTTTAACAAGTCTGTGTTTGATCCTGGATTTAGTGCAGTTGCACCCAGGCACGAGCTCTCCAGATGATTCTGAGGAAAGGAGTCTACAATTTTCCTAGGGGGTGTATGAACATGGTACCAAAAAGGTGATTAATAATTATAATAATGGTTTATATTTATCAACTGCTTATTATGTGCCCACACTGTACAAAATCCTTACAGATAGTAACTCATTAATCCCTCCAGTAACATATGAGACAAGCACTACTATCTTCTCCAACTCACAGATAAAGAAGGCTGAGGCTCAGAAAAATTGAATGGCTTGCCCAAGGTAAGTGGCCTCCAGAACCAAACCTCAGGCTATCTGGCTCCAGGGTTCATGTTCTTCCGACAACATCACAATGCCACTCTCAACCCAGGAGCAAAACCAGACAAAGTGCCTACTGCAGACCGGAAGACCCTCGTTTGAAGCCTCCATTAGCGTGACTATGCAGCTAGACCAACTTACTGTTAAGCAACAGTACCTTTTACTATGAGGTACCCTTTACTATTAAGTACCTTTTACTAACAGTATCTTCTGTTACCTATTATTAAGTTCATGCTATACTTCTTCAATCTGAAAGCTTTCTGTTAAAAAAAAAAATGTTAACATCGTTCTAAATTAATATTGAGACCTTAGAAATTTTTCCTGTGCAAGATAACGTAATTATTTGCCCCTTCCCTTCCATGGCTTGTTAGCAGGTAGATGAGGGGCTTCTCCTAGATTAATTTAACATCTCAGTTAATCAAAAGTAGCCGGGCATGGTGACTCATGCCTGTAATCCCAGCCCTTTGGGAGGCAGAGGCGGGTGGATCACTTAAGGTCAGGAGTTCAAGACCAGCCTGGCCAGCATGGTGAAACCCTATCTCTACTAAAAAATACAAAAATTAGCTGGGTGTGGTGGTGCACACCTGAAACCCCAGCTACTCAGGAGGCTGAGGCAGGAGAATCGCTTGAACCCAGGAGGCAGAGTTTGCAGTGAGCCATTGCACTCCAGCCTGGGCAACAGAGCAAGACTCCGTCAAAAAAAAAAAAAAAAAAAAAGAAAGAAAAGGAAATTTATGAACTCCAGAGTACCCATTCACTACCAAACCAACTGAGGGGAGAGAAAACTGAGGGAGAAAGTGGGGTGGGGTCTCAAAGGGTTTGCACTGTGCTTTGCTATAAATCATTCAAAGGGGCAAATTCTAAAGGATCTCTAAGTAGTTGCTGATTTTGTAAAGGTAGCCCATAAATCTGTTTACGTGTAGCTGCCTTAAACATGAGTCAACAGGGTAAGTCACACCAACAGGAAACCCAAGCACTAAAAAAGCCACCTACCTTTTCTGTTTACCAAATACTAAGAATAATAATCTAATAATCTGGCTACATCTTTCATAAAGACCTCCATCTTCTCTCCTTAACTGACTGTTGAGATTTGATAATTTTCACAGTCTAATGATAAAATGCTTTCAAAATGGTTCATCTAACACAATTAACAATTCTTTTACTATATGCAATGTGTTACCCTTACTATATTTCCTATTGCTAATAGATTAGCCCACTATTGAAAAAATTCTGCAGTTGTGACCGTGTTCACATGAAAGCATATACAAGACATGGAGAGACAGCAAAAAATGGTGGGAATGGGTGTGTGTATGAGGGTTTCAGATAAGAACTTCAATTATATAATTTAAGAAGAGTCAGTCTATAATTTAAGCAGAAATAATTGAGATACTCATCAAATTAAGTAAGCGGAAAAATTTCCTCTCTCTCATACTATGTTGCTATCATCACATCTATCGTTGGAGGGTTGCTGAGCTTGATACGCCTTTGAACCATTTTATTTGACTTTCCACGTGCCGTCTCATTGGTAGGGAGATGGTGAAAAGCGTTGGGTGGTGTAGGACGAGGGAGGTTTTCACTCTGAAGCTATGAAGATTTGGAGAAAGGGGCTTATAGAAGCACTATGAAAATAAACTGGAGACTATTTTTTTGCTACTTTTTAAAAAGCTTTTTCTTTAGAGAGTACTAAAGCCATTCTATATCTGTCGTACACATGAATTCAGACTATTATTAGAGAGTTATATCTGTGTTGTCATGCACATGTCAACACTGTCCTGATGACAAAATTTTATGTATCCCCCCAGATAAAAATTTTAAGAAATTTTAAATGCTTTTTATTCACACACACTTTTCAAAAGGGATAAAAGTTAATCATGTTAAAATATTCAGTCTATGGCAGATGTCGCTCCTTTGGGCCCTCACTGCTGAATTGCTTACAGTTTCTGAGCTGTAAACTAACATTTGCTTTACTATGTAGTTACAGAGAAATGTGCAACTTGTTTGTGAAACATTCAAATAAAGCTTATCTGGGATTTTTAACTTGTGTGTTTAGTCTTAGACCATCTTTAGTACAGTCTGGTCTAAACACTGTGACAGAGCAAAGGGACCTTTTTTTCCAATGGTGCACAGTGTCATGGGTGCAACTGGCTGGTGCCGGTGTTGTGGATGGTAAAAGAATTTACCGGCAGGGCGTGGTGGCTCACGCCTGTAATCCCAGCACTTTGGGAGGCCAAGGCGGGCAGATCACCGGAGGTCAGGAGTTCGTGACCAGCCTAGCCAAAGTGGTGAAACCCCATCTCTACCAAAAATACAAAAATTAGCTGGGCACAGTGGCGCATGCCTGTAATCCCAGCTACTCAGGAAGCTAAGGCGGGAGAATCGCTTGAACCTGGGAGGCGGAGGTTGCAGTGAGCCGAGATAGCGCCGCTGCACTCCAGCCTGGGTAACAGAGTGAGACTCTGTCTCAAAAAAAAAAAAAAAGAAGAAGAAGAAGAAGAAGAAGAATTTACCAATTTACCAAGACAGTTGTAGGTAAAGAAAGGCTGATTATTCAAGGGAAAGTACGTTGCAAGGAAGCAACAGGCAGCACAGCAGAGAAGGGGATGTCTGGAAAGAGGCAGGGGCTGGAGGGAAGTTTTATAGGGTTGTGCTGGAGGATGTTACACTTGGAGTGAGGTAGTTGTGCCAGCGGCTTGTTTGTGATTAGCTGTCTCTTGGAACAGTTGTTCCCTACCTGGGACCCCCCTTCCTCATTGTTGCTTACTTATCAGGACTCCACACCAGGTTAGCCTATGATGTTTAAAAACCAAGACTAAAACCAAGTGCTGCCTGCTTAATAATTGGCTCTCTTCTGCTTCTTTCATAAAAGTCAATCATTCTGATTTGGAAAAACAGATATATAGATGATAGAAGGATAGATGGATAGATGATAGAGAGAGAGAGATAGAAAGAGAGAGAAGATAGCAAGAAGGTTAGTGAGATCATTTTGTAAAAAAAGGAGGGGGCCAGATGTGGTGGCTCACGCCTGTAATTCCAGCAATTTGGGAGGCAGAGGTGGGCCGATCACCTGAGGTCAGGAGTTCAAGACCAGCCTGGCCAACATGGAGAAACCTCGTCTCTACCAAAAATATAAAACTAAGCCAGGTGTAATGGTGGGCACCTGTAATCCCAGCTACTCAGGAGGCTGAGGCAGGAGACTCTCTTGAACCTGGGAGCCGGAGGTTGCAGTGAGCCAAGATAGTGCCACTGCACTCCAGCCTGGGCAACAGAGCAGAGCAAGACTCCAACTCAAAAGCGAAAAAAAAAAAAAAAAAGGGAAGGGGGTATTCGTTAAGTGCTTCCTACGGGCCGGATACTTTACGTATCTATATAGATGTGTATATACATATTACCTTGTAGTTATATTTGTAATTTATGTGTAATACATAATTATATATCATATACATAATTTATGTAATAGACATTAGCACCATTCTATAGATGAAGAAACTGAGGTTCACACAGTTAAAACTATCTCACAGTAGGTCTCACGACTACTAAGTGATATGCATGGCCCCACCCTGGCACTTTTCTTGCTATATGCTAAGGCAGCACCACCCCATTTATCTCCAGGAACAAACTGTGTCATCACAAACAATGCATGAAAGTGCTGAGGACTAAGCAAGTTGTCAATGATGGGGGATGAAGCAGAGGAAACCCAAACTTGCAAATCTGGTCTATAAGAAAACTTTCCTTCCCCCTAGGCAGTCTGTCTCCAGGAAACTGCTAGTTTGGGTAAATAAATAGCAAACGGATGCCTTGGCAGCCAGTCATAGAGACGCTAATTTGGAAATTTGCCTCAAAAGAACATAAGAAACAGAAACCAATGCTTCAATCCGAAAGCAAGAGAACGTGAAATTGTCAGAACAACCACCGATCACACCATTCTCCCCGAGAAAAGCAATTTTCTAGGTTTTTGTTTGTTTGTTTGTTGTTGTTTGATTTTTTTACAAACAAGTCCTCAAAGAGACCTCCTTGTGCTTTGGTAATGCGAGGCAAAATATCCACTCATTCTAACCAGGGCACACCCTTGAGAGGGTAGCAACGCTGGATTTTTACATGGGAATCCAAGCCAAGAAGACTGGTACCAGGATGGTGGTGTTTCTAGATTAAATCTGCCGTTCTGTGTCTGTAACTAAGCCCTACCTTTGCTTGGATGATGACTGTCGTGCCCCAGCCCCTCCTCGTGCCAGCGGGACAGCATCCTCCTCCTGAGGCTTACTAGCACCTGAAGGATTGTTCTGTGAAAAACAGGGACCCAGCACCTGCTGACATCCCTCAGCATCCTCTCTGAGTTTATCCCCACGGAGAAGAAGCAAGTCGATGTTACCCTGATGCAGTCATAGTTCCTGTGCTTCCCCTTATCAAATTTTGTAACCATGTTGTTTCACAGCACACGCAATGTCTTCACCCTTTGGCTCCCTGCCTTCTTTCAAGGCAGGATTTTCTAAACTTTAATCCCAAGGGAATATCGTCCCTATTTAGCCGTCTCCCTGTCTCATCTCTCAGCACCTTCACTAACTCTGCCACACTGAAATGCCACCTGTACCATCAGCTACAACTCTAGTTTTAAACTACGTAATTTTACATTTATAATTTTGGCTTGAATTTATTTTAAAAGAAGCTGGTACATTGGCCGGGCATGGTAGCTCATACCTATCAACCCAGCATTTGGAGAGGCCAAGGCAGGTAGGTAGATGGTTTGAGCCCAAGAGTTCAAGACCAGCCTAGACAACATGGCGAAACTCCATCTCTACAAAAAATACAAAGATTAGACAAGCGTAATGGTGCATACCTGTCGCAGGAGGATTGCTGGAGTCTGAGAGGTTGAGGTTACAGGGAGCCATGACTGCGCCACTGCACTCCAGCCTGGGTGACAGAGTGAGACCCTGTCTCAAAAAAAAAAAAGAAAAAAGAAAAAGAAAACTCTACATTATAACAACATGAATGAAAAACCAGTATCACTTGGAATACAATAAAGCAGCAGTAAAAATAAATACAATGAAAACAAACAAAAAAGCATAATTACCTTTTAGCTGGATACTATGTCTACTTAAGGTCTGCGTATGAAACTCTCTGTATTAAAATGAGAGATAGATAAGGATTAGAGAGGTCTCAAAGACACAGTAATATCCACCTGAGACCCTCTGCTTGTCAGGATCACTCAAAGAGAAATGAAAATGGAATGAATGAATGTCAACCGTGTGAGTCAGGCTTTTGTATCACCTGTCCACACAGCACCTAGAACCATTTTAGTAGAAGCAAAACAAGCAAAGTTGCATGAACAGGAGGTAAGGAAGTGGATCAAGTAACTAAGACAATAAGTCCTTCCTTTCTAGAAGCTCCCCTATGAGCAGTAGCTCAACAAGGGCACACAGTCAGTGGAGGTTCACCCTGGTTGGACTGGTTTCCATTTTCTATTTGTTTTTTGTGCAGCGGGGGTGGGGCGAGGGGTTGGTCACTTTTATGTGCTGAGAAGGAGGAATCATTGGAAAAAAGAAAATGAATGCAGGAAGCAAGTTCCTGGAGTTGAGGAAAGAGAATGGGATCAGGGCCCAGGTCTCTCTGCCTTAGACAAACGCAGAGCCCTGTGCGCGAGGAAGAACACTGCTTCCTGAGACAGAAAGGATCGTTAGCTAGTGACACGGGGGTTAATGTAGGAACTTAGGAATGCACGCAGGACGGGAGTTAAGGGGTTTTGATGGACAGTCTCCATTTTCTCCACAAAATAGAATATAAGGTCATCCTCTGAGGGTGAAGGGGATAAAGTCCTGGATTTGGGGGGACCAGAAAGGTTTGGAATGGCTACTGAAGGGCCAGGGCTAGGGCAGCCCAGGTCACTAGAAGGAAGGGGCACCCTTCACTGACCCTGCTGTGGCACCGCCCATCAGGTGAAGGTTGCTCAGCAGCAGCATGAGGCAACCTGGGAGGAAAGCAAACCAGGGGAGCAGCTGCTGGGCCCCAGGGCTGGGCCTACAGAGCTGACGCAGGTGCAACTAGGCAAAGAACATTCCAGTTCCTCCAAGGCCCCGCTAGGATCATTCCATCGCTGCTCACACAAGGCAAACGCACAAAGCACCTCATTGCATGTGGTCACATGGACAGACCAACACCTTCCATAGTGTATTTTATTATTACTGTTTTTTGAGACAGAGTCACAATCTGTTGCCCAGGATGGAGTGCAGGGGATAGATCTCGGCTCACTGCAACCTCTGCCTCCCCAGGTCAAGCGATTCTCCTGGCTCAGCCTCCTGAATAGTTGGGATTACAGGTGCACG
Source organism: Homo sapiens (assembly GCF_000001405.40). Taxonomy (NCBI): domain Eukaryota; kingdom Metazoa; phylum Chordata; class Mammalia; order Primates; family Hominidae; genus Homo; species Homo sapiens. The sequence continues at coordinate 83,804,918 of NC_000016.10, forward strand.
CCACCTAGCCCAGCTAATTTTTGTATTTTTAGTAGAGATGGGGTTTCGCCACACTGGCGAGGCTGGTCTTGAACTCCTGGTCTCAAGTGATCTGCCTGCCTCAGCCTCCCAAAGTGCTGGGATTACAGGCATGAGCCACCATGCCCAGCCACCTATCATAGTACAGATCCAAGAAAGGAGGCATGTCAAAAGAATGGCCCAGAGAACCAAAAAGCAATTATAAAAGTACCATAATAAGCGCACGTAAAACAAAACTGTCTTGAATGGAAAAAGGGAGTTACAACATGCAATTAATCTAGGAAGAGCTTTAAAAAAAAAATGCCAAGAGGAGGTAAGACAACTATGACACTTAAATAAAGGTTAAAAATGAGAGTTGTTCAAAACCGAAGTTTAAAGGTTAATTACTGGTGCCTTACACGTAATACATTAGTTTTGTTAATGGGACAATATTCAGTTAGGTTCGGTGTGTCAGCCCCACAAGGTGAGTATGTCAGCCATGAGTATAAATTAGTGAAGCTTCCGTGAAAAGCAGCCCTTTAACAGACCTTGGTCTCCACACAGAGAAAGCATACTGCCTGTCTGTTTAAGTGCAAAAAATAAAGGAACAAATAATGCCTCCACTAAAAGAGTATCAAGTTTGTTTGTTGTTCATGTAAAGCAAATTTCCAATTGGAATTTGAAAAAAAAAAACCACAAGTGTCTTACCAGAAAAGGAAAGAAAAACTCCAGATTCTCGTGCTAATTCATGTTCCTGAGTTGCCCACAGCCATAAGACAGGTTTGCTCAGAGATCCAGGGTGCAGGCACCCAGCTTTCTTTGCTGAGTGTGGGAGTCCCAGGGATTGGGGTCTAAAGTCAGAAGCCTGAGGGCTTTCTTCACCTTGGCTATTCACTAGTTTTTAAGGAGTTCTGAAGTTTTATGAAAAGTCTTTTACGATTAGCTGGGCATGGTGGTGCTCACCTGTAATCCCAGCTACTCAGGAGGCTGAGGCAGGAGAATCGCTTGAACCGGGGAGGCGGAGGTTGCAGTGAGTCGACATGGTGCCACTGCACTCCAGCCTAGGCAACACAGCAAGACTCCATCTCAAAAAAAAAAAAAAAAAAAAAAAAGTCTTTTAAGAAAACTGAGATACTGGCATCTAGTAGGTAGAAGTCAGAGATGCTGCCCAACGTCCTACAATATACAGGGTGCCCCCTCCACCACCAACAATAAAGAACGACTTGACTCAAATGCCAGTATTGCAGCTCTTGAGAAACTCTGCTCTAAGCTCAAAAAACTCAGAGAATTCTAGAATGGTGAGAAAAAAGGAGAAGATGCAGAGTCAGGAAGTCCTGCGTCTCTTACTTCCTTAATTTGATGACCTTGTTCCAGTTTCTTAACGCCTCTGCATCTGTTTTCTCAAAAATGTAAAATTATGATAATTATATCACAGGGTCTTCTGAGGATTAACTTAAAACACTGAGATATTTTTATTTCAAGTAGTCGGGTAAAGCACTAGCCAAATACCAGTTGACAACAGCCAATTACAAAAAAGTTGTGTATACTTACACAGAAAGGAAGATCTCTCTATAGGAAAGGATGAGGTGTGAAGGGTGAGGGGCAAAGGTGTGAGTGAGGGGGAAGGGGTGGTAAAGGGAGTTGAAGTCTCATGCCTCAAGGCCAACTGGATTCCGGGTTTGTTAGAGACACTGGTGGGTCTGGCAGAGGCGTTTGAACAAGAGCAACTCCATCTCGAATAGGAGCTGGGTAAACTGAGGCTGAGAACTACTGGGCTGCATTCCCAGACAGTTAAAGGATTCTAAGTCACAGGATGGGATAGGAGGTCAGCACAAGGTACAGGTCATAAAGACCTTGCTGATAAAACAGCTTGCGGTAAAGAAGCCGGCCAAAACCCACCAAAACCAAGATGGCAATAAGAGTGAACCCTGCTTGTCTTCATTGCTACACTCCCATTACCGCTATGACAGTTTACAAATGCCATGGCAACGTCAAGAAGTTACGCTATATAGTCTAAAAAGGGGAGGCATGAATCACCCACCCCTGGTTTAGCATATAATCAAGAAATAACTATAAAAATGAGCAACCAGCAGCCCTCAGGGCTCTGTCTATGGAGTAACCATTCTTTTATTCCTTCATTTTCTTAAACTTGCTTTCACTTTACAGACTCGCCCTGAATTCTTTCTTGCATGAGATCCAAGAACCCCCTCTCTTGGGGTCTGGATCAGGACCCTTTCCCGTAACAGCTCTAACACCTTACAGCCTCTCCCTAGCTAAAGTCAAACTGGAGCTGACCCCTCACATAGCACAGTCCTTAAATGAGATGTGTGAAAGTTTCCAGAACATGCCAGGCCCGCAGTCAAGGACTCTCCTATCCCCTTGCCATGAGACCCAATCCTAAAGACCACCTGTGGGGTTGGAACTTGAGGTTCCAAATCAGCAGTGCCCACCTCCTTCAACACCCAAACCCACAGTCTAACCCTGATGCCGGAAGCCTTCCCCACTCAACAGCAGGCATTGCGTGGAGTGAAAGAAGCCAGGCATGATGGACAGCTTCCTGTCTGAATCCCCTCATATGAACCTGACGGGCACAATGAACCTACTGGGCTAAACTCCAGACGCTGGCCACCTTCATAGGGTGGAGATGACAGAACAGGACAGGAGCCATGGGGCTCCCGGGGCGGGTAGGGGTGGGTCATGTTCCTTGGCTTGGGGGCAGTTACAAGGGTACAGTGGGGCTTGTTGAAGGGCAAAAGTTCTGTAAGTTCGTCCCGACAGGCCAAAGAAACCCCAGAGCCGTCTTTCGACTGACTACAGCCTGGAAGAGAGGCCAAGACCACTCCCTGCCTCTATTGCTCCATTTCTGAGTTGGTCTCACTTTCCACCCCACTGACGGCGCGCTGCGTGAGGGGCGGGGCATAGAGGGAGGGGAGGGGCTATGCGAAAGAAGGCGGGGAGAGTGGGGTGGGGCCGCTCCTTGGAACGGAAGCGCGCGGCCTCGAGGCCCTTCCGGTGCGGGAGAAACTACTACTCCCATAATGCCCCGCGGTCCCGCGAGCTGCCAGTCTCGTCGCGAGAAGCAGCGGCCCGGGGCGACTGAGCGGACAAACGGAAGTGTAGGTTACGGTCTGAGACATCACCGCCAAGCTGGGCATCGGGGAGATGGCCGAGACTGACCCCAAGACCGTGCAGGACCTCACCTCGGTGGTAAGGGACGGCTGTGAGGGCCGGAGGCCGCGGCCTTCCCGGGCGGCGCCGGGCCAAGCCCTGCTGGACAGAGGCGCGCCCACCGCGGCCGCGCGTGGCGTCTGCCGAGGCCCCGTTTCTGGAAGCGTCTCTGGCCGAGGCTCCCGGCCACCTTGACCCCCGGGGCGCTCGGTGCGGGCCAGTCTCCCCGCGGGCGCCCCCAAGCCCGACCCCTTCCAGTAGCCCCATTCATCTGTCGCGAACGCCCTCCGGGTCCCTCCCGCCTACCTCTGACACCCTCCCCGCCCTTCAACTCCTCACACACCCCCGGGTGCCCCAGCCCGGCAGAAACAACCTAAAGACCCTGAGCTTTGAGTCGCAGCGGCCTCCCCAGCCCAGCAGTCTAATTGGACAGGTTGGAAAACGGAAGCCCAGAGAAGGAAGATCTTGCTGAAGGCCGCACAGCTGTCCAGAGGCAGAAATGGGGCTGGAACCCCGGGACCAGGGCTTGCGTCCTGATCCCAGGAAGTTGTCTCAGGATCGATGTGGACCGTGTTTGTTTGTTTCGGTTTTTCTTAGGTGCAGACACTCCTGCAGCAGATGCAAGATAAATTTCAGACCATGTCTGACCAGATCATTGGGAGAAATATCCTTTTTATCTGCAGTCGGCCTCCTGTGGGCCTTTGGAGCCTATTTGCCGGGCAGTGGTGGGGATAAATGAGTAGTTTTCAGGCTAGCTTCAGCCATTCACTTGTAGAATTTGAGCTTGGATTGTACTGTGTTTCTGAGAAGGACTGCGCCGAGAGCTAGGGGCAAAGCTGAGTTAGACTCCTGGCTCAAGGAGCATACGTCTACCAATCCTAATAGCTGGTGTGGTGGACCATGCACTGTGAACTAAGCGCTTTTGTGTGTGTCTTTTGATGCTCAGCATGACCTTATGAGTGGGTTGTAGTGTTATCATCTTTAGCAAATGAATAAATTGAGGTTTAGGGGTTCCATCACTAGTAAGGGTCAGGGCTGGAATCCGATGCGGGGTAGCCATGCCCCACAGTCCTGTACTCTTACCCACCAGCGTGTAACAGTGTCGAAAGAAAATTGGAAGACCAGTTTCCCTAAAGTCGTTGTGTTTAAGGCTGTAGTCTGCAGGGACGGGAGGAAAAAGGCTCAATGAGATGTTGGCACGCGTTGTCTTTAACTTCAGCACTTGATGATATGAGTAGTCGCATTGATGATCTGGAAAAGAATATCGCGGACCTCATGACACAGGCTGGGGTGGAAGAACTGGAAAGTGAAAACAAGATACCTGCCACGCAAAAGAGTTGAAGGTGAGGAAGGGGGCAATTTTTTTTTTCTTTTCTTTTCTTTTTTTTTTTTTTTTTTTTTTTGACACGGAGTTTTGCTCTTGTTGCCCAGGCTGGAGTGCAATGGCACGATCTCGGCTCCCTGCAACCTTTGCCCTCCTGGGTTCAAACGATTGTCCTGCCTCAGCCTCCCGAGTAGCTGGGATTACAGGCTTGTGCCACCACACCCAGCCAATTTTGTATTTTTAGTAGAGACGGGGTTTCTCCATGTTGGTCATGCTGGTCTCGAATTCTGACCTTGAGTGATTTGCCCGCCTCAGCCTCTCAAAGTGCTGGGATTACAGGTGTGAGCCGCCGTGCCCGGTCTTTTTTTTTATTTTGTCTTAAAAGAATAGAGAGAACCTGTAAGTATAATTTGTATGTAGTCAGACATTCTGTAGATCAGTTCCCAGCCATGATCCCAGCAAGCATCACTGTATTGTTTACCTGCTGTGGACTTGATGTTTTGAAATTTTTCATGCCAAACTCATTCTTTACACCGAATTTATTTTCCCAGTTTTTATTAATTAGACTTCTGTCACTATTAGTGAAGACCACTGGCTAACATTAGATAACCACTGAGTTTTTATCATTCCAGCTAATAATTAAGGTGTCTTTTTGTTGGCCTATAAAGCCTGTCACTGGAAGATTTTCCATTGCTTTTTTTTTTTTTTATGGAAATAACTGATAAGTCACCCACATTACCACCTTCTTAAATGGCTTAAATTCTGGAGACTTTCTTGGTAACTTGACATAGGTGAACTAGATTGTGGCCACATTAAGCTTTTACCCTGGAGTTCATTTAAATTTCCTCTGAATAGTTTCAGATGTCAGAGGAAAGCCTAGTAATTCAAAGTACCTACACAGCAAGATAGGTAAATGTACAGAATCACTCAGCAGAGTGCATGGTGATCCTTTTCCTCTGTATGTGTGAAAAATAAGTTTTAGACTCACTTTTCTCTTGTTTCATTTATAACATTTTAATTCTCTATAAAAATGAATGTTGCTGAGGGAGGCGGAGGTTGCAGTCGAGGTCACGCCACTGCACTCCAGCCTGGGCGACAGAGTGAGACTCTGTCTCAAAAAAAAAAAAAAAAAAAAAAAGGTACTGGTGCGTGGTGACTCATGCCTGTAATCCCAGCACTTTGGGAGGCAAAGGCAGGCAGAGGGCAGATCAGTTGATGTGAGGAGCTCGAGACCAACCTGGCCAACATGGTGAAACCCTGTCTGTACAAAAATTAGCTGGGTGTGGTGGTGCACGCCTGTAATCCCAGCTACTTGGCAGACTGAGACAGGAGGCAGAGTTTGCAGTGAGTCGTGATGATGCCACTGCACTCCAGCCTGGGAGACAGAGCAAGACTCTGTCTCAAAAAAATAAAATAAAATGGTTCCTGAGTATTTTTAGATTCGTAGAGTACTAAGCAGAATGTACAGTAAAACATGCCTAATTTCCTATTTTCTGGGCTTGCTGTGGACCACATTTTAAGTCACTGTGAAATACAGATTTGGGATGTTGAAGACAGACTCTAAAATTTGCTTTTATCTTCACAGTAGGTGGGGTTCATTCACTGTGTGAGTAAATCACATAACTGCTTTCTATGGGTTATGTCATCGTTATTCTTATCCAGAGATAATTTGGAAAAATGTCCTACCAGTCTCAGATGCTTCTGTGGGTCTCTTTTTATATTATGTGGCAATCAAAACTGCCATCAACTGACTGATTATCTTACCACAAGAATTTCAGGATGGTAGACTGGCTAGTGATGGGGGTCATTCAAAGAAAAGAGTGGGAGTAGGAAACTGACTCTGAAACTTTTAAAGATATTTCCAGTTAAATCTATTGCTAAAATATTGCCAGAAGAAAATAAGTTTAACTCAGTAGGAGAGTGGAAAGGGATTTGTAGTTGATAGGTCTATATGTCATTTTTACTTGTGCTCATATAATGAAAAACATGTTGATGATTTTTCCTTCTTCAACAGGTTGCTAATAATTTATACTGGAATCTGGCATTTTTCCAAGCCAAGAGAAGATCGAATGGCTTTTTGCAGCTAACTACTATGTGTAGACAGGTTTTATATTATAAAGTATGCATTCTTATCACCTAGTATATAGTTAGTTTGTAGAGTGATTTCCCCCCAGTTTCTTGAACATGGTATCTTCACATCTTGGACCTTGGTCAGTTGTGCTATTCATTATTAAACACTAAAACTTTGGCGGTTCTTGCATAACATTGTCAGATTTTTTAGTGTATTTCTGTGAAGTCATTTTTTTTCTTGTCATTCCTTTTGTAGTAGTTGCTGTTTGGATAAAAGTTGATGTGTGATTTTTTATTAAACAAATAGTAAACCCTTCAATTATAGTTAGTCTTGGTGAAGTAAGATGTTTGTAGACTTTAGAGTTCTTTAATTCTTGGCACAACGTGACTGTTGAGCTAACACCAAATAGTGTGTTGGCAATACTTTTCAAATGGCTGAAAACACCTAAAAATTGTTCATTCAGAAATATCTGTCACTGCTCTGTTGCCAAAACTCAGAATAGAACTTAGACGTATGTCTGAGTCCCTGAGATCACATGCTAAAGTCGATGAAAAGTAACCACTGCCACTGTCTTGTGTCAGAACTTTTACAGTACAGAAAATAACAGAATAGCCTTCTGTAATGAGGCGTTTGTTAGAGTTTTGCATGAGATTCTAATACTTCAGTAGGACCCTACCTACGTGGTTCATCTACAATGGTTACCATAAAAAATCTGGCAGGATTTTAAAACTCAATCAGTCTTTCCTTTGAGCTAGTGACTTGAAAAGAAAGAGAGAAGGAAAAGAGACCATATTAAGTCCATGCCAGTTGCTTGGCTAGAATATGATCAACGACTTGTAGTAGACTCAAGTTTTTAAAAAACACTATTTTACTTAAACTGTTTCTTATCTAAATTCTTGCAGAGTGTCAATGTTATCATTGATTATAGAAGACAGGGATAATACCTTTATCTCTGGCCACTCAAAAATGCAGTGCCAGGAGTGCTAAACCTAGAGGCCAATACTGATGACCTGGAAGGTGATCCATATGATTGTCACCACAAAGTGCTTTTACACAAAAACTTGAAAATTTGAAAAACATGATTTTTTTAAGTTTCTCATCTCACCAGTCTTGGTGTTTATATTGCAAATCTATCAAAGTAAGAAATAATTTGTGCTGTATACAAATTACATGGGGAACATAAAGGAGTGAGATCCTTCTGTGATAAAATGAATTCACCACTCTGGTTACCCAACTACAGAACCTCCTTTGATCAGGCCAGTAGGTTGTGATGCAGGCTGGAGCCCCCGAATGCCCCACACACACTGCAGCATTGACCAGACCATCCGAAACCTGCGTCCCTGGTGATGTTCTCAAGCCTCGGAAGTGGCAAATGGAAATGATATGGCCGGTTGCGGTTGTAGGAGAGTTGTGACTTAGGCAGGAGTCGACCTCCTCAAGTAATGGAACGATTTCAAAGGCAGGCTGCCCTGACCAAAAATATCTGCCATGAATAAAGGTGCCTGAAATCCTGCTATGAAGCTTCCTTTGTGTCAAAAATCTGTTTGGTTTTCAGATGGAAATGCAGAAATCACATTAGAGTATCAACTAAAACCTCTGGACGGATTAAGTACAAGTAGCCCAAGGCAAAGCAGGAGAGGGGGTGTTGGGGGAGGTTGCCTGCTGGAAGGGGAAGCTGAGGAGCGGGAGGAGGGCTTGCCAAGACTGGCATTGCAGGAGACTTGTCTCAGGTGTGTTCCCAGAACTCTTGCCCCTGGAGATGCTGCAGGAAGGAAGGGGTTATGGTCACTTGGGTTTAGACGACATTCTGTGAACCTCATGAAGAAATTAGCATATTAAAGACTCTGAAAGTAGAGCAGAGAACTCAGCTTTAACCTGCTCACCTGCTAGTTTTCGAGGTCTCGCTCTGTTGCCCAGGCTGGAGTGCAGTGGCACAGTCATAGCTCACTTGGAGCCTGAAGCTCCTGGGCTCAGGCAGTCCTCCTGCCTCAGCCTCCCAAGTAGCTAATATTACAGGTTCGTGCCACCGCACCTGGGTCTTGCTGTGTTGCCCAGGCTGGTCTAGAACTCCTAGGCTCAAGCAGTCCTGTCTCAGCCTCCCAAAGTGCTGGGATTACAGGCTGGAGCCACCATGCCTGTCCAAGGGTCTTTTTTATACTATATGAAGTATTCCTTCTCCAGCTATTCTTGTTCGTTTACCAGCCAGTGAAGATTCTCTTGAGGGCTGAACAATACAGATGAGTATGGGGGCCCTCGCACCAAGGAAAACAGCGTTACATTTAATTAAGTGCCCTGTCTCAAACCCCAAGGCCCCACAGCTTCTTCATTTGGCCCCTAGTTCATCCTGCTTTCCTTTGAGCCACAGGATTTTAAAATATTTCAATCTTATTTTCATATCAATTTTTTCTTTGTTTCACTACAAGTACAGTCATTGTTTAACCCTATCAGGACTAACACAATATTTCACGTAACTAAGAGTTAATTTGCCCTTGTGAGTCCTTGGAATTTAAGCCCCACACACACACACTTAGAGCACTGTTGCTATGGGAACATAGAGTCCTCCAAACAAAAGTGAACTTTTTCAACATGCTGTTTGTAAATGGAAGCCTTCCCAAGCAGACACTGTGTTCCTCTTTTATTTTGTATTTTGCACATTATATATTTTGATTAGATTAAAATGGAGGAATTTGCAGGATGTGTTGTCATATCTAGCCCTGAAAGTTAACTGGTTACAGTTACCAAATGTTCACAGCTAGCGCCATTGAAAGCATTGACTGTAAACCGCTGTACTGTGCTAAGCCTTTTGTTTGCACTGTTTGGCTTAATCCTCACAACAACACTGAGAGGTTTTCATTTGATGAGTCATATTTAAAGAAAAGGAACCCAAGACGGGGAGTCAGGGGCACAAGGTCACAGCTGGTAATGATGACCCTGGAATGTCCTCACAGCTGCACACCTGCACCGCTCACAAACACAGCTGACCGTCTCACAGCTGCACACCTGCACCGCTCACGAGCACAGCTGACCGTCTCACAGCTGCACACCTGCACTGCTCACGAACACAGCTGATCGTCTGCCTCTTCGTGTGAGCTGAGCTCCGAATCTCAGCTGTCCAGGCTGTCTGGAAATCATCAGCCCCACTGGCTGGATCTCAAAATTTACTTTCAAAAGGCTGATGGAGTGTTTTCAATTAAACATGACCTAAAATTAAGTAATAAACACACTGGATGTGAGTTTTTATTTGGAATTTAAACTATTCAGAGCTGGTAGAAAATGTGTGCTCCTGGATCAGTGCCTTTTTTCTCCTAAATCAGTTGAGAACAACAACAGAAACAAATGACATTCCTCAAACATTTGCCCAGAGCACAACCACGGGGAATATGAACCACAGGTTTTCACATTGGTTTTCCATGCCTATACCTGTCCTGTCTCCCACAAAAATTATTGCTTGAGGCCCAACCCGGGGGATAAAAAGACACCCCCCCGCCACTCCGTGACCTATTAGCTTACCATCCTATTGGATTTCACTGTTTTTTGTTTTGTGGTGTTTTTTTTTTATTGCAACGAAGACTTTTAAATGGACTCATGAAGAAGCCATCACCTGGAATCTTAATCTTGCATTAATTTTAAGTGTCTGATTTTAGCTGCAGCCACTTGAGAACTTTTCAATGAATGAAAATGAGGGAGGGGAGATGCAAGTCACTGCCCAAAAACAAAACCAGAGGAATTGTGATTGAACATTGCACTTATCAACCCTACAAATTAATATGGAAATAGGAAAAGGGTTTGTTTCAACAAGTCAGGATGACAGTATTTTAAAAAAGAAAAAAAGGCCAGCCTGGGCAATATACTGAGACTCCATCTCTACAAAAAAGTAGAAAAATTAGCCCAGAGTGTGGTGGCACACATCTGTGCTCCCAGCTACTCAGGAGGCTGAGGTGGGAGGATCATTTGAGCCCAGGAAGTCGAGGTTGCAGTGAGCTGTGATCGGACGACTCCACTCCAGCCGGGGTGACAGAGCAAGACCCTGTCTCAAAAAAAAAAAAAAAGGGCGGATCCTAACGCTTGGTCCTCACACCTGAGGCTCTCACTAAGAGGTGGCTGGAAGCTCCTCAGACCGCTGCCTAGGGTTCGAGTGATCCTGAAAGCTGTACAACATCAGCCTCTGTGGGATCCCTGAGAATGATGAAATGTAATATGTGGCTGTCTCATCAACAGAGCTTCATTTTACCAAAGCATATGTAGACACCACATACATGAACTACATACCTATCGTGTAGATGCTGCCCTGCCTCATAAGAACACTCTTGACTGTCCTGCTTCACAATAATAATCTTCGCAATAATGATCTAATAATGGTCAAATTCTGTGTCTCTACCGTAGAAAACAGAATTTGACCATTTAGTCACGTTGGTCTTGCAAAATGTCCACCTTCCAAAAGAGAACAGTATTGCTTCCCAATAATTAAGAATAGTCTGGATTCAGGATCCAGCAGCTTAGAAGCGTTTAGCTACCAATAGCAAAAATCAGCCCTTTTAACAATGGTGGGATGTATTATTTCACATGGCAAGAAGTCCCAAGGGAGGGCAGCTCTGGGGCGAGTAAATTCTGCACCTCAGTAAAACTAAGAGCAAGACCCGGCCGGGCGCAGTGGCTCATGCCTGTAATCCCAGCACTTTGGGAGGCCGAGGTGGGTGGATCACCTGAGGTCAGGAGTTCTAAACCAGCCTGGCCAACATGGCGAAACCCCCGTCTCTACTAAAAATACAAAAATTAGCCAGGCGTGGTGGTGGGCGCTTGTAATCCCAGTTGCTCGGGAGGCTGAGGGAGGAGGATCGCTTGAACTCAGGAGGTGGAAGTTGCAGTGAGCCGAGATCGTGCCACTGCACTCCAGCCTGGGTAACAGAGCGAGACTCCATCTCAAAAAATAAAAAACAAAAAAATAAATAAAAAATAAAAAGACCCAACCCCAGATTTGTTCCACCTGGGTGCATCCGGTCAGAGAATGCCTTTCTTCTTCCCTTTTGTCTCCTAAGAGTGAAGAAAATGTTTCTTTGAAGGTGTTTCCACCCCACTCCTGTGCCTAAAATGATCCTGGCAAACAGGACCCGCATGATAGGTTGAGCCATGTGGTTCTTGTTTTTTTGTTGTCACAACTCAGGTTGGGGGTGTTACTGGCATCAAGAGTGTAGAAACCAGGGATGCTGCGTCAACACCCTACCATGCACAGGACAACCCTCACCCCAAAGAGTGGCACAGCCCCAAGTGTCAACAGTGCTGAGGTTGAGGAATCCCAGCTTAACCCATTCATGAGACCACCTGAGCCTGGTGTAACGGTTCTGCTGATAGTTTCCGGACCCTCAGAGGTGGAGACATAAGAGAACAATACCAGGGTTCCATCAGAAAGGAAATCAGAATGGCTATCGGGTGGACAACCTACAGTGTTTGCTACAGACCTTCTAGATGTAACTTCTAGATTATAAACACTGGTAACACTGGAGATGGTTAAATCGGAATTAGCTGACTGTCAACCTTGGTGGCACATTAGAATCACCTGGGGAGCAGTTCAAAGGCCCAAAACTGGGCAGCACCACAGAACCCTCACATCAGAATCCCCATGGGTGGGCCCAGACAGCAGTGTTCATCTTAGACTCCAGTGTGCAGTCGAGGTCGAGAACTGCATTCAAGAAGGCCTGTCTACTGCGAACCGTCCGATGATGTAATTCACCAAGTTCCATGGGATTCCGCCACGCCCGTGTCAACCCAGCTGACACGTCCAACTTGGACAATCAGGGCTTTGACCCCCGTTACCTGGCATTCAATTCAATCCATGTGTCACGCATGCCCCAACAATTTGTGTCCCAACTGTTTGAATCAAAGGATTTCTGATTCCCTGATGGGTGATGACTCAGTAACCGGATTCAGCTTCAGATCTGCCTGACATTTTTCCTGCCTGTCCTGGGCCAGGTATGGCGCTAGCTGCTTTCACCTGTATCATCTCATTCACTGCTCAGAGGCTCTCGAAAGCTGTTGACATTATCAAAAAGTTTTCCAGCTGGAATTCATCTCCCTCTAATCAGCCTTCAAAACCTCCATTTGTAAACCATTGCTGTAGTTTTATTACCTCTTACCTTGGTCTTTACAAGTTGCTGTCAAAACCCAGTAAGTGTTTACAGAAAGAAACTTTACATATTAAATATCTTAAAGGTCTTTTATGCAGAATATGCAGTTAATTTTGATGGGCTATGGATAATCATCAGAAGAGCCATTTCTGGAAATGTAAATAATATGGCTGTTTCTTTTAACAGTGCATTCTCCTGAAAACATAAGACCATTTGACTGATTCTGCTCCAGAATCTTATTGAGGCAAAGGACTGGACCGAATTATTCATGGAACAGAAGCCTAGGACTGGTAAGTCCAGGAAATGCTGCAAAACAATGCCCTCAAAAGAAATCAGCCTTTCCCTTTGATAGGTATCTCTCCTGCAAGCCAGGCTCAGGTGCGCCTCAATTAGAACCTGTGTTCGCTGGGGCCATAATTAAGAATCTTAAAGGGAAAGAATGTTTTGAAAGCCATCTGTCAAAAGTACGCAGTCTTGCTTGTAGAATTTTAGAGGTTCATGGTTACCGTGGGTCGGCACTGGGTCTGTGAGCCCTCATCCCCAGGGCTCGGTTTCCTATCAGAATCCTTGTCTGGAAGGTTGATTATATCAGATGCGCATTTTGCCAGCATCCTCAGAAGGAGATGCGAGGAAGATTCTTTTCCTGGGCCACTCTCATTTTCTCAAACTTGGACAAGTCTTAACAATAATCTGTGACCCAACTTTGTCTTCCCCATGATGAAAAACAGACCCCATAGAAACTCTCTGGCACAAAAACTCTGGAATCACTGACCCCAGACATTGTTCCCTGCCATCCACTCTGCCAGACATTTCTTGGATTTATTCAAGCTGACTTGTATTCCAGAACAATTGTGGACAAGATTTGCTAGTAATGCTTCCAACAAGTTACCGTTTAGCAAGTTCAGAACTTGAAGAATCCCTTTTATCCTAACGCTGACTAATAAACTGGTGAGAACTGTTTGAAATACCCATAAGTCAATGGAGGTCGTAATTTGCTTTTATGCTGTATTAAACACCACTGAGATGTTAAGGTCTTTCTTGGGAACCACCGTGATGTTCTCTTCTGGACTCTTCGTAACCCCTTCAGCAGACGACCCTGTATCTGGTCTTGGTTCTGAAAGGTTTGCAGCGGCACCTAAGTCACTGAAGTTCTGGCAGAATTCATTCTCCTGCTCTCTACTGGGACTTGTTTTCCATAATTGGTCTGAGAACAACAGATTTTTTTCTTTTTTGCCTCGGATTTCAACAAAACATACATGGAAAGAATATTTTCTTCCTTGGAGACATTTCCCATAGGGCAGTGGTTCTTAAAATACGTTCCTGAACCGGCAGCATCAGAATCCCCTGGGAACGTGCTGGAAATGTAGATCCCCAGGCCCTACCTAGCCCTACTGAATCAGAGACCCTGGGAGGGAGGTCCAGCAGCCTGGGTTTTAACACATCCTCCAGGCGATTCTGAGAGTGAGAGAGCCAGGGCCTTCGGGCATCAACCTTGGGGCGAGGGTGTTGGGTTGCCCAACACCCTTTAGTCTAATGGCTTTAGGGTCAAATATGTCTAAACCAAGAAGCCCCATGGGGCACTGATTAGCATGCAGGTCCCCAGGCCCCCTTTTTGTAGATCCTGATTCAGAATATCTGGGACGGGGGCTGGAGATTCATATTTTTAATAAATTCCCTCATTTATTATTTTTGTGTCTTATTTCCCATACACAAAAACACTGCGTAGAGAAATGGGAGTGTGGGCGATGCTCCCATGCTGGGAGTCTCAGGCCTGGGCTAGTCCTAAAATAATTGAAAAGGAATTGATTCTTAATTACCCAGAACGTCCACGCTCTAGGACCTAGTGTGACCTCTTCTGCCTTCTGAACCGAGGAGTCCACCCCTAAGCCCGAGGAACTGAGCGTGAAGAGCCCTGACGCCATGAAGACTTGAATCACTTTAAAGCAATTTGCTTCTTATTAAAATGTACTTCAGTAAAAAATCATTTCAACTCTTAAGCCACAAAAGGATATCCAATCATTTAAAGCTTCCTGAGTGTTTCGGTTGATTAAAAAGCTTTTAAAGAGCATAGTAAATATTTTACCAGAAGGATAAGTTATTCAGTATGGAGATTATTTATTAAAAACTAGTAATTTATTAGTTCATTTATCTTTATTTTCGTGTAAGTGCATTCTTTTAATCTAGGCACACTTTTTTTCTATTCCCTCAGCAGGTTAAGCTGCCACTTGACAATTCTGTAACACATAAATGTATTTAAATAGAATTTAACTTGTGAAAATAACAAGATTTCACTAATAATGGAAAAGATAGCTATAAAATTACAGTTTAATTTGAACTTTCGGAGAGTTTTAAGCACAGTTTCATGCACTTAAAAAGGAATCACATTTGCTGTTTTGAAAAAAGAACAAGATTCTCACTTATCACTTGGGTCATTGATCCTGAAGGAAATAACTAATGCATAACTTCTTTTTCTTATAGCTGGAAAGGAAAACATGTAATACATTAGCCCAAAATCAAAGTACTGGGTTCAAGTGCTTACGGTTACATATTTGATTTCTATAATAAAAACATCAGAATGTTTTCAGCTGCAAGCAATGACTAAAAATGGTTTAAATCACAAGGATATTGAGGGATCTCACACACGAGATGTCCAGAGGAGGCTGTGCCGTGGATAGGAGACTTGTCACCCCTTCTGTCCACCCACCCTGCTGGCTGCTCTGTGGGGCTTGTGGCTTTCTTCTCGGGGTGACACAATATCTCCAAGCGCCGCCTCTGTGGGCCACCCCAACGCCCTTGCCCCAAAGCTTTCCTCCCTGCCCACCTCAGCTGTGGGTGGAATGGTGTCCCCCTAAAAGACTGATGGAAGTCCTAACCCCTATACCTGTGAATGTGGCCTTATTTTTGGAAATAGGGAAAACCAGGCTGGGCAACACAGTGAGACTCCGTCTTGAAAACAAAAGTTGAAGTGCACCTGCTCACCGACTGCTGCCCCTGTGGAAGGAAGGGAGGCCCTGCAATATGGGCTTGCTGCATCCCTTGTTTAAATCGTCCCAACTCAGATACACGTTTCACAGGCCCCATCCAAGGCAGGGAGGCAGAGCGGGGGCTTTGCATCATCTGTTCTCTCTCTTTCTCTTTCCCTCTACCCTCCCTTCTTCTTTTCTCTCTCTCTCTCTCTCTCTCTCTCTCTCTCTCTCTCTGTGTGTGTGTGTACGTGTCTCTCTCTCTCTCTCTGTCTCTCCCCCAGGGGCACACTTTCCCGTAATCTTCCGACAGACCTGCCCTTCTATCTGTTTGGCCAGGCGCTGGTCACATGCCCACCTCACAGCCATCACTGGCAAGGGGATGCCAAATAACCTTGACTGGCTAAGGGCCAGCTGGGGGACAGCCTCGTCTTCTCTGAGCCCAGGACATAATTTCAAGAAGAGGAGGGAAGGCACCTGAGAAGCACCAGCTGCCCGCCCACCCACCCAAACAGGTCACCCAGGCTGGCCCGGCCCTGGTGACATCACTGAGTTCCATGGCATGGCTCCTCCCCTCACTGGGCTCCAAAATGACCGCGTAGTCATTTTCAGTGAGAAATCAAAGTATGAAGGAGTCCTCTCTGCTGGCCAGTCTACCCAGGCGGCTGAACTCCACTGAGAAAGCAGCTTGGAGCACGTGCTCCCAAAGCAAGCAGGATGCACCTATTTCCCCAGCAGAGACCAGCCACGGCGTGGACCCAGCACCCCGAAGGCAGGAGGCAGAGTGCCCGTGGTTGTTCCCCAGCTGTCTTTGCATGAGGTCCCACAGCTGACCCACCTCCTCCTGGGTGCTTTTTGTTCTTTACTGATAACGTTGATACAGTCGGATTCCAGACTAAGCTGGGCTCCAGAGTCCCCCTGTGTCTATGGGCTGCCTGCAGAAGAGAGGAGTAGAGGGCGAGTGGACGGACACAGTGCTCTGCTCTAAGACAAGGCATTGGTTGTTTAGGGTCAAGACACAGAAGCAACAAGCAAGGAGGACTGTGGGTGTTGACACCAAGGGCAGACCAAGGTCATGCTGGGCCCTGCAGCAGCGACTCTGCAGACCTCTCTCGTGCTCCACCATTACCCTGTGTGTGACTGTCCTGGGGCCGCCCTAACAAAGCTCCACACACCGGGGGCCTTAAAACAGCAGATATGGGCCAGGCGTGGTGGCTCACACCTGTAATCCCAGCACTTTGGGAGGCTGAGGCGGGCAGATCACGAGGTCAGGAGATAGAGACCATCCTGGCTAACACGGTGAAACCCCGTCTCTACTAAAAAATACAAAAAATTAGCTGGGCATGGTGGCGGGCGCCTGTAGTCCCAGCTACTCGGGAGGCTGAGGCAGGAGAATGGCGTGAACCCCGGAGGCAGAGCTTGCAGTGAGCCGAGATGGCGCCACTGCGCTCCAGCCTGGGCGACAGAGTGAGACTCTGTCTCAAAAAAAAAAAAAAAAAAAACAGCAGATATGTGTCCTTTCACGGTCTGGAGGCCAGACATCCAACATCAAGGGGTGGGCAGGGCTGTGCTCCTTCTGGGGCTCTAGGGAGGGCCTTCCTTGCCTCTTCCAGGTCCTGGAGCTCCTAATGGTTCCTGGCGGCTCCTAGTGGTTCCCAGCATCCCGTGGCTGGCAGCTGCATCACTCCCATCTCTGCATCCGTCATCACATGGCCTCCCTCCCTCCGCATGTCTGTGTGTCCTCACGTTCTGTTCTCCTCTCCATGTGTCTGTGTCCAAGTAAACTTCTTCTTATAAGGACCACAGTTGTTGGATTAAAACCCACCCAAATCCATGATGACCTCATCTTATCTAGTTATATCTGCAAAGACCCTAGTTCCAAATAAGGTCACATTCACAGATCCCAAGGGTGAGGATGTCAACATATCTTCTGCGGGGGACACAAGTCAAAGGACAACTCTGTGCCTGTTTTCCCAGCCCACATACCTGAAACCACCAAGCCACGTGTTAGGTACAGAGAGAGGCTCCCACTGGCCCCATTCACCCTTGCTCATCGGAGCGGCTCGCTCCTGTCTGTACCTGATCACAGGCACCATCCGTGCTCTCCCTTTATCCTGGCGTGCGTGTCCCCTCCCGGGCTCCCTTTGTCTGTGTATGGGTTTTGCCATTGTCCTGCAGACTCTGAAGACCCCTTTTTTTCCCCAGTTTTCATGAATTCATTTGGACTATCTCATGCTGCCTGGCTTGGCATCTTATAGCCAGCTTTTTAAAAGCAATCATAGCTGGTACATGAAGGGTTGATCTGGTGTGACGAAATTAAGCCTTTTTTTTTTTTCATAAGCAAATAAATTGGGAATTAAATTAGGTCCAAAATTCATCTGAGGCTTCTGAGAACTTGTTTGCAGAAAGCAATTGCTCTGGGACTGGCAACATTAGTAATCAAAGAGAAGCTAAAGAAAAACAGAAAATTGAAAAAAAAAAAAAAAGGAGGGAAATAAATTTGAATCAAGTTCATTTTTTCCAACATTTTATTTTGAAAAATTTTAAACATTCAACAAAACTAAAAGAATTTCTACAGTGAACACCTGCATACTACCTACAGTCAACTACTAACATATGACTCTGCTTGATGTATGATCTTTCTGACTCTGCCATGGCACAGGTCACAAGAGACTGCCAGGAGAGGAAGGTTCCAGGCTCGCCCTGAGAGGGGCCAGTGTCTCAAAAGCAAACTGTCCTCAAAGAACCTGTATTATCAACATTCAAAGCCCTTCAAGAGGCCAGCATTGCCATCAGAGTCCTTGTGGAAATATCCATTTTTCCCTGGCAGTAACACCAGCAGCCAAAATTTGTTTTAAAAATTATTGCACCGGCTGGGTGCGGTGACTCATGCCTGCAATCCCAGCATTTTACGAGGCAGGTGGATCACTTGAGGTCAGGAGTTCAAGACCAGCCTGGCCAACACAGTGAAATCCCATCTCTACCAAAAAATACAAAAATTAGCCAGGTGTGGTGGCTCATGCCTGCATAATCCTAGCTACTTGGGAGGCTGAGGTGGGAGAATCACTTGACACCAGGAGGTAGAGGTTGCAGTGAGCTAAGATCGTGCCACTGCAACATAATGAGACCCTATCTCAAAAAAAAAAATATTGCACATTCCTTTGTGTCAGTTTTGTCTCATGACTAGTGTGGTAAAATTTGGCTACCTACTATGTATCTGTTTATTAACGTGTGCAGTAGGTTTAAATATTCTTACAACTGCTTACATGAAATAATAATTGAATAAATAGAATGCTTCCATACTCTGCAGCCCATGATTCTGAAAATCGTCTAATGGGCTGCACTGGCTTCTCTGGGCTGACCTGGAAACATTGTCATCTTCACAAGTTCTGTACCAGCACAGTGCCCGGCACGAAGTAGATGCTCAGCAAACATTTGATCATTGGATAGATGCATATCCTGGCAAGCTGTGGTCGGACAAAAATAAATAAATAAATAAAATTTTTTTAAAAAAAGGATCCTATAGAGTCAGTATCAAAGGTCTGCTGTTGTACTGATTGGGGGGAAAGATCTCAGGATCTCAGGATGTCATCTTGACTGAAGACAAGACTGACTCGGGTAACAGTGCCATTTGCTCCTTGAATGCATCTCTCACTCCGGACTGAATATTCAGCTCCCTGCAAATCCCTATAAGGTGATTCAGGAACCAAGGGACAGGAAATTCTCTTCAGGATATTTACATTCTTTATCACTTGCTTTCAGCTGCAAGTGGCCAGTAATCTACCTCAAGGCACTGAAGCAAGAAAGGGCATTTGTTGACACTTGGAAGCTGGGGTTTGGGGGTCAATTCAGACATTGCTGATCCAGCTGCTCAAATTCATCAGGAATGGCTGCTGCCACTCAACTCTACCATCCTGTATGATGCCTTGGCCACCATGGAAAGATGGCCACAAGCAGTTCCAGCTGCATTCAAACCCCTCAGGCATCAACCCCTGGACAACAACAGCTTCCCTGGTTGTTTCCCAAAGTTCCCGCAAATGTCCCAAGGTTGCATCTCCTTGGTCTGATTTGGGGTATATGCCTATCTCTGAGCCAGTCACGGAAGCCAGCCAAGAGGAGTGGAATAATCTCATCGGCCAGGCCTGGTTCAGCACCCTACACTGAGACCAGGCATGGGATTAACCCACTCATCAAAGAACTGGAATTGAGGATGGGGGAGAAGAGCTACCTAAGTGGGATCAGGTGCTATTTACAGGCTACGTAAATTTAAGGCTCACCAAGCTCCAAATATTCAGGAAGGTGCACCTAATTTCCAAGTCTTTCCCACTCTCTCTCCCTCTCCAGCCAGCCCCAGGTAGCTTCCCCCATTGCCTGGCAAACTCCGAGCTCCTAGTCTGACGCCAACATGGAACCCAAAGGTGAGTCTCTTCTTCTTCACGACTCAGTTTAATTCTCAGCATAAGCCCTCCAGTCAATTCGGTGCTCTAAAAAGTTGGAAAACATTTATTAAACACCCACTGAATGCCAGGAACTGTGCCAGGCCCTACACCAATGGTGCTGTATTCTACCTACTCATTAGAATCACCTGGAAAACTTTTACACACAGCAATGCTAGGGCCCCACGTGCAGCATTCATCATGCCCACATCATTAGTATTTTGCCAAAGTCCTCCCTCCCCTGGGTGTCCAGCCAGGGTGAGAATCCCGGCGTTAGGAAATAAGACGCATTATCCCGTACGTAATGGAGCGCCTTCTTGGAAGTTAAACGTTGAGCTGCCAGGTGTGCCTTCTAGAAAGAGCCCTGGAGGAGACAGGAAAGCACTGGGGTTGCAGTGAAGCAGGCCTGGTTGGAACCCACAGCTCCAACAGCAGGGCAGACACAAACTTGCCAGGCCCAGTGCAAAACGGAAATGCAGGGTCTTTTTATTTATTTATTTATTTTTATTTTTTTATTTTATTTTATTTTTTTTTTTTTGAGACCGAGTCTCACTCTGTGGCCCAGGCTGGAATGCAGTGGCATTATCTTGGCTTACTGCAACCTCTGCCTCCCGGGTTCAAGCGATTCTCCTGCCTCAGCCTCCCAAGAAGCTGGGAATTACGGGCACCCGCCACCATGCCCTGCTAATTTTTGTAGTTTTAGTAGAGACGGGGGTTTCACCATGTTGGCCAGGCTGGTCTCGAACTCCTGACCTCAGGCGATCTGCCTGCCTCGGCCTCCCAAAGTGCTGGGATTACAGGCGTGAGCCACCACGCCTGCCCAAGAAATGCAGCGTCTTGTGTTCAGAAACTATTAGGAATCTCAAGATAACAACGGCAGAGCATTAAACCGAGCACAGGGCCCTGTGCGTAGGTCACAGACCCCAGAGGCCAGCCCTGTTTTCCAGCTTTATTGCTCATAATCTTGGGAAAGTCACCTGGTCACCGCAAGCCTCCTGACTGTCATTTCTGCGAAGGGGATAGCAATAATTTCCTCCAGGTTTTTGTGCAGATTGCAATAAGATTATGAACGTGCCATGCTTAGGGCGGGGCTTAAGCACTCATTCAGTGGGTGAAAGGAAGAGGAGAGAAGAGAGGAAGAGAAGCAGACTGACTGTTCAGTGTGAGTGGAAGCCCCATCTCCACGCGAAAACAGAGCAAAACCAGGATGAAGGCCACCCACGTAGTACCGTGGCCTGCCCTGCTCAGTAGCCGCGCCCAGACTTCCATCTGTGGCCAGCAGAGGGCAGCGTTGTGCAACTAAAGCCCCAGGATTCGGGCAAGGCCCCAAACCCAGAGGACAACTTTGCTAGAAGGTCTGGCAGGGAACCTGCATAATTTACTCCTGAGTCTCAGAACTAAAGTAAACAACGCCCCAAGAAATGATACCTAAGAGGCACATGACCTGCATGCAAATAAAGAGGCAGCATGAAGTAATCGCTTTCGGGGACGGTCTAATTTCCCCCTTGCCCCACCCCGCTCCCAGGATGAGAAGCTTCAGACCCCTGCATGATTTTCCCAAGGCTGTAAGGAAGGATGTTTGATAGGGACTTTCCTGTGCCGTGTTTCATTCGATTTTCCCGATAATCTGAAAGTTGGGCATTTTTATATATTCTTTTGTTTCTAAACAGAAGAGTAAATCATGCTCTGCAAGCTGTCTCTGGGACGTGCTGGCCTCCCTTCCACCCCAGGACCTTTGCTTGTGCTGTTGTTTTTGGCAGAAATCCCATCCTCCCACCGCACAGCTCCTTCACTTGGCGAACAGCTCGGTATAGGTACATCTCAAGTCAGACATCACGTCCTCAGGGAGCTTTGCTCAAATCTTGCACACCTGGCCTGGTGCTGTGGTTTCTGCTTTCATACCAGCTTGTTCTTTTCAGAGCTTCTATCATGGTGGTATGTGTATCTGTGTGACTCTTTGATTGTCTTTCTCCCTCACTAGCCTGTAAGCACCAAGAAGGCAAGAACTGTTTTTGCCTTCATTGACTCCCTAGTATCCTGGACATTGGCTGGCACACCCTACCAATATTTATTTGTTGAATGAATGAATGAATGAACTTGCCCAAGGTAGCACAGCTGGTAAGAGGCGAACTGGCATTCGACCCAGATCCTCTGACCCGCTAATCAGTCCACATCCCACTTTATCTTATTGCCATATATGAGCAAATGTTGAAAATTGGTGTTTTTTTTAGTCTTCCCACCCAAGGGGGCCTGCGGGACTTATATACCAACACCTGTCAGTCATGGTTGGGGGCTGCTGGGGTGGAGAGGTGGGCACGCAGTGGTGCCAATTCCCTGGAACGGATGGTAGCGTGAAATCCAGCGGCAACAGAAAGCTCTCAAGCAAAGAAGCACAGCTGCTGGTGGTCAGATGTCAGGCCAGAGTTTACAGAAGTGACAAAGGCAGGGGACATGGGAAGGTCACTATATAGATTGTGTCCCCCCAGAAACGTGTGGAAGTCCTAACTCCCGCTGCCTGTGAATGTGATCTTATTTGGAAACAGGTTCTTTGCATATGTAATCAAGTTGAGATTAGGTCATGCTGAATTAGGGTGGGCCCTAAATCCAATGACTAGAGTCCTTCTAAGAAGGTAATTTTCACAGATAGGAAACACCCAGGGAGAAGGCCACGTGATGATGGAGGCAGAGACTGGAGTGACGCAGCTGGGAGCCAGGGAACATCAACGATCACCAAGTGTCTCCAGGAACCATCAGGAGCTGGAGGGGCGGGAAGGATCTTCCCGGGAGCATGGATTTGTAGACACCTTGATTTTGGACTTCTGCCCTCCAGAACTATGAAAGGGTAAGTGTCTTCTGTTGTAAGCCCCTCAGTTTGAGGTTGTAAGCTCCTCAGTTTGGGGTTGTAAGCCCCTCAGTTTGGGGCATTTTGTTGCAGTGGCCCTGGGAAATGAATACGGGCCCCTACAGTGCCACGATGGTCAATGGGGAGCTTTGTGCTAGTGACTGGGAGTACGACACAGTGCTTGCAGCTTGGAAAACTCTTAGTACAGGGTCCCGCAATTTGTAGTTGGTGGAGCCCAGATTTCTGCGCTGTCATATCTGCTCCTCGAGGCTATGGAGTGAGTTTCTCTCCTCTTCTTCAATCAGCGATTACCCCACCCCCAGCTTTGCAGTGCATCCCTTCTCATCTCCCAGGGCACTCCTATCCCATCCACACTATTCACAGAGGGTGTGCAGGCTGGGACCCATGTGAGGCAGACTCGGGATGGCGTTGCTGTCTGAGAAACTGCACAAGTCTTTATTTCAGTTTTCCGCTGCTGTGAAGAGGCCACGCGGGCCCAACAATAGGGTTCCAGTCTCTCCGTGAGCCTCCCTGGACCCCTCACTCCCCCAGGTGTGTCTGTGCCCAGGAACACCTCACCATCTTGTCCCAGGAACCTGCAGCCCTTTTCATCCTCCGACTCACCTCCAGATTCTACTTCATGAAAGCACCCCTTAAAATGGTCAGTCCAAGCCAGATCCTCCTTGGAAGATGGGAGAGCAGAGAAGCCAATGGCAGTGCCCGCCTCTGGCAGGGCAGAGGGTGAGTGAGTCAGAACAGGTCAAGGGCTCATCATTTTCATGGCCCAGTCTCATTGATGGAGAGACCCTCAGAATACTCTGTCCTGGCTAAGACTAGAGAAGGGGGCTGAGACCTCCGTCTTGAAGATAAGGGAGAGGTCAGAGGATCAGCTGACCTCTTTGAACAGCCTGTCCCCTGGGACTGGAGTGAAGGCCTCTGGGACCTGAGCTATCCTACCTAGACCACCATCCTCCCCACTCCTCAGCCCATGTGACTGGGTGAGGGCACAAGCCTAGGAAAGAAGGCACTCTGCACCTGACTATTACGAGATGATAGAGATGCACCAGCCCCTGGACAAGCACTGGGTCCCTTGACACCAGCAAGAATGAATAGGGGCTCAGTCCTCACTACATTGAGGCCCCACGTAGCAAGCACAACCATCCCCTCTGACATGTGGCATCAAATTGCACGTCAGCATAAGGAATCCTGGTAGATTTTTTTTTTTTTTTTATCTATCTATTTATCTGAAACAGGGTTTTACTCTTGTCGCCCAGACTGGAGTGCGATAATGTGATCTCACTGTAACCTCCACCTCCCAGGTTCAAGCAATTCTCTTGCCTCAGCCTCCTGAGTAGCTAGGATTACAGGCGTGCGCCACCACGCCCGACTGATTTTGTATTTTTAGTAGAGATGGGGTTTCACCATGTTGGCCAGGCTGCTCTCAAACCCATGACCGCAAGTGATCTGCCCTCCTCATCCTCCCTAAGTGATGGGATTACAGGCCTGAGCCACCGCTCCTGGCCCTCGGTAGATTTTTAGAAACCTTCATCTCTGTGTGATTCCAGAAGCTCCAGGAGGCCAACAGCAGCCTGGGAAGGTGAAAAGCCTCCTCCTCCTAACCAGCCCACAGACAGAGGCTTTGGGACTCACTGGGGTGGCTGGGCCTGTATCCTAGAGGAATGTGCACAAGTGCACAGGGAGGCTGAGGCACCGGCCAGGCCTGAGTGACCTGCTCCCTGGCCCGCTCCTGCCTCCTCCCTCCATGCCCCTTAATCTTTTGCTTGCAGTCCCATTTTTCAAGTAGAACGAAGGCGTGCAAGTAAATCAGCACTGAAAGATGACATCACAGCGTCTACCTACAGGGAGGCGGGGAAAAGGGTGATTTCATTTTATTTTGTACATTGCTTTACTGTTTGCATTTTTTAACAGGCACATACGTTCACGCATAACCTGTATAATCAATTTTGTCTTCTGTTTTCTTAATTCCCCAACAGGCAGGACAGCCGTGTCCTACATTTCCCGCCATTTCCCCATGGTGATGGAGCTGCAGGGGTCCTGAGAGAGGGACGCTCACAAGGTCCCCGCACCACTTCCCGAGGGTCCCAGAATGACAGATTCGTATTCTAAAGGTGAGTCTGTCAATTGCATTCTGCCCTATGGCAGTCCGGCCAAGGGGGTGGCACCGCAGAGCCAGGAGGGCAATCCCAGTTCACGGTCACCAGGCTCAACCGCAGGCAACGGGCTGGTTGCATTCGTGTGGCAGGTCCTGGCTCCCCTGTTGTGTAGACAGGAGCGCGCGGTGAGCGGAGTGTCGGCCACAAACTCTTGCCCTGGGCGTGGCCATGTGACTTGGTTGATCCAATGGGATAAGAGCGGGGATGACAGAGCCCGCCCCATCCTAGGTCCCTGCCTGAGATGCTGGAGCTGAGCGTCCCAGCCACGTGCGCATGCTGGAGCGGAGGGGCTGTGCCTGGCCAGTGCTGCGTATGGGGGGGCGCCTCCGTTTCATGTCTGGTCAGTTTAGGGACGCCGCATCATTGCAGCAAAAGCCTGACTCCATACCGCTGAGAAATCACCGTGGCTAATGCAGAAGCTGAAGTAGGGCTGTCTTCCATGTGACTCTGGCAAAAAGTCATATGAGTTATTCAGGTCACATGACAGGCCCCCCAACCCTGATCTGAAGGTGGCCACGTGGTGAGGCAGGCCAAGCAGAGTGCTTTTCCCAGCGTCGGTACCAAGGTGCGTTTCTTTTTCGAAATCACAGCTGTAGGAGGCGGCAGCCTGGGCTCCCTGTTGCGGGGCGGAGTCTGTGGTGGGACATCCGAGACGAAGCCACTTTACTCATTAGGTGTAAACGGCCCAGCGCTGGGGCCTACGGACTTCTCAGGACCTGTACATTTATGAGAGACTTTTGTGGGGAAGGGGATGGTATTGATACCAAAGTGAAATTCCGAGGTCCAACACGTTTGAATCAATATCTACAAAAGATACCATTATACCAACCTCATTAACAGGTATATTTAGCATTCATAGAATGTTGTGTTGGTGAGTAAGTTGTAGGTGCCACAAAAATTCCCAAGTATGCGGGATAACTGCTGAGAAATCATAGCCAGCAGTAGAGGGAGTGACTTGCTGTGGAATGCCTCGGGGAGGAAGGCTTCAGTAGCGGGTAGCACAGACCCCCTTGATGCTGGGTCAAACCAATAGGGAGGTGTTTTTCTCACAAAGCCAGAAGTCTGAAGGGGAGAGATCACTCACGTGTATTTAGCTGGAGATAGCCACTCACTCATTTCTGAACCAAATGCTGGTACAGACAATGAGACTGAGATTTTATTTAACAAAACGCTCTGTGCCCGGTATCATCCTAAGCACTTTACAGTATGAACTCTGTCCTCTTACAGCCCTATGAAATGTCTGTAATTATTATCCGCACACTTTACAGCCGAGGAAACTGTGGCCCAGAGAGGTGAGGTTACTTGCTCAAGATTGCACAGCATGTAAATACAAAGGCTGGGATTTTAACCCAAGCTGTCTGACTCCAGAGTTGACAGCGGTACACACCACACTCCTGTCTCTCGATGCCATTGGAGGAGGCAGATGCATCCGGGAGCCAGGGGATGGAGCAGCTTCTCCTGAGGGGTGGACTGCTTTGAGCACAGGGAAGATTCCAGAGTGAAACTGGAATTCCTTTAGGAAGAACAGGAACGGATGCTGAGCAGGTCCCAGTGCTGCCCCTCCTCTCTCCACTCCTCCCTCCTCCCCTTGTGCTCTTACTCCTCTCCCTTTGCCACCTCCCTGGGGAGGTGCTTGCATAAACTGGGAAACTTAAAATCCAATAACTGCTCCTCTCCCACCTGCGACCCTCATCATCCGGTCTGCCCTTGACCTTCGCTTTCCACTTCTCAGACTTCCATTTGCATAATAAAATGACTTTTGCAATGTCAGCCATAAATAGATTATGAGAAGAAAATCTTTTGTTTAAACAGAAATTCGAATTTTCTGAAAGGTGGTGAATAAACACTCTGGAATACATTAGAGATCAGGAAATCTTGTTTGCTTAAAATCATGCTTCAATTTCTTTATATAAGCAGAAAATACTAGCTCTAACATCCTTGCCAGAAGCTTCTTTGTGTCAGAGTATTGGTCTCACTATTCCTATTTGAGTAGCTCAGAAGGTACTAAAAATCCCTGGCTAAGTGAGTGGATGCCTCTATAACAGAACCAGGTGAAACAAGGCTTGTTCAGGGGTGCTGTGCCTCTTCTTTCTGCTGCATTGCCCCAATTCCTTCCCAGAAAAGCATTTTTGAAGATGAGAATGAATTATAAATTGCCTTTACCAATGAGAAGAAATACCCATGGCCTGGATCCAGAAGGACTGAGCCCTGGGATTGGAAGAGCCCCCGGTGATTGCTTAGTTTTTGCTGCCATCTATGCAGAAGGTTCTTTTCAGCATTTCTCACCAGTGGCTCCAGTGTTTGCCTAATCCACAGGCCAAGGAGGGTCTTCAGGAGGCTTGAGTGGGCATCACAGAAGCCACCACACCCAGTCTAAGTAAAACAGGGGCATTTCCATGAAGGGACAGGCAGGTCTCATGGA
The DNA here is from genome assembly GCF_000001405.40 of Homo sapiens. Lineage (NCBI taxonomy): Eukaryota > Metazoa > Chordata > Mammalia > Primates > Hominidae > Homo > Homo sapiens. The sequence goes on from NC_000016.10 coordinate 83,832,437, forward strand.
AGCAAAGCAGTGTCCCAGTTGCCTATGCTTTGTAACACACCACCCAAAACTAGGCAGCATAAACGACCCTTTATCCCTCCAATGGGAGTGAGGACTCAACTCTTGAGGTAAGGCTGGGATACCAGACCAGCTAGACAGGGACTGGGTGGAAGCACCTTTTTATAAGACACACCTACCAGTGTTCCATGTCAGTTGACCATAGCCGTGGCAACACCCCGAAGTTACTGCCCCTTTCCGTGGCAACAACCTGATGACCTGGAAGTTACTACCCTTTACTTTAAGATTTCTGCATAATCCTCCCTTTAATTTGCATGTAATTAAAAGTGGGTGTTTTAGTCCATTTTCATGCTGCTGATAAAGACATACCTGAGAATGGGCAATTTATAAGAGAAAGAGGTTTAATTGCACTTATAGTTCCCTGTGGCTGGGGAAGCCTCACGATCATGGTGGAAGGCAAGGAGGAGCAAGTCACATCTTACGTGGATGGCAGCAGGCAAAGAGAGCTTGTGCAGGGAAACTCCCACTTAAAATAACCATAAGATCTAGTGAGTCTTACTGTCATGAGAACAACGTGGGAAAAACCTTCCCCCATGTTTCAATTACCTCCCAGTGAGTCCCTCCCACAACATATGGGAATTCAAGATGAGATTTGGGTGGGGACACAGCCAAACCATATCACTGGGTATCAATATGACTGCAGACCTCAGACTGAGTCCCTGAGCTGCTACTCTTAGCATACTGCCTATAGGGTAGCCCTGTTCTGGAGGACCAGCCACAGAGCTGTAATACTGCTGCCTCAATAAAGCTGTTTTCTTCCACCACGAGCTCGCTCTTAAATTCTTTCCTGAGTGGAGCCAAGGAACCCTCCCAGGCTAAGCCCCAGTTTGGGACTGCCTGCCCTGCATCAGGAGATTTGTGTAGGGCAAAGCAGGAAGTGCATGCCCCCACTCCAAGGGACAAAGTGCGTGTCCCTGCTCCAGGGCTGGAAGGCTGCAGGCCCTGCCTCTCACTTGGCTGGTAGGTGATGCTAGAGGTTGGCTGGGACCTCAGCTGGGACTATCAATGGGATTGCTACACGCAGCTGCTGCCTACTGCCCAGGCCATCATGAGAAAATGTCTTGCAGGCCTCTGACTACAGGCAGGGTGACAGCCCCACAGCCCCAGCTGCTGAATCCTGAAATCCATTGCCACATTTGCAGCAAGGCCATGCTTGCCATAAGCTGCTCCCAGCCAGGGACTGGGCATGACAGAAACATTGAGCCAGGCCCCTTCCTGGGGGATGCAGGACTCCTCTGCTGGGGGACCCTGACTCATAGACTCCCTGACAGCTCTGCCCGAGCTTCCTGAAAACCACACTGTGAAAGGAGCATAATTCCCTTCTGCTTAGATGTGGGCTGCATGCAGTGACTTCCTTCCAAAGAGGGGACAAAAAGTCACTTTATTTATTTTTGAGACAGGGTCTTGCCCCATCACCCAGACTGGAGTGCAATGGCATGATCATGCCTCTCTGTAGCCTCACCTCCCAGGCCCAAGTGATCCTCCTGCCTCACCCTCCTGAGTAGCTAGGACTGCAGATGCACACCACCAAGCCTGGTGTGCATAATTTTTATATTCGTAGAGTCAGGGTCTCACTATGTTGCCCAGACTAGTCTCCAACTACTGGCCTCAAGCAGTCCTCCTGCTTTAGCCTCCAAATGTGCTGAGATTACAGGTGTGAGTCACCGCTTGGGGCCTAAAAGGGTAACTTTAAAGTGGAATAACATGGCAAACATGACCCTGGCCAGGTGACCAAGGACAACATCAGCAATGACATTCCATTCATTGGAGGCACCCTTGATATAATGTGATAAGAAGGACATTTTACCTCTGTAAAGTCTTTGACCCCAAAACTCACAACCCCAGTCTTATGAGGAAAATCATCAAACAAAGCCCAACAAAGAACATTCTACAAAATACCCAACCAGTATGCCTCAAAACTACCAAGGTCATCAAAAACAAGGAAAGTCTGAGAAACTGTGGTAAGGTGGTATTGTTTGGGTCTGTGACCCCACCCAAATGTCATCTCAAACTGTGATCCCCACGTGTCAAGGGGGGAACCTGGTGGGAGGTGATTGGATCATGGGGGCAGTTTCCCCCGTGCTGTTCTCGTTATAGTGAGGGAGTTCTCAGGAGATCTGATGGTTTAAAGGTGGCAGTTTCCCCCGGGCTTTCTCTGTCTCTCCTGCTGCCATTTGAAGAAGGTACTTGTTTCCCCTTTGGCCATGGTTGTAAGTTTCCTGAGGCCTCCCCAGCCATGAGGAACTGTCAGTTAAACCTCTTACCTTTATAAATTACCCAGTCTCAGGCATTTCTTTATAGCAGTGGGAAAATGGACTAATACATAAGGGGTATGAGAAAATATAGGGTGTTTTGAAAACCTATAAAAGGGAAGATTCCCATGTCTCAGAAGAAGGGAGCATAGGAAGATTTTACCAAGGAGCTGAAAAAGTTGTCTGAACAAAGAAAGTGGAAATAAGACTGAAGCAAAGTGGCTATTATTATTATCATTATTTTAACACTTGCTATAGTCTAGGGAACAAAGTGATCACTTTGTGTGCAGGCTCTTAGAACAACCACTTTCAGAGCTTCCAGCAACTCAGAGAAGACCTCTGTGCTGGAGGCCAGACATGGGGAGGAGGCCTTAAGGAAAAGCTAGAGCACTTTGACAGACGACAAAAGACCTTATTAAGATTCTTCTTTTAAAAGACTCAAGAAGCCATTGAGAGGTTTTTAAGCGGAGACATAACATAGTAAGATTTGTGGGTTTATAACCCCTCTGTAATTCATTTGCTTGTTCCAAACCAGCCACTGCAAGGAAAATGGGGCTGCCCTAACTGGCTTAGAGTAATCAAAATCTATCCCTGGGTTGGAAAAGTGGTCACTTTCCCTTGAGTCTTTGGGTGTTCTTATCAAGTAGGATTTGGGTGTTGGTTGCCGGACAGGCACCAAACCATGTCCACCCCAGAGGTAGAGGGGATTCCCAAAGACCCATGGGAAGCCTCTGCAGGGCTCCAGGCGTGACATCACTGAGGTGCCTTGGACAGGCAGTAGACTTTGGGAGGACCGGATTAACTAATGTGCATTCAAGAGGTAGAATCAATAGTTTTTGTTTGTTTGTTTGTCGTTTTCTAGTTTTTGTTTTTGCTTTTTGTTTTTTGCTTTTTGTTTTTTTTTGATGGATTGGCTAGCTTGGTGCAAGAAATCAAGTTTTTATATGATTATACTACATGGTTGTTTTCCTAAATTCAATTTCTTAGTAATCACATCCCAAAACCACCACAGGAAATACCGTTCTACTATAAATGTGAGTCTTCAAAGAGGGGTGTCAGCATTCCCTGTTAGTAACATAATATGAAATTCCATAAGAAGAAGGACCTAATAATTTACCGAGGATATTTTCTATCCCCTCCCATGACTTCACCCAATGTTCCAGTTCTGAGCACTTAGAAACATTTCGGCCCAATTTGGAGTAATTTTTAATGGGAAAAAAACAAAAAGACATTGTATTCATCAATTTTAGGTGTAATAAAATGATGCCACTTAAGACTTCAATGTGATTAAATTTAAAATACAAATGTCTAGGTATAAAGTAAAACATAATGGCTTTTATTTAACCAGCTCCAGTCAAAAGCCCAGTTCAGATTTCCTGTGGTTTCTCATCTGCGTTTCCTGCTGAGTCATTCTTTCCATAAACAACTTCTGAAATGATAAAGCATACATTTATCAACATGGATATTGCCATCTTTTCTTGTAGAGAACATTATCATGTTTATTCCACCCAGAAGGAAAGGGGGCATGCCTATTTGTATTATTACCCCCAAAATAACTCTGTAATGAATAAGCCCTCGGCAAATCATGGATCCGCTGTTCATCTATGCTCTTATTCTGATAGGAGCCTCGTACGTTCTTTGAAATTGCTCTGAGCTGCTACTTTGATATCCTTTGGAGCCATACATTTTGCTATGTACCTTAAACTTCATTTGGAGGCAATTTAACCCTCAGTATATCCACAAACTTAAACTGGGCAATTTCCTGAAGCAAAATATTCCTGCAATATGCGTGGTGTCTCATAAATGTGTCCACTTGAAAACTGGTAAGGACTGCTCTGGAAATTAGGACAGTTCAAATTCAGACTAACTCAATAGCGATAAAATGGGTCTTTTGTTGTTGTTTTTGTTGTTGTGTTGTTGGTTTGTGGGGAATTTTTTTTTTTTTTTTTTTTGCCCTTTGGATTGTTAAAAATTTAATGATGGGCAAAGGGATGGGTACTCTCATAATATGCTGATAAGATGCAAATTAGTTCAGCCTTATTGGAAGGTGTCATAGCAATAGCTACTAAAATGTTTAGAATGCACATATCATTTGTTGCAATAATTTTGCCTCTAGATTATAGAAATACTTCATGTGCCAAGAAGCAATAACTGAGGTGCCCCTGGTTGCAGTGGTTGCAATAGGATAAAATTATAAACAACCTAAAATCCATTGAGATTTAAATGAGCAGTAGCATATATCCATTCAAAAAGAAAGAGCTAGACCTATCTGATGATTATTAAGATATGCTGTTGAGAGAAAAATGTGGTAAAAAGTGAATCAACCTCAAACCCATGTTAGAGAATACTCTCCTAGGTAATTATCTATTGGGGCGTATATTTAGGTAGGTGCTTGGAAAAGGGTCTGGAACTGCAGAATCTCTTGGGTGCTCAGTAATTGAATGAATACATGGTTGAACCAATATATGTTGTTAATAATTTTTCCCATTTGTTATCTGCCTATCTAATTTCATTCATGGAGTTTTAAGCAATAAACTTTATTTTCAAAATCTCTGAGTAATTGTCTTAGGATGGGGTGAATGTCCTTTTTTGTTGTCCAACTTGGCAGCTTTCTTTTCTTGCTCTTGATTTCACTCGACTGTAGCCAGCGGCAATTCTCAAACGAAATCTTACATTTCCGTGATTTTCCCCATGGCACCCTTTTTCTTCTCCCCACCCTTCCCCTTTTCCCTTGATAGCTTTTTTATCCCTCAAGGGAGAGTCTGGACATCGTTTCCGTGGAGAAGAGCCCCTAACAATCCTGGAATAAGGCAGGTCGCCTGTGGCTCATACTATGATGTTATAAGGTTGTTGTGAGGATGAAATATCTTAATGCTTATAAATGATTTAGAACAGTGCCTGGCACATTGTATTGTGGGTGCTCTGCAAGTATGAACTGTCATTACTGACTGTTGTTACTAGACTGCAAGCTACATGAGGGTAGGAACCCCATCCATCTCATTTGCTACGGTGAAATGCAAAACATGGCCACATTGCTCCAGATTCCTCTCATCCTTATATACACGTCCCTCTGCATTGTGATTTTGCCACTTTTCCCATCCGAAGGTGGAGTCCTAGTTCCTGCCATCTAAGGGAGCTAGTCTAAGCTAACTCCCACCTGGTGGAGAACTGAGGCACGCCACCAATACCCAGGACCAAGAGACTCATATACTAGTGAGTTATATTAAAACTTCCAGCCCAGTTGACCCTCTGGCCGGATACATCCAGGTGAGCAAGCCTAGATGAGGCCAGCAGAAGAATTATCCAGCCAACCCACAGAATCATGAGTAAAGCAATATCATTGCCATTTCACACTAAGTTTAAATACTAAGTATTGGGGTGGCTTGTTAGCCAGCACAGAATAACCAATAAATTTACCATTGTATCCTCTAGGATGGAGGATACAGGGCTGGTGCTAGTAGATGCTCAATGAATATTTGTTGAATAAATGAATAAGTGCATGATGCAGTGGGGGAGAGGGAGAAAGAAAAGAAGGAAGGAAAAGGAAAGAAAAGGAGGGAAGAGAGAGAGGGAGGGAAGAGAGAGAGGAGGGGAAGAAAAGAGAAAGGGAAAAAGGAAGGAAGGAGGGAGGAAGGGGAGGGAGGGAGGAAGGTAAGAAAGAAGAAAGGAAGGGAGAGAGGGAGAAAGAAAGGAAAAAAAGGAGAGAAGGAGGAAGAAAGAGATGCAACTGTCTTATTCCGTTGGAAAGATTAATGCCGCAGAGTAGGAGGATCGAGTTACAACAACCGTGATCTCTTTTTTTGCTGATTTCATAGACTGTGTACTTAGAAAGGGAAATGTGATCAGCCATAATCGTCTAATCGCATTGGAACTACTTGGGGTGTCTTTTCTATGGAGAGTAAAAGAATGTCCAGATTTCAGATCCAGGTCCCCTGACTGCTTTAAAAACTAAAATGTCCATTAATACATTTCAGGAAACTACACTTGTATTGGTTGTCTTAGTTATTAGTAAGGTTGATATTTCTCCTTCCCTCAAACACAGATGAAAAATGCCATTTGGGAACACTGACAATAATTTGAACTCTATGGAATTCTTTAGTTTATCTTTATCATGTATAACCGAAATCTTGGCCAGGCATGGTGGCTCACGCCTGTAATTCCAGCTCTTTGGGAGGCCGAGGCGGGCAGATCACCTGAGGTCGGGAGTTCGAGACCAGCCTGACCAACATGGAGAAACCCCATCTCTACTAAAAATACAAAATTAGCTGGGTGTGGTGGCACATGTAATCCCAGCTACTCGGGAGGCTGAGGCAGGAAAATCACTTGAACCGGGGAGGAGGAGTTGCGTTGAGCCGAGATCACGTCATTGCAGTCCCGCCTGAGCAACAAAAGCAAAACTCCATCTCAAAAAAATAAATAAATAAAATAACAGAAATCTTAATTTTCCATTTGTATTAAGTTCTTCTTATTCTTAGGCAGAACTAGAAGGCACAGAATCTTCAAAGCCGATGGATTGTGTTCATGTCTTCTTAGATTTCAGCTTTAAAACAGAGTTGAGAAGACAAAACAGATTAGTTAATTCAAGTGTCACAATTGTAATTATCTAATTTGCTTTACTCCCAGATTTTCAATATTTTAAATTCAGCCAATAGTTAAGTTTTGAGGATTTATATGGCATAACATTTGTTAACCAACTGCCATAAAACCAAGTTTTTTAAAAAATGATTTCCTGGGGCTGATAGGGAGAGGAATATGAAGAAAAAATAAATGGGGCACTTTTTTTTCATTGTTCATGCCAGAGAGTCAACAAATACCATCCGAAGTTAAAACATGGAGTTTAAGAAAAAGGTAATGACTTCAGCCTCTATGATTTTTCTAAACATTTTTCTTAACTTTAAAGGAACAGAGGACTCATTTCTCTTGAGTGTGTGTGTGTGCTCCTGTGTCCTTTGTGTGTGTGTCTGTGTGTGTGTGTGTGTGTGTTTCTGTGTGGGTGTCTGTGTTTGTGTTTATCCAAAGGTCAGCAATTTCTTTAGTTTAACTTCAGATTCTTCTACTGTCAAATCTAAGTAAAATCAAATGTTTTCTCTTTAAAAGTAGCATCTACAGTAAAATTCCCCGTTTTCAACTAATGTCTTTTTATTTGTCTTTTTATCCATGTAGCAGAGACCAAAGACTGATAATAATGGCTATTTCTGGGAAGCAGATTGCGAGTGTCTTTCCATTAGCATTATTATTCTTTGCACTTTTATACATTGTTCAATTTTTAAAAATACCATATATAGTTTTATGAATACTATAAAGTTGTCAACAAAAAGAGCCAAACTCTGTAAAATATTTAAAGAGGTTTATTCTGAGCCCAATATGAGTGACCAGGGCCTGAGACACAGTCTCAAGAGGTCGTAAGAACATGTGCCCAAGGTAGTTGGGCGACAACTTGATTTTATACATTTTAGGGGGACAGGAATTACAGGCAGACATCAATCAATGCATGTATACATTGGTTCCATCCAGAAAGGCGGGACAGCTCAAAGACCTGGGGGTGGGAGAGTGGGTTCCACGTCATAGGTGGATTCAAAGATTTTCTGATTGGCAATTGGTTGAAAGAGTTATTAGCTAAAGACCTGAAATCAGTAGAAAAGAGTGACTGGGTTAAGATAAGGGGTTGTGGAGACCAAGGTTCTTATTATGTAGATGAAGACTCCAGGTAGCAGGCTTCAGAGAGAATAGATGTTAAATGGCTCTTATCAGACCTAAGAAGGTGCTAGCCTCTTAGTTAATCTCTCCTGAATCAGGAAAAGTCCTGGAAAGGGAGGGGAATTCTCTAGAGAATGTAAAGACCACTTTACAGGGCCATTTCAGAATATCTCAAAAAATATATTTTGAGGTAAAATATTTCCGTTTCTTTCAGGGCCTGCCATCTGTCATGTGATGCTATACGAGAGTCAGGTTGGAATTTGGTATCTTCTGGCTACAAAGAGTCTGTTTGATCAGCCTTACAATCTCTGTTTTAATGTTAATGCTGGTCCATTGTGCCTGAATTCCAAAGGAAGGAGGGCATAAAAAGGCATGTCCAACCCCTGCTTCCCATCATGGCCTGAACTAGTTTTTCAGGTTTACTTTGGAATCCCCTTGGCTGAGAGGAGGGATCCATTCAGTCAGTCAGAGGGCTTAGAATTTTATTTTGGGGGCTGGGCGCAGTGGTTCATGCCTGTAATCCCAACACTTTGGGAGACCAAGGCAGGCAGATCACTTGAGGTCAGGACTTTGAGACCTGCCTGGCCAACATGGAGAAACCCTGTCTCTACTAAAAATACAAAATTAGCCGGGCATAGCGGCGCATGCCTGTAATCCCAGCTACTTGGGAGGCTGAGGCAGGAGAATCGCTTGAACCTAGGAGAGACGGAGGCTGCAGTGAGCCAAGATCGCGCCATTGTACTCCAGCTTGGGCAACAAGAGTGAAAAAAGAAAAAAAAAAAGGTTGTGGAGACCAAGGTTCTTATTATGTGGATGAAGCCCTCAGGTAGTAGGTTTCAGAGTCTCACTCCGTCGTCCAGGCTCGAGTGCAGTGGCTCAAACATAACTCACTGCAGCCTTGACCTCCTGGGCGCAAGTGATCCTCCCACCTCAGCCTCCCGAGTAGCTGAGAACACAGACATGCACCACTATCCTGGCTAATTTTATTTTATTTTATTTTATTTTTTTGTGGAGACCAGATCTCACTATGTTGCCCAGGATGATCCTAAACTCCTTGATTCAAGTGATCCTCCCGCCTCAGCCTCCCAAAGTGCTGGGATTACAGGCAAGAGCCTCAGCTCCACATGTAAATGTTTCTCGTCAGACTGAAAGCATCTGTTCTGTCCGTCTTAAGGTCTCTGTTCTAATGTTAATGCTGGTCAGCTGTACCTGAATCCCAAGGAGACGAAGGTATAGTGACACATGTCTAACAACCCATTCCCATCATGACCTGAACCAGTGTTTCAGGTTTACTTTAGAATGCCCTTGGCGTACAGGAAGGGTCTATCCAGTTGATCGGAAGGCTTACAACTTTATTTTTGACAGAGGCCATAAAAGACAAGATTGATGTAAAAATAAGCTGTTTGGCTGGGCGCAGTGGCTCACACCTGTAATCCCAACACTTTGGGAGGCCCAGGCGGGTGGATCACTTGAGATCAGGAGTTTGAGACCAGCCTGACCAATATGGTGAAACCCTGTCTCTACTAAAAAAAAAAAAACAAAAATTAGTCGAGTGTGGTGGCATGCACCTGTAGTCCCAGCTACTCAGTAGGCTGAGGCAGGAGAATCACTTGAACCCGGGTGGGGGCAGAGGTTGCAGTCAGCTGAGATCGCACCACCTGGGCAACAGAACAAGACTCTGTCTCAAAAAAAAAAAAAAAAAAAAAAAGAAGCTGTTCTGCCCAGAAACGTATACCATAAACACAGTAACATGACAAACTGTGAAAAAGGCCTGATTTCCTCAATATGAAGAGTGCTCCCATGTATGAATTGATAAGGCTCAGGACACACCACCCCAAAATATGAATCAAGGAGACCGCCATAGGCCACCCAAATATGCCTCTTTGTCATAAGGATTATTTTGACCTGGTTATTTTGAGAAACTGCAGACATAAAAGATCTGAAAAATTATCCTTTGTAAGAGAAATTGGTATTTGTAAAGGAAATCTCCATTTGAAAGGATGTCTCCCTCTAAGACTCTGAATCAGCGGAGAAGCCTTCAACTTAAATCTGCGCAAGCTCGCTTCTGCTTTCCAGGGCTTGTCCTGGCCTTCTCACCTTAAAGGGGCCTTTCCCCACCCTCCTTACTTTGTTTCAGCAAACAATGATATTTAAGCCTGAAGTTTATACTCTTTTTTTTTTAAGATCGACTCGTTTCTTTGGGTCATCTCCCACGTATACAGGAGGGATAAATGTTTTTAAATTTCTGTTTGTTTTCTCTTGTGCATCTGTCTTTTGTTATAGGGAGTCCCGGCTAAGAATTATGAAGGACAGAGAGAAAATTCTTTTTCCTACCCTGCAGAATCAATAAGACAGACTGACAACTGCGCAGAAAAATAAGCAAGGCTATCAACAGACAGTCCCCAGTAAAACAAAAACAAACACTCACTAGTCTTAAATAGATGAGAAGCTCAATCTCACTTGTGGAAAAAATGAAAATTATGCAAGAGCTTCCCTTTTCTATCTATCAGACTCTGGCAAGGGGAAGAGGCTTTAAGTGCCTGCATGAGGCGGCGCTTAGTGTTTATATTTACTGTGTACTCTTAAGTCTTAGGGCCTTTTTGAATTTTATACCATGGGCATGTTTTGCCTTTTCAAAAATAAAGGTGTTTTAAGTGCAAGTATGCAGAAGTCCTAAGCAAAAGGGTTTGAAATGGAGAAGTTGCAGGTATTACCTCTTCTCCCATGGGGGCAGCTGCTCATTCACTCATGTCACTGACACTCCCTGAGCAACTGCAGTGCCTGGCATTGTTCTGGGCCCCGGGAAACGGCTGTGAAAAAGGCAAAGTCCCCAGCCTGGTGGCCCTCGTGTTCTGGCAGCGGGAGACAGACAATAAAGAAACGAGTCCCTATATGGTCTGTAGGTTATGACAGGTGACATCGAGGACTGGTAGGGAGGGGAGGTGAGGAGCACTGGGAGGGAGCTGGGTAGACTTTGCATGCTTTTTTTTTAGCATAGGTTGCTCAAGAAAGTCCTGAGCAAGACAGTGACATTTAAGCTGAGTCCTCAAAGAAATGGGGGAACCAGGCTGGGCGCGGTGGCTCACGCCTGTAATCCCAGCACTTTGGGAGGCCGAGGTGGGCGGATCACCTGAGGTCGGGAATTTGAGACCAGCCTGACCAACATGGAGAAATACCATCTCTACTAATAATACAAAATTAGCTGGGCGTGGTGGTGCCTGCCTGTAATCCCAGCTAGTTGGAAGTCTGAGGCAGGAGAATCGCTTGAACCTGGGAGGCGGAGGTTGCAGTGAGCCGAGATTGCGCCACTGCACTTCAGCCTGGGCGACAAGGGCAAAACTCCACCAAAAGAAGGAAAGGAAAGGAGGAAGGAGGGAGGAGGGAGGGGCCAGTCATGGAGCTATCTGGCCAAGGGGAAGCTGTTCTAAAGAGAGGAACCGCACATGCAAAGACGCAGCCACAGAGGTGAGGCTGGTATGCACCAGTAGCAGCAGGAAGGCCTGCCATGCCGCGATGCATGAGTAGGAGGGAAAAGGGGAGGAGGAGAGACCGAAGAGACAGTGCTGGGCCAAACAGAGTGGGATTTTGTACATCACTCCAGGGTCAGGGGGAAGCAGGGTCATGCCGTGGTGCAGTGCCCAGCACAGAACCCTGCACCTCTGTAAATGACTATTGGATTTGAATTTCAAATGCAACACCTCATCGTGTTAAGGGAAAACTCCCTTTACTATTTTTCCACTATTTTATGAAAACAGAGTGTTGAATCATGTTTTAAAATTGTCTGTTTCAATTATTAAAGCCTTTAAATATTTTCTCTTATTCCACGATAAATTACCTTAAGAACAAAGCTTATTTGGCCTTGGTGACTTTTCTTTAATGAGTTGTTTTATGCTGGTTGGTAAAATTTTATGAAGGACTTCTGCATCTATCATTACAAGTGCTATTGGTCTGTAATATTTTTGAGAAATGGGATTTTTCATGGTTCTAGGATACTCCATTTTAATAGGGTACCATAATCATCTAAGTTTCTGGGATTGAATACTAGAGAAGGGATTGCCTTAATTGTCTGTCTCTCTCTCTCTCCCTTTCACTCTCGTGTGTGAGTGCACGCGCATACACACACAAATGGGATCAAAAAATACATATATTTAAGACATAGATATATAGTGGGATTCAGATTTCTGTACCTGACCACCCACTTCCTCATATTCTGTAGAATTCATCTGGTCTCTCCCAAGGCCCCGTCTCAGGGATCATGGAACAAACTGCCTTTTGTCCCAGCTGCTGAATCAGGTCACACACAGCTGGCCGCTGGCCGTGCTCAGCCTCTCTCAGTTCCGTCTCTGCTTGCCCACCCCTCCCTGAGATGCGGTCTGGGTGTTTGGGAGACCAGGGGCCCCCATGGTACCCCTGACAGCAGAGGGAAGCACTTCTCAGGTCCAGGCGGTGACCATGATGCGGTGCCGAGAGCCCCGTGGGCCTCCATCGTGTGAACTGGGGGCTGGGGTAAGCTCCCGAGATGGGTTTGTTTGGGACCCAAGAGACCCCATGGCTGCCTCAGTCTCACCTCAGCCCTCTCCAAACTGAAGTCTCTTGTGAGTCTCCACCACGTCCTCCATTTGCTTCCCTGTCCCAGACCAGCCTATACCCAGCCTCTGCCTAAGGGTCACCTTGACCCTTTCTACCTGGGAACCAAGAGGAGACCAGTGAAGCCAGGATCAGGTACGCCGAGTAATCCCTGCCTCCTTCAGAGAAGTGTCCTCCCCTGTCCCCGAGCCCGGTGCCCAGACACTTCTGCCTGTGGCTTCCAGTTGAGTTTGGCCAATGGTCAGCACCAGCTGAAGGCAAAAAGGAGGGAGAACAGGGCCTTCGGTTCTGTCCTCATTTTCTGATTCCCCCACTGTTGGGTCCTCTCCCCAGGGCCCAGCACCTATCGGGAGCCTGTCTGCCCAGCACCACCCGCCACTCTCAGGCCTGGGAGCAGCAGTGGCTCCTGCCTTTGCTGGCCCTAGGCCCTGTGGCCCCCTGCAGCCTTCTCTTGCTCTGCCCACGCACGGTCAAGTTCCCAGTTGGTATGAGCCATCGGTTTCCTGCCAGGGGCCTGCTGGATATGCGAGGCCTCCCCTCCTAGTCTCACTCCATTACTGACTTCTCCCTGATGCTGAAGCGGTGTCCTTGTCTGGGGTAATCCCTGAGTATCCTTGCCTCATGCCAAGAAAATTAAGGACATGGACACACACAAGGAGGTTCAGGCCGGGCATGGTAGCTCACAGCTGTAATCCCAGCACTTTGGGAGGCCGAGGCAGGCGGATCACTTGAGGTCAGGAGTTTGAGACCAGCCTGGCCAACATGGTGAAACCCCAACTCTACTAAAAATACAAAAATTTGCCAGGTGTGGTGGTGCACACCTGTAATCCCAGCTACTCGGGAGGCTGAGGCACAAGAATCACTTGAACCCAGGAGGCGGAGGTTGCAGTGAGCCGAGATGGCACCGCTGCACTCCACCCTGGGCGACAGAGCGAGACTCTGTCTCAACAACAACAACAACAACAAAGAGTGGAGGTTTAATAGGCAAAAGAAAGAGAAAGGAGAACAGCTCTCTCCCTTGCAAAAGAGAAGGGCACCAGAATGGGACTTCTGGCCTGCAGCAGAATGCAGCAGATTTTATAGACAGGCTTGAGGAGGGGGTGTCTGATTTACAGAGGGCCCACAGATTGGTTGGACCAGGTGTGATGTTTACACAGCATTTGGGGAAGCTGCCCATCCCACTCTAATCTTATTAAGCAAATTGGCTTTCCACTTGGTGGGTGCCATATTGTCTGCTCCTTACTGTACACTTGGCTGGCAAAGGGAAGGGAAGACGGAGCCGCCATGTTGGACATGCGTAGACCCAGGTAACCCCTTTCCTACTGGCACAGCTACCGGCATGCACCATGCCAGGTTCTAGCCTGCCTTTCTATGTGTGCAGCTCGATTTTATAAGCTGCTGTTTGTTAGAAAAGAAATGATTTGGGGGCTGCTGCTTTTAATTAAAAGAAAAACCTTACTAAGGACATCCTTACCCTTCCTTAGTATCTGCCTAAATAATTTTTTTTTTTTTTTTTTTTTTTGGTGGAATCTCACTCTGTCACCCAGGCTGGAATGCAGTGGCATGATCTCAACTCACTGCAACTTCCACCTCCCCAGTTCAAGCAATTCTCCTGCCTCTGCCTCCCGAATAGCTGGGATTACATGTGCCCGCCACCACACCCGGCTAATTTTTGTATTTTTAGTAGAGACAGGGTTTCACTACGTTGACCGGGCTGGTCTCGAACTCCTGACCTCAAGTGATCCGCCCACCTCCGCCTCCCAAAATTCTGGGATTATGGGTGTGAGCCACCGTGCCCAGCCAATAATTTCTTCTTAAATTCCGTATCAGTGCAGTCAGGATAGCAGAGAACTAAACAGGAACCAGAAAAGAAGCCCTCCCCCTCAGGCTCCCTCCCAACTCCCTACCAGGGGTCTTCTCCAAGAGACCTAGCAAGACCCACACATCCACTCTTCCCCTCTGCTCCCTCCAGGTCTGTTCACCCCACAAACTTTGGGAGCCATGAGCAGAGGGCTTCCCCAGGCTGCAGTTAATCTATGAGCATCTTGGTGCAATTTAGAAACAGGCACCTCCTTCCTCAGGACACTTTACTTCTATCTGGAAGAAAAATTGCTCTATTTATTTTGTATCTAGAAAACTGTCAGGACAAATCTATAAATCTACAGTGTCTCTGCCATGAATGAAAGGTGCCCCTTACATGAGATCCTTGCACAGTGTGCAACCTGTATGCCCGGGCCCTGCCTTCCTGGCTTTTCTTTGTCTAATATGTTTGTGTTCCTCCCAGCTCTACTCTCATGACTGAGAACTAAGCATTTCTGCATCTTGGGAGGATCTCTAAGGTCAAGTGGTGAAAAACAACATCTTACTAGAGAGATCAAGTACCCACTCTGTCCCAAGGGTGACACCTTCCCGGTTTAGCCTGAGGAGGTAGACTGCTTCATGGAGGACCTGTTAAAAAGGGGAAGTTAAAATGTCGCAACTTAAATATTGGCAAATATATTTTGTCTTTTACATATGCTAGAGACTTTACTCATCTCAATCCTCACGTGCTTCATTTCGTTTTACAGATGTAGAAATTGAGCTACCCCATGGCTCAGCAGCTCCTCCTAATGTACCTTGTGAAATGCTATAGGGTGAGGCTCTTCCCACCTCCAAATCCACTAACTGCTCAGTAAATGGGAAAACAAGAATTCAGAGAGCACAGGGGATCTGTCTATTAGGACTCATTGTCCTCCACCCTGCTTTTTTTTTTTTTTTTTAATGTGGCCCTGTGGCATTTTTGGCCATCTGCATGTCTGGGCTTGCGAGAGATTGGATGCCAGTTTTCACTTAAGGAAAATTTTTACACTGTAGTCAAAAGCCATTTAAGAAATAAACGCTGGGAAGATGATAATGGAAGTGCTGGTAACCTTTAATGACGGTGGCGCTTGCAAAACGTAGAGTTCAGGAAGGGCTGATGCTTGATCCAAAAAGCTCTTGTTAAAATCCAATCTTCTTCCGCAATGAGCATTAGCAGGAAATGCTTGCAATGAACAAAAACACAGGAAAGGTTAATGGCCTCCTTTGCTATAACGATTCAGGGTTTTATCTCACGTTCCAGCTCATCCTCGGATCATGCATACGTTGAAGGGTCTTTTTTTTTTTTCTTTTTGGTAATCAGGAGAAAAATTGATTACCAAAATTATAATTAAGAGCTGGGAAAATATGCAACAATTTGGCTGCTTCATTTAGCACATATTTCAGGTTAATTGCATGATTTTACTAATGAAGATATTTGCATGAATATTTTCAGTGGCTACATTCAATTTATCATGCAATGAATACTCTGCTGAGCAGATGAGTTTCCTTTTTGTTGGACTTAGAACATAGGCCACAACCCTCAGTGAGATGTGCAAGGAGACCGTTCTAGGCTTATGTGTCAGCCTCTCACTTAGTAATCTGGTGTACCTCCCTGGTAGAATTTACACTATCCACTGTACAACCAGATCCTTTCCTAATTTTGAAAAAGACTGGAAGTTTCCAAAGAAAGTGGAAAAACAACCTTTATTACCCCTTTAAAAAAAAAAAAAAGTTTGTTAAAGGCCAGGCCCAGTGGCTCACGCCAGTAATCCCAGCATTTTGGGAGGCTGAGGCAGAAGGCTAACTTGAGCCCAGGAGTTCAAAACCAGCCAAAAATGGGTAATGTAGACCCTATTTCAAAGAAAAGATAACCACTGTTAAGGTTTATGGACATTCTATTTAAGTATTTCTTCTTTGGTAAGAAATTTCTTGTTTCTTACCAAAATGAATTATACTATACATACGGTTTTGTATTTAATCTCCCTTTTTACTGAACAATATAAATTGTGAACACTCTCTTAATTAGTAAACATTTTTCTATCATTGTGTAAATGTACAAAGTGTTTCATTGTGTGGAAGGGTCACCATTTATTTAAGTGATCCCCTTTTATTGGACCTTTAGGTTGAACTCAATTGTTCACTATTATAAGTAGCAGACAGTGAACATTCGTGAAGCTCTTTGAACACATCTAGAATTATTTCCTAAAGGTACATTTGTAGAGACTAAATGATTGGAAAGCCCTGATAGAGACTGCCAAATCTGACCCCCTAGGAAGATACACATTTGAAATCCCACCAGCAGGTTGGGATAAGGCTTGTTTCCCTGCAGTCTCACCAACATTGGGGACCAACGCCATCCTTTCAAATGAGACCTAAAAACTGATCTCTTTGTTGACTTCGTTTGCATTTCTTTAGTTCCTACTGGAACGAGTGACTATTTATGGGCCATTTATGGTTCTTTGTAAACTGCTAGCTCAAGTGTTTTGCCCATTTTTTAAAAGTGGGGTTAATTTTGTTTTTGCTGCTTTGTAATTTTTTGGGGGGTCTTAAGAATATGGCCATTAAACTGCTATATATGGTACAAATATTTTTCCATTAATTGTAATATTTTTGTATTTGTGCAACAGCCAGCTTAGCTGCAACTCCCTGGTGAGTCCAGAGCTCCTAGCAACAGAGAGTTTGCGCTTTGAGCAGCTGCATGTGGAGAAAGCTGGGCCTGAGAACCAGAAGGCCACGTGCCACCTCCCCCCAAATCACCGTTAGTGTCCTGAGCGAGGCAGAGGCTCCCTGGGGTGCAGATGGAAGAGGGTGGCTAGAGACAAGGGAGGACTCTGGGCTTGGGCGCCCCCAGCATTGGTCCAAGCTAACGCTGGGTTGGGAAAAGCTTTTGTTTCCAAGCAGAGAGTTCACATGAGTTAAATCTGGAAAACATGAAGAAATCTCAAAAAAACACGAACTACTGTTCCTTTAAAAAGATATTTAGGCCAGGCACACTGGCTCAAGCCTGTAATCCCAGCACTTTGGGAAAATGGTTTGAGGCCAGGGGTTCAAGAACAGCCCAAACGGCGTACATAGCAAGACCCCATCTCAGCAAAAAAGAAAAGATATTTAATATGATTCTGAAATACAGTGAAGGATCCTAGATTGGAGCCTGAATTATAGAAAATGTTGCTGGATGGCCTAGTATTGAACAGTGAAGTGTAGATTATTTAGATAATAGTGTTGAATCAATATTGAGCTTCCTGAACTCAATCACCTTATTGTGATTATAGAAGAAGATGCCTCGGTTCATAGGGGACACGTGCTGAAATAGTTAAGGATAAATATCACGCTGCCGGCAACTTACTATGGTTGAGAGGCTTCCTGAAAGGACCTTGGAAGACACTCTGGTGAACGCGTATGTTAACAAGCAAGGGACCTAGGAGAAGGGTCTGTGTGTGGCTGTTCGCTGTTCTGTTCCTGTGACTTTTCCATAGGTTTGGACGTGTTTTCAAATTAAACATTTTTAAATGCTACTAAAACCAGGCATGGTGTCTCACACCTATAATCCCAGCACTTTGGGAGGCTGAGGCAGGAGGACCACTTGAGCCCAGGAGTTCAAGACCAGCCTGAGCAACACAGGGGGACCCCATCTCTCCAAAAAAAAAATAATAATAAGAGCCAGGCACGGTGGCGCATGCCTGTAGTCCCAGCTACTTAGGAGGCTGAGGTGGGAGGATCACCTGAGACTGAGAGGTTGAGGCTGCAGTAAGCCGTGATGGCAGCACTGTGCTCCAGCCTGGGTGACAGAGTGAGACCCTGTCTCAAAAACAAAACAAAAGAAAACAAAAAAATCTAGGTGTAACAGCCAGGCTTGTTAAAGATGAACAGTTGTCAGTAGAACAAAGTCAGGATTCCCGAGTCCTCCATCTCAGAGGCAGCTGCCTAAGGGCCCAATCTGCCACAGCAGCCCCAGCTCTGCCCCTGTGACCTCCCCCACACACCCCTCAAGTCCTCTACCTCACCCCTATTGTTCCCCACACGCATCACATAGGAAGGACATGTCTTTCTTGGAAACAGTGTTATTCACACTATTTCAAACACACACAAAAAGAACAACGCAATAAATGCCCGTGTTCCCCAGACAGCATTATCACATCTTAGCTGAATGTTGCATTTCCTCAAATCTCTCTGTTGTTTTTCTTTTTTTTAAGGAATAAAGCATCATGGAATTGCTGGGGCCCCCATATAGGAATTGCTGGGGCCCCCATATAGCTGCCTCTAAGCCCTGTCATCCCTCCTCTCCTGTGGTTCGTCTCTCATCCACTGGGTGTTTCTCCTTCAACTGTTTGTTGTCAAGCTTCCAATACATATGTATGCATCCACAAGCAATATGTGGGTTTTTCCAGGTTTTAAAACTCAATAAATATTATACAGAGCACATCATTCCACGACCTGCTTTTCTGGCTCTGTGTTGTTTGTGAAATGCGTCCAAATGAATATACATGTGGTTGTAACCCATGGAATTTACCCTGTGTTTCATATTCCACTGAATTTGAATATCCCCTCATAGATTGTATCCTTTCCCCCATAGATGGATGTGCACATGGTATCCCCTTTTACAGGCAGTGCTGCAATTCACCTCCTCAGCCACAGCTCCTTCAGCACCTGTGACAATGTCAAAGGTGTATTTACCTGTTAGGGAAATAAAGGGGAGGGGAACTGGTGGCATTCAGCAGGAAGCCACCATCTGAATCTCAGAGCACATGCTCAGAGTTTGGACTTTGCAACTCAACTCCCTGTTGTCCTTCCCTCCTCTGCTTCTTGCACCTTGTCCCCCAGCACCTGACACAGCTACTGTGTCGGTCAGGGTTTTGCCACACTAATGCTGTGTCATAAACAATCCCAGATTCCGGGGGTTTTCAAGTATGTATTGTTCGCTCATGCATCAGGCTCAGCTCTGCGCCAGTTGTGGATTAGATTTGTCTGCTCTGTGGGTGTTTGATTCCTGAAGGGTCAGTGGTTTCCTGGGACATGCTCTTCTCCCGGTGAAAGGCCAAGCCAAACCATGAAAGCACAAAAGCACAAGTAAAGCCTCTGTCCAATGTGGCGGATATGGTATCTGGTCATATTCATTGGCCAACAAAAGTCACATGGCTAAGCCCGAAGTCAGCAAGAGGGGAATAGACTCCAACCACTGTGGTGCCTTGGGCAGGAGGGGAGGAAGAAGTATGTGCTAAATGAAGCCATCTACCCCAGGTACAGACCTTCCCTTCCTCTGTTCCTCCCGCCAAACACACACACACACACACACACACACACACACACACACACACACACATCAAAGGCATTCAAACCAAAGCGACTCCATCTTGAATTGGGGTTGGTTAAAATAAGACTGGGACCTACTGAGCTGCATTCCCAGGAGGTTAAGGCATTCTGAATCACAGGATGAGCTAGGAGGTCAGCACGAGATACAAGTCACAAAGACCTTGCTGATAAAACAGCCTGAGGTAAAGAAGGTGGCCAAACTCACCAAAACCAAGATGGCGATGACAGTGACCTCTGGTCGTCCTCATTGCTCTTTATACACTAATTGTAATGCATTAGCATGCCAAAAGACACTCCCACCAGCACCATGACATTTACAAATGGCGACATCAGGAAGTTACCCTACATGGGCTCAAAAGGGGAGAAACCCTCAGTTCTAGGGATTGCCCACCCCTTTCCCAGAAAACTCATGGATAATCCACCCTTTGTTTAACGTATAATCAAGAAGTAACAATAAGCTGCTGAGCAGCCCATGCTGCTGCTCTGCCCGTGGAGTGGCCATTCTTTATTCCTTTACTTACCTAATAAACTTGCCTTCGCTTTATGGATTTGCCTCGAATTCTTTCTTGCTGGAGAGCCAAGAACCCTCCCTTGGGGTCTGGATTGGGATCCCTTTCCAGTAACGTGCACACACACTCATGCACGCACACACACAGACGCACAGATGCACACACGCACACACACGTGCACACATGCACGCATGCACACGCACACAAATACGCACACTTGCAGACTCCTTCTCACCTCTCCTCCCCAGTTACCTACCGCCCACTCCTTGGTTCCTGCCAGTTGTTTCCAGGGCTGGATTGGGTTGGAGAGTGACAGCTAGACAGGTGCTGGGTGCACTGATAATAAGGGCAGCAAACGCATCATCAGAAGGGTAACAAGATGAAGAAAACAGAATCTACTCACAAACCTCCCCAGGAGGCTAAAATCATCCACTGGAAATGATCATAGGATGAGCCCCCGGAGTGAAGAGAGGGCCCCATGGGGCAAGCTCAGCTCACAAGCCAGGCTAGCAGCTGCCCTCCCAGAAGCAGGATGTGGCTCACTGCAAAGCCTTTGCCCCTCACGCCCAGGTAGGTTTGGACCCCCAGGCAGAGCTGAGTTGCCGGGGACAAGAAAGCTCAGCAGTACCAACGCAGTGACTCCTCCCAGCCCTCTCCACTCAGCGTTCAGTCTCTCCTTAAGTAAAAGTTGGTGAAATAGTTAAAGAACATGAGTTTAAGGGATTCCAAGGAGAATTCTGCTAGGATCCCTATATATCTTTGTTGACCTTAATGGTAGATTTCGGATTTCACGACCCTGATGCAACCAAATAACATATTTTTGTCATGAGAATTCTATTTTTCCAGGCTTAATCTTTTATTTTTATTTATTTATTTATTTATTTATTTTGAGACAGAGTTTCTCTCTTGTTGCCCAAGTTGGAGTGCAATAGGGCAATCTCATATCACCACAACCTCTGCCTCCCCAGTTCAAGAGATTCTCGTTCCTCAGTATGTAGCTGGGATTACAGGTATGCACCACCAAGCCCAGCTAATTTTTATATTATTAGTAAAGACGGGGTTTCTTCATTGTCTGTATTCGTCAGGCTGGTCTCGAACTCCCGACCTCAGGTGATCCGCCAGCGTCAGCCTCCCAAAGCTGGGATTACAGGCATGAGCCCAAGACTGGTGCCCAGCCAATCTTTTAATTCTATGAAGGAAAATCTATTGAGGAAACCAGCAAGGGCTCTTAATAAAATGTTTGTTGTGGGTGTTTGTTGACTGCTTAACCAACACGCATGCCCTCCCTGCCCGTCTCCTCCGGGGCCCTGTGGGGAATCCACCCTCCCCCATCCTCAGCCATGTGGCTTGGTGCGGCCGACCCTGCTCTCAGCAGGAGGTGCGCCCCATGGACTTGAACCCAAGTCTTGTGGGTCTAGCAGTAGAACACAGGCTCAGGACGGAGGTTGCTGTGTGGCCGTCAGGAGTGGGCAGCCCCAGGGTAAAGCTGGTATCAGAAGAGGCAGAGCCCAACTTGAAGGGTCTTTTGAACCCTGAAATGAGGCCCTGGGAAAGCAAGGCCCATGCGTGCTTCAGATGAACATGCTCACGGGTAATGAGCCAAGGAGCCGTCATTCAACACACCCTGGCCTCTTCATTTGGTTCTGCCTTGGAAAAACGGAGCCATCAGTGAGGCAGCGTCATTCTTCTGGGGTAATACCCAAAGTTTGTTGCCTCCTGCCAAGGAAATCAAGGACAGGGACACACGTGGAGTGAGGTTAAGAGTGGAGGTTTAATAGGCAAAAGAATGGAAAAGAGAATAGCTCTCTCTCCTGCAGAGATAGAGGGGTGCCTGAGTGGGTCTTCCGGTTTTGTGGTGAGAAGCATGGGGTTTTATAGACAAGCTCGAGGCTGCGGTGTCTGATTTACATAGGGCGCAAGAGATTGGTCAGACCAGGTGTAATGTTTGCACAGCGCCAGGAGAAGCTGGTCACCCAACCCTAATCTTTTATTATGCAGATGGGGTCTCTGCCTGGCTGGCGCCATGTTGTCTGTTCCTTACTGTACACTTGGTCAAGAAAGAAAAGGGAAGATGGAGCCGCCATGTCAAACATGCCTGTCCCCCGGTAGCCTTTTCCTATTGTCACAGTGGCCGGTATTCACCTATGCAACTTTCCATCCTGTTTATGTTTGTAGCTCCATTTTACTGGCTGCTCTTTGTTAGAAAAGAAATGATTTGGGGGCTGCTTTTTGTTAAAAGGGAAACCTTACCGAGGACTTCCTTACCCTCACTATCTGCCTAAATAATTTCTTTTTAACTGCTTTATCAATTATCTGCATTACTTAGGGTGAGGAAGTCGATAATGAGCCAATTATTGATAGGCATACGCCGTGAAGCCGACTGAAAATATCACCTGAGGGCTTTGGGAGAATGATTGCTGTGTTTCTTAGAGCAATGACCACACAATTCCAGCTTTCAATTCCTGGTGCCACGCAGGCACTTTGCAGCCATGTAAGCTGATGCTTGCCCTTTGGCTCAAGCCAGTTGAAGGCCTCTCTATCGCTCCTGACATACAGAGGCCAAAGCAACCCAACCCGGTGTCAACCCCGGGCTGACACTAGAGGAAAATCTACAAGCCTGGAGGATCCACAGAGCCTCAGACCTCAAATGCTTGTCCCCACAGACCCACCATCCCCTGGGGAAACCGAGGCCAATACTCACTTTCCCCACCACACAGGGGTTGAAGGACACTGCTCCCCATCCCAAGCTCCAAACCAGGGGAGGACACACACAATCTTCCCTTAATTCTACCTAGCATCGTGGAAGACTCCCACAAAGACTCCGAAGCGTGAAAGGGAACGTAGCAGAACTATGAAGTCCCATGCAGGAATTATGCTCTGTGGCCACCATCAGAAGGTCTGGATCGGGTTCCATCAAGGTTGCTGATGGATCTGAGGGCACTGCCAGGCATGGTGGCTCACACCTGTAATCCCAGCATTTGGGGAGGCCAAGGTAGGAGAATCACTCAAACCGAAGAGCTTCAGACCAGCCTGAGCAACATAGTGAGATCCCATCTCTACAAAAAAAAAATTTAATTAGCAAGATGTGGTGGTGCATGCCTGTAGCCCCAGCTACTCTGGAGACTGACGTGGGAGGATTGTTTGAGTCCAGGAGGTGGAGGCTGCAGTAAGCCATGTTCATGCCACTGCAATCCAGCCAGGATGACAGAGCAAGGCCCCATCTCAAAAAATATATATACGTTTTTGGGGCAGCCTGAAGACTAGAAGGGGGCTAAGTTGGGGCAGAACACTGAGAGGACTGAGCAACTGCAAAGACAGCACCCCTGTGTTTGCAGAGAATGATCACAGAGGCCAGGCTGCTGCCCCAGGGATGATCGCTTTGACTGCGAGGATCACAGTGGACAAGGCAGGGTCCATAGCCCAGTGCTGAATAACAGAAAACAGCACAGACGGCGAAGAACCCCATTCATCCTGAGCAGTGAAGACCTCCAAAAAATAAACCCACTTTGAGAAGTCCGACCATCTCTTACACTGTTGGGAGAGAGACGCCAATGTCAGTTTTAAGCAGCAAGCTATCTTCTCTTCCGGTGGCAACAGAGTAAAAATACCAGAGAGCATGTTCCCTTCAAGTATTTAGCTTCACATAACAAATATTTATTGAACACCCAATATTTGCAGATACTCCTCTGGCCTGATAATATGGAACAAGGGTTCGTCTTATACAAGAAGTGGATGCAAGCCGCAGATCCACCCTATGTTGCCACGAAGCCACTGGCCCCCACACTCACAGAGCTGTGACAGGTGTGCGTGCGCGACAGCTCATAGGTCTTACGTTTAGCTTGTTAATGAGGATGAAGCTGGATGGCCAGAGCACACCCAGGGAGTGACTGTGGTTTGTTTAATTAAACAACAAGAGAATGGTACAAAAATCAATACTCAATTCCATTCTCAAAGCCAAAGACACCCAAATTTTGCATAGGTCATGGGTGCTTCAGATGAACACGCTCCCAGATAACAAGCCAAGTAGCCGTCCCTCAACCTACCCTGGCCTCTTCATTTGGTTCTGGCTTGGAAAAATGGAGCCATTAGCTGCGTTAGTGAGGGTGAAGAAATCAATAATGAGCCAATTATTGATAGGCATATGCCGTTAAACAGACTGAAAAAATAACCCGAGGGCTTTAGGAGAATGATTGCTGTGTTCCTTAGAGCAATGGCCACACAATTCCAGCTTTCAATTCCTGGTGCCATATTCACCAAGATTTATGGGGCTTTTGTAATACCTAATTGGGATTGGTAACAATACCCGAGCCTCCACCCCGTGGAATGTTTTAGGCATTTATCAAAGCCAGATGAAAAGGAAGGAGGAAATAAAATCACACTCAATCCTAGAAATATAGGGAAGGGCCCTGGGGGCAATTGAAGGCCTGCCCTGCACTATATAGAAATTGTCTCCTTTAATCCTCACAATCAATGTATTGCTTCTCTCTTGAAGGTGGTGAAAATGAGGCTCAGAGAGGTGAACTTGACCAGTGTAACTCAGCTGAAGAGTGGTAGGATGGAGATTCGAAAGAACGTCTGATTTAAAAGGCCACGCCCCTCCTACTGAACCTCATTCCAGATTTTCTAAAAGCCCTGATATTTTCTTTATGCCAATAAAATGCTCATAGACTGGGCAGGGCAACAAGATAAGGAAGAAGGGGAAGGGGCTCGATAAGAGTATGATTTGCAGCCAGGCGCAGTGGCTCACGCCTGTAATCCCAGCACTTTGGGAGGCCGAGGCGGGTGGATCGCAGGTCAGGAGTTCGAGACCAGCCTGGCCAACATGGTGAAACCCTGTCTCTAATAAAAATACAAAAATTAGCTGGGTGTGGTGACACATGCCTGTAATCCTAGCTACTCAGGAGGCTGAGGCAGGAGAATTGCTTGAACCTGGGAGACAGAGGTTGCAGTGAGCTGAGACCACACCATTGCACTCTAGCCTGGGCGACAGAGCAAGACTCCATCTCAGAAAAAAAAAAAAAAGTATGATTTGCAAGTCAGGTATAACACGTCAAGAACAACTGCCCCTCCAACAGTACTATTCCCTCCCTTCATCTGGACCTAATACCTTACTTAATACAACCATTCGTCACATTTACTTTATCGCCACCACATCCCATTGCTGGTCTGAAAGTGCCTAAACCTCCCACCGATATTCCGTAGGAATTTCTGTTAAGGTAGGCCTCCCCCATCCTATTTTTGTGGGGGTTGGGAAGTATTATGAGACTACTTCTTAGCATTCACACTCTTTTGATTTACTCCAGCAGGTCTCCAACTTGCCTTTCCACCTGCTAAGATTTTTTGAATCTTAATTCTGCCATCCAGAGTAAGAGCCCTCTCTTTGTTCTATGTAATCTCCAGATCTGATAAATATGCTTGTTTCAACCAAGACAGGCAGACAGATGAGTGTGCACATGAAAATAAACCATCAAGAATGACTTCTGTGCAACATGCCGGCACTTAGCCAAGATGGGCAAATCCCTGCCAAAGTTCTCTAACTCCTTCTTCCAGTGCGTTCTAACCAGTAATGGTGCAAAGCTCCTGTCCGTCTAAGTATCCAAGGCACTTTCTTTAGCCTGTTATAATCCTTGACTGCAAGCCCCCTGAAGGCAGGGGTTGTGTCAGGTTTTGCTCACCCCTGGGTCCCCAACACCCAGCCTACACAAGTGTGCACACAGATAGGTGACGAATGAATGAAGGGATGAAGACATGATGCTGTGGTGTCACTCCTCACTCTCCACCCACACTGTACATCCATCAGGGTGGTATGTTTGCATGTAGCCACTCCTATTGGGTTTTTAGTGGTGATTCTTGAATGGGAAAGTTGTCACCTACCCCGGGGGGGACTTTGGAAGTTTGTGGGGAGTTTTCTGCTTGTCACAATGCCTGGCATGAACAGTGGCCTTCAGGGGGATGCTAGATATTCTGCAATGCACTGAACAGTCACAAAGAAGACATAGTCGCTCATGTCCTGCAAGACCCTCTGTTATTTCAACAGGCATCCATGAAAGAGGACAGTTCTGTTTGCAGGGCATCTTTTACACAGTTTTAATGTACATAGAATACACTAGTTTATACTTTAATGTGAACGAGTGCACAGGTGAGCGGGAAAGATGTAGCAGAGACCTACAAAGGAACCTCCTTCTGGATACAAAAAAACAATGGAGTATGCAATGGGAACGGATAAGAGGAACTCAGAGCCCTCCAAGTGGACAGGGGAAGGGTTCCTT
This sequence comes from Homo sapiens, assembly GCF_000001405.40. NCBI lineage: Eukaryota > Metazoa > Chordata > Mammalia > Primates > Hominidae > Homo > Homo sapiens. Next base: position 83,858,957 of record NC_000016.10, read on the forward strand.
GAGGAAGTGATGCTGGAGCAGGGAAGGTTTAACGCAGAGTAGGTATTCATGAGGGGAGGGGAAAGCAGAGTGAGTCAGGCAGAGGCAACAGCATGTGTAAAGGCCCTACAGCAAGTGGGACAAGACATTTCAGACAGATTATTATTTTTTTCATTCTGCCTTCTGTTGTTGCTGATTTATGTTCAGGTCTGATCCCCACATTGGGTTGAAAGCTTCTCAAAGCCAAGACCATATCTTAGCCATCACTCTATCCTTCCCGGACCTTGCACGGTAACCAGAACCCAATACACACTCAAAATATGTTAGTTGTCATTGATGCGCAGGCAGGAGATACTCTAAAGACCAGTCCATCCTGGGGGAGGGGTAGCAATCAAGGCTCCCAGGTCTCCTACTGCTTCTTTCTTTTGATAAATTGCAAGCGGGAGATCAGCTGATCAGGAAGACCTTCCTGCAGTGATCAATAGAACTTGATTCCCTAGCATTACCTGAAACATGTGACATGTGACCCACACGTGATCAAGGGTAAGCACAGGTCTGAATGACACTGATTTCAATACAAATGAGGTAACTCGACCTCAGACACAGCACTGTATTTTGTTTTTGTTGTTCCGTTTGTTTGTTTTGAGACAAGGTCTTGCCGTGTCACCCAGACTGGGGTGCAGTGGCACAATCACGGCTCACTGCAGCCTCAATCTCCCGGGCTCAAGCAGTCCTCTTGCCTCAGCTTCTTGAGTAGCTGGTACTATAAAAGCTCATATAATTTCGTATACGCCCAGCTAATTTCTTATTTTTTTGTAGAGACGAGGTCTCACTGTGTTGCCCAGGCTGGTACCAAACTCCCGAGCTCAAGCGATCCTCCCACCTCGGCCTCCAAAAGTGCTGGGGTGATCAGCATGAGGCACCATGTCCAGCCCAGCCCTCTATTTTGCAATGGAACTATTTAAGATGCAGAGAGGAGTGGAGAGGAGGGGTTACAACCAGCTGTCAAGGCCACTCTGCTCATGGTTGGCTTTGGGGCTTCAGAGGAGGAGGAGCCGGTCTTTGTCCTCTGTTTCTTATTCCCTCTAAGGAAACTAAAGGGCTTCTTCAGACAGAAAGAACTACTGAGGGACGAGGAAAATGTTCCAGGGCCTCTTGATGCCACCCCACAGGCTTTGAAATGCTCACTATTACCCAATCATAAAGAAAATGCCATTTTGGAGATCTCTGTGTTAATTACCATCATTGGAGAGACATTATCTATATTTACATAATAGCTTCCCAGGTTTTCCTAGTTTTGAGTCAAGCTAACAAATTTGTAGCTATTATGGAACACAAATTGCTCTGGTATGTTTTAAATTCTGCAAATGGAAAACCTTGCCTGTTGAGGGAGGTGGCTAGACCCCAGAACAATTAGTGTCTAATAATTCGTTAATGTCGGAGATGCTCAAAGATACAGTTTTAAATGCCTACCTTAATGTCTTACGTGCAAAAAGAAAGGCATTTGAAGAAGCCATCGTCGGGTTAGGCACATTAATACGATTAAATAATTTTGTGAAATGTAAAAAGCTCCTGTTACGTCTCTAAAAAGGGACAAATGAAGCCAGCATCCTTATTTTTATCACTTAATTTCCCTGCTTGAATACAAATGATTGGCTGATAATTGCTAATTGTGGAGGGAGGCAGGTGGAGGACCGCTGGATTGAGGGGAGAGGTCAAGGGTTGAAACACCCCTAACTGGGAGTGCACGTGGTGAAGGCTGGTCACCAGGCCTGCCCAGGGCACCTGTGCTGGAGAAGTCACCGTACTGCTTGGTCTGAGCTCCTGCAAGCTCCAAGATGTGAGCTTATCAAAACCTGGTGAGGACTCACTTGACTAGGGTCAGAGAAGCTAGCGCAATCATAGGCAATGATGTTTTCTGCCCAGTACCCTTCTCTTCCGATAGAGCAGCTCCCCTTCATCTAACGCAATGGTTCTCCCACCCGATGGTGCATCAGGATCACCTGGAGGGCTAGTTAACCAGATGCTAATTCAGCGCCTCTGTGGTAACCCCCAAATGCCCTATCAAGTTCCCAGGTGATGCTGATGTTGCTGGCTTGGGACCACACTTTGAGGATCATTGTGTTGGGGGAATTGATCCTTATGGAATCAGTGTTAACCTTCAGAGAAGGCCATGTGATCTACATCGGGCTTTCCCATTGATTGCTCTCAAATCTGAATAAAAGATGCCTCTTCGTTACTCATGAAAAAATGTGAATCTGGAAACTGGATCCAGCTCATGGACAAAGCTGACAGAGAGAATGAAGACAGTGTGCAGAGAAGGAAAGACAAGGGGAAGAGGAAGGATTTCTCGTTCCAGCCCTGATGCCTGTTCTTTCTAAGGTTTGACCTCAGCTAATGAGCTGCCCTTTTTGCCTGAGGTAGTTTACAATGTATTTCTGTCACCTGTAACCAAGAGAATTCTGACTGCTACAGAAGGGCAAACAAGAATGCCAATTTATGAAGATACAATGAGGCTGTAACTGACAGTGGCCTCAGTGTCAGTAGAGTTTTTCACTGAAAGAGGCCAGACACAGTGGCTGACGCCTGTAATCCCAGCACTTTGGGAGGCCAAGGCAGGAGGATCACTTGGGCCCCGGAGTTCGAGACCAGCCTGGGCAAAATAGGGAGATCCCTTCTCTACCAAAAAAAAAAAAAATTATCTAGGTGTGGTGGTGTGCACCTGTGATCTTAGTTACTCAGAAGGCTGAGGTGGGAGGATCACTTGAGCCCAGGAGGTGGAGGCTGCAGTAAGCCGTGCTTGTGCCACTATACTCCAGCCTGGGCAACAGAGTGAGACCCTGTCTCAAAAATAATAATTTAAAAAATAAAAACAAAGTCTTTTGCTGAAAGAGTTTAATAGGGTTACCAGATAAAATTCAGATAAGAAATAATTTTTTTAGGGTAAACTATGTCCCAAATATTGCAAAAGATATACCCTAAAAAAATCATTTGTTGTTTATCTGAAATTCAAATAACTGTACATCCTGTGTTTTTGTTCAATCTGGCAACGTTAGCTTAGGAGCAAGGGAGACCTAGGTTTGCCTCTCAGCTTGATCACTGACCATGTGACTGCGGCCTGCATCTCCCAGGCTCCCAGGGCAAGCTGGTCTGGTCAGTGGAGAGGTCAGCAATGATTGAAGGGCAGGAGGAAGAGAAAAGCCACAGTGTTTCTGGGCCCATCTCTGACGGTGGCTGCCTTCCCTCCAGGGCCCCAGCTTCAACTGAACAGCCCACCATGGATCCTATTGGTACACGTATTGCTACATGTATCATATTGGTACATGTATCATAAAGGTACGTATTTTGACATTTTTCACCCAAGATCTGTTCTGTTTGTCTGAGACTCCATTCCAATGAAATCATACACTATGTACTGTTGGGATCTGGCCTCTATCACTTGGCATAATGTTTCTGAGATTCATCCATGTCGTTGCATTTATCAGCAGTTCATTTCTTTTCATTGCTGTGTGTATTCTGTTGTCTGAATATACCACCTTAAATTTCTTCTGCTGTTGGTGGAGACTTGGTTAGTTTCCAACTTGAAACTATTATGAATAAAGCTAGGAAGAACATTTGTATCCATGTCTGTATAGACACGTTTTCATTTCTCTTGGGTAAATATTTAGGAATGGAATTGTTTGATTGTAGGGCAGGTGAATGTTTTGTTTACAAAAGAAAACTTTCTGACCTTTTTCCAAAGAGTTTACCGTGCAGCGACACATGAGCATTGAATGTCTGTTATGACATGTATCTTAGGATGAGGCTACAAATCAAAATGGCTGAGATCCTTTCAAGTCCGGGGTTCTGTGCTTCTCTTGTAATGCCGGTGTTAAGTGTTTTCTAACGCAAAATTCCCCAGGTAATTAGGTATGCAGAAGGTGCCGAGTCAGCAAATCCCCCCCCTTTCCCAGAACTTCTGCAAAGATGAGGAATAAGAGGCAAATGCACTCACTGCAATGTTATATTAATACATTTAGTTCACACAGTTTGGGAAGTGAGCGTGAAGCTGCTAAGTTCCTGGTTGATGCTTGCTATGCTTTGCCTTTGTCCCCACCAAAATCTCATCTTGAATTGTAGCTCCCATAATTCCCACATGCCGTGGGAGGGACCCTGTGGGAGGTAATTGAGTCATGGGGTCAGGTCTTTCCCATGTTTTTTCTCCTGATGGTGAATAAGTCTCATGAGATCTTTCGGTTTTATAAAGGGGAATCTCCCTACACAAGCTCTCTGTTGCCTGCCGCCATGTAAGACATTCCTTGCTCTTCCACCATGATTGTAAGGCCTCCCCAGCGATGTAGAACTGAGTCCATTATATCTCTTTCCTTTATAAATTACCCAGTCTTGGGTATGTCTTTATTAGCAGCGTGAGAACAGACTAATGTAATGCCCGTCAGCTTTAGCTAACCTGTTAGACTATGGGAGGGGCCATGAGGAAGCACACCAGTAATATATAATCCATAGGAAAGCCTTCGTGGTACAACCACCCCACCTGTGCCTTTGCTGAAGACCTTTAGAGAGAGGAAGCCAGCCTTGAGTCCAGGACAAAGATCAGGATGCAGTGGCCCCCAGATTCCTGGTAGTTTGGAAATAACCAAAAACAACCCTAACAGCCACAAATTAAAATAGGGGACATGGTTCCCATCATGGAGGACAGGCAAGGCTGAAGGAGGAACTCAGACGACACCGTCAGGGTTCCTGCCAGCTTGCTTTCCTCCTGTTGGCTGTGTTTCTAAGCAGACTTCCTCTGGTGATCCAAGTTTGCATCCTCAGGTTTGGCAAGCTCTGTGCAAAGGGAGCATCTCTATAATAATATTCCAACTAATAGTATTCCAGTTGGGTCTCATTGGCCTGGCCTGGGTCACATGCCCATCCTTGAGCCAATCAGGGCCAGGAAGATGGAGTAGGCTGATTGGCTGGGCCTGTGTCATGTGACCCCCTTTTGTACTAGTGGCACAAAAATTTCACGTGCTGAGAGTAGGAGGATCCCCTGAGACCAGGAGTTCAAGACCAGCCTGGGCAACATAGCAAGACCCCTTCTCTACCAAAAAAAAAATGTTTTTTTAATTAGCTGGGCATGGTGGTAGCACCCTGTAGTCTCAGCTACTCAGGAGGCTGAGACCAGAGGATTGCTTAAGCCGAGGAGGTCAAAACTGCAGTGAGCCATGACTGTGTCACTGCGCTCCAGCTTGGGCAACAGAGCCAGACCCTGTCTAAAAAAAAGAAAAAGAGAATTCCATGTGCTGAGAGTAAAAGGGAGGATGATTACACCAAATCAACGTGCTGGTAGTGGGGTGAAGGAGTGAGCTGGGCCAGCAGAGCCTCCTACGTCTGCCACATCCTTTTGTCAGCCCACCTGATCCTATGCCGGGAGATATTAGATAATGAGGGTTAAAGCTGTTGTGATTAGCAAGACCTTAGAAAGGTAAACACTCAGGACATGAAGACAAAGCTGCCTCCATTTTTTTCAGTAGTATGTAAAATCAGGCAATACTCTGTCCGGTACTTTATAAAAGTTTACTAAATAGGATTATAAATATACAGAAGTCTCTTTTGAGATTAGTGAAAGACAAAAGAGACATATGTCATTGGGGAAATACTTCTTCTTTCCACTGCAGTAAAAAATGGGTAAAATAATATAGAATGAAATGCAAATACCAAAATGCATTTCTTTGTCAGCATTGTCATTAGAAAAGGCATAGAAAACATGGAACATTTGAAGAAAGTAGGATTAAAATAAATTATGCTGTGTGGAAGGTTTTTTATACAACTGGATGAGAATACATATTTTTTTTCTTTCAAAAAAAACATGTCACAGCTAATGGTATTTGCAAGATTTTGTTTCAATAAAGAAATACACAAAAGGCCACTTTTTCGTGAGCCATTAAATAAAAGATGTACCAGGGAATGCATATTCTCCAAAGTATATTACTTTTTAAATAGGAACACTGTTTCATGGAAAAGCGATAAAGTATAGGTTGTAATGGAATAAAATAGAGCTCAGGCTGTGTGTGTGTGTGTGTGTGTGTGTGTGTGTGTGTGTGTGTGTGTGTGTAAAAATATAGGCCGGGCGCAGTGGCTCACACCTGTAATCCCAGCACTTTGGGAGGCTGAGACAGGCAGATCACCTGAGTTCGGGAGTTCGAGACCAGCCTGACCAACATGGAGAAACCCCATCTCTACTAAAAATACAAAATTAGCCAGGCATGGTGGCATATGCCTGTAATCCCAGCTACTCAGGAGGCTGAGGCAGGAGAATCGCTTGAACCCGGGAGGTGGAGTTTGCAGTGAGCCAAGATCGCACCACAGCACTCCAGCCTGGGCAACAAGAGTGAAAATCTGTCTCAAAAAAAGAAAAGAAAAGAAAAGAAAATTTAAAGTATAATAAAGATGGCACCACAATAAACAGTAGATTGCTCAATAGATGGTATTAGGAAAACTGAGGCAAGATTCCTGTGTAACATTTTACAGAAAAGTGGCCTCCAGTGAATTAAGAGTTAAACACGAAAGATGGAACTATAAAGCCAATAGAAGAAACTTAGGAAAATGTCTTTCTGAGCAAAAACAGAGGAAGAAATTATCAAAAAACATTTTGAAGCATAAAGCATAAGGCAAAAACAATCAATGAATTTGACTACATCAAAATTAAGGCTTATCAGCTTAATGTGTTTTGGGGCTGAGACGTTGGGATTTTCTAAATATAGAATCCTGTCATCTGCAAACAGTGACAATTTTACTTCCTCTCTTCCTATTTAAATACCCATTATTTCTTTCTCTTGCCTGATTGCCCTGGCCAGAACTTCTAATACTATGTTGAATAGGAGTAGTGAGAGAGGGCATCCTTGTCTTGTGCCAGTTTTCAAAGGGAATGCTTCCAGCTTTTGCCCATTCAGTATGATATTGGCTATAGGTTTTTCATAAATAGCTCTTACTATTTTGAGATATGTTCCATCAGTACCTAGTTTATTGAGAGTTTTTAACAAGAAGGGATGTCGAATTTTATTGAAGGACTGTTCTGCATCTGAGATAATCATGTGGTTTTTGTCGTTGGTTCTGTTTATGTGATGGATTATGTTTATTGATTTGCGTATGTTGAACCAGCCTTGCATCCCAGGGATGAAGCTGACTTGATCGCGGAGGATAAGCTTTTTGATGTGCTGCTGGATTCGGGTTGCCAGTATTTTACTGAGGATTTTCACCTCGATAACTCATCAGGGATATTGGCCTGAAGTTTTCTTTTTTTGTTGTGTCTCTGCCAGGTTTTGGTGTGATGCTGGCCTCATGAAATGACTTATAGAGGAGTCCCTCCTTTTCAATTCTTTGGAATATTTTCAGAAGGAATGATACCAGCTCCTCTTTTACCTCTGGTAGAATTTGGCTGTGAATCTGTCTGGTCCTGGGCTTTTTTTTGGTTGCTAGGCTATTGTTGCCTCAATTTCAGAACTTGTTATTGGTCTATTCGGGGATTTGACTTCTTCCTGGTTTAGTCTTGGGAAGGTGTCCAGGAATTTATTCATTTCTTCCAGATTTTCTAGTTTATTTACATAGAGGTTTTTTATAGTATTCTCTGATGGTAGTTTGTATTTCTGTGGAGTCAGTGGTGATATCCCCTTTATCGTGTTTTATTGTGTCTATTTGATTCTTCTTTCTTTTCTTCTTTATTAGTCTATCTAGCGGTCTATCTATTTTGTTAGTTTTTTCAAAAAACCAGTTCTTGGATACATATTTTTTGGAGGGTTTTTTGTGTCTCTATCTCCTCCGGTTCTGCTCTGATCTTAGTTATTTCTTGTTTTCTGCTAGCTTTTGGATTTGTTTGCTCTTGCTTTTCTAGCTCCTTTAATTTTGATGTTAGGGTGTCGGTTTGAGGCCTTTCTAGCTTTCTGATGTGGGCATTTAGTGCTATAAATTTCCCTCTTAACACTGCTTTAGCTGTGTGTCCCAGAGATTCTGGTACATTGTCTTTTTTCTCACTAGTTTCAAGGAACTTCTTGATTTCTGCCTTTATTTCGTTATTTACCCGGGAGTCATTCAGGAGCAGGTTGTTCAATTTCCATGTAGTTATATGGTTTTGAGTGAGTTTCTTTATCCTGAGTTCTAATTTAACTGCACTGTGGTCTGATAGACTGTTATGATTTCAGTTCTTTTGCATTTGCTGAGGAGTGTTTTACTTCCAATTATGTGGCTGATTTTAGAATAAATGCCATGTGGTGTATATTCTGTTGATTTGGGGTAGAGAGTTCTGTAGACATCTATTAGGTCCACTTGATCCAGAGCTGAGTTCAGGTCCCGAATATTCTTGTTAACTTTTCATCTCGTTGATCTGTCTAATATTGACAGTGGGGTGTTAACGTCTCGCACTATTATTGTGTGGGAGTCTAAGTCTCTTCATAGGTCTCTAAGAACTTGTTTTATGGATATGGTTGTTCCTATATTGGGAGCATATATATTTAGAGTAGTTAGCTCTTCTTGTTGCATTGATCCCCTTACCATTATGTAATGCCCTTTTTTGTCTTTTTTGATCTTTGTTGGTTTAAAGTCTTTTATCAGAGACTAGGATTGCAACCCCTGCTATTTTTGCTTTCCATTTGCTTGGTAAATTTTCCTCCATCCCTTTATTTTGAGCCCATGTGTGTCTTTGCATATGAGATGGGTCTCCTGGATCTAGCACACCAATGGGTCTCATCTCTTTATCCAATTTGCCAGCCTGTGTCTTTTAATTGGAGCACTTAGCCCATTTACATTTAAGGTTAATATTGTTATGTGTGAATTTGATCCTGTCATCATAATGCTAGCTAATTATTTTGTATACTAGATGATGCAATTTCTTCATAGTGTCATTAGTCTTTATATTTTTGTGTGTTTTTGCTGAGTCTCAGGATACAAAATCAATGTGCAAAACTCAGAAGCATTCCTATACACCAACAATAGACAAGCAGAGAGCCAAATCATGAATGGACCCCCATTCACAATTGCTACAAAAAGAATAAAATACCTAGGAATACAGGTTACAAAGGATGTGAAGGACCTCGTCAAGGAGAGCTACAAACCACTGCTCAAGGAAATAAGAGGGGACACAAACAAATGGAAAAACATTCCATCCTGATGGATAGGAAGATTCAATATTGTGAAAATGGCCATACTGCCCAAAATAATTTATAGATTCAATACTATTCCCATCAAACTACCATTGACATTCTTCACAGAATTAGAAAAAACTACTTTGAATTTCATATGCATCCAGAAAAGAGCCCGTATAGCCAAAACAGTCCTAAGCAAAAAGAACAAAGCTGGAGGCATCACACTACCTGACTTCAAACTATGCTACGAGGCTACAGTAACCAAAGCAGCATGGTAGTGGTACCAAAACAGATATATAGACCAATGGAACAGAACAGAGTCCTCAGAAATAACACCGCACATCTACAACCATCTAATCTTCGACAAACCTGACAAAAACAAGCAATGGGGAAAAGATTCCGTATTTAATAAATGTTGCTGGGAAAACTGGCTAGCCATATGCAAAAAACTGAAACTGGACTCCTTCCTTACACCTTATACAAAAACTAACTCAAGATGGATTAAAGACTGAAATGTAAAACCCAAAACCATAAAAACCTTAGAAGAAAACCTAGGCAATACCTTTCAGGAAATAGGCATGGGCAAAGACTTCATGACAAAACACCAAAAGCAATTGGAACAAAGCCAAAATTGGCAAATGAGATCTAATTAAACTAAAGAGCTTCTGCACAGCAAAAGTAACTAGCATCAGAGTGAACAGACAACATACAGAATGGGAGAAAATTTTTGCAATCTACCCATCTGACAAAGGTCTAATATCCAGAATCTACAAGGAACTTAAACAAATTTACAAGAAAACAACAACCCCATCAAAAAGTGGGTAAAGGATATGAACAGACACTTCTCAAAAGAAGGCATTTATTTATTATTTTATTTTATTTTATTTTTTCTTGAGATAAAGTTTTGTTCTTGTCGCCCAGGCTGCAGTGCAATGGCGTGATCTAGGCTCACTGCAAACTCCGCCTCCCAGGTTCAAGCAATTCTCCTGCCTCAGCCTCCTGAGTAGCTGGGATTACAGGTGCCCGCCACGACACCCAGCTAATTTTTGTATTTTTAGTAGAGGTGGGTTGGCCAGGCTGGTCTTGAACTCCTGGCCTCAGGTGATCTGCCTGCCTCAGTCCCAAAAAGTGTTGGGATTACAGGTGTGAGCCGCTGTGCTCAGCCAAAAGAAGGCATTTATGCAACCAACAAGCATATGAAGAAAAAAAAAGGGCATCATCACTGATCATTAGAGAAATGCAAATCAAAACCACTGTGAGATACCATCCCACGCCAGTCAGAATGGCAATTATTAAAAAGTCAAGAAACAATAGATGCTGGCAAGGCTGTGGAGAAATAGGAATGCTTTTGCACTGTTGGTGAGAATGTAGATGGTTCAACCACTGTGGAGGACAGTGTGGCGATTCCTCAGGGATCTAGAACCAGAAATACCATTTGACCCAGCAATCCCATTACTAGGTATATACCCAAAGGAATATAAATCATTCTAATATAAAGAGACATGCACACATATGTTTATTGCAGCACTATTTACAATAGCAAAGACATGGAACCAGCCCAAATGCCCATCAGTGATAGACTGCGTAAAGAAAATGTGGTACATATCTACCGTGGAATACTATGCAGCCATAAAAAAGAATGAGATTGTGTCCTTTTCAGGGACATGGATGAAGCTGAAAGCCATCATCCTCAGCAAAGTAACACAGGAACAGAAAACCAAACACTACATGTTCCCACTCATAAATGGCAGTTGAACAATGAGAACACGTGGACACAGGGAGGGGAACAATGCACACTGGGGCCTGTCGGGGGGTTGAGGGGAGGGGGAGAGAGAGCATTAGGACACAGACTTAATGCATATGGGGCTTAAAACATAGATGATGGGTTGACAGGTACAGGAAACCCCTACGGCACATGTATACCTATGTAAGAAACCTGCACGTTCTGCACACGTATCCCGGAACTTAAGTAAAGTAAAAAAAAATAAAATAAATAAAATAAAATAAAAAGTAAAATAAGCAATACCTGCCTAATAAAATAATTAAAGCTTTTGTGAAAATACAGGACACCCTGAATAAAGTTAATAAAAAGGGGACAGAAATTGGGAGAAGACATTGTAAAAAGTCTAAAATGGACAAGACTTTAGTACCTAGTCCAGCACTTTTCATGAGAAGTAAAACGTGAGCCGCTTACGTAATTTTAAATTTTCCAATAGCCATATTCTAAAATGTGGTTAGTAGCCACCATACTGAACAGCACAGTTGTAGAATGATTTACAAGACTCCTGCAAGTCAATAAGTAAAAGAGGACAATCCCAACAGGAAAACGGACAAAGACTTCAATCAGGCAACTTATTAAAAGAGAAAACCCAAAGGGCTCACAAGCATCTGAAAAGATGCTCAAACTCATTAGTAATCATGAAAATTAACATTGAAACAATGAGATAAGCACTTGACACCTATTAGACTGACAAAAATAAGAAATCGGCCAACTGTTGGCAGGGATGTGGATGCTTGGGGGTCCTCATGCATTGCGTATGTGGGTACAGAATGGCATAAACATAATATTTCATGGGAGGAGAAGACTAGCATTTAGTCAAATAAAAGAAGCCACACATACTCCAGGTCCCTGCAATGCTGCTCTTGGGTCTATATTTCAAAAAGGTACCCAGATTTTTGTTTGAGCTTTATTGAGGTATCGTTGAGAAATAAAAATTACATGTACTTAAGATTTACAACTTGATGTTTTAATATACATATACATTGTGAAATGATCACCAACACAAAGCTAATTAACTTTTCTTTCACCTCACGTAGTGTGTGTGTGTGTGTGTGTGTGTGTGTGTTGAGAACACTTAAGGTCTACCCTCTTAGCAAATTTTAAGTATACAACAGAATATTGTTAACTATCATTACCATGCTGTACGTTAGAGCTCCAGAACTTACACATCTTGCACAACTGAAACTTTGTACCCTTCGACCAACACCTCCCCATTTGCCCCACCCAGCCCCTAGCAACCACCGTACCACCGTTGTACTCTCTGCTTCTATAAGTTCAACTGTTTTAGATTCCACATGTAAGTGAGATCATGCAGTACTTGTATTTCTGTGTCTGGCTTATTTCACTAAGCACAATGTCTTCCTTCATCTGTGTTGTTGAGAATGCCAGGATTTCCTTCTTTTTCTGGCTGAATAATATTCCATTTTATATATACCACAATTTCTTTATCCATTCATCCACTAGTGAACATAGGTTATTTCCATATCCTGGCTATAGTGAATAGTACTGCAATGGACTTAGGAGAACAGACCTCTCTTTAACATACTGGTTTTATGTGCTTTGAATATATACCCAGAAGTGGGATTGTGGAATCATATGGTAGTTCTATTTTTAATTTTTTAAAGAACCTCCATACTTTTTTCCGTAATGGTTGTACTATTTTACATTCCCACCAACAATGTTCAGGAGTTCCCTTCCCTCTGCATCCTTGCTAACACTTAATTTTTTGGTCTTTTTGATAATAGCCTTTCCATTAGGTGTGTGAGGTGATACCTCATTGTGATTTTGATTGCTTTTCCCTTATGATTAGTGATGTTGAGCACTTTTTAATTTACCTGATAGCCATTTATATGTCTTCTTTTAAGAAATGTCTTTTTTAGTCCTTTGCCCATTTTCTAATCAGACTATTTGTCTTTTTTGCTATTTAGTTGTATTAGTTCCTTATATATTTTCAGTACTAACCCCTTATGAGATACTGGCTGGAAAATATTTTCTCGCATTTTGTAGATTGGCTTTTTACTTTGTTGATTCTTTCCTTTGCTGTTCAGAAGCTTTTTAGTTTGATGCAGTCCTACTCGTTTGTTTTTGCTTTTGCTGCCTATTTTTCAGTGTCATATCCAAAAAATCACTGCCAAGACCAATGTCAAGGAGATGTTTCCCTATGTTTTCTTCTAATAGTTTTACAATTTCAAGTCTTATATTTATGTCTTTAATCCATTTTGAGTTGATTTTTTTTTTTTCTTTTTGAGGTGGAGTCTCGCTCTGTCACCCAGGCTGGAGTGCAGTGGCACGATCTCGGCTCACTGCTTGCTCCGCCTCCCAAGTTCATGCCATTCTCCTGCCTCAGCCTCCCGGAGTAGCTGGGACTACAGGCTCCCGCCACCACGCCCGGCTAACTTTTTGTATTTTTACCATGTTAGCCAGGATGGTCTCGATCTCCTGACCTCGTGATCCCCCTGCCTCAGCCTCCCAAAGTGCTGGGATTACAGGCATGAGCCACTGCGCCCAGCTTTGAGTTGATTTTTTATGTGATGTGAGATAAGGATCCAATTGTATTCTTCTGCATGTTGATATACTGTTTTCCCAGCACCATTTGTTGAAGAGACTATCTTTTTCCCATTGTATGTTCTTGGTACTCTTGTCTAAGATCAGTTGACCATACATGCATGGATTTATTTGTCCCCTCTAGTCTGTTCCACTGATCTGTCTGTTTGTACGCTAATACCATACTGTTTTGATTACTGTAGCTTTGAAAATGAAAAAGTAGGATTCCTCCTGCTTTGCTTGTCTTACTCAAAATTGCTTTGGCTATTCATGATCTTTTGTTGTTCCATTTGAATTTTAGGATTTTTCTGTTTTTCTGAAGAATGCCATTGGGATTTTGACAGGGATTACACTGAATCTGTAGATCTCTTTGGGTAGTATGGACATTTTAACAATATTAAGTCTTCCACTCCATGACATAGGATGTCTTTCCACTTATCTGTGTCTTTAAATTTCCTTCATCAATGTTATATAATTTTCATTGTACAAGACTTTTACCTCTTTGGTTAAGTTTATTCATAGATACTTAATTTTTTTGTTGTTGCTATTATAAATGAGATTGTTTTCTAAATTGGTTCTTTTGGATAGTTTGTTGTTTGTGTATAGAAACATCACTGATTGTTATACATTGATTTTGTATGCTGTAACTTTATTGAGTTGTTCATTAGTCTTGACAGTTTTTTGTTAGGTAACATAATCATGTCATCTTCAAATAGAGGTAATTTTACTTATTTCTTTCCAATTTGCGTGACTTTTCTTTTTCTTATCTAATTGCTCTAGATAGGACTTGAGTACCTGATTGAACAGAGTGGCAAGAGTGGGCATCCTTGCCTTCTACCAGATCTTAGAGGAAAAGCTTTCAATTTTTCTCCGTTGATTATGATGTTAGCTGTGGACTTTTCGTATATGGCCTTCATTGCGGAAAGGTTAAGTTTCTCCTATACCTATTTTGTTGAGAGTTTTCGTCATGAATGGATACTGAATGTTGTCAAGTATGTTTTCCGTATCTGTTGCAAAGATTATGTGTGTTTCATCTTTCATTCTGTTGATGTGGTATGTCACATTGATTGATTTGTGTATGCTTAATCATCATTGTATCCCAGAGATAAATTCTACCCAGTACCCAGTCATGGTGTATAATCCTTTTAATGTGCTGTTGAATTCAGTTTGCTAGTATTTTATTGAGGATTTTTACATCTATATTCATTAGGGATATTGGCCTGTAATTTTCTTCTCTTGTGATGTATTTGTCTGGCTTTAGTAACAGGCTGATGCTGGCCTTATAAAATGACTTTGGAAGTGTTCCCCTTCTACTTTTTTGGAAGAGTTTGAGAAGGATTGGTATTAATTCTCCATTGAATGTTTGGTAGAATTTATCCATGAAGCCATCTGGTCCTGGGCTTTTCTTTGTTGAGAGGTTTCTTGTTAGTGAATTTATTTGCTACTTGCTATTGGTCTGTTCAGATTTTCTGTTTCTTCTTAATTCAATTTTCATAAGTTTGGTATGTTTTGTATGTTTCCAGGAATGTATATATTTCTTCTAGGTTACCCAATTTGTTGGCATATAATTGTTCATAATCGTCCTTTATGATTCTTTTAATTTCTGAGGTGTGCATTGTGATGTTTCCTCTTCTATTTATGATCTTATTTATTCAAATTTTCTCTTTTTTCTTTAGTCTAGCTAAGGATTTGTCAATTTTATCCTTTAAAAAACCAACTTTTAGTCTTGTTCATTTTTTCCTATTGTTTTTCTATTCTGTATTTGATTTATTGCTGCTCTAATATTTATTTCCTCGTTTATGTTAACTTTGGGCTTAATTTGTTCTTTTTCCTTAGAGTATAAAGTTAGGTTGTTTATTTGAGGTGTTTCTTCTTTTTTAATATAGGCATTTATCACTGTAATTGTCTCTCTTAGTACTTCCTTTGCTGCATCTCATAAGTTTTGGCATATTATGCTTTCATTTTCATTTGTCTCAAAATACTTTTGAAATTCCTTCGGATCCCTCTTTGACCGAATGACTGTTCAAAAGTGTGTTGTCTAGTTTCCATATATATGTGATTCTCATTTTCCTACTGTTATTGACTTCTAGATTCATTTCATTGTAGTTGGAAAAGATAATTGGTATAATTTCAATCTTCCTCAGTCTGTTAAGACTCATTTTGTGACCTAACATGTGATCCATCCTGGAAAACATTCTGTGTGCACCTGAAAAGAATCTGTATTCTTCTATCATTGGGTGGAACATGCTGTATATGTCTGTTGGCCCATTTGGTCCATAGTGTTGCTCAAGTCAGCTGTTTCTTTATAGATTTTCACTCTGGATATTCTGTGTACCTGTGCAGGTGTACAAAAGGACAGATACAAGGATGTCCAGTGTACTATTTTTTGTGTGGTGGCAAGTTGTCAGAAGCAAGCTGTAGGTCTATCCTTAGGAGAAAAAGAAGTAAAACATGGGGTTGTACATCATGGCAGGGAGTTAGAAGGACCAGGCTAAATGAACACACAGCAATATGGATAGATTTTAAAACAGGGCTGGGCACAGCGGCTCATGCCTGTAATCCCAGCACTTTGGGAGGCCAAGACAGGCGGATCACGTGAGGTCAGGGGTTTGAGACCAGCCTGGCCAACTTGGTGAAACCCCGTCTCTACTGAAAATACAAAAATTAGCCGGGCGTGGTGGCAGGCACCTGTAATCCCAGCTACTCGGGAAGCTGAGGTAGGAGAATCGCTTGAACCCGGAAGGCGGAGTTTGCAGTGAGCTGAGATCAAGCCATCGTACTCCAGCCTAGGGGCCTAGGGGACAAGAAAGAGACTTCGTCTCAAAAAAAAAAAAAAAAAAAAAAAAAAAAAAAAAAAACCAGCAGCACAGTGAAAAATGTAGTGAGATATAATACTCCTCACGTATATAAACTATACATCACACAAAACAACAATATTTATTTTAAAAGAACACATTTTTTAAAACCCACGTTACATACATTAGAAGAGTTACCTGCTGCACTAGAGAAATAAGAATGACCTATGAGGATAAAAGGGAGTCATTCTTTTTGAATGACAGACCTTGGGTAGACCAATGATGATGATGTGTAATGAAGTGAGGAATATATTTAACCCAACCATCTCTACACAAGGTCAAAGAAGGAGGAGGAGGAGGAATAAGAGGGGGAAAGGAAGAGGAAGGAAAGGAAGCTGGTAAAGTGAAAAGTACGCCACTCATGAGTGCTACTGGATATCATTGATGCCATCACCTTGTGAAATCCAGAGCTCATCGTGAGATGGGAAGAAACCTCACAGGCACGTTGAATACCCACCTTCTGGCAAAGACTATGGAAGAGTTTGTGAACTTAAAAAAGTTACAGTTTTTTAAAGACAAATGACAAGCATTCCAATTGCTGACCTGTTCTGTAATGACAAGGAGCTCTGAGGAATATATAACCCAGAAGATACTATAATTTCAAAAGAATAAACATAGCAATCCATACCATAAAGATTCCATTTTTTATACAAACAAGAAAGTAATTGCTTTTCTAAAGAAACTCTTGCTATGGAGAGAACATTTTTGAAAAGGTTTTTATTATCTTATCACCTTTTTACCCCCCAAAAAACATTTAAATGTATCATTTATAAAAGTGCTCAAAGCTGCATGCCTAAAATCTTGGAAATGAGCTATTCTAACCATTTACAATATCTTTCAAGTAAACAGTTTTAGTGGGTTTTGAACCCACTTGTTAAAAATATCAAAAGGGAGCACCTTCCAATTAGTTTGCAAGAACAACATCAAGATTAGGAAACATGGAAATTTACTAGCCAGATGTCAACAAAAATCTGTGCATAATTGGCAGTTGGGATTGAAAAATGAATATCATTAGCTGCTTCTGCACCAAGCCTCAAGCATTTGTGTGGAATATTTTCCAGTTATGATAGACTTTCAAAGCATGTATTCAACTCTATGGAACCTGGCTAGGCACAGTGGCTCACGCCTGTAATCCCAGCACTTTGGGAGGGCAAGGATGACAGATCACTTGAGATCAGGAGTTCGAGACCAGCCTGGCCATCATGGCAAAACCTCATCTCTACTAAAAATATAAAAGCATTAGGCAGGTGTGGTGGTGCATGCCTGTAATACCAGCTACCCCAGGAGACTGAGGCTCGAGAGTTGCTTAAACCCAGGAGGCAGAGGTTGCAATGAGCCAAGATGGTGCCACTGCACTCCAGCTTGGGCAACAGAGCAAGACTCCTTCTCAAAAAACAAACTATGGAACTTTAGAGTCAGTTCCTTAAATTATAGTCTCAAAAAATGTTAAAGAGTTTAAAATATAATGAAACAAGTTCAATTCTTCACTCTGATTAAATATTTATTAACACTATTTATTGCAAATAATTTTAGTGATAACCACAAGGATTTTATACTGTTAGTACATTAATACATACAAAAATGCATTTCAAAACATTTGTTGTATCCTCTTTATCCTTTTCAATTTCTGTTTGTGTTTGCTCTATAATATACATGATGAATTTGTGCCATAGAAAATTTTTTGCTAATGAGTGAAAATGTTTTGCTGAGGGGTACAATCAAAAATGTTTGGAGACTGTATCAGTTTCCCCTTGCTGCTGTAACAAATTATTATGACCTTTGTATCTTTTTTTTTTTTTTTTGAGAGGGAGTCTCACTCTGTTGCCCAAGTGCTGTGGCGTGATCTCGGCTCACTGCAACCGCTGACTCCCCAGTTCAAGCAATTCTCCTGTCTCAGCCTCCTGAGTAACTGGAATTACAGGCATGTGCCACCACACCCAGCTAATTTTTGTATTTTTAGTAGAGATGGGGTTTCACCAAGTTGGCCAAGATGGTCTCAATCTCCTGACCTCGTGATCTGCCCGCCTCGGCCTCCCAAAGTGCTGGGATTACAGGCGTGAGCCCAGCCCCGACCTTTATATCTTAAAACAACATAGTGATTATTTCACAGTTCTAGAGGTAGGAAGTCCAACATGGCTCCCAGTGGACTGAAATCGAAGGGTCAGCAGGGTTATACTCCTGGAGGCTCCAGGAGAGAATCACTTCCTTGCCTTTCCACCCGCAGAAGCCACCGCATTCCTTGGCTCATGACCCCGCATCACTCTAATTTCTACTTACATCATCTCATCTCCTTCTCTAACTCCTGCCTTCCCCGTACAAGGACTGCTGTGGTGGCCCACCCAGAGAATCCAGGGTCATCTCCCCATCCCAGGTCCTTAAGTCAGTCACATCTGCAAAGTCCCTTTTTCCATGTCAGGTGTCATATTCACAGATTCTAGGGATTCAGATGTAGACATCGTTAGGAGGGGCATTGTACCGCCTGCTACGAAGACCTTTGGCAGAAAGAGTAAAACAGAGCCAAGGAAGAAAGTCATTGTGATCCTCAGGGTCAGATTCGGTGTGTCAGCTCCCCAGCAGGGCAGCCCCCACAAGCTCACTCTCCGGGCTGTGCTTCGAGGGGCAACTGGGCCTTATCTTCAGCTAACGCACATGGTATTTCTTTGGTCACATTTCCATCCTTTTGGCTAAAAGCAGTAGACCTTCTCTTGTGTAGGTGATAGGGTATCAAGATGGTTCTTTCTTTTTCTTTCTACTGAGTCACCTGGACCAAGGTCCAGATCTTGATTCAGGCTCTTGCTACCCTGTATGATCTGGGCAAGTTTCCTACGTCCTCTGATCCTAAGTTACCCTCTGTCTAAAATAGAGACATTAATCTAGGCTTTGCAGTGTGGTTGAGGATTAGAGGAGATAATGTACAAGTTGCTCACACAAGGAGGCTGCTGAATAAATGTCCGTTTCTTTCCCTCTTCTAGTTAAAATTTCCACCTCTTCAAGTCTGCATCCAGGGAACAAGCCTCGTCTGTAAAGATGCAGAAACATGAGGGTAAATTGAGTCTAAGAGTGAAGGCTCCTTGCAATAATTTTTCATTTCATCTGGGGATTGAGAAATGTACAGCTTCATTCATGGCTTCTTCAAGAGTGCCAAGCCCAACAATGAAAGTGAACCAACGTAGAACAAGAAGCATACTTGGGCCGGGCGCAGTGGCTCACGCCTGTAATCCCAGCACTTTGGGAGGCCGAGGCGGGCGGATCACGAGGTCAGGAGATCGAGACCATCCTGGCTAACATGGTGAAACCCCGTCTCTACTAAAAATACAAAAAATTAGCTGGGCGTGGCGGCGGGCACCTGTAGTCCCAGCTACTCGGGAGGCTGAGGCAGGAGAATGGCGTGAACCTGGGAGGCGGAGCTTGCAGTGAGCCGAGATTGCCCTACTAGACTCCAGTCTAGGCGACAGAGCGAGACTGCGACTCAAAAAAAAAAAAAAGAGAGAAGAAAAAAAAGAGGCATACTTGGCCCACAATAGTTGTCAAAATAATTTCCCCCAGACCCCTTACAGACAAAGATTGTATTAATTTAACAATATTGTGCTTTGACAAATTCCCAAATTCTTGGAACATAAACACAGTCATCAGCCAGCATTTGTTCTACAGACTGCCTTGATCCTCATCTGAGGTCTCTAAGAGGGATAGGTGGTGGGAAAACCCTTTCACAGGTGGATATCTTCGTCTCAAAAGGAAGCGTCTTCATTTTCCAGTGTTGGAATGTGGGGCTTATTAAATTCGTTTCCTGCTAAAGATTTTTCCTCTCATGCAGTAACATCCCCCTCTGCTGGAACTTGTGGATTTTGCTCCAAATATTTATTAAGAACTAGTAAAAATTAAATATGGGATGCATGTTGCCTCTAAACTGGTGGTTCTTAAACTCTCTTATGTGTAAGAATCTTCCAGGATGCTGTGAAGGGGGCCAGCCCCTCCACACCTGTGGGTATTTCTCGTCGGGTGGGACGAGATACTGAGAAAAGAATTAAGACACAGAGACAAAGTATAGAGAAAGAACAGTGGGCCCAGGGGACCGGCGCTCAGCATCCGGAGGACCTGCACCGACACCGGTCTCTGAGTTCCCTTAGCATTTACTGATTACTATTTTCACTGTCTCAGCAAGGGGAATGCGGCAGGAGAACAGGGTGATAGTGGGGAGAAGGTCAGCAAGAAAACTTTTGAGCAAAGGAATCTGTGTCACAAGTAAGTCCAAGGGAAGGTACTACGCCTGGATGTGCACGTAGGCCAGATTTATGCTTCTCTCCAGCCAAACATCTCAGTGGAGTAAAGAATAACAGAGTAGCATTGCTGCCAACATGTCTCGCCTCCCACCATAGGACAGTTTTTCTCCTATCTCAGAATTGAACAAATGTACAATCGGGTTTAATACCAAGACATTCACTTCCCAGGGGCAGGCAGGAGACAGAGGCCTTCCTCTTATCTCAACTGCAAGAGGCTTTCCTCTTTTACTAATCCTCCTCAGCACAGACCCTTCACGGGTGTCGGGCTGGGGGATGGTCAGGTCTTTCCCATCCCACGAGGCCATATCTCAGGCTATCACGTGGGGATAAACCTTGGACAATACCAGGCTTTCCTGGGCAGAGGTCCCTGTGGCTTTCCACAGTGCATCATGCCCCTGGTTTATCGAGAGTGGAGGATGGCAATGACTTTTACCAAGCATACTGCCTGTAAACATTTTATTAACAAGGCACACCCTGCACAGCCCTAGATCCCTTAAACCTTGATTCCATACAACATATGTTTCTGTGAGCTCAAGGTTGGGGCAAAGTTACAGATTAGCAGCATCTCAGGGCAAAGCAGTTGTTCGGGGTACAGGTCAAAATGGAGTTTCTAACGTCTTCCTTTTCTACATAGACACAGTAACAGTCTCATGGCTCTTTCTTTTCCCTACAATGGTGTTTGTAAAAATATATATAAAAGGAGACTTTTGTACCCATAACCGTCTTCTAAGGGGAGTTCACATCTACTTTTTTGTTGTTTTTGAGACAAAGTCTCGCCCCGTCACCCAGGCTGGAGAGCAGTGGTGCCATTTCAGCTCACTGCAAGCTTGAACCCTCCCAGGTTCAAGCGACTCTCCTCCCTCAGCCTCCTGAGTAACTGGAATTACAGACTCCTGCCACCACGCCTGCCTAATTTTTGTACTTTTAGTAGAGACGGGGTTTCACCATGTTGGCCAGGCTGGTCTCAAACTCTTGAGTTCAGGTGATCTGCCCGCTTCAGCCTCCCAGAGTGCTGGGATTACAGGAGTGAGCTAATGTGCCCAGCTCTCACTTGCGTTTTGAAAAACTTTTGGAGGATGAGAAGAAGACGGAGTAAAGCTAGAATTAGTGTACTTGGAACTGCGTCCAACTGGAGTGCCTGCTGGGTGGTACTGAGTATGGAGTACTGTCCA